>NC_000004.12:142671381-143296381 GCF_000001405.40 Homo sapiens
TGTACCTAGTGCTCCAATGAAATGGATTCTGAAACACACTGTGTATTTTCCTGCCTCCAATATTTTGCTCTTACAATGCTTTTTCCTCTGGGAATCCTTCCCACCTTATAGACTTGTTGCAACTGGCTCCTTCAAGGCTCATCTCAAATGCAATTTCATTGTATGGTGCTACAATACCAATTCAGTGGAATTTGTAGGTCCAGAAACCAAGGGATAAAGTAGAAGTTGTCCCACTTACTATTATTGCCAGTGACACTTGGGAAATTTGTGCATATCGCCCTCATAGGTTTAGACTTAGTAGGTTTGGAGGTCTTAGTTCCAAGATAGTAACACTTCCACCAGGGGGCATAATAAAATTCCCATCGAAGTGGTTAAAATTTCATTTTACTGAGGTGTAATTTACATACTGTAAAATTTACCCTTTTACTGTATAATTTGACTAGCTTTATCAAGTATATTAATTGAGTAACCACTAAATCAAGATATAGAACAATTCCATCACCCCAAAATATTGCCTCATGCTCCTCTGAGGTCAACTCCTACTCTATTCTCGATGCCTAGCAACCACTGATAATATTTTCTGTCCTATGGTTTTGTCTTTTCCAGAATGGAATCATGAAACATGTAACCCTCTGAGTCTGATGTCTTTCATTTCCCATACTGTATGTTGTTAAATATATCAGTAGTTAATTCCTTTTTATGCTAAGTAGTATTCCATTGTTTGAAAGTACTACTTTGTTATCAATTGAGCAGTTGAAACACATTTTCATAGTTTACATTTTGGGCTATTGTGAATAAAGATGCTGTAAATATTCATTTACAAGTGTTTCTGTACTTATGTGTGAACATAAGTTTTCATTTGTTTTCAGTGAATAGGAGAGAGATTGGTGGGTCATACAGTAAGTGTAAGTTTACTTTTACAAGAAATTTCCCAACTGTGTTTGAAAGTGGCTCTTCCATCTGCATTCACATTAGCAATGTTTGAGACTTCCAGCTATTCTAAATCCTTGCCAGACCTTGGTAGGTACAGTGGTTTTTTGGTGGTGTTTGTTTGTTTGTTTGTTTCAGACATTAGTTGATTTAGTAGTATTCCCTTGTGGTTTCAATTTGCTTTTCTTTAATGACTAATGATGTTGAGCATCTTTTCATGTACTTATTTTCCATCTTTATATCTCCTTTGGCAAAGTGTCTCTTTAAATATGTTTCTTTATATTCAGTTATTTTGTTTTCTTATTTAATTTTGAAAGTTATTTATATATTCTAGACACAATTTCCATATCACACATGTGTTTTGCAAATATTTTCTTCCCACCTTTTAATTCTCTTAATAATGTCTTTCAAGAAGCAGAGGATTCCAAATTTGATAGTCTAATTTACAATTTTTATGAATCTTGCTTTTAGTATCATAGCTAAGGAAATCTTTACGTAATCAAAAGTCTTGAAGACTTTCTCCATAGTTTCCTCTGGAAGTTTTATGGTTTAGATTTTCTATTTAGGTTTATGATGTATACTGAGTTAATGTTTGTATATTACGTGAGGTATAGGTTGAAGTTCATTATTTTGCAAATGGATATCCAGTTTTTCCAGTATCTTTTGTTAAAAAGATTACCTTTCTGCAATGAATTGTCTTTGCACCCTTGCCAACATCACATGGCCATCCTACTTCTGTGAGCCTATTTCTGAAGTTACCAATCTTTTCTAGCCACTTATATACCTGTCCTTTACCTAGACCACACTCACTGAATTACTCTAGTTAATACAAAGTCTTAAAATCACACAGTGTGAATTTTCTAACGTTGTTCATTTAGAAAATATTATTGTGGCTATTTTAGTTCCTTTGACTTTTCAGATTTTAAAATCAATTTACCAATTTCTATTAAAATAACTTTGATATTGATTGAAATTGCATTGAATCTATTTTCATTTTTAAAGTAGAGATAGTGCAATTTTTAAAGTTCAGAGAAAGTCCTATTATATATTAGCCTATGAGTGTTGCTAGTCACTCTTGGCTCTTCATGCCAATAAACCAGGAGACAAAAAAAAAAAAAAGTCACACTTCTTGTAATGTCTTCAGTCCTAATTGCCACAAGGAGGTTGGGACAGAGAATAATACGTTTGCAACCTGATGATCCCTTGGGTATTTCCTTGTACTCTCCCACCCAATGTTAACGGTAAATACACAAGTGCAGTAGTGTACCTTGGCCTGAGAAGGGCATAGGAATCAAGGGCTCAGACCTGTTAGGGATTTGGGTCAGTCCACCAGGTAAGGCCTTGAACAGTAGAGGTTCCAGTCTAGAGTGAGTGTAAACCAGAATGAACAGAAGATGAAGGACAACCTGAGTGTCAGTTGCAGCCTCAAATTTTGCTGCAGGCACAGAACTGAAGTTCGTCAGACTAATTTTCCTCTTTTATGTTTCCCCAGGAAGAGAGACTACCCATAATCCAGAAAGAGCTATTCCTAGATGCGGTCAATTACTATGTAAAGCAAGTGAATCTGGGTGGACCCATGATACAGCACCTAGGTTACCGTTTCAGGCCCCAGGAACTCATTGCCACAGCTGCCAGCAGTGTTGGCTGCTAATAGCTCATAGATGCATCCTTCTCTTGGCACAACCTAGATGGCAGATGGGAGCTGCCTCTTTCAAGTAATACTTCTACCCAGAAAAAGTCTGCATCCAGTAATTAAGCCCTTTCCCTTCTCTGATCCCAGGACAAGTTCAAAGGGTTGGTCATTCCAGGGTCTTTCCAAGGCTCTCCCTATGGGTCGTCTGAGGCCTCTATTGCAATTACTTTTCAATTCAACTTCTCCCTCTGCCCACCTGCTTTTCCCATTTTCATGCAGGATCATTTCCAAGAGTACTTTCCAATAAACTTCCTGAATGTAAATCTGCTCAGAATCTGTTTCCTGGGTCTTCTGTCCAAAGATGTACCTGCATGCATCCCATCTCTAGAGTTCCTCTTTGAGTAAGTCTGAGGTACAGTCTAGGCTTATGCAGCCTTTGCATTTCCCCAGCTATTTAAGATGTTAACTCCTGTTAAAAAACCATAAGTGTTTAGAGTGAGTTTGGTAGTAACATTAAAAATATATGCCATTTATTAGCAAGAATATTCAGGACTTGAACTCAGCACTAGAACAAGCAGACCTAATAGACATCTACAGAACTCTCCACCTCAAATCAACAGAATATACATTCTTCTCAGCACCATATCACACTTATTCTAAAATTGACCACATAATTGAAAGTAAAACACTCCTCAGCAAGTGCAAAAGAATGGAAATTATAACAGTCTCTCAGAATGGAGTGCAATGAAATTAGACCTCAGGATTAAGAAACTCACTCAAAACTGCACAACTACATAGAAACTGAACAACCTGCTCCTAAATGACTACTGAGTAAATAACAAAATTAAAGAAGAAATAAATCAATGAGAACAAAGAGGTAACGTACCAGAATCTCTGGGACACAGCTAAAGCAGTGTTTAGAGGAAAATTTATAGCACTAAATGCCCACAAGAGAAAGCAGGAAAGATCTAAAATCGACACCCTAAAATCACAATTAAAAGAACTAGAGAAGCAAGAGCAAACAAATTCAAAAGCTAGTGGAAGACAAGAATAACTAACATCAGAGCAGAACTGAAGGAGATAGAGACATGAAAAACCCTTCAAAAAATCAGTGAATCCAGGAGGTGGTTTTTTGAAAAGATCAACAAAATAGATAGACCACTAGCCAGACTAATAAAGAAGAGAAGAATCAAATAGATGCAATGAAAATGATAAAGGTAATATCACCACTGATACCACAGAAATACAAACCACCGTCAGAGAATACTATAAACACCTCTATGCAAATAAACTAGAAAATCTAGAAGAAATGGATAAATTCCTGGACACAGACACCTTCCCAAGTATAAACTAGGAAGAAGGCGATTCCCTGAATAGACCAATAACAAGTTCTGAAATTGAGGCAGTAATTAATATCCTACCAATCAAAAAAAGTCCAGGACCAGACAGATTTACATCTGATTTCTACCACAGGTACAAAAAGGAGCTGGTACCATTCCTTCTGAAACTATTCCAAACAACAGAAAAAGAGGGAATCCTCCATAATTCATTTTATGAGGCCATTATCCTGATACCAAAATCTGGCAGAGAAAGAAACAAAAAAATAAAATTTCAGGCCAATATCCCTGATGAACATCAATGCGAAAATCCTCAATAAAATGCTGTCAAACTGAATCCAGCAGCACATCAAAAAGCTTATCCACCACAATCAAGTCAGCTTCATCCCTGGGACGCAAGTCTGGTTCAACATACATAATTCAATAAGTGTAATCCATCACATAAACAGAACCAATGACAAAAATCACATGATTATCTTAATAGATGCAGAAAAGGACTTTGACAAAACTCAACATCCTTCATGCTAAAAACTCTCAATAAACTAGTTATTTATGGAATGTATCTCAAAATAATAAGAACTGTTTACGACAAACCCACAGCCAATATCATATTGAATGGGCAAAAACTGGAAGTATTCCCTTTGAAAACTGGTACAAGACAAGGATGCCCTCTCTCACCACTCCTATTCAACATAGTGTTGGAAGTTCTGGCCAGGGCAATCAGGCAAGAGAAAGAAATAAATGGTATTCAAATAGAAAGAGAGGAAGTCAAATTGTCTCTGTTTGCAGATGACATGATTGTATATTTATAAAACCCCATTGTCTCAGCTCAGAATCTCCTTAAGCTGATAAGCAACTTCAGCAAAAGTCTCAGGATACAAAATGAATGTGCAAAAATCACAAGCATTCCTATACACCAAAAACAGACAGAGAGCCAATCATGAGTGAACTCCCATTCACAATTGCTACAAAGAGAATAAAATACCTAGGAATACAACTTACAAGGGATGTGAAGGACCTCTTCAAGGAGAACTACAAACCACTGCTCAAGGAAAAAGGAGAGGACACAAACGAATGGAAAAACATTCCATGCTCATAGACAGGAAGAATCAACATTAAAATGGCCATACTGCCCAAAGTAATTTATAGAGCGAATACTATCCCCAACAAGCTACCATTCACTTTCTTCACAGAATTGGAAAAAACTACTTTAAATTTCATATGGAACTGAAAATGAGCCCATATAGCCAAGACAATCCTAAGTAAAAAGAACAAAGCTGGAGGCATCACACTACCTGACTTCAAACTATACTACAAGGCTATAGTAACAAAAACAGCATGGTACTGGTACCTAAACAGATATATAGACCAATGGAACATAACAGAGCCCTCAGAAATAACACCACACATCTACAACCATCTGATCTTTGAGAAAACTGACAAAAACAAGCAGTGGGCAAAGTATTTCCTACTTAAGAAATGGTGTTGGGAAAACTGGCTAGCCATATGCAGAAAACTGAAACTGGAACCCTTTCTTACACCTTATGCAAAAATTAACTCAAGATGGATTAAAGACTTAAACGTAAGACCTAAAACCATAAAAAACCCTAGAAGAAAACTTAGGCCATACCATTTAGGACATAGGCATGGGCGCAGACTTCATTACCAAAACACCAAAAGCAATGGCAACAAACGCCAATATTGACAAATAGAATATAATTAAACTAAAGAGCTTCTGCACAGCAAAAGAAACTATCATCAGAGTGAACATGCAATCTACAGAATAGGAGAAAATTTTTGCAATCTATCCATCTGACAAACAGCTAATATCCAGAATCTACAAAGAACTTAAACAGATGTACAAGAAAAAAACAAACAACCCCATCAAAAAGTGGGCAAAGGATATGAACAGACACTTCTCAAAAGAAGACATTTATGCAGCTAACAAACATATGTAAAAAAGCTCATCATCACTGGTCATCAGAGAAATGCAAATCAAAACCACAATGAGATACTATCCCATTGTAGTTAGAATGGCAATCATTAAAAAGTCAGGAAACAACAGATGCTGGAGAGGGTGGGGAGAAATAGGAACGCTTTTATACTGTTGGTTGGAGTGTAAATTAGTTCAACTATTGTGGAAGACAGCATGGTGATTCCTCAAGGATCTAGAACTAGAAATACCATTTGACCCAGCAATCCCATTACCGTGTAATACCCAAAGGATTATAAATCATTCTAGTATAAAGACACAGGCACATGCATGTTTATTGTGGCACTGTTCACAATAGCAAAGACTTGGAACCAACCCAAATGCCCATCAATGATAGTCTAGATAAAGAAAATGTGGCACATATACACCATGGAATACTATGCAGCCATAAAAAAGGATGAGTTCATGTCTTTTGCAGGGACATGGATGAAGCTGGAAACCATCATTCTTAGCAAACTAACACAGGAACAGAAAACCAAACACTACATGTCCTCACTCATAAATGGGGGTTGAACAATGAGAACACATGGCCACAGGGAGGGGAACATCATATACTGGGGTCTGCCAGGGTTTAGGGGCTAGGAGAGGGATAGCATTAGGAGAAATACCTAGTGTAGATGACGGGTTGATGGTGCAGCAAACCACTATGGCACACGTATACCTTTGTAACAAACCTGCACGTTCTGCACATGTATCCCAGAACTTAAAGTACAATAAAAAAAAGCTTTTAAAAGAAGAAAAGTAACTTTAAAAAAAGGTGTAGAACATATGAGGAAAGAGTCTTGTCATGTTGAGACCAATTAATGGTAACAATATACATTTATCTTTTCAGTAGAAATACAAATATGAAGGCAGGCTATTATGACATTATTTATTAGAATACTATGATGACAGGCTGCCACATTAAACCCACAGGCCTAATAATTGGCCATTAGAGATATAATAAAAATTGAGTCAGTTCAGAGGGGTCTACCGTATCAGCCCTCTAGTCCTGTAACAAGCCTGGTTCCTGCCAGTTAACAAAACAAATCCTATTTTGCTAGAATAAATATTTACTTCATGATACCCGATAATATGCAAGTAGTAACAAATATTCAAACCCCTCCTGAGAGGGGGTTATTAGATGGTGTTATAGTCTGTAGCCAGCACGTGTCTCCCATTAGACAACTGAGTGTGTGTGATCTTAAGAAAATCACTTCGCACCTCTTGGCCTCATTTACTTATTTTACAAATTTAGATTTGGAACTAGGTATCCCTTAGGTTTATTTTGGCTCTGAAAGACTATGATTCTATGATACACTGCTCCAGGAAAGACTAATTAGAAGACAGACTTGACACTCAACGTAAGAGCATATAAAAAGGGTTAGTGAAAGAAAAACTGTTTATATCATACAACCAACCATTCACAAGTTAAATTTTTAATCTGTGTTTTGAACTGGAAGAAATGCTAGAAAGATTGTCCTCAAATGGCTTCATCTTAAACATGAGTAGCTGATCTGAAGTTAGACCATCCTTGGAGCATTTAGAAAGTTGAATGTCTCATCTACTCAAACATTTGTTGTGGTGTTTTTTTTTCCTTTAGCTGTGCAATAAAGAATTGTATAAAATATTCCTGAATCATCTTTCCAAGATACATTAATTTATCTTCTCTAATCCTTAACAATTCCTTTCAGTAATAAGACTGGGGAAATTATTCTACTGTTCTAACCAAAAAAGGAAAATAAAGTTTAAGGAAGAAGTCATTTCCTTACTAATAAAAACAGATTCCCTTTCATCTACTTCAGTTTATTTTTACCTCTCAAGAGACCACTGACACAATTAGCTATCCAGACCCCTGGACCAGAGATTTCTCAGAAAGAAGCCATTACAACTTACAGGAAGCACAGGAGGGCTTTTATATGCTTTATACAGGTTTATATATTATACACCTGCATGTGATTTCTTTGGAGGAAAGGGTCCTGCTGCCTTAGCAAGTGAGGAAAACATCTATCTAGACCTCAAAGGCTTGACAAGACACAGTACACTTTCTTTAAAGGAGGAATCCTAATGAGATTAGTGCAGTCCCTTAAAAGTTTCTTGGAAATAGTGAGGGTATTTGTTTGTCCTCTGGTAAAGTCTTGCATGGGTATTTACCTATTGCTAGGCAAATTATTTTATAATAGCTTATTTCCTTTTTAATGTTTAATTTATGGCACTAGAGTTTTTTAAAATTATGTATAGGTAGATTGTATTACTCCTGAATTTTATTTTACATTAGTAAAGCATGCATTCCAATATAGTTGTTGTGTAGTAAGGTTGAGAAGTGCCAATTAAAATAAACACCATTACAGGGGTCACATGTGGTTGGCATGCATTTAACCATAGGCAGTCTGTTCTGTGACACCATCAACACCTCAAACCCATACATAGGATTAAGATCTATAAGATGAAAAGTTGACAAGCCCTTATCTAGCAGAGAGTACTCTCTATCGGATAACTTTTCAGGCTATTTATATGAGATTCAATGCTTACTCAGGAAATACTAATGATCACCATCATTTACCAAGAGAGAATTATCTCTCAGTCAGGCAAGTGGGCATTAATAGAGCTGTATACCCTTCAATAGTACTCCCTGTGTCAAAACGTTAAAAAAAAAATAGATACCCTACGGTATTATCTAGACATTAGAGACTTAAGCAATTAAATTTAGAAATAAATGGCAACTCTTAGTGAAGACCTGGCTTCTCTTTCATCTATTCCATTTTATTTTCAGCAATGGACAAGCTGGCTGGTTTTAGCTAGCCATACCCTTCATCCACTTTGAGTTCTGATTTAGAGCTATAACATCACCATGCATGAAACTAGTTACAAATCTTAGCCAGTGAATTCAAACTAGACTTCATTATTTTTAGACTAATTTTAAAATGGCATTTTAACATAAAATATTAAAACTCCACATATTTATATTAATTTGAGTTCCTCATTTTGTGCCAAGTACCCCAGCCAAGAAATCAATAGGAAAGCAAATCAAAATATTTCTTAGCTACACTGCATTCCAAAATTACCTACACCGTGCCAAATCCTATTGCCCATTCTTACCTATCATATCCCTCAAGGGAAGCACTTCAGCTAACATTATAATTTGTTTTAACTTTGCTTCCAAATCAAAAAGGCATTTACTTCTCCCTCTAAAATATACATTGCTAAACAACCTGATTCTTTGTTTATAGCTGGGTATTTATCTATAAAAAACCATGAAAAATAAAAAGATGCAAAATTCTAGAATCAAAGGGTTCTACTTGACATGAAACAGTTTTCAGCAAGTACATAATTTAAGCCTCTTTAGTTAATGAGTTACCTGCATGCTATTTAGAAGTGGAAGTCACTTTTTTAAAAAGCACCTTTCATACAAATTATTTTTACTAGAGATGTATTGATTCACCAAATACAGTTCTACAGTTAGGCTGCCAATACTAAAAATATCCTTTCCACCAACTGTCTCCCTATTTCTGTCTCCCAAGCATCTCATTTTGGCTTTGGGCTTAGGACTAGGTTCTTGAAACACCAGGACAAACTGGAGCTGATTAGGTGGCCATAGTTCACTTCCCATGGCTATCATAGTAGATGGGCTTTACAAACACCCACGACACTCAAACATCCATGACACAAAAGTAAGCCAGACACTTTTTACAGACATTCATGAAAGTCAGAAAATCCAAATATTATTTCCCCTTCAATAAATTCTCTTGAGGAAACCCCTTCTCAGGAGCCAAGAAGAATAGTTCCGTCAAGACCCATTTATACGAAAGGCTGCTGGGGCGGTTGAGTTTTCATTCAAGTCTATATATAATGCATGTAATTACATTATGTCAGCCGCATGCATAAAATCCTACTTTCCTGTAGTTTTACTCAGTATATATTCTTATTGACTGTAATTGCATGGCCCTTTAAACAGTCTAAGGCACACACTTATGTTACCATCCTTTTTTGAAACTCTATACAGTGTTCTAATGAGCCATGGATCTGAAGTCAATGTCGTTTCCTAGCACAGCCATTATAGGCCTATGATCACATAGTGAAGAGAAGCATCCTGTTCAGAGCAAGTGATTCCACTTAACCTGGAGATGCCAGGACCTAAGGTCTTAAATAGAGAAGAGCCCACTGAACCAAACTAGACTTCACAAAATTCTAAATATAGTTCAGGTGAAGTACAAGGCAGAAAAGGTCAAGTGTTTAAAGCTTAAAATCAAATAACGAATTTAAAAGTGGCATTAATTTTGGCATTAAAGAAAACATCTGGATAACTCGAGATGGAGTGAGAGAGAGCATGATAGAAGAGGAAGGGAGAGTGACAGAGGAAGGGAAGAAAGAAAGAAAGAAAACGAAAACCAAAAGGTTTTCAAGGTAGTGGATGCCTGCAAACGCCAAAGAAATGAAGGTTGCTAGCGATGAAAGAGAAAAAATAGCAATAATAGGAATGTTAATAGTGGAAGAATAAGGCAGGTGACTTGTCCTAATTTTCTAATAATCTGCCTTGAAATTTCTTAAAATTCAACATGACAAATTGTATTGTATGGCATCCTAATGCTCCATGTGCATTCAATCTTAATAAATATGGTTGGCAGATATTGCTGTCTATGCTTTACCATATTTCATTATGTATACTTACCTAAAATTCATGCAGAAACAACTCAAAAGTTCAGTCATAAAGTGCAATTCTTTTCCTCTTCAACGTGCAAATTTAATCTTAATGTACACCTTTGGGATGTTTGTATCCTTGTTCTTCTAAGTGCTCTGTGAGTTCTAGCCTTATCCTTGAAGCAATATCTGTAGGAAAATTATTTCATCTGCTTCTGACATTTGAAAACAAATGTTATAATGATGTGGAAAAATGATTTTACAAGAAGTTAATTTATTCTACCAATTTCCACAATTTCTCTAGGTTTATTTGACACTTTTCCCCTCCAGAGAGAATATTTAATGTAATTACTTGGCAAGAATCTTAATCTCTCCCTCTCTCTCCCTCTCTCTCTCTTTCTCTCTCCTCCCTTTTAGTTCTAAAACAATACCTACTCAATCTAAGCTTGAACACGGATTATAAAAGAAATGCCTTTTCTTTAAAAATCTAAAGTGTTGTATCTTTTTTTGAAGACTGTCATTCGTGTCAATCAAAAAAACTCTGAAAAAGAAGGGATATTTCTATAATATATTGCAAATACAATAATATCCTTAAAAGTAATTAAATTACATCACTGATAAAATAATTATTATATTGTGTTTTTCATGAAAATAGCATTGCTAATTCACCAATAACATTTTATACCTAAAACAGTGTCACTTTCATGCAAAGACTATAACAACTGTATCTTTGCATGAAAGGTTTTCTCTATTGCATGAGAGCAGAAAATATTCTCTCAGAGTATTAATATGTGAAGTTAAAAATGTCCTCCATCCAGGGACTCTGATCATGGGACTCTGAGAGAAAGGCAATGAATTGATATTTGGGATTTTATCCTCAAAAAGAAGAGTATTCTGTTTTGGAAATTTGATGTTATAAAAAATACTTAATATAAAGTACCTTTGGCATCTATAAGATATCCATTAGTAGGTATAAAAACGGTACTTTAGCTTTTGGAACAGTAAAGGAGAGTATATTGTACAGTAAATGCATTGTAACAATTATATATTATGTATATGCATATACACATATATATGTGCTGAATGGACAGTCTCAAAAAGATGTGTCTCTTAGTATTTGAGATAGATGATTTCCTAGATAAGCAAAGTTTAGCTCAGCTGAAGCTTGTCTTATTCATTTTTTGCTTCTTTAGTCATAGTGCCCATGAACTCCTAAGTCTCCTTTAAAACAGTACATGCATATTAGATATACAAGCAACCCACTGTAATTAAATGTTGTCACCCTGAAATAAAAGGATATCTTTTCTCAACGTGCTTTGTTTGTATTTCTTTGGCAGGAGAGGAGGAATACCAGTTGTTCTATAAAAGCTTATGTAAGGTATTGAGAGCACAAAACAGGAATTTTTGTAACAGTGGAACAAAACAAAGTACTAAAGAGAGTGAAAGGACTTTCCCCATCAGGCAATGGGAGGTCACTGGTGTACAAAATGAGCATGGTCATTTAAACAGGACACCAGACAGGTTTCCATGTGGAGGGAAACAGATGCAGCACAGAGTATCTGGCTTTGGTGGCTTCCAAGGGCCATCAGAGAAACATGCTGTAGGAGAGAAAAATGCTATCTACCGCTTGGAAGCTAGCAGGACTAGTTTCATTCCCAAGAGTTGGTAGTCATTGAGTTGTCTCCCATGAAACCTATTATGTATCTTGCATAGGTTTCTTAAGTTTCTTAATAGGTTTCATGGGAGACAACCCCATGACTACCAACTCTTGGGAATGAAGCCAGACAATGCCTTTCTGTCCAGTTATTGTGAACCTATATTTTAATCTCTAGGCTAGAAAGATCTGAGGATATATGAATCACATGTGTAAACAAGCCAGTAAGTCTTCATACAATCTATTACGTACTGCAAAAGGTATAAGGTGATTTAAAAAAAGGAAGACCAAAACCATTCTGTGCTTGGGAAAGGGAGAGAAATTTTGGCAACTTCACAGAATAATTGGTGTTTGAGTTGAGCCAGGAAAACTGAGTATATAGTTATCAGAGAGTGACAGGATTTTTGGATATTTCGGGCAAACATACAAAGGCAAAGGAGAACATGGTGTGTTCCAGGACTAGCTGTTATTTGGGGAGGCTAAAGCATAGTGGATATATGGAGATGAAAAGACAAGAAATAAGTTTGGAAAGGTATAACTTGGATTTGTTTATTTGTTCATTGCAAAACTCCTCCAATTTGTATGCAATAATAAAACTTTGTTTAGAATTTTTGTGGTCCTCATGTTTGCAAGTGGGAGAGTTGCTGCCAGCCAACAAGGTTGCCCAGTATTTAGGTTTGCCAAGATATTTAGTGGGTTTTATGAAACGATACAAAATGAGACATCCTTAGAACACAATATGGGCCTTACCGAATAGCGCTCCCAAAAGGGATTGCATGGGAATAATCCCTTTGTGGAGACTCAACATAGAAAAGTCAAAAAGGCTCATAGAATTTGTCCAAGAGCACATGCTTGGTTATCTGCAGAACTGTGAATACGAGAATATTCTCAGACTGGAGATCAGTCTAATTTAATGATATGAATGAAGTCTTCTATAAAAATTTCTCCTCTCCCCCATACCCACTCCCTCCTACTTAGGCAAAAGGACTCCACTATCAATAATTCCCAAATAGCTCAACAGCCATAAAACTGAGAAAGGTCTGAGAATTTAGGACGGTGAAAGAAATGTAATAATTTAAAAATAAAAAAGCCAATAACTTAAGATTTTGTACATGCCATTAATATTTAATTGCATTTTCCTGAATATTCAGGGACATTATTTTTGAAAAGGTATCCTTGATATTTAGCCGCAGCCATTTCAGAATAAAATGAAGAGCTGAGATACATTTAATTAAATGTCTTGGTCACATTATTCTTATACGAGAAAAAAAGTCACTTTCACATTATTAATTACTTGGCAAAATTATAATTGGACAAAATTGGCATAAGACTACAAAAAAATTAGCCAGAGTGATAATCCAAACCTCAAAAGGTCAGTTTGAACACTGCATGCTGGTTATATATTAATAAAAAGGAATAAATCAAAGAACATATGTGTGACTTTGAACATTTCTAAAATTTAATTTATTTTAAACTGCTGCCAAAATGTAGATATTTATTTTCTCTGACATTATTCCCTGATTCAGACTTAAGTATGTCCTCAATAACTCTGAAAGGCAGAACAGTCAGTGATATATCAAAGGAATGCTGCAGCTTCAGATATGCTTCTTCCCAATTTTACAAGCCATAGCAATATTACTTAATAAGCAGAAGCTGACTTCTGCCAACAGAGTTCTATACTTGCCTGAGACAGGCAAATATATAGTATTTTACAAGAAGAACATTTGAATATTTACCATTTTATAGATCCTCGTTGACTGAAGAGAGGAGAAAAAAAGCCAATTGCACTTTAGAATAATCCTTCATTGGGGAGACATTTTTAGTGAGTAATATTTCAAAGACTATTCAGTGGTGAAAAAAGTATTGTATAAACAATAAATATTTTAGTGACTTCCATGGGGCGAATTTCACAGTATAGTTTTTTGATATGGTCTACTTTACTTCTGCTGAAATTCTGCTATCTTCAGTCATTTGTAAAAATACAAGTGGTCAAGAGTTTCACTTTTAAACAAAGCCACCTTTAAATTTCCAAAGCAGTTATACTTGGTATAAATTTAAATAGGTTTCCGCCAGTCACGTTGGCTTACACCTGTAATCTCAACACTTTGTGAGGCTTAGGTGGGAAAATCACCTGAGTCAGGGAGGTCAAGGCTGCAGTGAGCTGTGATCACACAACTGCACTCCCCCCTGGGAGACAGAGTTAGACCCTATCTCAAAAAAAATTATTATTAAATAAATAGGTTTCTATGTGTACATTTTTTCATAACATTTTTAAAATATGTGTCAAGACAACTGACTTAAATAGGTAAGTCTATAAAAATTATACATGGCTATATAAATATCAAAAGATTGGTTAAATTGAGTACATAAACTATAAATAAATATTTGATTTAGAAAACTAGAGTTTTGACGTTTACAGCAAACTACAAATCATAGGTTAACAAAGCCCAGAAGCCTCGCTTTGAATTCTGAATACACCAAAATCTCTATAGGCTGTTGACCGGAATTTCATGACTCTACAACCAGGTTGGAACTGGGACTGCAAAGGCTTCAAAGAGTCTAGGACTGTGTTTTCTACTCCCTATATGACCCATAAGAATTTGTGAAACTATCTAGAATGTTAGAATTCAAGATGCTAGAGCAATACAGGCTGTTAGTCAAGGCCTCAAATAACAAAAAGTGAAAGTTAAGACAAGCTTAAGCAGAGAATGACAAAGCCAAAAACTCAACTGTAAATTAAGAACCCTTATTAGGGAGAAACGCTGATTCTAATAACCTTTGCTGCCAATTTGAATAAGCAATATATGGTGGCATGTTGGGTCAAAGCCAAAAGAAAAAAACCCAAGTTCAGGGCCAGACCAACAGTCTAGTTGGCTGTGTGTGTGCTGCCCTGACAATCAGTGGTCAGGACTCCTAATGAAGGCTGGAGCACAGATGAGGTCAAAGGACTAATGCACCACTGAGTCATGTAACAAAATACAGGGCAATAACCACCTCACACCATTTTAACACAAAAGAAAAATCAAGGATCCCGAAAATATTGTTACATCTTTGACATTTTCTATTAATCATTCTGAACTTGAACATCACTACTAAGTTTCATCCTCAAATACTGTAGAGCTTCTACAGTACAAAATGCATTTCATAGATCAGATAGCATACTTCAAACACAGTTTTATCAGTTATAATATTTGCTTATTCCTGGATTTCATGTGCTACTTATAATTTGAAAAAACCAACCTTTGTTAAGAGAAAATGACCCCTACAGAGATGATTCTGTGCCTCCTTTACCTCCACTCTAGAGATTAGAAAGCAGGCCAGCCAAATCATGAAAAACTGGAAACAGAAAATGTTCATTTCACTGGAGATAGGGGATAGAGAACAAGACTTATGCTTAGGAGTAAAATAGATTTTGGGGCGAAAAAAGGCAAGGTATTCTTTTTGGTATATGGGAAACAGTGATAATTTCAGGAGAAAAAAAATTCTTGGGGATTCTTGCGAAAACTGGGAAGAAACAAAGAGTTTCTTTGTTTCTAACAAGATGGGGGACTTTTTTATTGGAAGCTATGTGGATGCTAAGAGTTACTAAGAAAAAGCACCAAACAAAAGAGCATATGAATTGACCGACTGACGAGGAATCAAGAATGTGCTCCAAAGCAGAGAACTGGGAGGATTATACCTGAGGACTCATAAACTTAGAAAGGTTTTTGATTATTTTTACTTATTAAATTTCATCACATTCCAAAAGTGCTTCAGAGCGCTTTTAAAAATAGCTCCAATACCAAAGCCCAAAACTGAGGAATGAGAAAATCAAGAAAAGGCAAAAATAACCATAGGTAACTAAATAAGGGTCTGGTTAGGACTTGCACAAAGAAATGCAAAGCACAAGCTCTTGTAGAATTGTTGAGCTGGGAAACAAATTTGGCTTTAAACTTTCTGGGATTCAAAGCAAAAAAGGATGCAGGAATAGTGAGGCCACTAATTTTTTTTTTCTTTCCCAATTATCCTTCCTCCAAAAAAAAAAAAAAAAAAAAAAATCCTTGAAGGAAAAACGGAAGCCTTGGGCTAGCCCAGGTAATGTGAGTTGTGCGGGTTCTGCAGGGCAAAGCTGGGCAGGGAGATAACAGTCAGAAAGAGCAAGTAAGTGGGAGGCATGGAATTACCAGGAATAGAAGACATAGCCCTGATTACTATGAATGACACAGTTGACATTTGCTGAGACACTCTAAGCAGGGTGGATGTTGGGGGACTCTCAGGCACCATACGCCTACCCGGGATCCAAACTTTTCATCACCTAAGCTGCCAGGATGACACTATCCAATCTCCGCCTTGTCCCCCAACAATGCTCGTGTGTTTCTCTCTTCACTTATTCCTTTCTACCCTGTCCTATGAAACCCTTGTTCCACTATCACTCACTTGACTAAACTTCATTCTTTGTGTTTTTGCCTTGAAAGAAACACAAATCTCACCTGAAAACACTATCCTCCCTACTCATTCACTCATGACTCACAGGCTCTAGATAGATACCAAAGCTGTACTCAGCCTTCCCCTGAAGGGGCCTGACCCTTCCATACAGTATTATGATTATTTTAGTTTTCTCTTTATAACACTTTCCAGATTCACTTCATCACCAGAATCAACTACATAATAAATATGAAGTCATCCTGTTTAGTAGGTAACTGAAGACTATTTCCTTGTCTTTCTATTTTCACACACAAAGAGAATTTGTTTTCTCTGTGAGTGCTGAAAGGAGAGCAAACTTTCAACAGAAAACACAGCAGGACTGTGTACCATTCCCCCAAATACACCATGAGTGATTTTTTTTGCCTTCATCATTCTGCACATGTTATTTGCTTGTTCTGAAATTCCTTCCCATAATACTTTTCTCTGGAAAACATTTATCTTTCAAGACCCAACCAAAAATCCTCCCATATCCTTTCCTGTCTCCTACATGCCCTGAAGCCTTCTTGAAACCACCTTTGCAAAAATTATAACTGAGAAAATTATGAGTGTAAAAGAGATCTGACCTAACTGACTCCATCTTGCTTCTAACCTCCAAGTTGTCCTTGTTCATTCCTGGGCATAGGCTGAACTAACTTTGGGAGGAAATTTGAAAGAAAGATGATAACAGCCCTTGCACAAAACAAATCCCCTTCCTGCCTGGGACTAGACTGACTTTGTAGGACTAACAAATTCGCCATAAGATTAGAAATTATGGTTTAGGACTCATGCAGCTGGAGGCTGCAAGATTCTGAACCTCTCTAAATTGCTCGTGGGGATACCATCACTGTTGTGAAACCTAATATCAGTGCTTGAAATATTCTGGAGACTCTGCACTCAATGGATCAGCTGGCATGACCCAGGTCAATAAGCTGGCTCATCTGGTCTCACCCAGGAACTGACTCGGCACAAGAAGACAGCTTTCGACTCCTCATGATTTCATCTCTGATCCGACCAATAGCGCTCCCCATTTTCTAACCCCCTATCCACCAAATTATCCTTAAAAACCCCTATCCCTGAGTTTTCAGAGAGACTGATTTAAGTAATAATAAAACTCTGGTCTCCCATACAGCCAGCTAAACTCTTTCTCTATTGCAATTCTTCTCTCTTAATAAATCAACTCTGTCTAGGCAGCGGGCAAGGAGAACCCATTGGGTGTTATATTCTCAGGAGGCTAATGGTCTTTCCATCCAGAATGATGTCGAATGATGAAGGCAAAAAACATCACTCTTTACCTCACCTTTACATCCCTGTTGCACCTTGTATCTCCACTACAAAGAAACAAATCTTTCTCACCAATTAATTTACATGTTTGTTGGGTATGGACTAGCACCCAGGACCATACGAAGGTCTCAGCACATTGGCAAACAATGAATATTTATGAAATAAATGACATTTTTTGAAATTGCAATCTGTTACTTTCAACTAGTGATTTCAACAATCAGTGCTGAATTGCCCATGATAACCTTTTTTGTTAGGTTTAAACCAAGAAGTTATGATTCTTTTAACAGTTTCCAAAACTCTTTGTTTAGGGGTCATTTTGAAACAACAAGCCACAAAATATTTGAAGAGCTAGTGGTATTTCTCTACCTAGCAACATTAATTCTGCAAACTTGTTATATGAAACTTCTTAAAGAGGTAACCTAAATGGATGGTATAAAATGACCCATAATATACTTCCTTTTCTAAAGCATTAAAATATCTCACAGTTTTTAGAGATAAACATTTGTGATTAAGCAAATTCTGCCGTACATAAATATGCATGTTTATGCGCAGCTAATTCTTTTTTAAAATGAGATTTATTTTCCCCTTTTCCTATAAAACTAAGTTCTCACTAAGTACTAAGTTCTGGTTTCATGCAATTTAAAAAGTCAAACAGACTTTCCTTATCTTGCAACGTAGATAGATCGCAACTACTGTCTGCATAACAAAATTAAGTGACACTTATATTTAATAATCTTTTCCATGATGCACTGTCCTGTATATTGCTTTTGAGTTTTATTAAGCAACTGAGTGACATGATTAGCTATATTTTACCAAAAAGAGATCTAGTCACCATCAATCAGCACCATGACTTCAAGTCAGGATCTGATTCTTAGCATCCTTTTAAGATACCATGCGGCGTCTTTCATTGATCCATGAATATATGACTCAGGTGTGTTGCAAAGCACGAAGACACTGGCTGAGAGCTTGAGCCAACAAGGTGCTGTGCAGGTAGATAAAGGAACATAGCATGGAGAAAATGTTTTAAAGGTAATGTTTGTTCTTTTGGACTAGGGAAGCTCTTCACCACGTAAAACAAATAATACTAGAAGATGCAGTGAGAAAAAGACATATGAAGACAGACAACATATTTTTATAGAAATGTAAAAGCCTTTTAATTTCTGCTTCCAATTTCCCACCCTCTTCAGTGGTTTTATTTGCTGCCTCCTTGATTCTGCATCCACTCCCCACAGGAGCCCTGGCTGCCTTCAAAATTTTCTTCACTTAAAAAGACTAGGTTGGGACTTACTGTGCTCTTGATTTAGTGTCAATTTAACATTGAAACAATCTTGAAAGAAACCCAGGCTCCCCTGCAGAGAACTGCTGGAGAACTGGCAAAAAGGACTGGAGAAGGAATTGTAAATTGTTGCCTCCCACTCCTGCAAGAGAACCTCCCCTGGCGCCTTCAACTTTCATTAGACTTTTTAAATGACTCCCAATACCCACTTTTCTATCCCAGTGAATACTAAAATTGACCTTTTTGTACAGCAAAGCAAGGGTTTAGAAATAAGTCCTGAGGAC
This sequence comes from Homo sapiens, assembly GCF_000001405.40. Taxonomy (NCBI): domain Eukaryota; kingdom Metazoa; phylum Chordata; class Mammalia; order Primates; family Hominidae; genus Homo; species Homo sapiens. The sequence goes on from NC_000004.12 coordinate 142,690,830, forward strand.
CCCAGCACCTTCCTCCTCACCCCCACCTCCAGAAACTAGAAACCACAGAGTCCAGGACCTTGTCCCTCAAAGCTATTTTTAGAAATGCATACCCAGAAGCTGATTATAGAAAGCAACTATCTCTTTTTCACACTGCTATTTCAAGTTCTGAATATAATGCTGAGTGCACATAAAATACATGATCCAGCCTGTGATGACCAGCTGACCTGCAGAACTTGACAGCACTAAGAACTCGGTGGGAACCATTGGTTTAAATCCATTCCCACGAGACCATGGAGCTCTAAGCGCATCTCAGCCCCCCAATGTGTCTCTTTTCCTTCTCATCTTAGCATTCTCTTTAGTTGCAACTATCACCATGTTTCCTATCAAACTCTAAAAGCCCAGTGAGAAAACTCAAAGGAAAATGATAGCCCCTTTTACACTGAGACTTGAATGTGATGTTGAAGCATTTTGAAAAAATGTCAAAAACAGTGGGTCCAAAATGCCGACAAGGGCAAAGTTTTTTTTTTTTTTTTAAATTTTTGCTTATCAGGACCCACACAATCCTAGGCCTATGTTTCGAAAACAGATGCCCTAGAAAAATTTCCCCTGATGAATAATGTACTCCTCAGCTTGTACCTTTAGAAGGTCAAACTATGATGTACCTTTATAAAAATCAAACAAGGGAAAGAAAACCACTGAAAAAAATGTACCCTGTGTCTTGCAAGTATTAATAAAATCCAGTCTACTTCTCCATCAACAACCCAGATTTAGAAAAAACACAAACTCAGAATCCTGGTTACCTGACTCAGAAAACCTCCATTGACTCTCTGATCACTGAGTAAACTCTTCTCTGTATTTCCTGGGGGTAGCTCAGGAAACAGGGAGTGTGACATGGATCCTTCTCAACTACCAACTTTCTAAACCACTGACCTTGGACTGCAGGGTCCCTTCTGTTCCTTCCTCCCTTGAGGAGCTATAAAAACTCTGCATCAAAAACGTGGGGGGGACAAGCAAAAGGCTTGAGTTCCACTTCTGAGTCTGCCACTGACCATGTTCAGGCAGGTTCTTCACTTTTCTGGGTCTTGCTGTCTCCTCTGAAAGGAGGAGGATAAATAAGAGAAACTAAGACACTCCCCTTCTAATTTAAAAATCTATGAAGAATTACAGAATGTTCCCAAAACAGAATCATACTTGGTCTTCACAGGAAAAAGAAACCTCATGGAAGATGTTAATTATTTCTCTGTCCCACTAAAGATTTTTTTTTTCAGAAGCCGCAGATGGCACAAATCAGATTAGGTTATCATGAAGGAGCCAAGGGGACCCTTCCACTTTGCCCTCTGAAGTTTCACTGAAAAATCAACTGATAAAAGGCAGATTAATTGGGGATGAAGTTCCTTGTGCTCCTTCACTCACCTGCTTTATTGTTACTCTAAATAGATTACTAAAACAAACAAAAAATACTGGAGTAGAAATAAATATTGAGGATAAAAAAATAGAGAATATTAATAGGAAGTATCCTTTCAATGTTTAATAATTTTCCACCTTCTATTTGCCGACAAGATTTAAAGTTACCCTAAAAACTTTCTCAGATTAAAGGTATCAAATTGGGCCAGGTGGGGTGGCTCATGCCTGTAACCCTAGCACTTTATGAGGCCTAGACGGGAGGATCGCTTGAGCCCAGGAGTTCCAGATTAGCCTGGGCAACAAAGCGAGACCCCCATCTTTTATTCTAAACAATTGTTGGAAAGGTTAAATTAAAGGGACACAAAGTAATGTTATAGCTATTCTTTCGAGCAGATCTGACCTAAAACAAAGTTAAAATCCTATTCAAGGTCAAAAGTGCCTGCTTTACATTCCTTCTGGGAAGAACAACGGAGACACTCCATTCTGTGTCCAGGAGTTACGGTTCTGCCCTTTCACTGTGGTGGCCTAGGTTCAATTCCTGGCCAGGGAACAAGTCCTTTCTGGTTTGACAGTTGTGTGATTTAAAATATAAACTCTTTGTCCCTGGCAAATTCTGGTAATAAGAGGTTTGAGAGGATTTTTTAAGAGCTCTATAGTCAAAAGTTGACTTAATTAAAACCTATATTTAGGCTAGTCTCTATAGATAGATAGATAGATAGATACATAGATACATAGATAGAGATAGACAGACAGACAGACACATACATAGTAAATTCTAACAACTTGATGCCTTAAAAAAAAAAAAAGAGAAATTAACAGAAAAAGGTGCCACATGTTCCTTTTTGGTAGTAACTGCTATTTTTCCTTAGGGAATCCCCAAAGCTGTAAATGGACGGAGTTATCTCAGATCTAAAATTCTGTTCCCTTTTGTATTGCATTTCCTGATCTTCTTGGCTTTGGGGGGTACCAGAAATTACTTTATGAAAAAAATTAACCTTGGTATGTGTCATGGCTAGGTGAGAAATACACTTTTAGAATGGCTGATGGCAGTTGCTTACAGTGAACAGTTATTACTACAGGGTGCTCCTCTTTGAGTGTTTGGATAAGAAAAGCATCCTTTAGGCCCTGAAGACTGACTGCTTTCTTAGGCTGAGTTCCTTAAAGGGCTCCACCCTAAAACCAGTAATCTAATTAAGAAATAAGCTAAGTTAAAAAGCCATTTTACAACTTTCTGGCATTTAGCTGGCTATCTTAAAATGCCTTTTTCTAAAAAAAAAAAAAAAAAAAAAAAAAAAAAAAAAAAAAAAAAAAAAAAAAAAGCCTGACATCTTTAAGGAACTCTCCATTTGTAAGGGTGTCTGCTTGCATACATTAAACTCTTAACCATTATTTTAAATTTATAAGCTATACCTTTATTTGAGGTGCTTTTCCTCACCTTCTTAACTAAAATTTACTTACATGATTTTTTTCCCTTGGTTTGAACAAGTGATGGTACAATATTCAGGCCTAATGTCTTCACGCTATGCTTTCAAAATATCAAAATTCAAATGATATATGTTGTTTTATCTTAGCTGTTCCTTTAGAAATGCAAATTTAAGGTTGCCTAGCTAACAATAACTGAGAGCAAAGAAACAGATAATCAAGAAATTGACAGTCTAAAGTAGGAAGAAAAAGCCTTGAAAACTGGCAAATTAAAAATATCACAAATTTATAAGATCTGCTTCTCTCTATGTGTCTATATGTCTACTTAATTACACTGGTAATATGTGATGTCTTACTACTAAAATAAATAAAAGGGCTCTAATTTATTGGTTTAAAGAAAAAGTAAGTGCTTAAATCAAGCATTTTATTAAAAATTTTTTAAAAAAGAAAGCTGACTGGGCATGGTGGCTCACACCTGTAATCCCAGCACTTTGGGAGGCCGACGCAGGCAGATCGCTTGAGGTCGGGAGTTCCAGACCAGCCTGGCCAACATGGTGAAACCCCGTCTGTACTAAAAATACAAAAATTAGTCAGGCATGGTGGTACACGTCTGTAATCCCAGCTACTCAGGAGGCTGAGGCAAGAGAATAGCTTGAACCCAGGAAACAGTGGTTGCAGTGAGCCGAGATTGTACCACTGCACTTTAGCCTGGGTGACAGAACGAGACTCGTCTCAAAAAAAAAAAACAAAAAAGAAAAAAAGAAAAAAAAAACCCTTTAACTCAAATGCCTTTTAGTTCACATGTCTTTAATAATCTTTAATAAATAAAGCTAATTTTAAAATTATTGATAAAGTAAAAATGTCTTCCAAATTAGACATTTGGTCAAAACTGGTCAGGCAGGTCAGATACTGTCTTTGCTACTTGTTTGAAGGTTATAAACCACTTCTGTAATATTTTTTAGAATTGTTTAACTTGTCTGTTTTGGAGGCATTTGATTCTAGGCTCTAAACTAATAGGCAGGGTAAACTATGCTGGGAAGGGTCAGACATTATCTGCAGCTTCGTCCTTTGTGGTGAGCTCCGCATCTGATACATAATTAAAATTGCACTAATTTTTCAGTGAACCCTTAGAGGGTTCACGCTGAGAAGAGCCTACAGCCCCTACACTTTCCCTTAACATTTTTGAAAAATATATTTGCTTTTACTGCATGTATAGGGAGAGATATCAACTAAAAAGTCCCTCAGAAAAAATATTTTCTCTACTGGGAGCAAAAACATAAGAAAAACCACTTTCTGGTTTAAAAACCCTACCTGTCACTATTGATCCAGTAATAAAATAGGGTCTTGTGGTGGGGGTAGGGGTATTATTCTGCACCTATAAAGTCAAGGATATTTGCACAAATAGCAACACAAGTTAATGTGCCTACAACACCTTCATAATCATTCACTTTTTTTTTAGTATTAACACTTATTCCCATGTAGTAAAATTATAAAATTATGTATAAATTCTACAAAACATTACCTGACAAAATAAGTTCCCTTATGGAGACATCAAGATCACTGACCCTATTTCAGAATAGCATAAAGATAATAAAGTTCTAAAACTGAGTTTCAACAATGACCCAGGAACTGAAGGGTCCCTAATATGAAGCTAATTCTCAAACAGCCTTGCCAAAGTTAAAGCAAAGATTCTGTTAGCCAGAAATCCCAAAACAAACCTTCTGCCAAATTGAATAGCAATTTTGTTTCCCTAAAAATAAAAATTTTTAAATTAATACATAGAAGTGAGTTTTAATAATGCCAAAAATATTATTTCCTATGTAAAACATCTAAATGTCTTAGTTCTTACTGTGCTTTTCAAGCAAAGGATAGAATGTAATGCAGCTGTCACTTCCCTAATATAATTATCTGAAAATTATCAGTTTATTTTTAAAATACTATGCATAAATTTATGATGAAAATAACTAGTTGAAAGAAAAATAAGATGTTCCATCATGTTGTTAGCAGCATGCCTCAAAGGCAGGAACCTACCCAACAGATACGATTTAATAAACTGTGCAATAGAATTTAAATCAGTTATATAATGCTCATTAAGACAATGACAGTGCTCTATCCAACAGAGCACTAAGTTACTACAATCAAATCTTAGTTGTCAGGCATAATGCTTGAAGGAAATAAAAATATTTTACCCCAAAATATACTTATTTGGCATATTTTAAGATGGATATCCAGAGGGCTACAAATTCCCCTCAACCCCTATAGGCTCAAGGCAGTGTTTCTTATCTTGATGTGGGATCTCAAGGGAAAGGCGGGCCAGGATAATCCAAAACCTAGACACTGTGGATCAGATGACAGATCAAGTTCAAGGAGAGCCAGCTGGGACTAGGAGAATTAGACAGGTGCCCCTGGATTGAGCAAGAAAATGTTGAGTATTGACAAAGTTATCAGACGAGGAAAGGTTAGAAAGGTCCCAGGAGCCTAGAAGGGCAGTGTTTACAGTCCAGGAAGTCAAATAATGACACCAGCATATTCGATGGATTAAGGCACACTCTGATTCTAAAACAGATCATTTCCTCTGTGCCCTTTTCCATGTGTCTGATAAGACAGAGAGTGTGCCTGGTCCTACTAGCATTTATACCATCCTCAAGGGGCCAGAAAGCCCCAGGAGAACTTTCCAAGAGATCCTCATGCAACAACCCACCTTGTTCCATAACTGTGCCCAGCAGCTCAAGGGAACAATTATAAACAAGGATACCACCCCCAAAGAGTAATAAAATCTAGCTGAGGGGACAAAATATACACAAACATCAGTGCAAGGCACTAACTGACCCAGGCTGTAATTCTGTGGTACAGATACTCCCTTTCCCCACCCCAGCCCTGACATCTGTCTCCTACACAAACTACACCTTCAGTGCTTGCCCAACTTTGTTGCTTACTTCACTGCTTACACCCACTTAAACTGGGTCATCCTGGCATCTGCAGTGCCCACTCAACCCTGCGTCCCTCTGCCTTGCCATCAGCTACTACTTATGTTGTTCTCCAAACATTTCAAAACCAGGCACTACACAGCCATCGACTTCTGATCCTAATTCACCATGTCCTTTACAGCCAGCCAGTAGAGAGGCTCAGTAAGAGGGCAAATTGGATAACACCAAGGCTGTCCAAGAAAAGCAGGTTTATAGTTCCATTCTTTTATTGTAAAATTACTTATTAAATTACTTCCCTTTGCATGTTTTACTTGTTTTTATAACAGTGCTTTCCTCTAGCAAGGAAGTAGATAAAACCACAGTGTGCAGCCCCGCACACTCCACTGTATGTGTTTATTCTTAGAATGGTAAGTCAGAGAGAGTGGAACACTGGCAAGCTTTCACCTGCTTTTAGTTTAAAAGGATGTCAGTTACAGTTTATTATCCCAATGATGCATTTTTAAAAATTCTTACAATCATATTATATACATGTGATGTTGATGTCAATCATAAGCAGCCTAAGTTACATTGTTATTAAAATTACCTGTTGTACAATGCTTCATATTTTCCAGGAAAAGGAGACATTTAAATTATATGGTTTTGGTGAAAACACATCGGTAACTGAACATGGGATGAACAACCTCTATATCATTCTCCCTTTTAATACTGTTAGGCTTTCCCCAACCCACACCAATGCCATCAACCTTGCTCCCAGAAAAGCTACCTAAATTCTCTGAGTTGCCATTCATAAAAACAGAGTCTGGGATCAACTGTGAAAGTGAATTATATACATGAGTGAATAAATCAAAATAATACTCTAACGAAATAGGTAAGCCAAGTTTATTGTTTCTGGCAGTAGGCTTTAACCATGTGATAATGTTCTGTTGATTTTCTCTTAAAAATGTCATCCAATTACATAAAACTGTCAATCAATCTTAATCAAACAAGATTTGGACAATGGATTCTTGCTGGGCTTTTCTATATGATTAAACGATAGGAACTTATTTGCTTTATTACTTTATATGGCCAAAGCATATACTGGAAACCTACAAGAAAAACAGGAGACAAAGGTGAGCTACAAGCAAGGAACTGAAGAAAATGCAGCCATGGAAATTTCCCAATATCATGAGTTATTCAGATTTCCAAGCTGGATCAAGTAGAAATCCTAGAACATGAGGCATGGGTAAAAGTTCTTAAATAGGGCCAAGACATTACAAATCCCTTTCTAGGCCATGACTTACTTAAATCACATTTTGTTCCTGTATTCATATGTAAATAACAATAATAATAAAATCCTTATCAGATAAACTCAGAGTTTTAAAGACTACATTTGAGAATTTCAAATTCCTAGAATACTGAATATTTAACAAAACAAGGGCTATAATTTAAGGTTAGCTTCTTATAATATGAAACATGCTTGAATTTAAAAAGAGTATAATGCAAGAAGACTGGCTGTGAAAATTTTAAAATTCTAATCTGCTTATAAAACACTCAAGCTGAAATAAATCTTGGCTGTAATTAAGATAAGTAACCACAGCTATAGGGCTACTGTTAGCATGAACATGCCCTTACCAGTAAGAGAAAACAATTAAGTTACAGATCTTACAAGTTATAAACAATTTTTTTCTGAAACAAATCCATCATTTTTATTGATTTGAAATCAATAGAGTTTTCATAAATTATTTCTCATAGAAAAAAAGACATACGAGATTAATTTTTAAATCTTAGCACTGAAAGGGTAGGTCACCATTTCTCCTTCCAGTGTTATTCTTGTCATAACTATTTGAGATTTCAATATCCACAGATATGATCTTGCCTTTTGTCTTAAATGATTGTCTCCACTTTATTAGGACTATTCATTTTCATTACCAGACCCTAGATCTTGTCACTACCAATATCTGGACTTTCTGCAGATCTCAATCACAAGCATCTCATTTCCTAATTTTTCTAACTCCCATTCTGTGTCCAACAATCTTTAAGCTGCATCAGGGTCTACTGAGGAATCTGGGTTTTGGCTAAAAACCTACTGTGATCTTTCAGGCCTAACCCCAGGCAGTTACAAAGACTTTTCCTGGCAGACCTGAACTACCTTCCTCATACCAGACTTGGTGTGCAGCTAGTGCATTGCTGAAAGGAGTTGCAGTCACAGACTCAAGCCCCCAGGGCTGGCCATGCTCTTATGCATATCCGTGTTCTTAGCTCAGCAAGAAGGCCTTCAGGAACCTCTGCTAAGAACTTATCATTTGGAGGAGCTGAAGGGGAACCTTGAAGACACTTTTCTCCACTCTAGCTCAATAATTTTTTACTCCTACCCCTTCCTTTTCACCCTTTTCCCTGGGCCCCTAGTATATAAAACTAAAGGAGACTTTTGTTCAAGACTCCCTCAGCAGTAAAGCAATTCCCCACATGTATTGATTCACTTGACCCTCAGATATCCAGTACTGTTTCACGGGTAAAATGGACAGAGGTGGTGCATGGGTGGGGTGGAAGTGGGAAGTGGTAGAGACAGTGGTCAGAACTTTCTCTGGTTTAGCTTCTTGCTTATACTATCACAGTGAGTGATTAAATGTTAGAGCACTATTTCATTGTGGTTTATTGTCATAATCAGCTATTCTGAAGCATGGTAGCACAGCACAGCTCTCTCCAGCTCAGCTTGGCCCCTGACATCTACAATCCATTGTACAACCACCTTTTCAATATACCTTCCCTCCTCATGTCCTCATTTCCATTCTTATCCAGCTTAAATGTCATGGTTGTTTATTGCATTCAGCCATATCTTTATACCTCAAACTACCATGACTCTCTTGTGCTTCATTATGCTCACTTGGGAAAATCATGAGCTTGGTAATCACAGAGCTTGGTAAATCACAGAGCTCCACCTACTCTGTCCTTTTACCTGTGTGGTTGAATGTGTCTGGAGAAAATCCCATAACCATACTGGCCAGCGTTGCTTTATATCCATGATCTTTATCTTCAATGGCAAATATATTATACATCCCTGATCCATTCACTCATGCATATACCTCAAATTCTATTAAATACTTTTGTCTCCTATTAAACATCTGACACCCCCTCCATCTTTATGTCTCTCTGACACTGTGCTTCCTATTTCAGTAAGAAAATATAAGCAACTGGAAGATATGCAAGCTCCCATCAAAAGGTATGCAATATCTAGACCCTTTTAACAACCTCATCTGCACTTGTATATCTTGCCTCTTCTCCATCATTGTGAGTCAACTCTATATGCATTTGTCTAAAACTAACTCCAATTTATACTAAATCTCAACTCCTCTTGCCTACTCAAGGGCATCATTTTAGCATTTTTTTTCTACAGTTTTCCCCTCTCCACCAGTTCTTTTTCATCAGCATACAAACAATCTATTACTTCTCCCATCTTAAAAGAACAAAACAAAAAAATTTTATTCAGCAACCACCCTCTTTCTCTCTCTCCCTGTATAGTAAAGCATCTTACTAGATTTGCCTATACTCATGGTTTTCAAATTTTCTTCTCCAATCCTTTCTTGAAACCATTCCAATCAAGCTTTGGGACTCATCACTTTATCAAAAGTCTGATGATGCCAAGTAGTATCTTCTAAAACCGCAACAGGGAGAAAAAAAACCTAGTGTCACAATAAATGAGGAATTTGAACAATACATGGATATGGGTAATAATAAACTTTTTATTATTTACAATGAAGGCACCAAATTTAACTTAAATAATGAGAGCACTAGTTGGACACATTTTATGGCTTCTCTTTTCCATAAATTCACAGTACTGAGTTGAATATGGTTTTTATAATTCTTTTTTGTGCTGTATCTTGTATTCCTTCAACTCAATCTATAGGAATTGAAGATGAAACCAGTCAATCAGATTCCTATAGAATTGTACTTATTTCCATCGTAGGATAGAGAATTACTTCTTTTCTTCAAAGTATCTGTTCTAAATTCTATTAACCCCTTCATTCCATCTTTTGGGAAAGAAAAGAGCAATCTTATTTAAGAAAACAGCTAGTCATTGTACACTTGCCCAATTTTTAACTCATTTTTGCCCTGTCTTATTTGCATGAAATTTTTTTTTTATTTTTTGCAGCAGGTGCATTTTCCTATCTCAGATTATAATCTTTTCTTAGAAGTAGGTCACATGACCTTTCTGTGAAATTATGTGTGGTTTTGTGTTTGTGCATCAGTGAAATGAATTTATATTTTTATACCAGCTTTCAGTATAAAAACTATCTGGGCCAAGGATTATTAGATAATATTATACCTAAAATATTATAAAATATTGATACCCAGATGATTTAAACATTTATTATCTCAGAACACATTATGGTTAAGATCATGTATCAGTCAGGGCTATAGATCAAAAACAAAAGAAACAGGCTCTGGCTACCTTAATCCATAAGAAAATTTATTGGAAAGATAACAGCATTAATGAAAGGCTAGAAGGCCAGTCTTGGGGAACTGGTGGGAGGAATGGAGCCCCAAGAAAGTAGGAATCACAGAAAAGTTTATATGGCAAGAGCAAACTGGTCTGCTTGCCACTCCTGGAGCAGCCTCTACTTGAAAGTTTCAGAAAAGTGCAGGTGGTAAACAAGGTATGTCATAATTACCACTGACTGTTCCAAAGAGGAGAGGATATCCCACCCATTTGGTCTCCATACTGGTTAGTAGGTACTCCCTCCTGCCAGCCTCTCCACAGTAGGAGATGCCCCAAAACAGAGGGTGGAAATGATGTATTATAGCCAGGAGAATGAGGAAGGTCAACTCTAAGGCTCCTTAAAGGAATGCCACATGGATCCAATCAGGTCAAGGGCAGCCACACTCTAACTGGTGCAATCAGGCTGGCATGATCATCAGATACATGCTGAAAATGAAAAATAATAACAAGCAGCACCGAGCAGCCAAAAAAAAAAAAAAGGTTTCATGGAAAGAAAAAGGGATTTGTCTTGGTAACAGTTTGGGCTTGTTTCTATTTCACCAAATACATATTAATATATATGAAATTGTAGAATTTTTTGTTAAACACTAGTTTGAAAGACCATTTCTTCTACTAGATACCTTCCTGAACCATTGCTTATAATCAAGCTCAGGAGTAAGGAGTTAGTACCTCTACCTTGATGTGCAGAGGACACAGTCGACTATGGAGAGCCTGAAAATCTGGTACTGTAGGTGATAAACCCTTCTAGACATCTATCAAATAGACACTTGGGTAGGTTGACTACACAGGTGAACTACAGAAGTTTCTCAAAATTGAATGAACACAATAAATATTTGTATTTACTCAAATATTCTAGATATTTTGATGTCTACTATACTATATATACTAGTACTAAAAATGTACTCACATTTATTACATATTATGAGAGTTCAACACAAAATGAACTAGGTGAAATCAGACTACTGGAAAGAGTTAGGCTCCCACTCACACTGAAGCTTAGCCAAGTCAAGCCTAAGTTAGGAGCCTGAGCAATCTGTTAGCAGTCTTACCAATACAAGGTTTTCCTGGCTTGTAACCCCACACACAGACCCTGTCATCTTTTCTGTGCTTTCATGGCTTTGTCCTCTTTAAGCTTTAGTAGTTTCTTTAAAAAAAAAAAAATCATTCTTTCAAGTTCAAATTGTTTGTTACAATTGGACACAAAAGACTCCATATAGGCACTGGGTAAAGTTGATTTCTTGTGTGTGGTTCACAGAATTCTTGTTGATGAGACCCTCTTAAAAATCATCTACTCTTCTTTATTCCAGTCTTTAGCATATTCCAGAAAGCCTAATTACTTATTGCAAAAACATAAAAATAGAAATCTCTTCACTAGATTATGATTTAAAGCATGAACTTCGAGGCCAGGCGCGGTGGCTCACGCCTGTACTCCCAGCAATTTGGGAGGCCAAGGCGGGCAGATAACCTGAGGTTGGGAGTTCGAGACCAGCTTGACCAACAATGGAGAAACCCCATCTCTACTAAAATTGAAATACAAAATTAGCTGGGCGTGGTGGTGCATGCCTGTAATCCCAGCTACTCGGGAGGCTGAGGCAGGAGAATCACTTGAACCTGGGAGGCGGAGGTTGCGGTGAGCCGAGATCACGCCATTGCACTCCAGCCTGAGCAACAAAATTAAAACTCCGTCTCAAAAAAAAAAAAAAAAAAAAAAAAGAACTTTGAATTTACTTTGGGTTCACAAACTATAACATTTTTAAATAAAGATTGATTTCTGCAAAAAAAAATTTCCCTAATTTGGTTGCATAGCATTAGTGATTTTGCTGCTGACTACATCTGAAGTTAGATAACATTGAAGATGTTTTTATCAACAAGTGCTAATATCTATCATGTTGAAGAAAAACTAGTTTATCTAGAGCACTTGCTCTGGAATTAATAAGATGTGAGTTTAAGCTTGGCTCAGAAACTTAGTAGCCATGTTATTTTGTGCAAGTTACTTAACTTCTATCAGCTCGATTTCCTCACCTGCCAAAGGAAGACAATATGTAATGATTAAAAGGAAGAGATTGTGAAAAAACTTGGTACAGAACCTGTTACTCTCTCTCCTGCCCTCTTTGTGAGTCTTTCAAGGCCATTTTTATCCATTAGTTAATGTAAATGAAACTCTCACAATGTCCTCAACTTGTTGTATTGGCCCTTCCAAACACAGCCACTTTCTCACAAATAACAAGTATGTATTTGAAATCTCAGAATTTTAAATTAATAAATAGTTTTCCATTTTTAAAAAGATAAATACCTTACAATAATGATAATACATTCTGCAGCAAGTTAGATTCAATGGTTAGGTCACAATACTATTATGGCAGAAGTACTATTAAAGGAACATTATGAGGGGCAGAGATGACAATGCCAGCCTTAAACAGATTGTTAAGAAGGCTAGAGAGAACAAGAGCTTCAGGAGAATAAAAGAAAAATGTGCTCCCAAATTTAGTGATGAGTCCAGGGAGTCCCATTAAACAAATTAGCAGGTTTGGAACATAGGGTTTGATGTTTATGGGTATATAAATAAAAAGCTTGTTTTCTCTGGGGCAGCTTAATTTACTACAGCATGTCTCATCGTTTCTGAAAGAATGAATGTTGCAATTATTAGTACCCCAAAGAATTAGTTCATCCTGGGATAAAAATGGGCTCCTCTCTGAGGGCAGAATGCATTGGTACCAAACTCTGGAGCATAAAGAAGACCAGATGCATTCCAGTAGGTAAAGGGGGCTAACTCAGGAAACAAGTGAACTAGCAGCACCAGACTAGTAACTCAGAAGAGTGGCTGATTTCTGGAGCTCCACCATTTGGTGCACCCCAGTATGAGAACATTACCTTCAAAGTGTGGAAGGAGATGGTGTATCCAAAATCTGGCACTTAACTAGCCAGGAGCAAGGACTGACCTTAGAAGCAAAATGGGGTGGTACCTCCCCAAAACCAATGAGAGTGTGTCGGTAGGAATATCTATTAGAAGAAGCTGTGTTTCACAGAGCAGAGGACTCAAGGCCTCACCAGCAACACAGGATGCAACGGGATGGCAAGATAAGGAGGCCGGAATGAACAAACCACAGGAACTTGTTCCAGAACATGTATGAAGAAAACTTTTAAAAACAAAACAAAACAAGCTGGGGCATGATGGTGAGGTGGTAGAGGGGAGACACAGAGTGAGACTGATAAATAACGTATTGGAAACATTTTGAGATAGCTAATTTTCAGCAACAAATCAGTAAAGAACTTCTGCCACAAGAATTTACTATAAAAATTAATTGCATTGAGTTATATAATGGTGAGTACAATGACATATGAATTACATATAATTTGGTAAAACTACCCCTTGAGACATCAACTTTATTTAAATCCTGTCTAAACAAGACATGTGTGGCCTCTATGACTTCACAGAATGAATTCCTTCATTATGCAGGATTCCCTTAACTTCTTGCCACAAAACTTACACATTCACAGGCTTCTACACATTTTTTTACTCATTCCTCCCATTACCATGGGGAAGTTAAATTTAAAATTAATCTCCCTCCAATGCTCTGTACGATATCCTTCCCAATTGCTCAAAGATCGCTATCATTTGCATATTCTTTTTCCCTGCATCTTTCACGTTCTTTTCTACTCACTTTTCTCTATTGCCACGTAAACATGCTGATGATTCCTTTATTCTTAACAAATGACAAGAACAACTCTCCCTCAAGCCCTTGCTCCTGATAGTCACTGCATTTATTCTTACCACTCACAAACCTGTTGACATAAATGCCAATTTCGTATGTACTTTTCACCCCCACCCATCCTTCATGTCACAGTAATCTGGCTTTTGCTTCTACCTTCCCTGATTAGTGCCCGCTTAACCATCACTTTGTCCCTTGACTAACCACTGAATTTAATGCATTTCTCAGTTTTTATCTTATTTAGCATTACAGAAACGTTTACTCTTATTGGCCTTTATCCCCTTGAAATTCACCATACCCTTTCTGGTTTTCCCTCAGACTTTTGTTCTCAATCTCTTTTACTGGCTCTTTTTGCCTCTGACTGTTCTTAAACTACTGCTCCTTCCTGGTCATATTTTATTTCCAATCTACACATATTTCCTGGAAATGTCCTCCACTGCCCTGGATTAGATGGGAACCTTGATGTTCAGGACCATCGGTTCTCTATTGCCAATCCAGATCGTGCTTCTCCGCTGGACAGCTTCTACAGACACTTGCGTGGGCTTTCAATCCTGCACATTCACTGAATGTATCATCTCCCACAGACTGACTCTCCTTTTTTTGTGTATCTCAGTGAATGACTGAAGCCATGAACTTAATTGATCAGTAAAAATTCTGCATATCATCCTTCTCTTCCTACCAAGTCTCTCTACCCATTCCCACCCCAAACACACACACACACACACACACACACACACACACACACACAAAGTCAATCATATTCTCCTGATTTCCAAGAGTAGATTACTTCTCTTCAGCCATTCTACCACCCTCGATCATATATTGCTTCTGGGAAGCTGCAGTTGGGGTGATATGTCCTAATGGTTCCGAGCATGAGTCTCTAAGGCAGAGATTGATTCCTACCTCTGCCACTCATTCACGGTGCTACTTTCAACAATCTATTAATGTCTCTAAGCTTTCATCTCTTCATCTTTACAGCTGGCATTATTATAAACTCCAGTCTCACAGGATTATCTTAATAATTAAATGAGATAATGTACAAGGTTTTGTTATAATGCTGTCAAATAGTTAAGCACTCAGTATACTGCATTAGACAGTGTTTCCAGGCTGCCAGCCTTACTCCTTGGTATCTATTCTCCACAGTGCAACCTGGGTGATTGTCCTAAATGGAAATGTAATAAAGCTCCCAAATTAAAACCATTTAGTGGCTCCTGTTACACAGAGGACAAAATCCAAATCCATTAAGGTGACTCACCAGCTCCTTCATGGCCTGGCCTCTGCCACACTCCCAGCCTCATCCCTCAACCTTTCCTCCTGTCCTGTTATACTGACAGGTAATTTGCTTCCATTCTACCTAAACTTCATGCTTTTACATCTCCAAACTTTGCAAATGCAATTATCCACATTTGAACATCTTTCCCACTCCTGTTTGCCTGGCTAACACTGTCAGGCCTAAGCCCTCGAGGCCATTACCTTGGCTGTGAATACGCATAGCACCTTGGCATACCCAGAGCACAGCTACATTTGTTTGGCTGCCTGTCTCCCTTTCTGGATTTTAAACTCTGTGAGAGAGTGGCGGATATGTATGTTGTTTACCTTTGTACTTGGTTCATGATTGATATTTGATAACAATTTTGAGAAACTATATCAATCAATCAATCAGTCAATAAGTTCGGTTGCTTAATGGCCTTATAGAGAGAAAAGGAGCATCCTGTCCTTTGTCTAGTCTGGCTAGGGGTATGTATTTGCTTATCCATCTGTTTCATGTGTTTTGTTAACATGCCTCAATATCCAGAGCTCAGCCACCAGAGCTGATGACCTGACATTAAAAACCACTAATCCATTAAGCTGCAATCATCCTAGGCTAAGGCTAAACAAGCAAGCTTGGCTTTACTGCATGCTTCAAAAATAAATCCCATTGGCTGAAGTTTAAAGCAGGGATCTCACATTCATACACCTACACAGGCCAGACAAGCCTCACAAATGAGTGATATGCATTATACACTATGCATTTGCTGGGTAATATAAGGGGCTGAGCTTAAAGGAGAATACAGGCCTTGTCTAAAGACGCTAAATATTGCTCAACTCCAGTGAATTATTTCAGATCTTCTGGCTTATTCTTTACACCTGGAAATCTAAAATTTGCATATGAAGCTCTTCATTTTAAAACTTGGCTTATTAAAATAACAGGAAACAAACAAAACAAATCTATGGGATCTGTCTGGCTCCTATGAATTATCAATTCATAATCTTAACTTTAAACCAATGAGAAAGAAGACAGAATTGTAAGTTGTGAATAGATAAGTACTAAACTGTCAAGTCCACCAATCCCTGCACTGGATCAGCATCTTCTTCTACTCAATTACTCTCCAAAACTTCACTGTTATCCTCAACCACTCTTGACATACACTCTCTTACTCTCAGCAGAAGATCCTAATTCATATAGAAACTCAGAGATATTAGTAAATAACCTCCTTGTCTTCCCATTCTCAGTCTACAAACTTAAGTATAATTGGAACCACTCAACCTCAAACGAGAGGTGGCCATTCTCTTCTTTAAGAGGAATGCTCCCACCTTTTTTCCTAATGCAGTGCCATCCCATTAATTATTTTGTCTCTATCAAGGCTCCTTAGTTATGTCTTTCTGATATGGTTTGGATTTGTGTCCCACTTATGTTGAATTGTAATCTGCAGTGTTGGAAGAGGGGCCTGGTGGGATGTGATTGGATCATGAGGGTGGACTTCCCCCTTTCTGTTCTCATGATAGTGAGCGAGTTCTCATGAGATCTGCTTGTTTAAAAGTGTGTAGCACCTCCCCCTTCACCCTCTTCCTCCTGCTCTAGCCACATAACATGTACCTCCTTCCTCTTGGCCTTCTGCCATGATTGTAAGTTTCCTGAGGTTTCCCCAGCCATGCTTCCTGTACAACCTGTGGAACCATGAGACAAGTAAACTTCTTTTCTTTATAAATTACCCAGTCTCAAGTAGTTCTTTATAGCAATGCAAGAACAGGCAAATACAGAAAATTGGTAGCAGGAACTGGGCATTGCTATAAAGATAGCTGAAAATGTGGAAGCACCTTTGGAACTGGGTAAGGGACACAGGTTGGAACAGTTTAGAGGGCTCAGAAGAAGAAAGATAAAGGAAAGTTTGGAACTCCCTAGAGACTTGTTAAATTATTGTGGCCAAAATGCTGATAGTGATACGGACAATGAAATCCAGGCTAAGGTGCTCTCAGATGGAGATGAGAACTTATTGGGAAATGGAGCAGAGGCCACTTTTGTTATGCGTTAGCAAAGAGGTTGGAGGCATTGTAACCCTGCCCTAGAGATCTGTGGAACTTTGAACTTCAGAGTGATGGTTTTGGGTATCTGGTGGAAAAAAATTCTAAGCAGCAAAGCATTCAAGATATGGCTTGGCTGCTTCTAACAACATATGCTCATATGTGTAGGCAAAGAGATGATCTGAAACTGGAACTTATTTTTAAAAAGGGAAGCAGAGCATAAAAGTTTAGAAAATTTGCAGCCTCACCATGTGGTAGAAAATAAAGACCCATTTTCTGGGGAGGAAATCAAGCAAGCTGCAGAAATTTGCATAGGTAAAGATGGAATGTTAATAGCCCAGACAATGGGGAAAATGCCTCAAAGGCATTTCAGAAAACTTCAAGGCAGCCTCTCCCATCACAGGCCCATAGGGAGGAATGGTTCTGTGAGCTGGGCCCAGGGCCCTGCTGCCCTGTGCAACCTCAGGACACTGCTGTCTGCATCCCAGCCACTCCAGCTCCACCTGTGGCTAAAAGGGCCCCAGATACATCTCAGGCTGCTGCTCCAGAGGGTGTAAGCTATAACCTTTGGTGGCTTCCACATGGTGTTAAGCCACGTGCACAGAGGGCAAGAGTTGAGGCTTGGGAGCCTCTGCCTAGATTTCAGAGAATGTATAGAAACACCTGAATGTCCAGGCAGAAGTCTGCTGCTGGGGTGGACCCCTCATGGAGAATCTCTACTAGGGCAATATGGAGGGTAAATGTGGCGTGAGAGGCCCCACACAGAGTCTCCACTGTGGCACTGCCTAGCAGAGCTGTGAGAAGAAGGCTACTCCAGACCTCAGAACAGCAGATCTACCAACAGCTTGCACCGTGTGCCTAGAAAAGCTGCAGCCACTCAATACCAGCCTGTGAAAGCAGTGGAGGGGGCTTTCTAGCCCTCCACTGTGGTTCTACCCTGCAGAACCACAGGGGCAGAGATGACCAATGCCTTGGGAGCCCATCCCTTGCATCAGAGTGCCCTGGATGTGAGACATGGAGTCAAATGAGATTATTTTGGACCTTTAAGATTTAATAACTGCCTTGCTGGGTCTTGGACTTGCCTGGGGCCTGTAGTGCCTTTGTTTTGGCTGATTTCTTCTTTTTGAAATGAGTGCATTTATCCAATGCCTATACTCCCATTGTATCTTAGAAGTAACTAACTTGTTTTTAATTTTACAGGCTCATAGGTGGAAAGGACTTCCCTTGTCTCAGATTAGACTTTGGACTGAGGACTTTTGAGTTAATGATGAAATGAGTTAAGGCTTTGGGGGACTGTTAAGAAGGGATGGTTGCATTTTGAAATGTAAGAAGGACATGAGACTTAGGAGAGGCCAGAGGTGAAATAATATGGTTTAGATTTGTGTCCCTGCCCAAATCTCATGTCAAATTGTAATCACCAGTGTTGGAAGAGGGGTCTGGTGGGATGTGACTGTATCATGGGGGCAGACTTCCCCCTTGCTGTTCTCATAATAGTGAGTTCTCATGAGATCTGATTGTTTAAAACTATGTAGCACCTCCCCTTCACTCTTTCTCCTGGGATGTACATCCTTCCTCTTCTCCTCCCACCATGAGTGTAAGTTTCCTGAGGCCTCCCTGGCCATGCTTCCTGTACAGCCTGTGGAACCATAAGCCAATTAAACCTCCTCCTTTATTAATTACCCAGTATTAGGTAGTTCTTTATAGCAATGCAAGAATGGACTAATACACTTTCTTTTCAACTTATTACCTGCTTTGTCTCAGAGGGGAAATTGTCCTTTGATCTGTAACCCCCTCTATCTATTGCCCACCTCTCATTTCCTTTCAAGTTTATTCTTCATACTGTTCTATAAGCTTTAGCATTGCATTAGCATAGATTTACAGCCCAGGAGGAAATAATCATTTCTATTGGCGTACGCAAGTTTTCTGACTTTCAAAAAATATATTACTTAATACTATTTGTTTATTTGACAAATCTGTATTAGCCTCTAGTATATGCCAAGCACTGCTCAAGAAGGATCCATTCCAGATCTCAATAGGGATGAAAGCTCTCCAGCATAGTTAATTCCTTCTGCTCTAGGCCATGGATCTCCATCTCAGAGGTCATAGAGGCAGAATAAAATCAAAGTAGGGAAACTTGCCCATATTTTTTGTTGGCAGGATAAATTTATGAGCACAGCCAATGCCTTTAACTGTATACTGAGTCTTAATGATACTAGAATACATTTGGATTAGCTTTCCTATTGATTTCCAGTTTGTGATTATTCATTGAAGGGTAAAAATTGTATATGTAAGAGAGAGATGATGTTTTTGAAAGTTTCAACAAAATGGCCAAGATATGATACTGACAAACATGGTAGAGGATGTGGACAATGGTTCCAAGAAGCAATCTTTTATCCCTGATTGCTACATATGATCATGTTTTTGAAATCATGAGTCAAAACCCTAGAGTGGGTTATAAAATCAATTTAATAAAATGTAGCATTTTTTTAAAAAGATAATAAAGAGGAGAATGGAAAATATGAGTGTACTGCACATATAAAAAGTAGTTTTCATGTAACAAAATATTATTTTCACATATTGAAAGCCACTTATTTGTGTCTACCAAGCTTCATGAATGAGCAATCTATATCCTCCACCTATACCTCATTACTTCCCAATCTCAATCAGTTGTTTTTGCTTTAGTAACTCCACTAAAACTATTCTTGAAAATGCCACAAATTTACTTCTATTTGTCAAATTTGATGTATCTCCTTCAGATATAATACATTCATAGTTGAATTCTCTGCAGTGGTGTACATTGTTCATATCTTGTTAAAACTTGCACTGTCTTTGCTTTTGTGACAACACAAATGATTCTCTTCCCATCACTCTGGTATTTCTCTCTAGTTTTTGTTCCTTGGTGTCTCTCCCTGACTCTACTCTTCAAATCCTGGCACTTCTGCAGAAGAGAGCATGAGCCTTAGAGAAGCCATATACACTAAAATTGAACTTTATCTCTGCAACATGTCCCTTCCAACACCTCTTCTGGGCCCCATTACTATTGTCTCTTGCCTAGATCTTTCCTTCTGTTGATTGTCAAAAGTAGCTAGAATGGCCTTAGTGAAAGGAAAGTCAGATCAAAGGTTTTGATTCCTTTTATCAAAACCACTCTTTGGTCCTATGACCTCCTTCCAGTCTTTGCTCAAATAGAATCTTCTCAGAGAGGCCTCCCAGGCCTCCCTATTTAAATATATAACTCCAGACCCACCACAACGTACTCTGACCCCCTTTCCAGCTTTATTTTTCTCCATAGCCCCTTTATAGAATACTTTATACTTATTTGTTTACTGCCTGTCTTCTTTAACTGGATCATAAGATTGAGCACCACAGTAATTTCTGTTTTGTAGACTGCTATATTCCCAGCATCTAGAATCAGTGGCCCATAGAAAAAGACTAATAATATTTATTAAAAGAATGAGTGACTATCATCAATCATTTATTATTATTCTTATCATGGTAAACCTAAGAGTACACATGGCTATGTGTATTATGCTATTCAGTTATCTCTCACTAATACAGTTTTAAAAAGGACTCTTAGCCATTGCTATGGTCTGAATGTGTCCCCACAAAATGAATATGTTGAAACTTATTTGCCAGTGTATTAGTATTAAGAGGTGGGGACTTTGGAAAGTGATTAAGTCATGAGGACAGAGCCTTTATGGATGAAATTGATGACCTTATATAAGAGGTGTAGGCTGGGCACGGTGGCTCATGACTGTAACCCCAGCACTTTGGGAGGCTGAGGCAGGCAGATCACTTGAGGCCAGGAGTTCGAGACCAGCCTGGCCAAAATGGCAAAACCCTGTCTCTACTAAAAAGTCAAAAATTAGCCCACCATGGTGGTACATGACTGTAGTTCCAGTTACTCAAAAGACCGAGGCATGAGAATGGCTTGAATGCAGGAGGTGGAGGTTTCAGTGAGCTGAGATTGTGCCACTGCACTCCAGCCTGTGTGACAGAGTGAGACTCTGTCTCAAAAATAATAACAATAAATAAATAAAAGAGATCCAAAAGAGATGCTCATCACTTTTGCACCTTCTACCATGTGAGGACGTAGCAAGGGAGTGCTAGCCCTCACCAGACACCAAATCTGCTGGTGCCTTGATCTTGGACTTCCCAGCTTCTAGAATTGTTAGAAATAAGTTTCTATTGTTTATAAATTAACCAAGCTAAGGCACTTTGTCATAGCAGTAGGGTGACTAAGATAGCCACTAGGCAAAAATAAGAGGTGTTTATATGAAATTGACTGAAATTAATAGCCAGGTCTTAAAAGATGAGGACATCTGAATCCTACCCTTAACTGCGCTCCTGCTGGCTGACCCTACAAGATGCAGATACCTATACATGAGCCTGGATTAACAGATAATCCAAATGTCCAAGGCATGCTGCCATTGGGTCCTTCCTTTTAATCTACTCCATCACACACAAGATCATTTCTATTGTCCTAAAATGTGTTAAAGATAGTTTAGTTTCCTTCTTTTATTTTCCTGGCAATAGCCCACCATTGTATATCGAAAGAAAAAAAAATTGATAAATTATTGTCTCATGAATTCTAGCCAATCACAAACGTACTTGTTTTCCTTTTTATTCACTACTATAGCATTTTAAAGACATATTTGTTACCATATAAATGTCAACTAACCCACTAAGATTTTTCCCCTAATAATAAATAAGTACTTCTCCCCAGCCCTCATTCCTAGGGAGAGGAAAGAAAACAACTTAATTTTCTCTCAACATCCCCACTTTATCCTCATCTAATTTTCACAAAATTACAATAACTCTCTTAGGTTTTACTATTATCTCCATCTTACAGATGAGGAAAATAAGACATTAAGGGGAATAACAAACATGTCCAGGCTCTCCATATATCAGGTGGAAGAGCTGTGTTTTGACTCTGAGGCCAGTGTTTTGCTAGAACCTAAGGAAAGGAAAGAAATGGGAATTATGGGACAGATCCTAAAAGAAGAATCTTTCTCTCTTAAACAGCATTTCTCATGTATATATCTCAATATTTTGACAATTGTCAAAACCAGTAGGACTTGCTGATCAATTGTGAAGAGGCTAAGAGCAAAAGAGAAATTAAGGATGACTCCCAGGTTTCTGGCTGGGTTAACAGGGTAGATGATGGTCTTCAAATAATCTATAGAAGGAAGAGATTGAAAGTACAAGTTTATGGGATCAATTTTGAACTAAGTTCAAGATGTCTCTGGGGATACAATTTTGAAGCTCAAAGTGTAGCCTGGGCTAGAGATAGAAATATGGAAGTCAAAAGCATTTAGGTAGAATACAGAATCATAGAGGAGGCTAGTAAGTTCACCCAGAAAGAGTCTACTGCATTTGGCAAGTGGAAAATCTGAGAAAGAGGAGTTCTATTGGAATGAGAGAGTAAGCGAAAGATTGTTGTGGATCAAAGAGTAAATGGTTGGTGAGAAAGCAGAAACAGAGAAGTCTACTCTTCTGAGAAATACTTACTCAAAGAGAAAAGGAAGTGATTGAACATTCTCTGAAAGTCACACAGCGGCACTATTACATTTTCTTGAACTAATAATCTCCCATTTGATGCCTTCCAAAATCAACCTTTCCAGAAACACAGCTTTGAAAGCCTCATGTCCCAGAAAAGGCCTTGCCAGATATGGTTGTCCACCCTTGAGTGTCCCTGGAGTCCCCTGAAACAGCACTCCTTAGGAAATATGTGCTGGCCTCTTCTACATCCTGGGGGTTTTAAGATCCTGCTCATTTAGGAAAGCCAATCTGTCTAAACAAATGCTAATGTGTTAAAGTGTTACCCTTTCCCTGGGTAAACTTTGGGCTGCCCACTTAGGAAACCATGTTTTCTTCTAAAGCAGCATTTTACAGTGTGCTTCATTGAAAGCTAGTACCACTAGATGCAATGAGTATTACATGAAAACATACACTAAAATATAGAAGGCTTAATGGTCCACCAATCTGAGAAAATGCTGGATTAAACAAAGTTAAACAGATTTCTTTACAGCAAGATTTCTCAGAGACTAATATTCTAATGTGCATCATACAATTACATCATAAAATTACAGGAGGGAGATATAAAATTCAGCATTTTCCAAAATTACCTAATGAGAGGACTTTCTTAAAGGTTCATCACATGGGTCATAAATTTAGAAATATGTTTTCCTATAGGAACAATATTAACAGAGGGTACTTCAGGCAATTTGACAGACTAATTAGAGATCAAAATTGGTGCCACTGTCATTGTACCAGGCATCACGCCCTCAACCATGTTCTCTTCTTTTCACTTACTTTCTGCACTTTCCTCACACGTTGACATAAATTCAGGCACAATCACTTTTAATGACAATGGACCCTTGCTTGAAAATTGAAGTGTTTGTTTTCCCTTTTGACCAGCTAAAGTCTATGGATTCCATAATAAAAACTGGGATTGCAGCTTGTGGTGCTTTTTATTTCACAGGCCTGTGGTGGCTGACTACAAATGAGATAAAGCTGATGAATAAACTTGTTGATCATTGATATTATTTCCCTGATTCTATTTGTTTTTGCTTTTCTCTTTTATAGCTTGCAAGCTCAGTTGTTACAAGAAAAATCAATAAACAAGCTTTAAAGGAAACTTACACCCAGGGAGAATAAAGGCCCTTTTTGCCTTGAAGTTACTCTTTTTCTCTTTTAAGGGAGTAATATCCACTCCACAGCCAGAGTTCACTTTCAAGTCAACAGGAGCCCTATGTGCTCACGAGGACTCTCTGCTGGGAGAACAAGGGCCCCAAATATTTGCAAAAGATATCTGGGTTATCTTCTGGGAATTGAATTGTTCTACAAATCAGACTGGACTGAAAAACAGAAACTAATGTTAATAAGAAATGTTATTATATATAACTAATGTTAACAAGAAAATAAACAATTGTCCACATGTGCAGTGGCTAGGAAATAAATTAGGAAAGTCTACCAAAGGTAGTCTTTTCATGTGAATATAAATGAAACACAACCCTATTAACTGAGGTAGAGATTTTCATCTCTGTCCTCTCCCAGAGCTCAAACCTGAGTAAGAGAGACCAAATCCTTTTGAGCTCTCTGCTCTAGGTAAAAAGATTTTCATCATTGAATCCTAGTATTTAAAGGATTTAGCCTTGGGCCACATGTGTGATTTGCAAATTGGAGCAGTATCATCTAATAGAACCATGAGATGATTAAAATGCTCTATAATGTTGCAATGTCCAGTATGTTAGCCAGTAGTTGCATATAAATATTGAGCACTTGAAATGTTGCTAGTGTAAAGAAATTCCCAATTTTATTTAATTTGAATTTAACTCAAATTCAAATAATCACATGTGCCTAGTGGCTATCCGCTAGCATAGCACTAGAAAGTAGGAGTAGAATTTGTCAAGTTGGAATACCAGCTTTTTAATAGGGGGCATAGAATAACATGGGGATCTCCAACCCCATTTTCATCCAAGAATAGCATATCACAAAGTCAGTGAAATACAATGCTGAATACAAAATGTCTATAACCACCTGGTAAAGCAAAGTGTGTAGAAATAAAGGCATAGGTGAAAGTGGAATGGCAGTACCAGGTAGAGCAGGGTCTGACAGTGTAGCAGAAGAGAGCCCTGGGAAGGAGCTCTGGGAGAAGTTAGGGTTGCAGTTAGCTATGACTGCCTAACAAATTATCCCAACATTTAGTGGCTTCAAATATTGACATTTGTTTTGTTAACCATCTGCATTTTAGGCTGGGACCATGGGGAGATAGCTTTTCTCTGTTTCACTCATTATCACTTGGGCTGTGGCAAGGCCAGGAGCTGAGACCATTTGAAGATTTGTTTATTTACATGGTTGGCAAATGATGCTGGCTGTTGGCAGAGACCTTAGCTGGACTGTCAGCTGGAACACCTTACAAATGGTTACTCCATTAGGCCTGGACTTTCTCACAACATGATAGCCAGATTCTAAGGACAAGTGTCCCAAAAAAGAGAGAGGCAAGCAGCTTCTATGTCAACTTTATGACCTACATTTGGAGATCACATAGCATTACTTCTCCAGTGCTTAACACAGCAGACACAAACCCACTCAGGTTCAAGGGAGGGGAAAATAGTCCTCACCTCTTGATGGGGATGCCAACGAGGTTCTGGAAAAACATTTGAGACTGGAGACATTGCTGTGGCCATTTTTGCAAACTAATCCATTGTCATTAATTAAAATTGTTTAGTTCTCAAATAAAAGAAACCTTAGTCAAACCTGTTTAATAACATACACATACATATTCTACAAAAATTAGCAAGCTATAGGCTTCAAGTATGGCTAGATTCAGTGACCCAAATGATACTATCGCATCTTTCTAATACTTGCTCATTCATTCTGTATCTTGGCTCTTTCTTATCTCTCAATTTTTTTCTTTTAATTTTTAACTGTTGCATTATCTTCCCCAAACGGCAGAACAAAAAATTACTGGCTGCCATAAGTCAACATCCTGACAATTTTGATCCTAAAAGAAGAATCTTTCTCTCTTAAATAGCATTTCTCATGTTATGGCTATGAATAATTCTGCTCAGGGCACGTGCCCAATCCTTGCAGAATCACTGGATCCTGAAAGGTAAAGTTTCCTAACAGGCCAGGTAGAGGTCCCAAGTCTACATTAGCAGCAAGTATTTAAATCTCATTGTATTAAAGTTTTTTCATATGTAGGATGGATTTCTGGCATATTCATTGTGAAACGACCTCAATTACCCTGCCTCTTCTATCCAACCAATTGTAATGGTCAGTAGCATGCAGTAATTTGTGTCAGTTCTGAACCTTGGGCCTCAAGAGCTCTTTCACATTTCTGCCTTCTCCTTCTTAGAACCCTGCTACCAACATGAGGATAAGGTATTAAGTGATAGGTTAACATAAGTAAAACCTCTAATTCAGTTTCTTACACATAAGAGCAGGATAAATGGTTACTATGATCAATCTTATTATTTCTATTTTCTAGTTTTGTCTTCATAATAACCCTAGGTATGACCATGGCAAGTATTACTGTCCTTTTTATTGATGAGGAAATGAATATACCAAGTGGTTAAAATGTATAGATTACCAAATGTAAAAGTACTGATAGAGTGGGCAGGTAGACCTTGAAATACATGCTAATGAGATTAGTGGCTGCATGAAGGACAGTAAATTTTGAGACTAAATTTTATGAGGATGAATTTTGAAACTGACTTGATGGAATTCATAGTGGCTAATATACATTAACTACTTACTATGTACCAGTAACTATTCTAAGTTTCTATTAATATCCTCACTTAAGTAACTAAATTATGTAAGAATCTTTCTTTCCCAGTTTTGCAGAAGAAGGCAATATTAGACACAGAGCTTAAATAGCTTGCTTCAGCCAGGAAGCAATAAGCTAAGAAGTTACCAGTCTGGGATTCGAACCCAAACTATCTGGCTACCAAAATGTCCATCAATGGTAGACTGGATTAAGAAAATGTGGCACATATACAACATGGAATACTATGCAGCCATAAAAAAGGATTAGTTCTTGTCCTTTGCAGGGACATGGATGAAGCTGGAAACCATCATTCTGAGCAAACTATCACAAGGACAGAAAACCAAACACCACATGTTGTCACTCATAGGTGGGAAATGAGCAATGAGAACACTTGGACACAGGGCGGGGAACATCACATACCGGGGCCTGTCGTGGGGTGGGGAATTGGGGGAGGGATAGCATTAGGAGAAATACCTAATGTAAATAACGAGTTAATGGGTGCAGCACACCAACATGGCACATGTATACATATGTAACAAACCTGCACATTGTGCACATGTACCTTAGAACTTAACATATAATAATAAGAAAAAAGAAAGCAAAAAAAAAAAAAAAAAAGAATTGCCCCTTGTACACTCTTCTGTCTCTGAAACGAAGAACAAGATGTTAGGAAAGGGGAGAAAAAAGTTAAATTCTAGGTAGAAAGAATGGTAAATGCAAAGCCAGCAGGGTAGAAATAAGTAAGTCGTATGCATATGAGATCAACCAGGCTGTATAGCTACAAGGCAACATCTGGGTGAGGAATCGACTGGAAATGAGGTTGAGAAAATTTAGAATGCAGCAGCAGAAAAGCAGTCTTTGAATGTCAGATTGAGGTGTTTGAATTTATGAAATAGCCCAAAGGAAACCCCATTCTCTCTGTTTTAACTTAATCCACTTAAATGTACAAGCAAATGAACATGTTGAGAAGAAATGCACTGATACATATAGAAATGGAAGTTAGCTTTTTAAGTGTAGTTAAAACAGTTTGTTTAAAACTGGCGGGCTCTCTATTCAAAATACCTCATGAGCAGTTGTCATTTAACTATAAATTACGAAGAAAGTGGCAGACTGAAGACAGATGCCCCAATCGGATCTTATTCCTTGCCCCTTCTAGAGAGTTAAGTATGGGAAGCATAGGCTGGACTATTCTAGATCAAGCAAACTTGTGCGTCCGCATCAGGCTCAATGATAAGAGTGTCTTAACTGAACATTAAGCTAGCGCTGTGCCTTCTGTTCATGAATAGCACTTTCTCATGGCATAGGTAGTCAGGGCCACGAGCAAGTGCTATTCATGAATGAAAGGTACAGCATTAGCTTGATGTTCATATTGATGTTCATATGCCAAGTAACTGTAGCATGATTTCAAATGTCTGCCTCATCACCTGTAAACATAATTAAAGAATAACAATCAAAGTCTTGGGGAAAATCCTGTTAAGTCCTTTTTACTGGTAGTTCTAAAATAGAGATGCAAAACTCAGTAAGATTTAAGAAACTCAGTGTTAATCTTATGAAGTTAAACCAATA
Organism: Homo sapiens; assembly: GCF_000001405.40. Classification (NCBI taxonomy): domain Eukaryota; kingdom Metazoa; phylum Chordata; class Mammalia; order Primates; family Hominidae; genus Homo; species Homo sapiens. The sequence goes on from NC_000004.12 coordinate 142,718,874, forward strand.
ATCCTCAAATATAACAACTTCAGTATGAAAGTACATATTCCCTGAGCCTATGAACTAGCTCAGTTAGCCCCACCTCACTATACCAACTAAAAAAATCTTAAACATGATAAAGATGTAACATTTACATTAATATTTTCCTTGGTACAATGTGCTTCAGGAAAGCAAATGTTTTTATAATTATCTTTACATCTTGAATGGATTTAAAGCAGATTTTTTTCCAAGGGAGAGAAATGGGAACAACTCTTCCTTTCTCTTTATCACTTACAAACCTGCTTCACACTTGGTTGACTCACACCCAATCACCTATGACTGATTTCTAAATCATGCTTAAGATCCAACAAATTAGATTGAATCCTCCTGCTAATGTAAACCTAACCTTATAAAAAATTAATGGCATTATTTAAAATAACATTATTAGTATCTATTGAACATTGGCCAATACTACAATTTTCTTATTTTTTATTTTTTGAGACAGGGTCTTACTTTGCCACCCAGGCTGGAGTGTAGTGGTGTGACCACGGCTCCCTGCTGCCTCAACCTCTCGGGGGTTAGGTGATCCTCCCACCTCAGCCTCCTGAGTAGCTAGGACTACAGGTGCCCGTCACATGCCCAGCTAATTTTTGTATTTTTAGTAAAAATGGGGTTTCGCGATGTTGCCCAGGCTGGTCTCAAATTCCTGGCCTCAAGTGATCTGCACGCCTCGGCCTCCCAAAGTGCTGGGATTACAGGCATGACCCATTGAACCCAGCCTATAATTTTCTTATTAATTTCTGAAAAAAATGAGATACTTTTACTAATTCTTAAAAACTAAAAAATTATATGTACTATAATCCATGGAAAATATCATTTTTTCTTATTTCTAGATGATGTTGTCAACTCATGAGCAAACATTCATAATACTCTATGGCATCTATCCAAAAGTTGAGTACCTTGTAACAACTGAACAGAGATCCATGAAAGTTTAGAAATTATTAAGGAAAAAAATTAAAGATAGAATTTACTAAGTAAAAAGGGCACAGATGTGGATGCCGAAAAATTAATACTACACAATCTTCTGATGGGCTATAGCACCAAATGCTGTTACAAAAACAGAATGAAACAAAACCAAAGCACAAATACCCATCCAATGATGGCATAAATGAATCATAAAGTATCAAAGCAGAAGTTTAGAGCTCTGGCATCAGGTACAATTCCTGACAAATTACTCAAGTTCACCCATAATTCGTCATTGTCATCTCAATGATACAGAGAATACTGGAAGTAAAAATAACTTGTTACATGTGAACAGAAACTGGTTTAGAAAATAATTCAAAAATATTTTATGCCTGCACTCCTACTCTTTGTACGGCAAAAAAAATAGTTCTTAAACTTTCAAATTAAGTACCTACTATTCTCAGGTAAGATGTTCTAATGAAGTATCATTTTTTATTGTTAGCAAATTAAGGTCACAGGACCCCTAGGAGGTTGCTGCTGACATCTAGTGGCATACTTTTTAAAACATCAAATTCATTAAAAATATAGAGAGCTATCCCTCATTACCCAGTGGGGTATGGTTCCAGGTTTCCTCTTTCCCAATGTACCAGAATATGCGGATGTTCAAGTCCCTTATATAAAACGGCATAGTCTTTGCACATAACCTATGCACATCCTCCCAGACACTTTATATCATCTCTAGATTATAATACCTACTACAGTGTAAACGCTATATAAATAGTTGTTTTACTGCATTGTCTTTTAATTTGTATTATTTTTTATTGTCTGTTTTTTTTTCCAAATATTTTTGATTCCCAGTTGGTTGAATCTATGGATGTGGAACCCATTAATATGAACAGCCAACTGTATATGTGTATATATATACATATATATATATATATACATATATATATAATCTCTCTCTCTCTCTCTCTCTCTCTCTCTCTCTCTCTCTCTCTCTCTCTATATATATATATATATATAGTTTTCTTATTTTTTATTTTTTGAGACAGGGTCTTACTTTGTCACCCAGGCTGGAGTGCATCTCGTGTGTGTGTGTGTGTGTGTGTGTGTGTGTGTGTATGATTTTCAGCATCATATATATAGAGAGAGAGAAAGAGAAGAACAAACATACATTTATGTTCAAGCGTGTACTTGCAAAATCTAGTGGACATGTTACCAATTATTTGTAGCCCAGATCACTTTGTCTTCAATGATGTGATTCTCCTTCCAAAGTAATCTTAGTGCTGCAAAACCAGAAATAAAAATGAGCAGATCTGCTAAAGCCTTAAAGGAACCAATTCCCTCAAAGACTTTAGTCTTTTACTGGGAATTGCCAATTCTCTGAGAGCCCCAATTCCCAAAGGCTTCTCCCCAAACCCAATAGGCCTAATTTCTTTTCAGCTTTCCAAATAACCATGACCCTACTCCATTTCCATACCTGGCATTTAAGTACTTTTAGGATCTTAGCCTAGAGAGACTCCACTATAGAGCAGAGTATATGCTCTTGCACAAAAATGCTTTTGTTGGGTAGGGCAGGTTAGATTTTTCTGCAATGATGTATGGAGTGGCACAAAGCCAGTAAGTGATAAAATTAAGCTGTCTCCCTTTGGTGAAGAGAATGTGTTCCTACAGTGGTGTTATAAATTAGTTGATTGGAATTTAGATTTTATTCTTATTAAAACGATGTCATAAGGCCGGGCGCTGTGGCTCACGCCTGTAATCCCAGCACTTTGGGAGGCCGAGGCGGGTGGATCATGAGGTCAGGAGATCGACACTATCCTGGCTAACACAGTGAAACCCCGTCTCTACTAAAAATACAAAAATTAGCCGGGCGTGGTAGCGCGTGCCTGTAGTCCCAGCTACTTGGGAGGCTGAGGCAGGAGAATTGCTTGAACCCGGGAGGCAGAGATTGCAGTGAGCCGAGATCGCGCCACTGCACTCCGGCCTGGGTGACAGAGAGAGACTCCGTCTTAAAAAAAAAGATGTCATAAAAGCATAGTAGGTTCTCCAGGTAGTCCTAATTAATACAAAACATAGCAAAATTATAACTTTCTTATTACAAAGAGATCTTTTAGTCTTTTAAATATACCTTCAATGGAAATCCTGGAGATTCAAGGAGCTCATTCACTCAAAATTTGTCTGCTTTACTCATAAGGAAAAGTAAACGTGGCTGGCAGAAAGATCTTTTTTACAATTATATTGAAGAAAAAAATCCGTGTCTGTGTGTGCACCTTTATATATGATATCAAATTATATATATATACACACACACATATACATATGTATACATACAAGAATATACCAGAATATGCAAATCAATGACAGTATGGCGGATACCACAACTAAGTGTGAGTGAATGTAGTGTAGGCTGGCTAAGGGAGAAAGGGAGTTGTAATATAATGAAGGTCTCAGAAAGCATCTTAAAGAGAAGTTTTAAGGTTACATAGTTTTTGGAATAAAGAAGAAAGCAGACCAGACATTCAAAGCCAAGCTTTAAACCTAAGCAAAGACAAGAATGTTTGGAATATGTGGTGTTAAGAGAGACATAAATAAGGTAAGAAACATAGCTGGGGAATTGATGGAAGACCTTGAACAGTAGCAGGAGCTGATTCTAGACAATGCTGTGGTTTATAGTTCTGAGAGTTTCAAAAAGATAAAATATTGCACAGAAACTAATACCCAGAAGAGTTAAAAAGACCAAGAACTTTTTGCAAATGAAAAAAATCATAAAAGCCACATTCTTAAAAACTACCATAACAGCTTCTTTTCATGTAAATTTTTCTTTAATAATTACTTTTTAATCACTTCTCCATAAAAATGTTCAATGATTTATTCTCTGATTTGCAGTTTAAATACTCATTGGGAGCATACTGTGCTGATGTTATGAATATGTTTTTGTAAAGCATTGTATGGTATATATCAGACATAGAACCTAATTTCGGCACTGTGAGATTTACATGTACTTTTCATCACTAGCCTTAAACTATTTCTAACTCTCATTTAAATGCATGGTCACTAACTTATTAATCAACCTGCAAGTTATGATGCTGTACTTTCAGTTGTTATTATAGTAGGTATGTGATAAATAATAGAAAATATAATCTGTAATAAACCCTTAAAATATCACAAGATTTGTATCCTTTTAAATCTCAACATGTATCACATCTGTATCATTTCCTACATCAAATAAACCAAAATAAAACCAATCTGTAAACAATATATTTACAACTTATTTCTTACTGTCCTTGAACATAAGTAACCCTGTATAGTAGCCTTATAACCCAGTTTCTTTTCAATTTACAAAATTGTGTTTACAGAAAGCCTAAATATAGTAAACCTACAGTACATAAAAGAATTGCTGAATTCTTAATATGCTATTTCAATTTCCTCCAGAAAAAATTCAATATATGTGAGAATAAAATTTAACATTCCTGCATAATAAAAATATAATTACAGTCATGAAATTTTCTTAATTGAAATTTGATCTATTTCCAGGACATGTAAACCTATGTAAAAATTGAACAGAATCACGGTCTGTATTTTTACATGTAATCCTACCATGGTATACCTACCAGGTATATTGAAAGATATTTTAACCTGACTAATTGAAGTTCCCTCCATCTTTGGATGACAAAATTAAGAAAATTGTAACTATAACTTATAACCAATAACTTCACATTAAAACGCTACCTGAAAAGTTGTTTAAATGCCCTTTTTAAAAGAGTCAAATGTAGAACTCACAGGTATCTGCACACATAAAAGTGTCGGTTAATCCAACAGATTGCATGCTGAGCCCATTGCCAGAATTAATCCTACACAAAATGAATGTGTTAGTCATCATGTATACTAAGAAAAGCTGAATGGTTCCATTTGTTTAAAAATAACACCTTCACTAGTATGTCTTAAACTTCCACTATTTAAACATTGAAATTTAAATGCACATATTCCATCTGAGATAATAGGCAGAATGTTAATATGTTAGTGTGTATTACCTTATTAATAGGAATTTTACGAGATTGCAAACACCCCCAGTTCAACAAATCTATAGGACCAGCCCAGAAAGATAATGACATAAACGTCATTTCTCCTGGCCATAGTTCTCCCATCCCTAGCTATTCCTCAATATCTCACTTCCAACCTCCACAGCAACATACATATCTTGGATCATAATCACCTTGGGAGTTGTATCATGCCAAATTTTGGCAATACACAGAATGATTCCTTGATTCCTTTATTTACATAATAGAAAAAAAACAAATTTTGTTACTCTGGGTATACTGATGCTGAAAATTCTATCCCATGAATGGGAATTACTTTCCCTCACCCTAAGTCTTCCTTTGTTACCTTCACTTCAAAATAAGCTTATACATAGCTTACATAAATAAAATAAAAGCCTAAAAATGAGTATATTAGTATATACATATCTCTGAGAAAAGAAAAATTCACATAAATGCAACCTGGAGAGTCTGTGCTCCCTGCATGCTTTATTTATATTCTAAAGCACATGGATCCCTGACCTTCCTCATTGGCTTCATCTCATTCAGGATATTTCTCTTTCTCTCTTTACTGTGCCATCTTCCATTGAGTTGCCTTCAACAAGCACTTTTCTAGCATTTATCTCCCTATGCCTACATCACACAGCTCAGCTTCAACCTCTTCCACATATTGTCTAGGAATTTGTTCTCTTTATAATGTCCCTATTTGGAGAGTCAAAGCTAATAGTTCTATGTAAAAGACAACCCTCAATTAACTTCATTAACCATTTAAGAACATTTTAATTTGAATTAACATTTCAGTATAGATAAAACTTGGATAGGGTGACTACCCTTAGGAAAAGAAGCTATTTTCTCAAGGGGTTTATACCTGTTTTGAAGAATTACCTAGAAGCCAGAAATATGTAGAAATATATCACATTTGTAATTCAAATTTAACAATTTATTTTTGCTCAACTGCAAATCAAAGTTCAGAAATAAGCTTTCTGCTGATATCCATTACATTTAAATGCTACCTGTATTTCAGTACTCATTTATTTTTAGAAATTCAGTAATTTGTCAAAAATAAAACCCAATCAATTCTAGTTAATATAAAAATATATAATACATTTCATTAATATACTATATATGTTCATGAACATACAGTGTCATCACATCTTCATAGCTAAATAAGTAGACAGGACTCAATGGATGTCTCAGTTCCCTTCAAAATTCTAAACTGTCTGAAACTTTTCTGCAAAAATCTCTTTTGAGATAGTAGCTTTATTCATAAAACATACACACATTGTTTATCTGCAGCCATACTCACACTTTGTGTACATGCGTATGTCATTAGAATATTTGCATGAGTTTTCATATTCTTAGAACAACATATGTAAATAATTCACATAGTGATTTGAAAATTTAGCAACTAAATATGCATCTGTTAAGTATAATCAGGCACGCTATTCAACAACTGCATGATATAATTCAATCTTTCCAAAGAAAATATGTATTTTGCATGAGGGTGTCTTCATAAAGCTTGATGACATTTTCTAGAAATTCATATTGAAATTTTTTTTGTATATTCAAAAAAATACATAAAGTCATCTGACTAACGCCAAATAAAGTCACAAAGAATCTTATCATTGTACCCTAACAAGGGTCTAATGCTGTTATTACCTATCATTTGTAAATATGATAAACCAATTGGATTTATTTCCAAAGAGACTGCAATCCTGTACTCAAGATCCTATTTATATATTAACATAAACTTCAAAATGGTATCAGAAAATTAACCATTACCCACAATGTTTTGAAAAGCTATTATATATCTAAAAATGTACTGTTCACTTTATCAATCTGATGATCATCGTAAGGCCTTCCCTTGGCTTTTCAGATAATAATTTACTTTTTTGATGGGTAATTCAATATCTAAAACGAATAATCAAGGAAAGTCAACTAGTTTCATGTAGAGTTATACAGAATGAAAAAATATCAATTCAAAATAAGCATTACCTTTGTCTAATTTTTCATAAAAGACAGAAGACCTCTTGCCAGGTAACACCATTTCTTTGTATTCTACGGGAAAAGAGAAAGAAGATTAATAAAAACAACCTTTCTTTTTTCCTCTTTAAATGCTTCTTAAAGAAGATTCATTAGTAATAAAGGTCAGAGAAGAAAATCATTTAACAAAATATTCAGCTCCATTCAGCAGCTGCCTCAGGAAACACTTGCTTTAAATGCCAAATCACTTCCCCAAATGTCCTTTCTCCCTTACAGCTGAGAACATGGGTGACTGCAGCAGATACTCAGCCCTGTTTTCTTTGCTTCTCTTTCTTCTCTCACATGTGAACAAAACTGGCACTCGAGCAAGAAAAGGCATTAGCTTCCATCATTTCAAAAGACAAGATGTAAGCAATGTCAGGACAGAACATTTACTTGGAATACAATGGACTGAAATGGAATTTAAAATTATCTAAATTGACTTTCCTTCCACTGCTAGTGAGCATGGGTTTTAAAATATTCATGAAAGTTTGGGTCTTTCCACAAAGTAATAAAATGAGATACTGTGGGACAACTGTAAATAACTGCAGATTACCTTCCTTATGAGATGTAATTTCAGAGCTTTTCTATGCTGCAACAAGGAGGAAAGTACTTTATCGAAGTCAAAAGTTATGAAAATATATCTTATTCCCTGCCTTAATGTATAACAATCTTGAGGAGTATCCCATAATAGATTTTATTGCATCATTATCTAAATGTTCAGATTGGAGGATACAAAATTCAAGCCTGAGCAATAGCTTTCCAGAAAGGACTGTTACATACATAGGTAAGAATTTTAAATTCACCCCTTAAGAAAGTTATTTGGCTGAATAGAAGATGCTAACAGTTTAAAACAACATTGATTAATTGACTAAAGCAGTCATAAGAATAGTGATATAACTGCAATCACTACATCTTACCAACTGTGTATTTTGGACAAATAAATTTTGTAAGTCTTCATTTTTCATCTGTAATATGGGAATGATATTTTTTCCTATCCCCCATGGAGGTGATAATTGAGATAAATACATATAAAGAACATAGCATAGTACCAAGCTAAGCATGAGAAAGCATAAGCTAATATAATATCATCATTATTATTCCTATTATTATCACTGTTCTTTAAAGAACAACAACAAAAAAGGCTTACTATTCCATTGAGAATCACTGCCCTAGTGAGCCACACAATAAAATGATTAAATCATATCATACTGGACATTACCTATTTTGTTTATTTATTAATTAGACTCTGTGATGATGAAGGAAGAAAGAGTCCTTCTGGGTCTTTCAGGCTGGTGGGTGAAAAAGATTGAATAGCAGTATTTCAAGAAGATTAGTAAGCTGTCAACTGCTCGACTGCAGTGGTTCCCCTTGATTTTGCTGAGAACTTTAGCTTGAAGAAGGCCTTCAAGAAATTGTGATATACTTCAAGACTCACTTAAAGCAACTGGCCCTTATCTACTCTTATGAACACTCGATCTAATTCAGAAAACACCTGGTGAGCCCCTACTGCAAGCCAACGTCTGTGGCAGACTGAAGAAACCACAGCAAACAAAAAGACATTCAAGAAAAGCACAGTTTAGTGGAGGAAACACATCTGTGGACAATTATTTCAAGTAATTGGTGAATATCATTATTAGATAATACATAGAGTTTTGAAGGAGCAGAAAGTATTAAAAGAATATTCTGGAGTCAGAAAAGGATTTAAAACATAATCTTAAAAAATAAGTCAGGGCTGGGTGCCATGGCTCACCCCTGTAATCCCAGCACTTTGGAAGGCCAAGGTGGGAGGATTGCTTGAGCCCAGGAGTTCAAGACCAGCCTGGGCAACATGGCAAGGCACTGTCTCTACAAAAACAAAAATTAGCCAGGTGTGGTGGTGCATACCTGTAGTCCTAGCTATTCGAAAGGCTGAGATGGGAGGATCACTTGAGACCAGGAGGCAGAGGCTATAGTGAGCCGAGATTGCAGCACTGCACTCCAGCTTGGGCAACAGAATGAGTCCCTGTCCCCCAACCCCCAAAAAATCAGTCAGAATAGCTGAACTTGTGCACACGGCTGACAGTCAGCGCTATTTGGTCTAAGAAAATTTCACAAAAGAGAACTCTGAAGTACTAAGCCTAACAGACAGGTAAGCAGGTATGTCTTTCCAGGAAGATGGGGTAATGCATACAAAAACTGGAAGCATAAAAAAAGGAAGTCCACATTAACGTAAGGTCCACTCACAGTGCCCATTGGGAGTCTTCTCAATTTCTTGTTAAAGTGGTCAGAGGATGTCAAAGAGGAGAAACATTAGTAACAGCACTGGGAGTAAAATGGACAAAATATAAAGTGGCATTTCTAATAGCTGAGCCCTGATTGGGCTTGACTACGAAACACTGTTTCAGACTCAGAACCTTACACTGTATATTTTGAAAGAGTACAGCATATATGTCTTCTAAATAAAGAAATTAGGAAGAGACTTTGATTCATACCAATAACAATCCCTAACTCCAGGTGCAGGCATCAAGTAGACCAACATCTGCATAACATCTGTTGTGGGTTAAATTATGTACTCCCGAAAGATATGTTGAAGTCCTACCCTGAATATGATCTTATTCAGAAAGAATCTTTATGCAATTAAGATGTAAATTAAGATGAGGTTATGCTAGAATAAGGTGGCCCCTTAAACTAGTATGACTGGCAACCTTATAAGAAGAGATGAGACACAGGGATGGACATACATGGAGAAGAGAAAGCCATGTGAACACAAAGACACACACAGACAGAGTGCCATATGACAAGACAGGCAGAGATTGGAGTGATAAATCTACAAGCTAAGGAATGCCAAGGACTGCCAGCAACATCAGAAACTAAAAGAAAGGCATCAAGCAGATTCTTCTCTAGAGCCTCCGGAGAGAGCAGGGCCCTGCCGACATGTTGATTTTAGATTTCTAGCCTCCAGAAATGTGACACTAAATTTCTCTTGTTCTAAGCTACTTAATTAGTGGTAATGTGTTATGGCAGTCAAAGAAACTAATAACACATGTCTTCGGCCAACAAGAATCAGGCTTCTATCTAGACTCTGATAACTTAGAACTTATTAAAAAAAAATCTTACGGTTAATTTAATTGGTAGTCCTCAAACTTTTTGGCACCAGGACAATTTTTTCTAAAGATGGGGGAGGTGGAATGGTTTCCAAATGAAACCATTCTACCTCAGATCATCAGGTATTAGATTCTCATAAGGAGCACGTAACCTAGATCCCTTGCATGTGCAGCTCACAAGAGGGTTCATGCTCCTATGAGAATCTAATGCTGCAGCCGATGTAACAAGATGGGGAGCTCAGGCAGTAATGCTTGCTTGTCCACCACTCATCTCCCACTGTGTGGCCCGGTTTCTAACAGGCCACAGACAGTTACCTGTCCACGGCTTGGGGGTTGGGGATCCCTGCTAGCTCATCAAACACATTCTCAACTTAGAAATCAGAACACCCAGCTGCACGTGACAAACTGACTTACAGTTTTAACAGTTTCCTGCAGCTGGAATCTGCTGCAAATGGAAGCCAATAGCCAATGGAAAGGAATTTGTTGGTCCCTATTTTTCCCCCATGTCCTTCTTTTCCAGCTAGTGAACCTTGGATCCTGATGCCTCTGGAATATAGCAGTGGAAAAAGGAAAGGTGAGGAAACAAGAGGTAAATGAAGCAGGAAAGTGCTTACTTTCTGCTCACTAAGCAAGAAGGCTCCCTCTTTGGGACAGGCACAAAGTTGATTCTCTCCCCGTTTGAGCTTTTCCTGGTTCTTCAGTAATCCTCACCTCCAATCACTGGAGACCTTTCACCTGTACTATGCTTGATGCAGGTCATACTGTCTCACTTTGTTACTTACTTCATCCACAGTCACTAGTCAGCTGAGACCAGTTCAGTTGCTGGGAAGCCTTAAGGAAATACCTAGGACAACCTCATGACAGCTCTTTCATATTCGTGGCCCACCTCTCTTCCAGAGGAATCTAACAACCCCTGAAAAATAGATGAATCCCCATTCAGAATCTTTACTTTGCTGTACCATAAGCTGCTCACCACCTCATCTTTGGTCTTTGAATTAATCAGAATCCAGTCCACTGTCTCCACTAAACCTCAAAACTTCAAGAGATACCTTTTAAACTCTCTAGAGAGTCTCCTTGAAGAGCTCTTTCTAGTTCTGAGGGGGAAAACACCCTACACCATCTCTCCTTGTGTATATTTCGAGTACACCTTCAGTTCACTCCATAAAATCTTCCTTTCATCTCCAGATCTCCCAGCCCTTTTGGATTGGAAACGTAGGAGGTATCTACCCAGTTCTTACACTCCCACTAGGGAATTTCTACAAGGTGATCTGGTTTATAAATCACATTAGTATCTGATAGCTATTGCTTTAAGGGGTCAAAGTTTTCCAATTTCACATCATATGATATTAGTTTTTCACAATTTGTGTTTTAAGAAACTCATGGGGGAAACAGCTAAAAATTATACAATATGTCTTCTGGATATACTATTTTAAAGGTGTCCTATACATTCCATGAATTTTACATTGTTCTTCAATATAATCTCTGTTATTCAGTCAAGTGGAGTGTCTAACAGCTGCCACGTTGTTCTATCCCAGTTCCATTCTTCAGGTCTATTCCTTCTACTTGTGGTTCAGTTCTTACTTCTCAGCACCTTCCAAATGTACTGCCCTGTCAAAGCTTTAATGACAACTTCTCCAGAAAGTGATCTCCAGGTACTTTGGACTCTGTTGATTTTATCGTTCTTCTACCTTGTGCAGCAATTATAGTCAATGCCTATAACTTATATTGCCTTCTTGAGTTGTCTTGTGCTGTCGTGTCTCCACAGATATATTTTAAGTTCTTCAAGGACAGTTATTTTAACTTGTGCCTCTCACATTTTTCCTTTTGTGCTAAACTCAATGATCAGCATATATGGAGAAGGTACCTGTTAAGTGCAGACACAATTGCTATCTATTAAATATCTATTAATGTAGGTAGACAGCGTTGACTTATGTGGCATAATATCCTTCCATGTCCTATGACAGAAATTGCATAGCAGTGGCATAGCAGTTGTTGCCGCACCAAGTTTTTTTTTAAATTTAATTTTACTTTATTTTAAGTTCCAGGATACAGATGCAGGACATGTAGGTTTGTTACTTAGGTAAACGCGTGCCATGCTGGTTTGCTGCACCTATCAACCCATCCCCTAGGTATTAAGCCCCACATGCATTAGCTATTTATCCTGATGGTATCCCTTCCCCCACCCCATTCCCCTGAAAGGCCCAAGTGTGTATTGTTCCCCTCCCTGTGTCCATGGCCACATTACATTTAAACACTATTTGGACATGTCAGATGGAAAAGAAGCAGAAAACAAAATAACATGAGAAATATGATATGACATTATGTAACAAGGATAACAAGGATGTTGTTTGGAAATATATCTAAATGCAATCCTTTTGCATTTCTCTGTGTCTGACCTCACCTTTCTGCCAGGCATAGCATTTGCCTCTAAAAAGATCAAGATTGCTACAAGATAAATAAAATTAAAAAAGGCAGTCTACATTTTGATGTCTGCCAATAATTCTGGATCCATATAGCAAGACAATAATCTTGAATATAAGGCTTTTCTTGTTTCCATTACAATATTAGAATTCAGACTTAGAAAACTAGATCAAGGACTTTTGCCATGCTAAAAGAGGAGAAAAGAATATAATAAACTACCTCAGGCTCAAGAGCATAGGCAAGAGGAAAAGAAACAGAGGAGGAAGTCAAACATGAAGTCTTCATTTCCCTTCTTTCTAAGTGAAACCCCCCACAAGAAAGTGGAATAAAGGTAATAGAAGCATTAGGACTAGCAGATGGCTTTTCAGGACATAGACTCAAAAGAACTTGAGATTTTCAGGGGAAAAAAAAAACATCATCCAACATCTAACATGATATAGGAACACTTAGGGTGCATTAGTGGAGGACAGTCTCTAAAAAGATGAACCTGAGACAAAATTGCATCATCTCAATAGCCAATACCTGGTATCCAGGAGCAATAGAAGTTCTCAAATACCATGAATAGGAGACAGGGGAGTGCAGGTGGACTTGGTCCCACCTAGTACCCTTTCCCAGAATGAGATCACATGAGGCCCATTATCCCCATCATCACAAGACTATAAAAGAAAAAGCAGAAAAGGAAAAAAGTCTAAAGCACAATCATTTAGCAAAAAGTTATCTCAGTCATCCATCCCAGATAAAAAAGAACTTAAACTTATGTAGTACAGTATCATTATTTTATAGATATAAAAACTAAAGACCAGAATGGCAGACTCATTTACTGAAGAGTATTATGCTTATGAAGACAGAGAAGAGGCAATGGTTCCAGTTTATCTAGCATCTACTCACATGCTGATGAACTATCCCACACTCTCATCTATAATCCAGCTTTTCTTTTCACTATAAGTTAATATTATTATTCAATTAATATTTTAAAATAAAAATTCCAATTTTATTTTCACTAGAAATATCAATGAAAATAATTTTAATTCATTTCTTTTAATAAATGATGAAATACATTTAAAATGAAAATAATGTTTTTAAAGAGTCTGCAGAAAACTATTAGATTTAATTAGTAAATTTAGCAATGTTACTGAATTCAGAGTTATTTTACAAGAACAAATTATGCTACCATAATGAACAAATAAAAAATAAGAATTATAACATTTAAAAGAGAATTAAATATCTCAAATACTCAGAATAAAATCTAACAAAAGATGTTCGTGATATCTACACCAAAAATCTACAAAATAGTATTTAAAGGAAATAAAGCAAACAAAAATAAATGGAGAGAGATGCATCATGCTCATACATGGAAGACTCAATATTATAAGGATGTCAATTTTCAAATTAATCTGGATATTCATGGTAATCACAACCAAAATCCCAGTAGTCTTTTTTTAATATAAAAATTAACAAGCTAAAATTTGTACAGAAATACAAAGGGCCAAGATTAGCCAAGGAAGACAAAACTAGAATTTTTAAATTGCCAGATATCAAAACTTATTATAAAGCTTTTGTAATTAAGACAGTAACTGGTACAAAGACAGACAAATCACATATGAAACAAAAGAGGAAGTCCAGAAACAAACTCACACAAGTTATAACAACAAATTACACAAGTAAATTATGGCAAGTTTGACAATGTAGAACAGTAGAGAAGGGGCAATTTCTTTACTAAATGGTGCTGAATGAATTACATATCAATTTGTGGGGAAAAAGTGGATCCTGACTCCTACATATACAAAAATCATTTCCAGAGGTTGTGCATTTACATGTTCAAAACAAAACAATAAAGCTTTTAGAAGAAAATATCTTTCCCTTTGGGGCAGATCGTGATTTCTTAAACAGAGTATAAGTGGTAACCGTCAAGGGAAAACATTAAAGTTTGACTGCATTTAAATTAAAAACTTCTGTTTACCAAAAGATGCCAAGTAGAATATGAAATGACAAGCCATGGAGTATAAAAAGAAACCTGCAATACTCAGAATATATACAATAAACTTTCATAAATCAATAAGAAAATGAGACAACTGAATAGAAAATTGGGCAAAAGTCATAAATATAAACTTCACAAAAGAAGGCTTTCAAATTTTCAATAAACATCCTAAAAATCCCTCACCTTTATTAGTCTTTTGGAATGCAAGCTAAAATTACAATGAGATGTCACTATAAGCAGACAAATGAGGCTGAATTAAAAAAAAAGATAATAGCAAGAGTTAGCAAGGATGTGGAAGAATGGTACTGTCATATCCTGCTGGTAGGGGTAGAAATTCATGTAATTATTTTGGAAAAGAGTTTGGTAGTATCTCTCCTTTGATAGTGTCTCACCTTATGGCTGTGCAATTCCACTATAAAAGTTGCTGAATATTATGTACAACAATATTCTCAGTAGCACTATTCACAATAAGAATTAACTAGAAATAACCCAAATTTCCATAAACAGTAAAGCTGATTAATAAATTAAGATATATTCATACAATGAAATGCTATGCATTAATGAGACTGAAGAAACCCTGATTACATGAACAATATGAATATCACAAACCATGTTAAAGAAAGAAGTCACATGGAAAAAGTATGTACTATAGGAAAACATTCTGTTATGGGCTCAATTGCATCCCCTCACAATTCATATGGCAAAGCTCTAACACTCAGTTAGACTGTCTTTGGCAATAGGGCCTCTAAGGAGAAAATTAAGGTTAAATTAGGTCTTTAGAGTGGTGCTCTAATCTCATACAGCTGGTGTCCTTGTAAGACGAGAGAAAGACACGAGGGATGCATGAGCACAGGCTGTGAGGGCACAGGAAGATACTGTCTGCAAGTCAAGGTGGGAGGCCTTGGGAGAAATTAATCCTGCTGGCACCTTAACCTTGGACTTTTAGCCTCCAGAACTGTGATAAAATAAATTTCTGTTTCTTAAGCCACCTAATCTATCGTATTTTATTATGCCAGCCCTGAAAAACTAATACACATTTATATAAAAGTGGGAGGAAACGCTCTGAGGAGGATACAGTACCTGAAAGAGGACATGAGGAGAGTCTCTGGTGTGCACCAAATGTTGTTTCTTGATCTAGGTGTTGGATCTTCAGGTATATTCCTTTTGCAAAAAATGTATTGAGTTGTACACTTAAGATTTGCTCACTTTTCCTTCGATACACTTTTCAAGTGACATTAAGATCCAAATTCATCTGTCTATGGCCCTTAAAAAATGGGCACTATTAGATTTTGTTTGTTTGTTTGTTTGTTTTCAGATGGAGTTTCACCCTTGTTGCCCAGGCTGGAGTGCAATAGGGCGATCTCGGCTCACTGCAACCTCCGCCTCCCGGGATCGAGCGATTCTCTTGCCTTAGCCTCCCAAGTAGCTGGGATTACAGGCATGCGCCAGCACGCCCAGCTAATTTTGTATTTTTAGTAGAGATGGGGTTACACCATGTTGGTCAGACAGGCCTCAAACTCCTAACCTCAGATGATCTGCCTGCCTCAGCCTCCCAAAGTGCTTGGATTACAGGCATTAGCCACCATGCCTGGCCGATTTTTTAAATAATTCCTGATTTTAAAGGTAATCAAGAAGAAATAAAAGGAAGCTTTCAATCTGCAGGTGTTCTTCATTAGCACTACAGGTGTGATCATTGGAGAACCGACGTTTCAGGGCTGCACCTGAAGACAACAGCAGTCTTTCCCTAGAACACATTCTGTTTTTAATATTTTTGACTTAGATTTCTCCTCAGTTTATTTAATCACTTTTATGTACGTTTAATTTAGCATAGAATATATGTCTATTCAATTTTAAAGCATATTTGTATACTTAACAGTGTATATATTTGAGAAATTCTTAAAATTTGGGCAACTTTAGCCAGGAAACACCCAGTGTCAGACTTTCAGTGCTATGCCTGACCTCTGAAATTATTTCCTTTTGTAAACACTAAATCTTAGTGTCTTAAATTTAAGTATAGTCTTAAATTTTTAGAAATAACATTATTATCATTATTGTAATAATAAAACTAATCCTTCAGTACTGCCAAACAGAAACCAGGCATTGTTCTAAGTTACTGTCTTGCATATTAAATACTCATAACAACCTTCTTGGCTGATTACACTATTATCCCCATTTTATAGATGAGTAAGCTGAAGCACAGTTTGGTTACCATGTTGCCCAAGCCACAGCCATCGAGCAAAAGTAAGATTTGAAGGCAGGGAGCTGCCACAAACCCCGATCCTTTGACTTCTCAGCTGAGCTAATGTGCCTCAGTTCTTTCCACATGTGCACCTGTTACTCTAACACAAATTCTGTCTCTATGTCTTATTATTAGAATGTATTCTTCTTACTGTGAAATTTCTCATTTTATTTTAAATGTATGTCCCCCACAAATTCTATTCTTTGTATGTCTTTGCTATTTTCTATATTTTCATGCATTCGTTAGAATTTTAAACATATTATATCTTTAATTTAAAGTAATTATTATCGCCTAGGAGTTTAAAGAAATTTACGTATATCATTCTATACATTGCAACACACACACACACACACACACACACACACACACACACACACATCCACCACTATTCTCTGAATTGCATTTTAGGTATTTTATTACATATTTTCTTACCTTCTATGTCACACCATTGCCAAAGTCAAATTCTGAGAGTTTAGACCTCTTATACTCAAATGGTGATCCATAAACTGCAGCATCACCATCACCTAGAGTTCGTTAGAAATACAGAATTCCAAGCTCCACCCCAGACCAGCTGAGTCAGATTCTTCATTTCAACAAGAGCACCAGATGATCAGAAGGAATATTAAAGTTTCAGAAACTTGCTTTAGATGACATAGTGCTCTAAACTAGGGCTTTCTTAATTCTTCCTTCAACTAATTTATTTCCCTAATTTCTATGAAACTTGCTCTTGTAATTTTTTTTTACCACTAAGTGTTCTAGTCTGTTATAATTAATAATATGGAATGCTTCATTCCCTTATCAGCTTTCCTGCCTGGAATATTATTTAATTTTCATGAGTTAATTATTGAGACCCTAAAACAGAAGCTTCTCCTCTTTTATTTTGTTGTGCAGTGGTTTGTAGTTCTCCTTGAAGAGGTCCTTCACATCCCTTGTAAGTTGGATTCCTAGGTATTTTATTCTCTTTGAAGCAATTGTGAATGGGAGTTCACTCATAATTTGGCTCTCTGTTTGTCTGTTATTGGTATATAAGAATACTTGTGATTTTTGCACATTGGTTTTGTATCCTGAGACTTTGCTGAAGTTGCTTATCAGCTTAAGGTGATTTTGGGCTGAGACGATGCGGTTTTCTAGATATACAATCATGTCATCTGCAAACAGGGACAATTTGACTTCCTCTTTTACTAATTGAATGCCCTTTATTTCTTTCTCCTGCCTGATTGCCCTGGCCAGAACTTCCAACACTATGTTGAATAGGACTGGTGAGAGAGGGCACCCCTGTCTTGTGCCAGTTTTCAAAGGGAATGCTTCCAGTTTTTGCCCATTCAGTATGATATTGGCTGTGGGTTTGTCATAGATAGCTCGAAATAAAAGAGGATACAAACAAATGGAAGAACATTCCATGCTCATGGGTAGGAAGAATCAATATCATGAAAATGGCCATACCGCCCAAGGTAATTTATAGATTCAGTGCCATCCCCATCAAGCTACAAATGACTTTCTTCACAGAATTGGAAAAAACTACTTTAAAGTTCATATGGAACCAAAAAAGAGCCTGCATTGCCAAGTCAATCCTAAGCCAAAAGAACAAAGCTGGAGGCATCAGGCTACCTGACTTCAAACTATACTACAAGGCTACAGTAACCAAAACAGCATGGTACTGGTACCAAAACAGAGATATAGACCAATGGAACAGAACAGAGTCCTCAGAAATAATGCCACATATCTACAACCATCTGATCTTTGACAAACCTGACAAAAACAAGCAATGGGGAAAGGATTCCCTATTTAATAAATGGTGCTGGGAAAACTGGCTAGCTATATGTAGAAAGCTGAAACTGGATCCCTTCCTTACACCTTATACAAAAATTAATTCAAGATGGATTAAAGACTTACATGTTAGACCTAAAACCATAAAAACCCTAGAAGAAAACCTAGGCAATACCATTCAGGACATAGGCATGGGCAAGGACTTCATGTCTAAAACACCAAAAGCAATGGCAACAGAAGCCAAAATGGACAAATGGGATCTAATTAAACTAAAGAGCTTCTGCACAGCAAAAGAAACTACCATCAGACTGAACAGGCAACCTACAGAATGGGAGAAAATTTTTACAATCTACTCATCTGACAAAGGGCTAATATCCAGAATCTACAATGAACTCAAACAAATTTACAAGAAAAAAACAACCCCATCAAAAAGTGAGCGAAGGATATGAACAGACACTTCTCAAAAGAAGACATTTATGCAGCCAAAAAACACATGAAAAAATGCTCATCATCACTGGCCATCAGAGAAATGCAAATCAAAACCACGATGAGATACCATCTCACACCAGTTAGAATGGCAATCATTAAAAAGTCAGAAACCAACAGGTGCTGGAGAGGATATGGAGAAATAGGAACACTTTCACACTGTTGGTGGGACTGTAAACTAGTTCAACCATTGTGGAAGTCAGTGTGGCAATTCCTCAGGGATCTAGAACTAGAAATACCATTTGACCCAGCCATCCCATTACTGGGTATATACCCAAAGGATTATAAATCATGCTGCTATAAAGACACATGCACATGTATGTTTACCGCAGCACTATTCACAGTAGCAAAGACTTGGAACCAACCCAAATGTCCAACAGTGATAGACTGGATTAAGAAAATGTGGCACATATACACCATGGAATACTATGCAGCCATAAAAAATGATGAGTTCATGTCCTTTGTAGGGACATGCATGAAGCTGGAAACCATCATTCTCAGCAAACTATCAAAAGGACAAAAAACCAAACACCGCATGTTGTCACTCATAGGTGGGAATTGAACAATGAGAACACACGGACACAGGAAGGAGAACATCACACACTGGGGCCTGTTGTGGTGTGGGGGAAGAGGGGAGGGATAGCATTAGGAGATACCCCTAATGTTAAATGACGAGTTAGTGGGTGCAGCACACCAACATGGCACATGTATACATATGTAACAAACCTGCAAGTTGTGCACTGTACCCTAAAACTTAAAGTATAATAAAAACAAAAAAAAAGAAGCTTCTCTTCTTATAAACATATTAGATTCCAAGGGCTGTCTGCAAAACTAGTTGTTTGAAAGGTTCTGTATTCCCCATATGTGTCTACAAATGCCATCAGTTGGAAATAATATACAGAACTGACATACTTTAGCTCCAGTGTGTAGCCTTGTAAATGTCTATGAGCGTTCCTAAGTTAAAAGATCAGTAGTAGAGGAGCTACTATTTTCTCAAAATCCTGTGTGATTTTATACTATCTGCTGTATTCACAATGTTCATCTTAAGTCTTGTGGAAATTCTTCTCAGGTTTTCTTAGCTATCAAGTATTCACTTACAAGTTGACCTAGGGGTTTCTTGTTTTTTGTATAAGCTGTCCTGAAGAAGTTCCAGAAAGATGACTTTGTAGTAATACAGGATTCTTGCCTCTGGCTAAAACAATCACCATCAACAATGTCCAAAACCAAACATAATAACAAAATAAAACCCTCAAAGAGAAATATCCCTTTGAAAACCATCAAATAAACTTCAAAAACCGTAAATTAATGCAAAAGAAAATCAATCTTATTTCAGTTTTTAAATTAAGGCAAAATTCTATGTTGGTAAGTGCTTATCACTGTTTTAACGAAATTCTAGTACCCATATCTTGATAGAAATTATGAAATTTCTTTATCACTTTATCTTTTTGCATTGGTTCTTGAATGATATTCCATTATATGAGCTAAGTAGGATAAGAATATTAATTTACTTGAGCATATGGTATCAAGGAAAGTAATTGTTTAGAATTTGTCCAATAGGAAAATATGAAGTGTTTGCCTATAGAATGGGCATTAGATGGTAATGAGTCAATTTTAACTGTGTGACGTGTGATAACCATATCAGAGTTATGTAAAATGAATATATTTATCTCTTAGAGATTTATATTTCAGTAAATTCGATTGAAATATCAAAAAATTATCAATGTAACATACTGGTATACATACACCACCACCACAAAATGTAGAAAGACAGAAGCACCCCACGCATCCCACAAAGACAGACAGAAAGAGGAACATTAAGAGCCTAGAAAAGACATCAATGATACAGAAATTTTAGCATCAATGCAGGAGGCTCCAATAACTCATTAGGTCATTGGATTAAAAGCAATGAAAGAAAAAATAATACGTTATTTTAAGGATTCACAATGTAACTGAAATAACACATTATATTTAAGAAACGCTACAAGCACCTTTTATTGAGCCTTTGCTCAAACTAATCACTTGGTATTTCTTTCACATATATATTATTGCTCTTACTCTTCACAATAACTATTGAAAAGAGACATGAAGAACAATTTTCCCATTTTCATAACATTTCTGATTTAGCCGAAAGAGGATGGAACTTTTACTACTAGGTAGTTTATGTGCATAACGCACTAAAGCATGTATAAAACATAGTATACAAATTTAGGTGTCCAGAGGAATTAACATTTTAAAAATTAGATAAAATTAACTGTCAGTCTTTGCCTCTATTCTTCTAGGATTCAACAATTTTGATGGAGAACATAAACAACAGAAATAATTCAGCTGAAACAAATTTTGCAATGTGGAAAGCACATAAGCACAGAAAACCCAAAAAATCTAAATTCAAAAAATAAACAATCTAAGCAAATGGAATTATAGTTGAATACCTCCATATCCCACTATCAAAGTATGACAGAAAAAGGAAACAAAAATAAAAACTACATTGTGCTCAATAAGTAGATTTATGCTTCTGGCAATATAGACACTAGTAATTCTAAAACGCTTTTCTGCTTCAAAACATTTAGAAATGCTTAATAAAACACAACAAACATACTTTAAAAAGCACTTTTGAATTTTAAAAAAGTAAGGATGATCTCACAAGGGCAAAATGAAGTCGGAGTTGAAACAATGGTTAACATCCTAGTGCAAAAATTATGGGTACATTGGTGGTGTTTACTAACACTAGGATCTTGGAACCTTGGATTTTAATAGCCTTATAAGAAATAGTGGAGAAGATTTTAGTCTTGTAAAAGATGAGCTGTTGGAGTTTACAACACTCAAAAGCCCAAAAGGGTGGACAATAAAAAAAAATTGCACCTTAACAGGGGTAAGTGACAAGGGAAATATTTGTGACATTTCTGGCTTGGAGTAGCAAAAAAAGGAATTCTTCTAAAAATGCATAATCCACAATCCTTCCCCCATGGCTTTTGGACTTTGTTTTCTACAGTTTATAAGTCCTAAAAATCTTTCAGAAGATAAATTAACTTAAAAGAGCAAATTAAATCCTCTTCAAAGGAATATAACCTCATCTTAGACATCTCAGGATTCCCAGAATTTTAAATAAACCAATAATAAGTTCGCAATCCAAAATTACACAACCTACCCAAAAGTAAGCCTTTATAAAGGAAAGTCCAAAGAAGCAACAAACACTAGAATTTGATTGCCAAGGAATTCAGACTTTGTACAGTCAGATAACACAAAATAAAATCAGTGTGTTAAAAATCCCTAAGAGTATAAAAAAGGAAATGTATTAGGCCATTCTTGTGTTGTTATACAGGAATACCTGAGACTGGGTAATTTATACAGAAAAGAGATTTAATTAGCTTACAGTTCTGCAGGCTATACAAGAATGGCTTGGCTTCTGGTGAGGATAGTAGTAAGCTTACAAACATGGTGGAGGGTGAAGAGGGAGTAGACACATCACATGGCAAGAGTGGGAGTAGGAGAGAGACGAGGAGGAGCCAGCCCCTTTTAAACAACCAAATATTATGTGAACTAACTGAGCTAGAACTTACTCCAAGGGGATAGTGCTGAGTCATTCATGAGATATCTGCCCCCATGATCCAATACCTCACACCAGGCCCCATCTCCAATACTGGGGATTACATTTCAACATGACATTTGGAGAAAACACACATCCAAACCATTTACAGAAACTAAAGACATAACAAAGGAATAATAGGATATTAAAACCAATTAGAATTTTAAAAGACTAAAAGTAACTTCTAGAAATTAAAAATTAAATAAATAAATTATAATCGCATAGATGCATTGAAGAAAATTAGGTACAACTTCAGAGAGGGACTTAATAAACTGAAAAATACATTTGAATCATTACATAAAACAAAGACAGAAAAAGTGATAAAACTTATGCAAGGTGGAAAAGAAAATAGGAAGTTCTAATTTGTGACCAGTCAGATTCCCTGAAGAAGAGAGAAGAGAGAATGGAGAGACCAGGGCCAGGCCTAGGTCATGGCAAGGGAATAGGGCAAAAAGTTTAAGGAGGCATTTACTCTTAAATTTTGTCATCTAGAAGAGACAATACTAAAAAAAGAAGTTTCAATTTTCCATAATTAAATATTTGGGTTCAGGAAACAGAGTTTTCCAAGCAGAATAAATAAAAAGAAATTTGCACCAAGAAGCTAGTAAAACAGTAGAATACCAACGATAAAGAGATCTTCTTACAGCCTGAAATAACAGATTGACTCTTGGTGCCCTACCCAGATTTCCTTCACCAAAACAGTAGACCCACACTCACCCTCCTATTGATAATTGTCCTCCTATCACTGGAAATGTCTCAAAAGTTTCATACTCCCTCTAGGGACAGCCCACAGCCAAAGCATGACTTATAAAAGGATACCAAAGGCCAGTACCCTAGCATGAATGGGGGACATTTTTGTGGAACCCTCAGGTTGCAGAGATGCTTGTGGGACCAGGCTGATCTTCTGCTAAGTTGCATTTTTAACTTGCAATTTTCCTGCTCTATCTTGTTTTTATTTCTGTTTTCATTTTTCTGATTCCAACTAACAAAACTGAGAATCCCCATCTTGAGTTGACTCTAATAAGTGCAAACTAAGACAATTAGCAATAAACAGATCACAAATATATCATATATCAACAGATTTTCAAAGCAATGACGGATGTCAGAAGGCTGTAGAAAAAATATAGTCTTAGTAGTGAGAAAAAAAAGTCAGTTAAGACTCTGTTCTTAAACTATAATTTGAGAACAAAAATGAAGCAAATATATATTCAGATGAATCAAAACAAAGTTTACAACCAAATGACCCATGGGAAAGGAAATTTTAAAGAAAGATTTTGGGGCAGAAAGAAAAGAATCTCAGATAAGTATGAGATATAAGAAGAACTGGAAAAAATAGTGAATAGGTAGGTAAACTTAATCAACAATAACTATTTAAAGTAATCATGTTTAATTCAATAAATAACAAAACAATGTAGAGCTAAGTGATTGTACCAAAAAAGAGGGAGGTGATAAAATTTCAGTTATAATATCTTGCAATACTGAGAAGGAGACGAGAGAGACGAATTAACTTTAGAATCCGATTATAAAAGTAATGACTCTAAGGTTAATTTCTGTAAAATAGAATTCAAGTGTATTAACTTCAAACCAGCAGAGTGAACAGAAGAAAACAGAAAATCTCAATCAGAAACAAGCCATGAGGAATTTCTGTTTCTGGCTATAATGGAGTAACTTGTCTTGGATTAGTCCATTCTGTACAAACAACCAAAAAGTGGCCAAAATATATTGGGAAAATATTTTCAAGCATTGCACAACATGCAGCACAAAACTGTACTTTATGAGTAACAGGAAAGCTCCATAATAGTCCCAGTTATCTCCTTAGTGATAACTTTCCAACCTCAGCAAAGCAAGTTGGAATCCAAGCAAAGCAAAGGGGACTGCAGCTCTTAGAAGGCAGAGATTAGAGTTCAAGGAAGCTGAAGTGAATGGAATATGCAAGGCAAGAAGCCAGAAAGGAAGTAGCTGCTCAGAAGGGAGGTTTCAGATATCTGAGCAGAATTCCCTGTGAATTCTTGGCCAAGGATTGAGCTATACTTGTCCAGGACAAGAATACATGAGGCATTTTAGAGAGTTACTGCTACTGATTGAGAATGCATGAGAGATGTTAGAGAAATTAGAGGTCAAGCAGTGACAGTGGATATTGGAGTTCATGTCACCCAGAGTGGAGATACCTCATTAATGCAGTCTAATACCCCAGGCAGCCAGCTGAGAAATTGGCTGCTTTATGAGTCATACTTTGTGAGTGGAGATAATGAGCTAAAGTAAGATATGTTTTAGATTCACCCTAACAAAGCTTAAAGCTAAATCTTGACAAGATCTACAGGAGACATAGAGTTCAGAGATTAAGTGAAACAGTTAGAGTGGCTTTTGACACATGTAAGGTTTTCCAAAGGTCTGCCCTAACAAAATGTATACCCTGGGATACATGAGTTCAAGGTGATCATCTACTAAACGTTTTTACCATGTATAACTACTTATATTACCAGATTACTAGATAGACATAAAAAAGTGACACATAGTAAAGAATAAGCCATCAAAAGAAACTGACCCAGAGATGGCATGGGTCTTGCATTTAGCAGATGATGACTTTAAATCAACTATTTAAACATATTCAAAAAACCAAAGAAAATGTGTTCATAGAATTAAAGGAAAATATAGTCTTAATGAAAGAACAGATGATGACTCTCAGAAAAGAAATGAAATCTATTTTAAAAGGCAAATAGAAACTCTATAATGGAAAGAACAATAAATGAAATGTAAAATTCACTAGATGAGTTTAACAGCAGGCCAGAAATAGTAGAAGAGTCAGTGAGGTGAAAGAGAAATCAGTTGAAGTTCTGCAATCTGAAGGATAAAGGCACAATTTATTTTTTAATGAACAGAAATGGGGGACAATATCCAACAACTACCATAAGTATAATAGTAGTCTTAGGAAGAAAAAAATAGAATATAAAGTATTTAAAGAATTCATGGCTGAAAATATGCCAAATTTGATGGGGAAAAATCAACTTATAGGATCCAGAATTTGAAAAAATCCTAAAAAAGATCAAATTAAAGAAATCCCCAAACACGTCATGGTCAAACCACTGAAAACAAAAGATAAAGCAATCAGAGGAAAAGGAACATTACTACAGGGAACAATAATGAAAAACAATTGCTGGCTGCTCATCTAAACAAGGTAGGCAAGCTAACAATGAGCCAATATCTTTAACATGCTGAAAAAATTTATTTGAGAATTTTATATCTAATAAAAATATCCTTCAAAAATAAGGTAAAATGGGCATCTTATTATAAACAAAAGATCAGAAATTATTTGCAACAAACATAAACTACAAAAAATGTTAAATAAAAAAGGGAAAAATTAAACTATATGAAAAGTCATGTCCATAGATGGGAAGAGTCATAAAAATAAATAGACATAAATATAAGATGTTATTCCTCCTTATTATTTCTTAAAAGATAGGCTATTTTTTATAAAAGCAATAATCGTTTCACAAGGTAGAGTTTTTAGTATATAAAAAAAGATGTGCAAAAGAAGGTACAATGGATAAGGGACAAGCTAACGGAATTTTACTGTTGAATGTTTATTATATTTGGGAAATGGGAAGTAGAAACTGAGAAATGGGAATCATCAGGTTTGGAGCTGGAACTGTGAAGGGTTAGGTGTTAAGTGGATTAACACTGAATCTAAATAGACCTTAAAAGTTGAGAATAGGATAGCATTAACCTTAAACACTATAGAATTTTTTAAAAGAGCTAAGAAGCCAATAAAGTAAATAAAATAGAATATTTTAAAAATATCCAATTAGCCCAAAATAGAAAAAGAGCAAAAACAAAACAAAAACAAAGGACAAAAGGAAAACAAATGGGACAATGATAGATTTGAACACAACCATATGGATAATTACATGAAATGTAAACAGAGAGAGAAATGTAACTAGACTAAGACTAAACAAGGGGTCAAAAAACTATGTCCTGCAGGAAAAATCTTGCCTACTTGTTTCGTAAATATTTGTGGAAAAAAATCGCCTGACCATTCACATGTTTTCTATAAATGCTTTTATGCTACAATGGCAGAATTCAGTAGTTTTGACAAAAACTGTATGGTTTGCAAAACCTAACATATTTACTATCTGGCCCTTTACAGAAAACATTTGGTAACCCTTGGAATAAATACTCTATACGGGAGACTTTAGGGGAATTATGATGTCACTTTTTAGTTCCCATAAAGTGTCCTGTATAATAAGAGTGCCTACAAAAAAGTCGATTTAAATTTGAAAAGACAAATAAGTTGAAAATAAAAAGATGGAAATAATATATAGTATAAACAGGAATCATAAGAAAGCTGTTGTGGTTATGTTAATATGAGACAGATAAATCTCAAGACAAAATCTATTTCAAGAAACAAAAATAGTATTTCAAAATAATAAAAGAGTAAACTCATCAGAAAGATATGACAATCTTAAATATGTATGCACCTGATAAAAGAGGTTCAAAATTCATAACACAAAAACTGATCAAGATAGAGGGAGAAATAAGCAAATTGGTAATCATTGTTGAAGGTCTGTAATACCACTCTCTCAGTAATTAATATAAGAAGAGATGAAAAGTCTTTATTCTTTATTTCTTTATTAAGAAAAAAATCTGAATAACACTACCTAACCACCTTTACCTAATTAGTAGTTATAGAATACTATACTCAACAAATACTACACACACATTCTCTTTAAAAACACATGGGATATTCATCATGATAGGACATACACTAACCAGAAAATAAACCTCAAACATTCCTTTACACTAATAATAGACAAACAAGAGTGGAATCATGAGTGAACTCCCATTCACAATTGCTACAAACAGAATAACATACCTAGGAATATGACTTACAAGGGATGTGAAGAGCCTCTTCAAGGGGAACTACAAACCACTGCTCAAAGAAAAAAGAGAGGACACAAACAAATGGAAAAACATTCCATGCTCATGGATGGGAACAATCAATATCATGAAAATGGTCATACTGCCCAAAGTAATTTACAGATTCAATACTATTCCCATCAAGCTACCAATGACTTTCTTCACAGAATGAGAAAAAAATACTTTAAATTTCATATGGAATGAAAAAGAGCCTGCATAGCCAAGACAATCTTCAGGAAAAAGAACAAATCTGGAGGCATCACGCTACCTGATTTCAAACTATATAACAAGGCTACAGTAAGACAAACAGCATGGTACTGGTACCAAAACAGATATATAGACCAATGGAACAGAACAGAGGCCTCAGAAATAATGTCACACATCTACAACCATCTGCTCTTTGACAAACCTGACAAAAAGCAGCAATGGGGAAAGGATTCCCTATTTAAACAAAGGTGTTGAGAAAACTGGCTAGCCATATGCAGAAAGCTGAAACTGGATCCCTTCCTTACACCTTATGCAAAAATTAACTCAAGATGGATTAAAGAGTTAAACATTAGACCTAAAACCATAAAAACCCTAGAAGAAAACCTAGGCAATACCATTCAGGATATAGGCATGGGCAAAGACTTCATGACTAAAACACCAAAAGCAATGGCAACAAAAGCCAAAATTGAAAAATGGGATCTAATTAAACTAAAGAGCTTCTGCACAGTGAAAGAAACTCTCATCAGAGTGAACAGGCAACCTAGAGAATAGGAGAAAATTTTTGCAATCTATCCATCTGACAAAGGGCTAATATCCAAAATCTACAAGGAATTTAAACAAATTTACAAGAAAAAATCAAACAACCCCATCAAAAAGTGGGTGAAGGATATGAACAGGCACTTCTCAAAAGAAAATATTTATGTGGCCAACAAACATGAAAAAAAGCTCATCATCACTGGTCATCAGAGAAATGCAAATCAAAACCACGATGACATACCAACTCACACCAGTTAGAATGGCGATCATTAAAAAGTCAGGAAACCACAGGTACTGGAGAGGATGTGGAAAAATAGGAATGCTTTTACGCTGTTGGTGGGAGTGTAAATTAGTTCAGCCATTGTGGAAGAGAGTGTGGTGATTCCTCAAGGATGCAGAACTAGAAATACCATTTGACCCAGCAATCCCATTACTGTGTATATACCCAAAGGATTATAAATCATTCTACTATAAAGACACATGCACATGTATGTTTACTGTGGCACTGTTCACAATAGCTAAGACTTGGAATCAACTCAAATGTCCATCAGTGATAGATTGCATAAAGAAAATGTGGCACATATACAGCATGGAATACTATGCAGCCATAAAAAAGAATGAGTTCATGTCTTTTGTAGGGACATGGATGAAGCTGGAAACATCATTCTCAGCAAACTAACACAAAAACAGAAAACCAAACACTGCATGTTCCCACTCATAACTGGGAGGTGAACAATAAGAACACAGGGATGCAGGAAGGGGAACATCACATACCAGGGCCTGTCAAGGGGTGGGGGAGCTGGGGAAGGGATACCATTAGGAGAAATACCTAATGTAGATGACGAGTTGATAGGGTGTAGCAAACCACCATGGCACGTGTATACCTACGTAACAAACCTGCACATTCTGCACATGTACCCCAGAACTTAGAGTATAATTTTAAAAAACTTAAAAGAATGAATTTTCACAGAGTATGTTCTCTTCCTAAACTGAAATTAACTTAAAAATCTATAAAAATTAGATCTATAGAAAAAGCCCAAATAATTAGAAATTAAATAACCCACTTCTAAATAACCCATAGACCAAAGAGAAATCACAAAGAAACTTAGAAAATGTTTGAAAATTAATGTTAAGAATGCAACAGAGTAATAGAGGACACAACTAGCATGGTGATTAGAAGATGTGTAGCTTTAAATGCCTATCTATACTAGAAAATAAAATCTAAGTTTCTGACTTAAAAAAATGAAAAAAGGAAGAGCAATTTGAACCCAAAGTAAGGAAAAGAAAAGTAATATCAAAAATCAGAACAGAAGCCAAAGAATTAAATAGACAAATGATAGAGAAAATTTAAAAACACAAGTTAGTTCTTTGAAAAGTTTAATAGAATTGGTAAACTCCCAGCAAAGTAATCAGAAAAAAGAAGAAACAAAATTGTAAAAATTAATAATTAAAGAATACATAGTGCTAGTGATTCTACAGATATTAAATGGATAATAAAATATAATGAACAACTTTATGTCAATTAATTTAATAACAAATGGAATGGACATTTCCTAAACAACTCAACTTATCCAAACTGAATCAGAAAAAAAAAATAGAAAATTGAATGATATTCTTCCCTCTATTAAAGAACTTTAATAGTAATGGGAAACTTTCCCACTGAGAAAGAAGGCAGAAAGAGGAAAAACAAAAAGTACAAGGGGAAAAAACACAAAAGACAAATTGGAAGCACAAAACAACAGCAGAAGGACTTTCAAATATATTAGCTAAGACAGGCCATGCACAGTGGTGCAGGCCTGTAATCCCAGCACCTTAGGAAGCCAAGGCATTCAGGTCACTTGTGGCCAGAAGTTCGAGACCAGCCTGGCTAACATGGCAAAACCCCGTCTCTACTAAAAACACAAAAATTATCCAGGTGTGGTGACACATACCCATAATCCCAGCTACTTGGGAGGCTGAGGCACAAGAAGTACTTGAACCTGGGAGGAGAAGTTGCTGTTAGCCAAGATTGTGCCACTGCTCTCCAGCCTGAGTGACAGAACAAGACTCTGTCTCAAATATATATATATATAAAATATATATTATGTATTATACCTTACCATATATAATATATATTATGTTTATTATGTCTCAGCATATATATAATATATAATATATATAATGTCTTACCATATATAATATATATTATATAATGTCTTACCATATATATATAAAACATATATATGTTTATTTATATATATATGGTAAGACAATACATAAAAGTGGTCTAAACGTGTTCTTTAAAAAACAAAGTTTCTAACTTCAAAAAAGTAACCAAGTAAATCTAACAATATGGTCTTCAAAAGAGTCAAACTTACAAAGGCATACTGGATACGAAGGATGAATCAAAAGAGTAAACCAATTAAAAGAAGTAAAAGAAAATGATGTAGCCATCGTTTTAAGAATCCATTTTAAGACTAAAGGCAGTACTGGGGATAAAAAGGTATCCACTCAATAAAAGATCCAGTTCACCTTAAAATATAACAGTGAATAATTCTAAAGTTGTGTCCACCTTGCTGTATAAGATAAAAATTAATAGGATTACAAGAACAACAGTATTACACAGTGCTGATACAATTCTTTTGGAAGAATAACCCAGATAAGATTATATAAAAATAATATTAAGGCTGTGACACATGTATTTTATGTGATGTTAACCTACATTACAAAGTGAAAATTACTGAAACTATAAGTATTCAACATAGAAAATTAAATTAATACAAGAGAACAGATAGTCAAGAAAATAAATCAATTATAAAACTTTAATAAATCCCAAATCAGAGCCACACAATAATAGATGAAAAATAATTACTACTAGTAAAGATGTCAGTGTGGAAAAAATGTTATAAACTCATAATTCACCACCTCATGGCTATGCATTTCAAAAGCATCAAATAATTAAAACCAATTTTAATATAAAAAAAGTATTTTTCATCCCATCTGAAAATGAGACAATAACTTGACTCTTCAAGAGATGAAGCACAATCATTAGACACAAGATAGATTAAGTACATTTTAAAATTGCACACTAAAATGTAATATAATAAAGATAAAACTTTGATATATAGAATATCAATACATATGTGGAAAAAAAATGCTCCTACAAAATATTTAGGGAATATGTAAGTGTTCAAAGGCCAAATTTCTCCAGATAAATCACAAAGCAGATGAACTAATGATATAGAGACTGAAAAATACAGAAAAAACTTCACAGGTGTAATCATGTGTACAGCACCATTATAATTGAAAGTAATAAAAAATGACCAAACTGCCCCATGAAAGAGGAATGATTAAAGAATCTATCATTTACCAAGTGGATGGAATGTATGATTTTTTTTAAATGACAAGTGTCAGGAAGGATGTCTCTTTCACTAAACTTAGCGTTTATGGCCACCAGTAACTCTCACTCATAGTTTGTCATGATATGTATGTAGATATATAGAAGAGGTTTCCACTAAGAAAGTGGCACATAAGCTGGGAACAAAGCTTGGGTGGGCTTCAGATCACCTGGATGTAATGGGAAGAGGTCTGAGAGCAGGTGGTGCTGGTGCAGCATAAACACAGAGGAAAGATTGAGGGGTCCAATTACAAGGGCCCCTTGGCAGATGGGTCTAATCAGATTGGAAGTGAATGCTGAGTAACTAACTCTTAAGTCAGATAATGAGCAGTCTTGGATGCCAAGTTATAGAATTTAAACACTATTTAAACAATTCCTGAGGAGGGGAGGGTTATGACCAATACTATTGTTTTTTAGATCATTTAATGTGAAACACATGGGATAACCTAGAAACAGGTAGACTAAATGTAAAATATCAGATGAGAAAACTTAATAAGGAACATTCTCAAAAAGTAGAAGAGTTAGGAATTCATACAGTATGCAAAAGAACTAAATACAGTTATTGTAGAAAGACCTAAGTACACTGTAGCCAAATAGCAAATTTTGAGTACAGCTGTAAAAATAGCATGATGTTGAGAAATACTGAGAAGAAATATGACAAAAAGGGGCCCATGTAAGCTCCATGTTAGAACTATGTGAAGGTAGGGGCATTAGTCAAATGATAAAAGTGAGCTCTAAGAATAGTATAAATGAATTAATGGGCAAACAGAAAGTTTTGTTTCCTTGTTTTCATAAAAAGCCAAAGTAATGGAGTTAACTGTGTCAAAAAAAAAAAAAAAAAAAAACAAGCCTGATGACGACAATTGACCTCAAGTATGGAGAGGGAGTGTTAAGGAGACAGATGCTGATTAGCTGATTTTTGTAATACATCTGTGGAGGACTGTGCAATACAAAATGGGTTTAAACAGGCAAACAAGATGTATTTTTCTGTAAGATATAAAAGCATCTCCTAACACATACTTTGTTTCCACTCTCTCTTTTACCCCAAAAAGCTATGTAATATGCATCCCTGAAAATCTTCAAGAAGCAGTAACACTCTGCTTTTTAAATTCATGTTTCCTAATGGCCTCCTCAAGACACATGATTCTGTGATTCTATTAATATGCCATGCTCTATTCAATAAGGCTGTCTTCTAAGCAGATAGCTTCTGCCTGGAGTATATGGAGCTATGATGAAAGAGAGTACTATCTTGAAGTCAGCTGGAACATACCAGTCAGTCATCAGAGAACAGTGATGCGATAGACACGATTCTATCACTTATTCCACATTTGACACTATAATTTTTTCAATCATTAAACCATATCACTCAGACACAGAGAAGAGACAACCTCTTACAAAACTGTCCCCAAGGCCTGATGCACTGTCCAAAAGAGACAATTAGTATTTTTCCAAGTATTTCTGAAATTTATTTCACCCTCCCCAAAGCATATCATATCTTGTATACAACCACTTTTTTAAAAGGTTTAAATTTTAAACCACTTAACATCTGTGGAACATATAATTCTATTTTATTTTTATCTAGGGGCCTGCCTTGTAATATATAAAGCTAAAACACAAACTCTGTAAGCCTAGAGGCATCTAAGTTGAAATTTCCTCTAAGACCTACTTAAGGAAGTAGACTTTTTTTTAGAGCTGTAGAATGGAAGCTAGCCACATAAGGTGAAGATCAGTGAATCACATCACATCCAGCTGAAAAAGAAAATTAAGTTGTTCCCTGTGGAGAGCAGAGATTTAGGAGGCCAAAGGTGCCTCACAGGCAAGGGGATGTGGGCCTAGGAAATAAAATTCTGATCCAGGAGGAAGCTGTCCTGGCAATCCTCTCCTAAAGATCGGTTTGAATTGCCACACGGGTCTTCAGTTTCCCCAACTACTGATCTTTTCCAGATCTAACTTCTCTAGACTCAAGAATCACAACCTGAATTTCCGCCCAAGCTTCTGTCCCTAAGGCTTGAAAGTATGTGTCTTTCATGTGTCAAAAGTGAACACCCTGCTGGTTGCTGGAGGAGAAGAGGGAAGCTTTGTCCTTTCTCAGCTTTACTGTTTGATTTTAAGCAACCAGCTGAGGAAATTCTGGACTTAATGAGTCCTTCTTTTGTCCTTGGAAGAGTTACAGAATGCAGCTGTCAGGCAGCAAGAGTCGTACAGGAATCTTACAGATCCTCTGTAATTCTTCACATAGCATCGTATTTTACATTATCAGTTACTAGCGGCCTGACAGCTGAGACTACCTCCTATAAATTCCCCAACAAAGGAAGACCAGATGTGTCTTCTTTATCAGCCACATTTTCCTGTACATCCTGAGAGGTCTTTGAAGAAAAGCAAATTTTCCTTTTTTCCTATGAACAAAGGAAGGAACAGCATGTATTAATAGAGAGTTACTAGAATTCAATGACCCAGGAAGC
Source organism: Homo sapiens (assembly GCF_000001405.40). Classification (NCBI taxonomy): domain Eukaryota; kingdom Metazoa; phylum Chordata; class Mammalia; order Primates; family Hominidae; genus Homo; species Homo sapiens. The sequence goes on from NC_000004.12 coordinate 142,752,922, forward strand.
ACTTCCTAAGTATCTCTTTGAGCCAGGCATTGAGTGACGATCTATAGATCTGGTTCAGAAGAGTATAAATAATTTCTTGCACACCCTGCCTAGGCAGAAACAGCTCTGTGCAGAGGAGAGCTCCAAGCCTCAAGACACATGATAAAGCCTTTATTCTGACAGAATCAGAACTTTTTAGTAAGAATAAGCATTTTACTGAGATGTAATGTTTAAAAAATACTCAACACAATAGTTTTATAAGACCGTTCTTACACCAACCAGATTTGGACTTATACCAATTAGTTATATCTTGCTCTAATAAAGTGACAATTTTATTTCAAATGCTTACTTTTTTCAAGGTTAAACTTCTAAATGTACATGGAGGAGTGGTCAAAAATAATAATATAGTATGTCTTTCTCATTCTCGTTATCACACAATATTTAAATATATCCAATATTACTTGGTAGCTAGCTTGATATTGTTGGATTACTCATACTCTTAAACCTACTTTATAGTGAAGCCAAAATTGATTTGTTGTTGATGTACTGATTGTCATTTCAACATCAGCAATCCAGCTGGTATGATAAAGACCAGGTCAGCCCAGGAGAATCTCTCAAAACAAATGTGCATATTGATCCCCCCTCTCTCCATTTGCTCTTGACCAGATTTAAGGCTTACTGCGATCTAGGGACACTTGGGAGTATATGTCTTTTCAAATAGAGATAACCCAAAAGCTTCCATAAATTTACTTTAAGGATTAATTTTACTGTTGAAATCTCACCTATAGTAGAATATGCTTCTCAAAGAGAAAATAAAACATTTTAAATAAATTGTTTTCCCTCCTATGTACAAAAAAGATGAGCTTTATATCAGTATGACTATGACAAAGAAAATATTAAGAACAATAGCATATCATTTTTGTGCAAATTACTACAAAAAGCTAGTATACTTATTACATGTAATTTTATTTTTAAAACTCTGAAGATAGCATTTACCACTTTCCTGAAATCTCAAGTATAATTCTCCTTCTACTTTCTTTCATTTCCTTCCTTTTTTCACAAACGCCCAATCCAGCTCCTAATAATTTTTAAGAAAAGCCTAGAAGGCATTACCTTCGTGACTGATTTCCACCTTCAGCAACTGAAAAATCAGAATCACAATGGTGCAATTCCAAGTAAGTTTGTATTTAATGCCGTAGATGCCAATTGTGCTTGTTTCCAAACTTGCTGATCTGGAATGATGAGTGTGAATTTTTCATTCAGAATTTCCTTTTATACCTTTAATAATTCCATGGATTCTCAAACATAACTCCAAAATATTATTAGCTACGGGGTTTCTTTTGCACTCAATTTCTCAAGTAAATGAGTCATGCTGTTCTCCAGGACATCTTTTACTAGTGAGCTTTTTATTTGGGCTGAAGTAACAGTGACCCCAAGTAATGACAAGCAACAAAAAGAATTGCTTGGAACCCAAATCATGTGTCTGTATGTGAATAAACCTAATGCATGTTGTGGTATATACCTGCTTTTTCTTTCATTCTGTATCTCCTCCCTGCCTACGCCAATATTCACTATCATGTTGTATCTTTTTTAACAGTTATGCCATATCCAGTCTTTAAAAATTCTTGGAGTAGCATTTTAAATACAGGTCTACATTACTTAGAAAAATGCATTCTTTCCCAAATCAAAAAATTTTTTTAAAAATTCAAAGTTATTATCTCAGGGTATGGGGGTTCTTGTACTATTTGCCAACCTTAAAACTATATGCATATCAGTAACATGAACAGATTCAGTCTCAAAATGTGTTTTTTTTAGTGAATTTGATTGGAAACTCATTCCTGATTTAGTGAATTTATTAAATATGATGAGGTATTGAGAATAGGCGTCAGATAAAATTGCTTAATGATTCTTCTATAGCTAAACTCTGATCCATAGGCTTTTTGTGTATTCACATTAGAATTGAGAGGAGCTAGCAGGCCCAGCAATAGACTGACATGTGTGCAGAAAAACATGGACTAAAAATATGTTGCATTTGTATGGCACATCAAATTACTTAATTTCTTATGATTTAGACCTGCCTCATATTGCACCTGCCTCAAAGGGTTGTAAGGATTAAATGAAACAATGTGGGTGACTCTTGCACACATACTTCAATCACAGTGAATGGGAACTCTCATTCTGATGACTGATCCCATTTTCTTCTATAGGTGGCACACATTTCTATTCTATCTATCCTCATAAATCTGTTAATCTTTTCTTAAGTTAGCATTGAAATTAAGTAATAGTTACTGACTTTCATTCACCTAGAGTTTTCTTTCTGAAGGGCATTGAGTGATTCACAGTGCATGAATTCCTCAGACTATATTCTATGTCTATATCATTATCTGTTTCTGGACCCTAGATTTCACTAGAATCAATTAAAAATAATATTGCATTGACTTCATATGAACTTTTTCAAACAAATTTTTAATTTGTGCTTCACTATCCAGCTCATTGAAAATTATATTTCCTCTCCCTGATGCTTTCCTCTGTCAGCAGTCTCAATTAGTCCTATTTTTCCATTACTTCCAAACACAAAGCTATAATTTTGATTCCTTTTAAAAAGAGTTATTGTAAGACAGACTAAAGAAAAAAAATAAAGAAGCCCTTACTTCTGAGAGCTGAAGGTCCCTTCTGAGCAAGGATGGAATACTCTACATAAAGCCAACAATCACAGATATAAAATTAATCTGGAGCCATGCACAAACTATTTTTTAAAATGGGCTTTAATTAATTTGCTTTAAAGAGAAATAAAATAACATGTGATCAGTATAATAGTTTATCCTGTTAACTTTGCCCTATAAAATGTTTGCTTGGTCTTTAAAAAAAGCCAGAATCTCTATTTGGAGAACATTTTTAGTAGCATAATTACAATATATACTCTTTAAAAATAGAAAACGTTTTTGAGCTTTAGTAGTATAACAAACACTAGTAGTTTCTCACCCAGAAATTGTTCCCCACAAACACCTTTGTTATTGCTCACAGAATCTCGATTTTGTTTAGGTCTTGTTCATTAAACCCCAGTTTTTACTAGGTATCAAATACTCCAATGGCCTTATCTCTAGATCCAGTCCCAGCCCTCGACCCTGGAGGGGAATCATAATTTGTCCAGATCCTCTTGCTAGTGGTTGCTTTATTCTGGGGTATATGATATAGTGCAGGCGAATGAATGAGACAAGAGAGGAAGTCTGATGAAAAGATTCTAAACAGAGATGAAGAGGAAAGAGCTCCTCTTTTGCTCCTCGATGTTGTCATGTCTACATGTTATAAAACTGTAGCAGCCATTTTGGGACCATGAAGGAAGTTAGCCTGAAAGGAATTGCTGAAGATGGCAGAGTAGAAAGATGAAAATAAAGTAAGATTTTCATGACATTAGAAAACTGCGGCGTTAACAAAATTGAAACTGCCTTACCTCTGGGATTCTTGCTAGGTAAGACAATTAATCCTCTTATTATTTAAGACACTCTAAGTTGAGATCCTAATACTTGCACCCAAAATCATCCCAACTAAGCTACAGCAATATCATCTTATAAGATCCTTGATAACAGCTGTAAGATGCCTAACTTTACTGATAAAACTGGAGGCTCCTCTTACTCTACGGCATTCCAAGCTCATTCTCTATCAGCTCCAAACTCTGTGGGCATAGATTATTATAACTTAGAAAGGAAAGGTGATTCAAAGTATTAGGCATACTAATAGATATGTCAAATATAGATGAGTAAGGACAACACATTATAATCATAAGAAAAGAGTATGATAAATAAAGAACAGACCTGAATTAATAGCTTTTGTAAAATTTATCATTCTGGAATGCCTATCCAGAACTAATGAATTTTTAGGATAACCTGAATTAGGCACATGAAATTGAAAACAACAATGATAATATAGAATAATGTCTACAAATGGCCAGGATGAGATGTAATAAGAATAAATGTAAAGTCATAGATTTACGTCCCAGAAAATGTAGTGTACAAATTTTGGAAAGATCTAAAAAGGAGTCCTACTGGTTTTAACCGTTCCCAAATCTGGTACATAATGAATAGTGTTGTATGGCTGCAATCAATAAACATTATGGTATCTTACCTTCATTAATTGAGTATAGTGTCTAGATCTATGGCTTCCAGCCCCAGATAGATATCAAAGTTATGTGTAGAGCTTTTAATTAGTAAATTTTATTTTTAGAGCAGTTTTATGTTCACAGCAGAATTGAGTGGAAAGTACACAGAGTTGTCATATACCCCTTCCTCTACAACACACAACCCTGATATTATCAACAGTCCAAGCTCATTCTCTATCCAACCACATCAAAGTGGTATATTTTTTACAATGGATATCTACAATGACACATCATTATCACTCAAAGTCCATAGCTTACTATGGGTTTGTTCTTGATGTACATTCTATGGGTTTTGACATATATGTGATGACATATACCTACCATTGCAATATTGTACAGAATAGCTTCACTGCCCTAAAAATCCTGATTCTTTGCCTATTCATCCCTTCTTCCCTGAAACTCTTGGCAACCACTAATCCTTTAACTGTCTCCATAGTTTTGCCTTTTCCAGAATGTCATGTAGTTGGAATCATACAGCATATAACCTTTTCATGTTGGCTTCTTTCCCTTAGTAATATTTATTTAAGCTTCCTCCGTGTCTTTTTCTAACTTGATAGCTCATTTCTTCTTAGCACTGAATAATTTTCCATTGTCTGGATTTACCACAGTTTCTTTATTCACTCACCTACTGAAAGGCACCTTGGTTGCTTCCAAATTTGGGCAATTATGAATATAAACATCCACGTGCAGGGTTTTCAATTCATTTGGGTGCATACCAAGGAGCATGATTGCTGGATCTTAGGGTAAGAATATATTTGGCTTTGTAGCAAACTCCCTGTCTCCCAAAGCATTTTCACTATTTTGTATTTTCACCAGCAATGAATGAAAGTTCCTATTGTTTCTGTGGTGCTTTTTTAAAATGACAATATCTGGGCCCAAATCTAGAACTAGTGAATCAGAATATTTTTGGATTGGACTTGGCTTTGTGCATTTTTTAAACTCCATAGGCAACAGGCAGTGACACTGGTCTAGATTCTAGATTAAGCAAGATTTGTTGTACTTAGCTCTGAATAGATCTCATCAGTGGGACATTATTTAGTTCTGGGATAATAGTTTTTAAAAAGATATTTAAAAATTGAAGTGCAGCCGAAGGAAGCCAACCATAAAAGTGAAGAATCTTGCAATCATAGCATAGGATGAATAGATGAAAGACCAAGGATATTTGGTCTAGAAGTGAAAGGACATAGGGGGAACTCATGAAAGAAAGTAACATATTTATGTTGAATAGTTAAGGTTTGACATGTGAAGAGTTGCTGTCATTTGTTATCTCTGAAATAAAAGAATTAGGGAATTAATGTATGAACATTACCAGGCAAAAGAATCTCAGATCAATAGATAGAAAATTTTTCAAGCCATTAAATATTCAGCAATGAAAAGGACTCTTTTTGGAAAAGAGTGAATGCTGTCATAATTGTAAGTTCCTCCAGAGGCCCATGACAGTATAGAATAAAATCAGGAAAGTTGTAAAAGGGACACTTGCCCTCAACAGGGAGTGGACTAGAAAACCTCTAAGGTTCCCTTGGACTCTGCAATTCTATGATATTCTGAGCAAATATATCACATAGAGATCACAGAAACATGACAAAGAAAGCAACCTTGAAATTCACTTGTTAAGGCCGGGCACAATGTCTCACACCTGTAAGCTCAGCGCTTTGGGAGGCCAAGGCAGGTGGATCACCTGAGGTCAGGAGTTCAAGACCAGCATGGCTAACATGGTGAAACCCCGTCTCTTCTAAAAACACAAACATTAGCCGGGTGTGGCAGTGTACACTTGTAGTTCCAGCTACTCGGGAGGCTGCGGCACGAGACTCGCTTGAACCCAGATGGTGGAAGTTGCAGGGAGCTGAGAATGTGCCACTGCACTCCAGCCTGAGAGACAGAGTGAGACTCAGTCTCAAAAAAAAAAAAAAAAAATCACTTGTTAAAAGCCTTTCACTGTGTAGATAACAACTGCTAATACAAAGTGAACAACTACTATGTGACTGTCTCTTTATGCATGCTATTACTAATTCTTACAGAAACCTAGAAAGATGAGATGGCTATTATCATTTTATAGATGAGGAAAGCAAGTTTCTCAAGAGTTAGTTTGACTTACTTAAAGCATTTAACTAGTATGTAGAAGAGAAAGCACTTGAACCAATGTCTTGACAAAGCCAAACCCTTAATGACATCTCAGAGAAGTTCTACAAAATAAACACTAAACCCCTGTTTTGTATTCAAGATCAATGATCTGTCACCAACTTTAATTTTCAACCTTAGTTTCCTTCCAAGTTCCAAGTTTCCTGGCAACAAGGCTTACATTAAAATGGTTCTTTCAAATTCTAACACAATTTCGTCTTCTCTCCACATCTTCCTGAACCCAAACTCTATTAGAGAACTAGTCCAAATCCTTCCTCTTCAAATCTTTGATGATATCAACTCAAAATGAATTACCTATCCCAAGAAGTCTCACTGCATCTTATATTAAGTCTCTTGTAGTACTTAAAATGTTCTGCTTTGCATGAATTACATGTGTGTGTATGTGTTGCCTAATAACAATTTTTGTATGTGTCTCATTTCTGCTACTAAGTTCTAAAATTCACTCCTAAGTCCCCCTGAAAAGTTGAATATAACACCAGGCACATGGTAAACAATCAATACATTTTGAATCAATAAATGAATGGAGCAAACATACTATGCCACAAAGAAGTTAAGTGATGTGTCCGAGATCACAAAGGTAATTTGCCTCTCAACCAGAACTTACCCCAGAGCTTATATAGAGCTTTTTCTAAAAAAAAAAAAAAAAAAAAAAAAAAAATTTAATTGCCCTGTGAAGCAATTCTGGTACATACTTAGATAATAAGAAACAAAAAAAGAACATGCGAATTATTGATTCAGCTCTCCAAGGGGCAGGAGAAAAGGGGGGCTTTTTCCTAAACTTAAAAATAAGTTTAAGAAAAGTCCTCTGATTTTCTTCTCTGCAGAAAGAAAACCAGAAATTCTATTTGTTGGCATTTTTTATGATATTTTGCCTCAGTTAATTAAAGCCAAACTCAAGTACCTCAAACCAAGATCTGTCAGTGCAGTCACTAAATATACAACTGCCAAAGTTCACAAATATCCAGAAACCTACATTTCTCATTAAGTAGATAGTATCATGGACTTGAGAACACATTTTCTGAACAAATAAATCTGGAAAATGCTATTCTTATGCCATCATATTTAAGAACAGTAATATATCATTTTAATAGCTTCTCTGCCATGTCACACATGGGGAGGACAAAACATCTTTTAACTAACAAAAGAGATTCAGAGAGGAAACTAAAATCAGAGATCTTGGTAGAAAAACATAGCAAAAGGATATAAATTATCGTAAAAGGTTATTGTTTTATTCAAATAGACAATTTACATAAATGACCAGCTGTATACTTGAAGCTAGTGGCAACACATGTAAAAGCCTGCAAAACCAATTCCAGAGATGAAATCAATTATGCTGAAGAGCCACAATACTCTTATAGAGCAATCAATTATGCTGAAAATTTATACTTTCAACTACTGACTCAAAAAACTGGGAAAGTCATGTTACATGAGAACAGCTAATTGAAAAAAAAGTGAATCTGATCATTTTAATGATTCTACCTATTCTTATATTAAATTTTGTATAAAACCACTGAAAATTGGACTTTTTATGAAGAAAAGTGTTCCCTGAACAAACCATGCTTTCTCTTTTGCCTTTGGCCTAGCAATGGTGCTACCACATCCAGGAACATAACTGGCAATTATTTCTCTCTACTCTCAACCCTTCTACTTTGCCTAAATTGTACTCATTCTTTACATTTTAGATGACAAGTTATTACCTTCAAGAATTCTTCCCTGAACGTTCTTCCCAAAGCTGGGTTAGGTATTCCCCAAAATGAACACTAGACCTAGCAACCTGGTCTCACCCACTAATATAGTACACATCACAGTGTTCTGTTATTTCTTATTTATTTGTATTCTCCCAAATCTTGCAACATGAACACATACTCACACAGAAGCTTCTCTGGCCCAGGACGTAGCATCCATTATCTTCCCAAGAACACAATATGGACCTAATTATTTTGCTTATATAACTACATTGTCATAAAATAAGCAATTTTTTTTTTTTTTGCTTTTTGCTAAAAAATATCCACACCTTATTGAGCATTTTTAATTGTATTCTGCAGCCTTCTCCACTTTCCCTCTCGGTCATGCTAACAGGAGTCCTCAGTCCTTCTGCAAGTTGGAAAATGTGTTGAAGTTTTGTGCATAGGTTCCTTTTGACATTTTTCCATATTGATCTCCCCATTTGAGAATAGAGAAAATGTACTACATCATATAATTTATTTTAAATTGGTACCATGAAAATCTTTCTACACAAAAACATACATCAGTATGTGGCCAAGATTGAGAAATGTGTTCATTTTAGTATTCACACCAATATTTGCCAAATAACTGAGTCATATTTTTTCTACTAAATTTGAATTTTATAAAAAGAGTGTTCACAGTGGATGCCATTGTAATAATTGTTGTAAGAGATTTTTAAAGCCCAACCTATAATAGAAAAATTCAATTGAAAGTCATTGTCAAGTTGACCAAGCACTTGTGATATTTGTTTCTATTTTACACATTGACAGAAATAGAAAGATTGCACCAGCCCTTTTTGTCAGATATCACATTAAGTAAATTACATTAGGCATTCTCTGTTAAAAGGGAACATTGGGGCAGCCCAGACTTTTTATATATTCAAATACAAATCAGTCACATTCAGACACTTAAGACAAGATAACATAATTCTAGCCAAGGTGGAGCATAAACCATTCCTAAAACCTCTCAAAATACAGCAGGGCCAGCTGTGTAGGTATGGGAACTAGCCAGATTATGGTTCCTAGCCAAAAATGATCATTTCTGATCTTCTAGAGTCAATATGAAACCCTGATACAATTGGATGTAAAAGAAAAATGTGTTGCATAACTTGAGGCCATGGCTTGGAGTTGACTGACCTTAATCTTCTCAGGCAGAGAGTTGTCTGTCATGTTATGCCAAATGCCCACACACCAGGCTTTTTCTCGTTTCTTCATTTTGATGCACTCTACACACTCTACATGTCTGTGTTAAGTGCCCTGGCTCTCATTCTGCAACTCCCTCAAATTCTGTAAGCATCTTAGAGCCTTCAGGGCTCATGGAAACACTGGTTAATACTAGAGTGGAGAAATAGAAAGCCATCACCACACCCACCTCACTTCTCTAACTGCACCCCCAACCCAAACACACACACAAATACATATGCACAGATTTTCCTAAGTTCAGAAGAAAAACTTTGGGAAGACAGATCATCTTAGGGATAAAAATTTTCAGTATAATTATGGGAGCCACCATAATCCTGTGAGGTGAGCTTACTCAAGAGTAAAAATAGCTGTCCTGAGTGACACTGCCTCTGGATAAAGCTCGCTTATGGCACATTGCTGAGCAGTAAAGCAATCCTACAAGAAGCATTTTTCAGCAAGCCAGACCAAATTTGTCCATGAATTTCCCTGTCTTGTTAGTTTAGATCTAACCCATTGCAGTACACTTTTCTAACAGACAAGCAACAAGTACGTTATCTTCCATCATCACTGCAGTAGAAAGCATTCTATATGTGGTGTGGTGTGTGTGCCATATATTTGAAGAGGATATGTGAACAGGAAGAAACCATATCAGAACAAGAATGAAATCTTAGCAGCTAACTGTGTCACTGCTATGGTCTGAGTGTTGAAACTTGATTGCCAATGTGATAGCATTAAGAAGTAGGGCTTTTAGGAGGTGATTACATCATGAGAGTAGAGCCCTCACAAATGGGATTAATGATCTTATAAAAGAGGTGTGAGGGAGCTGTCCATTCTTTTTGCCCTCCCACCTTCCATCATGTGAGGACACAGCAACAGGGCGCCATCTTGAAAGCCGAGAGCAATCCTCACCAAACACCGAATCTACTGCTGCCTTCAGCCTGGATGTCCCAGAACTGTGAGAAATAAATTCCTTTTATTTACAAATAACCCAGCATAAGGTATTCTGTTATAGCCACGTGAATGGACTACAATTGTCATCTTGGAGAAGTCCTTTAATTTCTCTAAGCATCAGTTTCTACTCACTTGCGACTACATTATCTTATTTCAATCTTAAATGATATTGTGAAAATTGCTTAGAAGCTTACATTTAAATATATTCTAAGTCTCTCTCCAAGTATGCTAACTTGTTAACACTAACAGAAGTCTTTCATAATTTTTTAAAAGTCATTAACACATTTTACTGATGAAATTAAAATGGCAAATTTAAGAGAAATAATATTTTGATAGATATTAATTAATGTTCCCCCTTGATTAGATTTAACACTAAATAACAATATGTAAAACCAAGAAACAAACAACAGAACATTGTGAAGAACCAACATATTGTCCTAATAAACAGGATGGAAGAGTTTCACCAGAAAAATCAACCCATGATTGAGAAGGGAAACTGAGCTTGACAATTACAACATAATATAACATCAGATCTTAAGGAAAAACTTGGAAGCCATAAATATATTCAAATTGTACTTGTTGCTTTTCTAAAGAACAAATAAATAATATCATAAGGAAGTAGGAAACTAGTAACCACCAGTGTGCTAGCTGTGTATACTACCAAAGTAAAAGTGATGCCTGAACCAATTTTAACTATGGTTCAATTTTTATGCCATACATCTCTGTGGTTAGGAAATTTTCTAAAGACAAAATTACAAATTTTGCTTTGTAAAAATTTTTTTAAAAAATCAGCAAAGAAGCAATGTCAATAGTCAAGACATGAAATTATCTAAGCTCTCATAAAATTGAAACAGAAAGGAAATTCTATAGAAAATTAATGATTCAACATATTCATTGAGGCTGCCTAAAAGCTCAATCTGCTCTTTAAAATTCTTTGAGCTTATTCATTTTAAGATGTTTTATTTCAAGTTCAAAAAGTTATGACAGAATGCTAATTTTATTAATAATTTATGAGAGCGTAAATTTTTCTTTTCTCCAAAAAGTTTCATCACATCCTCAAGATATTTTTATTCCCCTTTTTGACGTGTTAGACAAAATTACACATGCATATGCAATAAAAATATATAATTTACATCTGAAATACAAACTGCATTTAATCTGTACTTCGTAAGTAAAAACTCACAAGCAAACTAAAAACAATAGAAGCTCTTTTCTCACTAAACTCTTAGGTTCATTTCTTGACTTTTAAAATGGTAGTTGGAAAAGTATATGAATGAACACATACATCAAACAGATACTGAAATCCTCAAAGGTCATTTCTTGCTTTACACAATAATAAAAAATTCAAGGCAACTGTCAGAAAATAGCTGGCACAGCACCATACTGGGCTGACATCAAAGAAGTTGTTGATGTTATAGATACTGTCAAATAAAAAAAAAATCTTAGTTGGGGCTCTAATGATACTGAGATCCCACCCTGTGAACATAACCATCTTGTTTTGACAAGAACAAAGAGAAACCAGCTGTTCTCCTAGGAACATATCAGAATTCATAGCAGCCATTATTCCTCCAGAGATATTTCTGAGAGAGGACAATGTCCTAAATCTCTGAGGATTTCTTTATTCTGCAACACCCAGCATTAGTTTCCATCCTCTACCCCACCCTCCCACCTCCTGACATTAATGTTAATCAAGATCTACTCTGAAGACAAGAGACCCTTAACAGGAGGGTCTAGCATGTGTATCTGGAGATCCTCAGATACACATGCTAGAACACGGAGGTTAAGGCTAGACCATCGAGGCCCTTAAATATGAGGCTAAGACGTTCGCTTGGTTAGAAAGGACAAAGGGAACCATGAAACTCGTTAAGACTAGGGACATATGAGATTTACTCTCTTAAGAGTAAATAATCTACTCTGGGGATGGTGCAATCAGGTGTTTGAAAAAAGTGAAAAACATTTGGTGCAATTACTTTGAGAAATATCCTAGAAAGTAAGATAAATAGGAGATTAAGCCACAGTGAGGATACAGCAGAGGTGAGAGATCATGATGCTGCACAGACCTCAGTCCAAAAAATGTCATGGCATTCTGCAACAAAGCTTGGTAATCTGACAGTGAAAAAAGTTGATAATGGAATGGCCCCAAATTAGAGATTAGCAAGGCAATGAAGATATTGAAGCTTTTAAAAGATTAAGCATGGATCCAGAAGCACAGGTGAGGGAAATGAGGTCTACAAGGCACTTATAGGTGGGGGTGGCACTGAAGGGCTGGATGTGTAATTCTGCAAAATAAAATTACACAAGAGTTGTGACCACCTGAGTATATCATGAGTCTTAAAGCACAGCAAGTGGTGGACTGCACCAAAACACTCTTTCCAAATACAGCACAGAAATTCAGACTGGACCAACAACTTTGACTGCATTTAGAGGAAGGGTTGTAATGGAAAATCAGTAGACAGGTGGAAGGTGGTCCTTGTAATTGAAAATAGATGTATTTCCCCACTCTCCTCCAAACAATCATGTGAGAGAAAATTTGCTTGAAGATAAAATTAACAAAATAGAACTGACTTTGGATAGATCCAGAAAATTGTAAGGATTTTCACTGTTAACTTATTACTGTCACTTCTAAGGGAGATATCGGTTAAACCAGTTGACAACATAGTATGCCAACATCTTTCTTTTATTTATATAAACATGAACTAAAATCCAGCATTATTTTTCTGATCATCATCTCTTATAAGCTATAATCCAGCTCATAAAACTTGTGCAAGAAACTCAGCAAAAAGCTTCTGGTTTTTTTTTTTTTAATCAAATACAGAACAATGTAAGTCAATGTATCATTATTTTCCAGCTAACAAGGTGCTATTTTTTTCAATAAATATATTACTTCATCTGAGGTTAGTCTGTTGAATTTTTCCAGCCCATTAGATTCTCACTTAATGAGATTTTTCTCTCTAAAGAAAGTAGAGATATTGAATCAATATAACTTATAGAACAGTCCAGAGCAGTGAAACATTTGCATAAACATCTTAATCACAGATATTGGAATCAGAAACAGAAATATCAGAATACCTACCCATCATGTTCTCATTATGTTAAATTTTATTTATATTGTACAACAAACATTATTTGTAGGGTGTGCCTATCAGTCAATCATTTACATATCTACTGTCATGGCGAAATAAAATATTCAACCATAGAATAACAACAGAATAAGGTGTAAGATATAAATGTTTGTTTCTTCTCACTAATGTCTATTTTAAAAATCACCTGGACTCATTAAATAATTCGTTTATGGTTAGTCTGACAGCAGAAAGCATAAGGTGTTTTTTTGTTTTTTTTTTCTGAGATGGAGTCTCATTCACTCTGTCACCCAGGCTGAAGTGCAATGGTGGCACAATCTTGGCTCACTGCAACCTCAAGTGATTCTCCTGCCTCAGCCTCCCGAGTAGCTGGGATTACAGCCGTGCACCACCGCACTCAGCTAATTTTTGTATTTTCAGTAGAGACAGGGTTTCACCATGTTGGCCAGGCTGGTCTTGAACCCCTGACCTCAAGTGATTCTCCTCCCAAAGTGATTCTTTCCCAAAGTGCTGGGATTACAGGCATGAACCTTTATGCCCAGCCATAAAGTATTTTCTCAAAAAAAAAATCTAAAGCAAAATGAAATCAATGTGTGCTTCCTTACCTAAGACCATAGGAGGCTGGAACTGGAATAGGATTTAGAGATTGTGTCCATGGATTTTTAACCCCAGAGGATCCAGAGATGACACCAGCATCTGAAATTACTCAAGGAAGAATACATGTACATGTGGATGTGTATTTAGAGTGGGAGGAGAAATAATAGAGATGATATACATAGAGTTCAGAAGATTCTTAATGACTCTAAAAACAGTAAGAGCAGCCACTTTAACTCAAACTCTTTATCTTACACAATAGGAAAAACTGAGGCCCAGATTGGGGAATAAAGCCACCCAAGGTGATGAACCTAGTTAGTGATTCAGATGACACTGGTTTCCTCAATGATAATCTAAACGCTCATTCCACTTTTCACACTGCCTCTATTCAAAGCCCTCCAATGTGAGATTTTAAAAATGGAGCTTTTGAAAGTGGGAAGTTACAATACTTTAATGTTTGCTCTGTCACTCTTTTAGATTGTTCTTCTTCCGGTGGGGGAGGGGAAAACACTTTGGAGCTTAAAAGTGGGAATTCATTTGAAAGAGGGTGAAAATCTAAAGAAGCAGTATGCCCTTGCTTCCAAACCTAGGTAAGAGATATGAAAACTTAACCTTCCAGCCAAGACAAGTTTTAAACATTATAAGGGCAGGTAGGTAATATTAGACTGTTTGAGACCCCTATATCTGTTATAAACCTCATTGAGCATAGAGTGATAGTCAGGAATGGGCTGGCTCTGCAGCCAGATTATCCGAGTTCAAATCTAGTCTCTTTCACTTTCCAGGTGTAAAGTCTTAGGCAAGTAACTTAGCTTAGCCTCTCTGTGCCTCTGTTTCAAATACACTGGGGATAATAGTAGTACTTATCTTCATTTGGGTTTCTCCAAAATAGAACATGACAAGATCTTGGATGCAGGTATTTGGCTTGGGAGAATTCTCTGGAAGGAGTTACGAATGACAAGAGTGAGACAGAGCTACAATAGGAGTAAATTACAGAAGTTGCTTCTATAAGCAATGGAAGTTTGACTCAGCTGAGACTTCCAAGAGTGTACAGAATGCCTCTTAGAATTGTCCATTCAAAGGGTGGGAAGCTAGAGAATTTACCCACCAGCTCCTGTGCATCTGTGGTTGAGGGTTGCCCTGAGAATGTTAAATCCACTTCACTTCTGTGCCAGGACATTAGAAAGATCTAGTGACTTCCTGCACTTTAGAGAAGGCCTGAACAGGCAGACTGATACTTGTGCATGGGGTGAGACACTCAGCACAAGTCTGAGCTCACACAAAACTCTCTGCCATAGTGATGGCTGAAATATGAGTTATGTCACAGTGACACAGGGCACTGGAAGCATTGGCTGTGTTGTCTACCTCAAAAGCATTGTTGTAGGGACTTAATAAAGTAATTCATGTAAAGTGGTTAGAACGAACCTGGCATATAGCAAGGGATCAATTATGTTAGCTGTGATTCTTCTTTTTAACATTTACTGAGTGCCTACCAGACACTAAGTGCTTTATACCATGTGATACAAAAATAATAACAATAAATTAAGTGAATAAATAAATACTAAAGACTGCTCTCAGTCTCTTCACAGTGTACTACAGGCAGCAAAGAAGCATTTGTCAGTCAAAGCACTAGACATCAAGATAAACGTATATATTGGGTGTAATTGCTACACAAAGTAGATAGCAACACACTCTGCCCAGAGGTCATAGCAGTCAGAAAGATTTCCCAGAGGATGTGCTATCTGAACACAATCTTAGCAGTCACATAGGAGTGGCCTCAGGAATGGCCATGGAGATGACTGAAATCAGAGTTAAGTCACAATGACACAAGGCAGTGAAGGCATTGACTGTATTATCTACCTCAGAGCATTGTTGTAGGAATTTAATAAAGTAATTCATGTCAAGTGGTTAAAGCAAAGCTGGCACATAGCAAGAGATGTGCATTTCAAGTACTGAGAGCAACATATACAGAAGCAAGTCACAGAAACAAGAAAGAACATGAAGCTTTTAGAGAACAGCCAGGGGATCAAAAAGGTCAAGACATTGAATTCCATGGCTGACTGTCAGAAAATAAAGCTGTACCATGAAGAGGTCAAGATGTGGTCATAAAGGATAAAGAGCTACATTTGCCTTAGTTTGGGATTAATTCTACAGGCAACAGGGAACAAGGAAAGGATTTGTTTTTTGGAACTTGCTAGAAGTATGGAGGATCGATTTGTAGAAAACTATACTGGATACAGAAAGGATCAGATGGTATTCTATTACAATAGCCCAAGGTAAATGTTGTGAAGATCTGAACTAATCTGGAAGAGTGGTAGTGAAGAGAAGAGGTCAAATTTATAAGTTTTGATGATTGGATATACATGGAAATTAAAGAATCATGTTCCTGAGATGACCCCAGGTTTCTGTGTTAAGTGGTTGCTTGTTTAGCAATGCTGTCAACCAAACAGGAAATAAATAAGGGACATGCGTCTTAAAGAAGGAAGAAGAAAATAGTGAGCTCATTTTGAATCTGTTGGCTTTGAAGGGTCTACCTAGTGCATGCTCTCTGCAGCTGCTCTACTTGTGTCCATTGTGAACTCAGCCAAAGGGAGGTGAGAAAGGCACAGAGAGGTCCCCACGATGCTCTGCAAGGCACTTTGCAGGATTTTTCTGGATCCCCAAGTGAAACCAGACCTTAATAAGTACACCTGCGATATTTTAGTAAACTATAACTAAGCTACATGCAACCATTTTTTAACTCCGCTAATTTACTATATTATCGTTAGAGTAGACATTAGGACCATGGCACATGGGTGTTTAATGATATGATGTGAATTAACGTTATGTCTGAAATTCCCCTATGGATGATTCATTACTCTTAAGTGATTGTTCTTCTCAGGAATTTTTACTTTAAAAGTGCAAATACCAGCCAGGTATGGTGGCTCACACCTGTAATCCCAACAATTTGGGAGGCTGAGGCAGATGGATCACCTGAGGTCAGGAGTTTGAGATCAGCTTGGCCAACATGGTAAAACCCCATCTCTACTAAAATACAAAAAATAGCCAGGTGTGGTGGTGCACCCCTGTAATCTCAGCTACTCAGGAGGCTGAGGTGGGAGGATCGCTTGAGCCAGGAAGACAGAGGTGGCAGTGAGCTGAGATCCCACCACTGTGCTCCAGCCTGGGCGACAGAGTGAGACCCTGTCTCAAAAAAATAAAAAATAAAATCATAAAAGTAAAAGTGCAAATACCTTTGGACCCACACGTTGGGTATTATTACTCATTGACAAATCTGTTTTTCTTCAAGTGAGAGAGAGGCTCATAGAAAATGGGAAGTCATTGAAGACCAACTGTAGCTCTTTGAGCTCAGCCTACAAATTCTGGTATGACGTGTGGTGTGAAAAAAAATTACATTACAAACTGACTAAGTTATCCTTGCAGAATACTGATAACAGTTGTTTGCCTAGTTGGTTGGTTGGTTTACAAAATCAGATCACTTCTTGGTCACAAGAGTTTGCCAAAGAACCTGAAGTATTCCATTGGTTGGAAGTAAAGCCATCAACCTTGGTCCAATATCAATGTTCCATGTATAATATTGTTATATTATCTAAAATTTTATAATAAAGATAAACATTTAATCATGTTAATATAAGTAAAAGGGCTGTAATTTGTGAGAAGACCTAAGCCAGTCTCTCAGCTTATAGAGAAGATGAACTTTTCTGACAGATCCTTTTTTTCAGTGAATTAATAGCATTGGTTTTCCTGCCTAATAAACTGGCACCAGGAGCATCAAATCTTCATCTCCTCTATTAAGTGAAACTATTCTCATTGCCCTCCTACCACATTCTTTCATTAGGCAAGTACCTTAGGTCAGAGTTTCTTTTACTAATTATAGGCCTCATCAATTCCCCAATCTCAGTTTTAAAAGGTTTTAATAGGAATTTAAGTTTCCTATACCAAACAAGCAATTCCATTAGAAAAAGAATGAAAGAGGAAAGAGTGATTACAGAATTAAAGAGAAAACACATGCCTCCATCTGTGCCGCATTCTCTGAGAGGCAGTGGTGATACAAGTGTGGTATCCGCTTCCAAGGGGCTCACAGTCAAGCATAAGAAAAGGCTGTGATGTGCATAGAGAGCTACAAGACAGGGCACAATTCTTAACACAAGAAAAGGATCCAGCCGTCTAGACAGCAAGGCAGATTGTCACTGAGATGGCATTAGTCTAGCAGTTAGTCAGTCAATAAATACATATTAAGGCAAGCACTATTGTAGATATCTCATTCTAGTTGGAAAGTGCGGGTAACAAATGCATCCTGCACCCAGTATGGGCTACAGAGAACTTGAAATCATAGGATGCTCATTATCCAAGGTGGTCAGGGAAGACTTCTGAGGACTTGAAGGGGAAGCTCTGAAAGAAAAGCATTTTGAGCTCAAAATGCAAGGACGAAGTTCCTATATAAGAAAAAATTACCTTGTCATGTTTGAGGGACAGAAAGTGGGTAAATGTCACCATACCACATGAACAAAGAGGAGAGAGACAAGCTAGAAGTTACTTAGGGGTCAGATTAAGTGGGCCATTGGATAATGTAGTTAGAAATTTACATTTAATTCTAAGTAGAAGCCATTGGAGAAGTTTTAAAACGGGAATGTTATGATCTGATGTACATCCTAGAGAAGTTTCTCTGGCAAATGTATGGAGAACCAATTTTAGGGAAGTAATAATGAAGGCAGGTAGACCAATCAGGAGGCTCTGAATGTAGTTCAGGAAAGAATATGGTGATACTATTCCAGGTAAGAGATGATGGTGGCTTGGAACAAAGCTATGGAAAAGGAGATGGTAAAAATATGTAAGACTCAGATATATTTTGGTAATGTACTGACAGGACTTATTCATGAATACAGTGTGGAAAGGAGAAATCAAGGCTTATGCTCAGGTTTGGCCTGAGCGGTACTGCAGTGCTATAAATGGTTGTACCTGAAAACCATTTGTCTTGGTCACAAGAGAAACTCTTGTGACCAAGAAGTGATCTGATTTTGTAAACCAACCAACCAACTAAGCAAACAACTGTTACCAGTATTCTGCAAGGATTACTGAGTCAGTTTTTAATGTAATTTTTTTTCACATCACACATCATACCAGAATTTGAAGGCTGAGTTCAAAGAGCTAAAATAATGAAGTTAGTCTTCAATAACTTCCCATTTTCTATGAGCTTCTCTCTCACTTGAAGAAAAACAGATTTGTCAATGAGCTGAGAGAACAGTACTGCAGTGTTGTAAATGGACTTTTACTTGAGATAAAGAAGAGAAAAATAAATCAAGAGTTCTCTGATCATGTTAAGTTTGTGATTCTAATTAGACAGCCAAGGGATTAAGTAGATACTTGGATATGTGAGTACAAAATAGGTAAAGAGAAGTCCAGGTTGGAGATAAAAATTTGTGAGTCATCAGGGAATAGATGGTTTTGAAACGATCTTAATAAGGCCCCGAAATGTGTCATTCATTCAATTCACACTTATGAGGTATCTATAATGTGGGAAGAAGGTACTAATCCTGTGCTGGGATAACTGGGAGGCCTGTCCTTAAGGAGCTTACAGCAGAGTGTGTGGAGGCGTGTGTCTCTGGGGTGGGAGTGAGGCATCAATAAGTAAAATACACAGCAGAAGGAAATAGCTGTGAAAGAGAATGAAGCAAAGTGGAGTTGAAGTTGTGATTAATTCCAACTGAACAATCTGTGAACAATCTGTTTCTCCCAGACTATCGCATTTCAGATGACCCTTAAATAATGCATAGATATCAGTAGATGGAAGAAAAGGGAAGGAGCTGAAGTCCAGTGTGGGCAGTAGCAGGAAGGTGCAAAAGCAAATGCAAAACACCATCACGGCACAAGAAGGAATAAACGAATAAACACAACACAAACCCAACAGTAAAAGAGCCTAAGGTCTACATAGGGAAATTGACATGTAAAGAAATAATAAAAGTGGCTGTCCAAAGGAGTGTGGGTAATGTATGAAGGAAAATTCACCCTATGAAAGTTGATGCTTTAAAGACACAATCTGGCCAGGTGTGGTGGCACACGCCTGTAATCCTAGCACTTTGGGAGGCCAAGGCAGGCAGATTGCCTGAGCTCAGGAGTTCAAGACCAGCCTGGGTAACATGGTGAAACGCTGTCTCTACTAAAAATACAAAAAATTAGCTGGGTGTGGTGGCACACACCTTTAATCCCAACTACTTGATAGGCTGAGTCACTAGAATTGCTTGAACCCGGGAGTCAGAGGTTGCAGTGAGCTGAGATTGCACCACTACACTCCAGCCTGGGTGACAGTGAAACTTTGTCTAAAAAAAAGTTTAAAAATTAAAAAAATAAATAAAGACACAATCTAACAGTACAACTGTTAATAGGGTCTAAATCTTAAGGACTTAGGAAATGGATGCTCTTAGAAACTGATGCTGGAAAGTAAAAATGAAAGCATCCTCCTAGACTAGAGATAAGGAAGAAATGAGTTAATATTAATAAATAATATTAGCAAAAAATGTTAGAACTCTAGTGTGGCACAAGAGCAGACATAAAATCCAAAGGTTGGTATCTTCTACTAAAAAATTACCTTATTGACATTTATTATTGTATGCAAACCACTGCCAACAATTACAGAGCTTATAAATGACAGATTTTCTACTTACCATGTACTCATATTTTAAAGTGGCAGAACTGTCTAATGGAATATACTGTTTATTATTAAAATTCACATGAGCTACACATATGCACACACACAAATGTACACACACACATTACTCTCTATACATTCGGTATACTAGGATATTTCTTGATGTGAGATTTACTATCTACAAGCTCAATTATTTTTACTGGAAGAGCTAAAATTTTAAAGCAGCTTGAGCTTCAATGCAATACACTTCTTAAAGGGTAGATGTGTTATAAGACATCATAATTTCATATTCATTTCTGTATTCCTGAGGTTCTGTAATTTTTTAAAGCATGAGTCACAAAGTAGAGATGTGTGAAGAAGAAATGCACAGGCATGGAAACACATAAGCAAGAAAACACTATTTCTCCAGTATTATCAGAAGGGTGGTGACTAAAATTTCTGCTGTTGTTGTTTCCCCAGAAGAGAATGAAATTGATCTAGATTTTTGGAGAGTAAGAGCCATCTGTTCCCATGGATAACAGTAGCGCTGCCTTCCAAAAGTTATTCCTATTCACTGGAATTGGCCTCAAGCATCATTTTACCAGATAGTATTTAAAACTGAGATGATAACATCCAATATTAAAACCATGGTGGGTTTTATGTCTTAATTTTGTTGCCTTTAACTTTTTGTTAGTTTTCTTAAGAGAAAAGAAGAGTGCATGTACATAAATAAAATGTCAGAGGCTTTTCTTTAATCCTTTCCAAACAGTGCTCAACAATTATTTCTCCCTTTCTATCCAGACTGTGTAATTCCAAAATGATCAGAGAAAAACTTGCCATCTGGATGTCATAAGTAAATAACTTGTTTCTGAGGCCTGCCTGGAGCTGTCTGAACCAGTGCAATCATGGAGGTGTTGGCTAACGCACCTGAGATGAAGACACCTTCGGGCTTATTCTTGTACAACTGTTCTTCACTATGACATTTCTTTAGCATATGTCTGAAGATCATTAAAAGGTAGTGCTGCAATCCTCTCCAAAGGCAGGTGAGTTATATTTGGACAGCTTAATAATCATAAAATTATTCTTTCAATCTAAGTTGAAATCTGCTCCCATGGAACTTTGATCAATTTGTTCTTTTTCTGCCACTGGAAACTAAAGTGAGCATGATCCCTTTACATACAACATCTAAAATATTTGAAGGCAGTAATTATAAGTAATTCACCTACAACAACTTCATAAACACTTATTTGATTATAAGTACTTCATCAATATTATCTCTTTCATTTTTTAATCATCTGTTCCATTTACAAGTTACCAGAGTTATTTATTGATTTTGTCTTCTGCACATCATGTTTGTCTCTTTTTTAAATGAGTTCCCTATTTTGAAACTGTTTTAGACTTACAGAAAAATTGCAAAAATAGGGCAGAATTCCCATATACCTTGCACATGCAGTTTCTCTTATTATTAACCTCTTACATTAGTACAGTATATTTGTCACAATTAGTGAACCTATATTGATATAATATATTAACTAAAGTTCATACTTTACTTAGATTTCCTTAGTTTTTAATGTCCAGATTTCATCTAGCTATTTCATTAGGCTCCTCTTTACTGTGACAGTTTCTCAGGGTTCCTTGTCTTTTATGACCTTGATACTTTTGAGGAATACTGGTCAAGTATTTTGTAGAATGTCTTTCAACAGAAATTTGTCTGATGATTTTCTTATAATTAAACTGGGGTTATAGGCTTATGGAAGTAAACCAATGGTAAAAATGCTATTTTCATCATACTGTATCAAGGGAACATACCATGAACATGATTTATCACTGTTGATGGTGACCTTGATCATTCAGTGAGACAGTGGTTGTCAGGATTCTCCTTTGTAAAGTTACTCTCCTCCATGCATTCTTCTTTACTGTACTCTTGAACCAATGTCATTATACAGAGCACAGTTAAAGAATGGATAGTTATGCTCAAACTTCATGAAGGTAGAGTATCAGCATATAATATTTAGAATTCATTTGCATCAGATACTTGTCTTTGTCTGCCATTTATTTACTTATTAAATCATTTATTATATCCATATGGATATGTTGAGTATCCTTTTGTATGCTTACTTACCCTCTGCATATTTTGTTCCCTTCCCTTCCCTTCCCCTCCCCTCCCCTCCCCACCCCTCCCCTACTCTCCTCTTCCCTTCCTTTTAATGGAGATGGGGTCTCACTGTGTTGCCCAGTCTGGTTTTGAACTCCTGGGCTCAAATAATCCTCCCACCTTGGACTCTCAAACTGCTGGGATTACAGGCATGAGCCACGATGCTGTATATTTTCTTTAGTGAGTGAAATATCTATTTAGATCTTATGTCCATTTAAAAAATCAGATTGTTTGAATGTTCAGTTTTTTATATATTTTAGATAGAAGTCCATTATCAGATATGTTATTTAGGAAGGAAGCATCTCATTTCTCATTATTAAGCATGATGTTTACTGTAGGTTTTTTTGCAGATGATATTTTGAGAATGCTCCTATTCATATTTGGTAAGAGTTTTTATGATAAATGAGTATTTGATTTTGTCAAATGCTTTTTCTGCATCAACTGATATGATCATACAATGTTTCATTTTAGCCTATTGATATGGTGGATCTTTGTATTTTAAAATATATCTATGTCTTTCCATATAGAGCATATATGGAGTAGCGCTGATATGTGCTTCTCTAATCACAGCTATAAATTATTTCTCTACCCCAACGATGTAATTTGTCTGACCCTGGAGACTTGCATTAATTCAAAGCAGTTTGACTTGCTCTTACTATTTCTTTTCAAGATTGTTATCAGCTGTGGGCTAAGGTCTACTACCCACTCACTTTGACCAAGAAAACACAAGTTGAGTGTAGCTCATAGAGGAAGTAGTGCTGCTCAGTATGTGGTATAATGTGGTGCTTCTTAAACACTAATGTGCTTATAATTACCAAGGATCTCACTGAAATGAAGGTTTTTCTTCAGCAGGTATGAAAGGGGCCAGAGATTTTGCACTTTAATACACTCCCATAAGTGACAACACTGTTGGTCCATGGACTGCTTGTTGAATATTGAGGATATAGTGGGAAGCAGAGGCACAATTCCAGAGAAGCTAATGAAGCTTCAGTGCTCATCATTTGCACTGGCTTTCTTAGGTATTGGAAGTTGCCAGGAACTATAGAATATTCCAGATATATGCAAGGAAGCTGGGCTGCAAACAGGAAGTATTTCTACATAAGCATTTCTGGCAAAGTGCTTAGATATCTTAGAAAATAGACACCCAAGTCTCCAAGGTTTGAATGATTTGTTGTGATTTCTCCTCCCATTTTAAAAATTCTATTTATATTGAATATTGTACATTATAATTTTGTGTTCTCTTGCTCAAAAGGGACACCACAAATTGTATAAATTTCAGAGCCTAGAGACCTGGATCTATCCCAGTGTAGAGTATAAAATTTAGAGTCACACAAACCTGAGATTAAGCTCTAGGAAAGCTCTAGTGAGCTAGTCCACACATGAATTCTGGCCTGAATTTGAAAATGATCATGAGTAGTGACTGGAACTCAGTTCAAGGTTGCTTTTAATCTGATTTATTCCTGAAGCAACTAAAAAGCAATGCAAAAATTTTACATGATAGAGGTGAAGATGGGGAGTGAGTTTCCCTGCTGCCTTCTTTACACTCATGAATGCATGTCCAAAATTTGGTGGTCCTACCAGTCTGTGTTAAGGCAGTGGCTCAACTAGGCAGAGCTTTCTACAACTATGGACTTTTATATGTGATAGACAGCCCCTAGGGTGACCTCTCAGTACTCCCCGCCTTGTGGTGTTAAGACCTTGGCAGGAACTCCTCCCTTATGACTTGCTTCTAACCAACAGAATATGGCAAAGGTGATAGGGCGTAACTCTTGTAATTACATTACAGAAGACTGGAGAGAGATAGAGAGAGAATCAGAGAATCTCCTGCTGGCCTTAAAGAAGCAATCATGTGTAAACTGCCTATGGAGAGAGGAGCCCATGTCAGGAAACTGTGGGTGGCCTCTAGTAGCTGAGGGCCTGAGTCCTGCAATACCAAGGAACTGAGTTCTGCCAATAATCACATGATCTTGGAAGAGGTCCTAAGCTCCAGAAAAAAATGCAGCCCAGCCAACACCTTGATTGCAGCCTACTGACACCCTGAGCCTCTGATCCAGGTAGGCCACGCCCAACCTCCTGACCCACAGAAACTGTGAGGTAATAAACATGTGTTGTTTCAAGTCACTAAATTTGTTACACAACCATAGAAAACTGATATAATGCATCAAGCCACATTAGCACCCAGAAACTACTTACACAATCATACGAGGCAATGATTCTTCTTCTGAGGGAGCCACATCCCCCAAGCCTAAATCTTGATTCCAGAACACAAAGTTCTGGCTGTGTCTGCCCTGGGGCTCTCTATCTCTACATCTGCTTTACAGGGAAGAGTTTTCACAGTGTGTCTTTAGAGATTATCTATGGAAAGAGTGGCACAGCCTACCAGCAGGATTGGCTATATAATGTGTAAAACTCAGTATGAAATGAAAATGTGGGCTCCTTGTTCAAAAATTTTTAAGAATTTCAAGACAGTGACAGCAGAGCCCATCTAAGTTTGGGGCCCATCTAAGAACGTGGCCTTGTGTAACTGCACAGGTCTCAAAATCATGAGGCCAGATTTTACTATTACACCATGTTAGCCATGCCTTGAGAAAATTATTTAAGCTGAACCTCAACATACTCATCTGGAGAAAACAACATGCTGTAAGCTTCAGTACGGAGAATTGTGAAATTTAAAACAGATGATATATGTGGAAGTCTCTGACCTAGCAATAGGTATTCAATATATGTTGACTTTTTTGTCTTCCTTTCAGTCTTTGCTTTTTATTAAGCTATCAGCCTCAAGCACCCATCCTTCCTTACTCATCTTTTTTTCTCCAAGCACAACTAATATAGGAATTTTAATCATCCAAGAACACGCTGGCTACAGGTCAAGAAAAATTATTTCTTTTGAGACTCATGACTTGTTTTCAGGTATCTATTCCTGTTTTATTATTTTAAAAAATCAGCAAGTTACATAAAGTTTTATAGCACAAATTCTGAAACATCTCAAGGTTTTCCAACATAGATTTCTGTCATTTGATTACCCTTCTCTTAATAAACCCATCATTAGAGAATTTTCACTACCCAGTACTCCTGAGCAATATGGCACGCTTCCATCAGTATCAGTGACTTACCACAGAAGATTCTCAGCTGAGTGTGTCTTGGGGGTTGGAAGGAGATATTAAGAACTAAAGCAGTCTCTCACATTGTTTATGATTCTGACAAGGCAAGCATGCAACTTACCACCACTACTTTGTTGAAAATCATTATTTTAGAAAGAATTTCATATAGTTTACCTTCCAAGGATGTAGAGGGTTATTTCATTTTCAATATATTCTTTCTGGATCTACAGTTTTTAATGACTTGTGATTTCCTGACCATGTAAAATCTCATGTAAGCAACACATGACATAATTTAGGATGTGAGATTGGTTCATACATACAACCAGACAATTGAGGGTCTAAATTCAAAGCATTTATACTTGTCCCTCCCCATGAATATAGGAATCAATGTAGCTGCTAGAGAGTAAGCCAAATTACCAGCTTGCATATTTTTATGTAAATGGAAAAGGTAACTTTCCATATGCATAAATAGTGTTAACATGCCTCTGATTTTTAGGTGACTCACTCCTACAACCCCGTCCAACTCAGTCCCTAACAGAATCACAGCCAAATCTCCTTGGCATACTGAGATAAAACTCAATATTTTTTTCTGAGAAAATTGTATAAATGCCAGTAACAAGTACTAAAAGTATTAAATATATATCTTAGATTCATTTTTGTGTGTTGAATGATATTTTTTAGGGTATCCTAGGACCCCAAACAACATTGGTAAGGATGTTTTAATTATATAAAGTCCCAAGTCAGTAATTTATAAACAAAATTTTGGAATGCCCCTTCACATGATTTGGAGTTTACATGAATTCATAACATTTAAAACCATCAAGAGTACAGACCAAAGGAAGTTATAATAAAAGAAAATGACACATTAGTGATACATGTACTATCTTATCAGAAAGTTTTTCCTTCCATCCTTTCTACAAATCCATGACTCGCAGCTATTATTATTTATTATTTTGTACCAACATGGTACACTGAGGTCAATATTGGTATGGCATCCCTTCCCTCTTGTCCTTCATTCCGTGTTTATAACATAAAAGGTAGTGGCTAAAACCATGAGACACAGGTTCTTGTTCCATCTAAGAGATCAGGAGGGTATATCTGGTTTTTAAACAACAGAAAACTAAACATTTGATTGTAACAAAATAAAAATGAATAAAGGGAGGAAAGGAATGAAAGTGGGAAAGGAAGAAAGATAAAAAGAAAACCAAGAAAAGCTATGAGGTTGGTGCAAAAGTAATTGAGGTTTTTGCCATTACTTTTGCACCAACCTAATAGTTAAACCTGTGTGGTTGAAGAGAGTCACAGTGACAGAGATCACAAAAGGGAGTGAAAGGGAACCAGAGACTAAACTTCAAGGCAGTTGAGCCAGATAATAAGGCTGCAGCAGATCAGAGAAGATGTGTCCAAATCGCAGTGCACTTCAGAGAAATGAGCCCATATTTACTAAATAAATGTCATTACTTTTATATTCACAGCCAAGAAAGAATAGAGCAACTTCTGCCACCTCAATGACAGCTTAGATAAGTTCAGGTTCAATTTAGACACAATTACATCTTTTCTTTAAAGTGAACATTATTTTCACAGTTTATTAATGTCAATTCCATAAAGCTAAGTATCTGTATCTTCACTATGATAAAAGCAAGTAGACTTTCTCATCTGTGACCTTCAAAAATATCCCAGAAGAGTGGTCATGAGAGTTTCAACTAAGGTTTAATATCAGAGGAAATTGAAAAAAGGAAATGGATTCAAATGAATTTTCAGCAATAGAATCTACAGGACTTAATCAAAATACGAAATGATGGAAGAAATAGAACATAAAATCACAGCACGTTTAACATGATACATGCTGAAAACACATACACTTAGCACTAAGAAATTAAGGCATTAATAAACTCAAGAAAGAGAATTTCCAGGCCAGGCACGGTGGCTCACACCTGTAATCCCAGCACTTTGGGAGGCCGAGGCAGGCAGATCATGAGATCAGGAGTTCAAGACCAGCCTGGACAAGATGGTGAAACCCCTGTCTCTACTAAATATACAAAAAATTAGCCAGGCATGGTGGTGGATACCTGTAATCCCAGCTACTCGGGAGGTTGAGGCAGAGAACTGCTTGAACTCGGGAAGTGGAGGTTGCAGTGAGCCAAGATCACGCCACTGCACTCCAGCCTGGGTGACAGAGTGAAACACCGTCTCGAAACAGAAAAAAAAGAGAATTTCCAATTTTAACCAAAATTTGATTCTGTCTAGACTGAATCCGATCTTAATATACTTCTCATAAAGGTGTCAGAAGCTATGTGATTGCTTCTTTTTCGGTTGTGAATATAAAATTAATGAGAATATAGAAAGTGCCTATGAGCTCATTTATCTCAAGACCTTAGACGCGTTAGAGAAATCAATCTCATAATACTCACTGAATTTGTGAGCTAAAAAGTGCTATAACAATGCGGTTCTTTAGGTACATGCGAGATATTCTTAAAACTTGGCAGATTCTCAACAAGATAGTGATGGGGCTGGGTGTCAATGAAAGAGTGGTTGTTAGGAAAGTGGGAACAGGATGAGGTGTTTCATTTAGAGATTTATCCTATGAGGATGTAAGGGAGTACTTCTCCCTCCAAATCTCCTATGAGGATGTAAGGGAGTACTTCTCCCTCCACATCATAAGGGGACTTGCACTCTCCTGTCCACATGTTTCCTCTGCTGATGAGTCATCTTTCAAGTGTCGATCCTATTTCCATAGGGAGGGCTCACCTCCCCACATCCCACTGGTTGTACTGCTGAGAACAGGCTCTCACTCCTTAAAGACAGAAAAAGGAGGGAACAGCTTTCAGTCACTTTATGAGAGAACCATGTAACACCCAGGGTAGTTCACTATGGAATGGATCATCTTAAGAAGTGATTAGTTTCCTGCCACCAGAAACATTCTGACCATTTACTGGCATCGATAATATAAAAACATGAATTGGATTGATTGTGGTAGAATTAATGAAAATTTCCCATCTGTGATTTAGTGAAACTGGAGAAGTATAAAAAAACCAAAGATATAAAATTAGAAATTGGATGATTTTGCAAAGGATCATAGAATTTACACACCCAGTGGAAAATAAATCTTTATAAATTAGGATTTACATCTTCACGTAAGGTGTGTGCCACTGATACTGCAATATTAAACATATAGAATATAATACTAAAATAAAAGAAAGCCCCATGGAAATGGACTTTGCATAAGAAAATAAGCATGTAACAATAAGAATCTAATTACTGCCCTTTAAAGAATTACTACAGAAAGTCCATTGCTTTACTTACTGGTCACTGGTTCAGCTGAAATGACTTATTCTAACTTTTGTCTTGCTAACCTTTTATTTTTTTTATTTTTTAATTTATTTTATTATTATTATACTTTAAGTTTTAGGGTACATGTGCACAATGTGCAGGTTAGTTACATATGTATACATGTGCCATGCTGGTGTGCTGCACCCATTAACTCATCATTTAGCATTAGGTATATCTCCTAATGCTATCCCTCCCCCCTTCCCACACCCCACAACAGTCCCCAGAGTGTGATGTTCCCCTTCCTGTGTCCATGTGTTCTCATTGTTCAATTCCCACCTATGAGTGAGAACATGCGGTGTTTGGTTTTTTGTCCTTGCAATAGTTTACTGAGAATGATGATTTCCAATTTCATCCATGTCCCTACAAAGGACATGAACTCATCATTTTTTATGGCTGCATAGTATTCCATGGTGTATAT
The DNA here is from genome assembly GCF_000001405.40 of Homo sapiens. Taxonomy (NCBI): domain Eukaryota; kingdom Metazoa; phylum Chordata; class Mammalia; order Primates; family Hominidae; genus Homo; species Homo sapiens. Next base: position 142,782,353 of record NC_000004.12, read on the forward strand.
GTGCCACATTTTCTTAATCCAGTCTATCATTGTTGGACATTTGGGTTGGTTCCAAGTCTTTGCTATCGTGAATAGTGCCACAATAAACATACGTGTGCATGTGTCTTTATAGCAGCATGATTTGTAGTCCTTTGGGTATATACCCAGTAATGGGATGGCTGGGTCAAATGGTATTTCTAGTTCTAGATCCCTGAGGAATCTCCACACTGACTTCCACAATGGTTGAACTAGTTTACAGTCCCACCAACAGTGTAAAAGTGTTCCTATTTCTCCACATCCTCTCCAGCACCTGTTGTTTCCTGACTTTTTAATGATTGCCATTCTAACTGGTGTGAGATGATATCTCATTGTGGTTTTGATTTGCATTTCTCTGATGGCCAGTGATGGTGTCACGCTACCTGACTTCAAACTATACTACAAGGCTACAGTAACCAAAACAGCATGGTACTGGTACCAAAACAGAGATATAGATCAATGGAACAGAACAGAGCCCTCAGAAATAACGCCGCATATCTACAACTATTGATCTTTGACAAACCTGAGAAAAACAAGCAATGGGGAAAGGATTCCCTATTTAATAAATGGTGCTGGGAAAACTGGCTAGCCATATGTAGAAAGCTGAAACTGGATCCCTTCCTTACACCTTATACAAAAATTAATTCAAGATGGATTAAAGACTTAAACGTTAGACCTAAAACCATAAAAACCCTAGAAGAAAACCTAGGCATTACCATTCAGGACATAGGCATGGGCAAGGACTTCATGTCTAAAACACCAAAAGCAATGGCAACAAAAGCCAAAATGGACAAATGGGATCTAATTAAACTCAAGAGCTTCTGCACAGCAAAAGAAACTACCATCAGAGTGAACAGGCAACCTATAAAATGGGAGAAAATTTTTGCAATATACTCATCTGACAAAGGGCTAATATCCAGAATCTACAATGAACTCAAACAAATTTACAAGAAAAAAACAAACAACCCCTTCAAAAAGTGGGCAAAGGACATGAACAGACACTTCTCAAAAGAAGACATTTATGCAGCCAAAAAACACATGAAAAAATGCTAACCTTTTTTAAAGCAAGCTTATGTTAAATTAAATTGGAATTGGGTATCTTCCATATTGGCAATATTTATGTTATGGGGAGTACCGAAGCACCACGCATAGACAGTTTTTATTGACCTGGCTTCCTTTCCCCTCTTCTCTCTTAGTTTTTAGTTTCTAGTTTCACTTTTATGTATCCCTTGTGGAAGATTAATTTTATTAAATATCACATTTTGCAACACTGGGATTATGATAAACAGAAATTTAGAATCCTCTGTGTACTCTGCAAAACATTAAAATGACAGAAATATGCATTAAAAAGAATAGAGAGTGTAATGACACTTCATGTAGCGTATTACTTGCTTCTCCCAATCCTTCCCACCTCTTTCTTACCAATTATTGAGGTGGGTTAAGCACCTAATGTACTAGATTCTGGGTGGCAAATAGTGAATGTAGAGCAGGGTAAGAGGAAAGACAGAATGTTTGCAAACAGGTAAAGGCACATCATTGGACTATAAAGAATGAGATAAATTAGTTTATAAGAAGGAGAAATTTTAAGACTTTTCAATCTAAAAAAATGCCAGAGACTTTTGGTTTCACCTTCAGCATGTAAAGAGCTTAGAAGTCATCACTGTCATGCTTAGGGCAAGTAAAAAAACTGAACAAACTAAAAATCAAGAATGTGGCCAGGCACAGTGGCTCATGCTTATAATCCCAGTACTTTGGGAGGCTGAGGCGGGCAGATGGCCTGATGTCAGGAGTTCTAGACCAGCCTGGCCAACATGGTGAAACCCCGTCTCTACTAACAGTTCAAAAATTAGCCGGGCGTGGTGGCATGTGCCTGTAGTCCCAGCTACTCAGGACGATGAGGTAGGAGAATTGCTTGAACCCAGGAAGAGGAGGCTGTGGTGACCTGAGATCATGCCACTGCACTCCAGCCTGGGTGATAGAGAGAAACTCTGTCTCAAAAATAAATAAATAAATAAATAAATAAATAAATAAATAAATAAATAAAAATTAAAATCAAGGACTTTTTTTATACCAACCAGAAAACTGAGGTCACAGGGCAAACCACCACCCCAGAATTTGAAAGGACAGGCAAATACATAGAGTCACAACCAAGAAGAGCTTACCTGGAGCAAAAGCTGCTGGAGCCATCAATTTATAGAAGCATTTAACTGATAATTTTGATGAATTGCTGGAGGATACATGCAGGTTAGCTTGAGAGTGAGAAACTCCTGGAGACCAAATTTAAGAAGACCCCACAAGTTGGTAGACTTTACCTCCAGGAACCCAAACAGGTCCTCACAGTAAAGATCTGAGAAAAATGTTTTTTTTTGGTTTGTTTGTTTGTTTCAGAGAAAAGAGAAGAGTAACCCTTTTACAATGCATCCATAGCATTCCTCATACCAAAGTCTTCCAGAAAAGACTTTGCCAGAGCTTTATCTGACCTAAGAGCAGGGTCATTATTCAAAAACAGCCCCCTTTAGGCTTCCTGTCTCACTTACAGCGATAACAAAAAAGAGCTAAGAAATACTTGTGGAGGTAACAGCCCAGGTACACAGCCTACTAAAAGACAGACTTAATCATAACATTATAGAATACACTCCCTACTCAAACCTGTACAGCAATGTCAACAGGGCTCCAGCATAGTAACAGTGAATTACATTTAGAAGATCAAGAAGACACAGATTCTACTCAAAAAGGAGTTCTCAGGGAAACTCGAAGACAACAGAGGAGAAAACAACAAGAAAATTAGAGGAAATTTAAGCCTCTGGTACCTATAGCTATAGCAAACTTTAAACACAGCTAAGTTCCTTGTCAGAAAAACATAAAACTTCCCCCTAAATTTACTATTATCCAATACATCATGCCCATCTTTCAATAAAAAATTACAAGTCATGATTAAATGGAAGAAACAACACAGTCTGAAGACATAAAGCAACTGTGACATGAGATTCAGATAAAACAGTTTAGAATTATCAGATAAAAAAATTAAAATAATTATAACTAATATATTAAGGGCCTTAATGAGAAAAGTATCCAAGTAAGAGTATATGGATAATGTAAGCAGAAAGATGAACACTCTAAGAAAGAATCAAAAGAACATGCTGGAAATCAAAAACGCGATGATAGAAATTAAGAATGCTCTTGATGGCCTGTAAGTAGACTGGCATGGTTGTGAAAAGAATCCGTGAGTTTGAAGATATAATAATAGCAACTTCCAAAACCAAAATGTCAAGAGAAAAAAGAACAGAATATCCAAGAATTGTGAAACAAGTTCAAAAAATATAACATATATACAATTGGAATACTAGAAAACGAAGAAAAAGAAAAAGGAGCAGAAGAGATGCTTAAAGTACCAAGGGGGAAGAACTGTCTAGTATTAATGACAGTCATCAAAACCGTGGATTCAGGAAGCTCAGAGAACACCAAGCAGGATAAATCCCCTAAAATCTACACCTAGCCATGTCATATTCAAACAAAATAAAACCAAAGACAGAAATTACTGGAAGAAGCCAGGGGGGTTGGAGGGGACACCTTGCATTTAGAGAAATAAGGATAAATATTATATCCAACTTTTCATCTGAAATCATACAAGCAAAAGGTAAGTGAAGTGTGTGCATGTGCATGCAGGTTAATATATAAACATATTTCTTTTTTCTGTCAACTGAGAGGACCTAAATGAAATGACACCCCAGCAAAAACAAATATCCATAGGACCCAAATCTTGATTTCTAACACCAGTCTCAACTAAAAGGAACCTGGGCTCTTTGGATAAATGGTTGATTCTAGGACTGAGGCAAGAAATATCCAAGATTAGGCTAGAGCCTCTTGTAGTCCAAGTAAGTAAGAAAGTGCTCAAAAACAGAAACTAAAACCTCATATTGATGGGACTATACCAAAGGAGCAGAGGAGACAAGTTAAAGAGCTCCGTTTGGCCAAAGCTGGAACAATTTAAGCAAAAAATAAATTCATATTAGATTATAACCCAAAGCATAAAATAATTAACTAAGAATCTATATTGATATAAATGACTTAATAAATTAATAAAAGCAGGGGATAAGAGACATATTCAAATAATGTATGTAGATACTCTACCCTAAAGGAGGTGGAACATAATTCCCTGCTCCTTAACTGTGAGTGAATACAGTGATTTCCTTCCAAAGGACTGATATGAAAATGAAGAGAGAGAGAAAAAGTAACTGTACAGTGAAGAAACACAACACACAGTATTTCAGCCAGGTGCATGAAGGTCTATATGGAATAAATCATGTTGACAATATGTACCCTCAATATGGTATGATAAAAAAGGCACTCTACATTTGTCATTTTCCTCCGAGCTGCCCCTAAAAGCATAGCTGCTGTATAATCAAGAAAACACAATAGACAAGTCTAAATTGAGAGACATACTATAAAATACCTAACCAGTAATCCTCAAAACTGTCAAAATTGTCAAAAATTTAAAGAGGGGGAAACTGTCACAATCAAGAGGAATCTAGAGGTATGACAAGTAAATATAATGTGGTATCTCGGATAGAATCCCGGAAAATAAACTATATACATGCTAGGTAAAAACTTTAAAAATCTGTGTAAATTATGAGCTTCAGTTAATAATAATCTATCAATATTTGTTGGTTAATTATATCAAATGTTAAAAATAAGGGAAACTGTGTGCATGGGATATGTAGGAATTCTCTGTACTATCTTCTCAATTTTGTTGTAAATCTGAAACAGTTCTAAAAAGAAAATCTGTTAAAATAAATGTCAGGTTCAGGATAATAAGAAATTCTATTTCTAGGGTTTAAATTTATCCTTCAAATAGCATGTGTCAAAAACTTAATTTGCAATACAACCGTGCTGGGAGGTGAGGCCTAGTGAGAGGGGATTCGGCCATGCAGTCTCTGCTCTCATGAATGGATTAATACCATCATTGTGGAAGTGTGTTTCTTATAAAAGAACAAGTTTGGCCCCTGTTACTCTTTCTCATATGCTTGCCTTCCACCATGGGATGATGTGGCAAGAAAGCCCTCTCCAGATGCTGGCACCTTTATACTGGATTGCCCAGCCTCTAGAACTATGAAAAATTGATTTATTTTCTTTGTAAGTTACCCAGTCTCTGGTATTGTGTTTTAGCAGCACAAAATGGGTTGAGACACCTATAAGCTGGGTTTCATTCATATTCATATTACCAACTTATTTTATACATTGAGCTGTCAGCTGTGCCTGTTTATGCAGCAATAGTTGGGAATTACAATGGTTAATTACAAATTTATATCCAAATTCTGCTTTGGGTAAAGTAGTAAGTTGGTGTTTAAAGAATAAAAAAATCCCACAGGAGATAGTGACTGCCCTCCAAAAAAATCTACTATCAAAATGGAGGTGGAGGAACACACACATAAAAAGGCAAATGGTAATTTACAATAAGCACCAAGTAAATATAACTGTTATAAACATTCTGAGAGACTGGTGTAGACTTGAGGAATCAGAAAATAGGTCACCGAGAAACTAGTGCAAGATTTAGAGAGGTGGAGGGGGAGAGGGCAGAAATGTGATGAGCACAGAGAGTAGAGCAATTCAGAGGAAGTGGAGGAAAGCCCTGGGAGTTCAGATGGGAGCAACTGGATTGCTTCCGGTTGCGGGAAGCCTTAAAGCCAGCTTATAAAATATAGACATTATCCTGTTTACAGTGTCTCAAAAACGCTGACCCATGTGGCGCAGAGCATAGCAATTATAATATTCAAGCCAATAAACACTTAGTACATTTAGAGCAAATAATAACTTAAAAAATAGGCAATATTAATAACTTTAATAATGCATCTTTATTCCAAAAAATTCAAGATAATTCTCAAATAAAATTTTAGTTAACTTTTTATAAAACATATTGAAAGTAGTAAAAGTATAAGATTAAAAAATGCTCATATAAAAGAATAGAAGATGGACTTTCTAAGATAAACCTGATACTAAAATGTGGGTTTCCAAAGCCTTATAAGAAACGTTCTGCCATGTCACCTACTAGTAACATGTGAATGGTCTTTAAGATATTAGAGAAACTAGAAACGTTTTTATTGAAATTTTTCTATTTCCATAGGTTATTGGGCAACAGGAGATGTTTGGTTACATGAGTTAGTACTTCAGTGGTGATTTGTGAGATTTTGGTGCACCCATCACCCAAGCAGTATACACTGCACACAATTTGTAGTCTTTTATCCCCCACCCCTGCCTGGCCTTCCCCACTGAGTCCCCAAAGTTCATTGTGTCATTCTTGTTCCCTCGCATGCTCATAGCTTAGCTCTCACTTATGAGTGAGAACATATGATGTTTGGTTTTCCATTCTTGAGTTACTTCACTTAGAATAATAGTCTCCAATCTCATCCAGGTTGCTGTGAATGCCATTAATTCATTCCTTTTATGGCTGAGTAGTATTCCATTGTATTTATATACCACAGTTTCTTTATCCAATTTTTGATCAAAAAGATAATCCACCATGATCAAGTGGGTTTTATGCCAGGGATGTAGGGATGATTTAACATACGCAAGTCAATAAAAGTTGATACATCAAATAAACAGAATTAAAAACAAAAACCAGATGATCATCTCAATAGATGCAGAAAAAGCATTTGATGAAATCCAGCATCGCTTTAGATTAAAACTCTCAGCAAAATCAGGATACAAGGGACATACCACAATGTAATAAAAGCCATCTATGACAAACCCACAGCCAACATAATACCGACTGGGAAAAAGTTGAAAGCATTCCCTCTGAGAACTGGAACAAGATAAGGATGGCCACTCTCATCACTCCTCTTCAAAACAGTACTGGAAGTCCTGCCAGAGCAATCAGACAAGAGAAAGAAATAAGGGGCATCCAAATCAGTAAAGAGGAAGTCAAACTGTCACTGTTTGCTGATGATATGATTGTTTAACTAGAAAACCATAAACACTCCTCCAGAAAGTTCCTAGAACTGATAAATTAATGCAGCAAAGTTTCAGTGTACAAAATTAATGTACACAAATCAGTGCTCTTCTATACACCTACAGTGACCAAGTTGAGGATCAAATCAAGAACTCAACCCCTTTTACAATAGCTTCAAAAAAATACTTCGGAATATACCTAATGAAGGAGGTTAGGTATATTTTGTAATTTTCCTTGCAGAAAACTACAAAATACTGCTGAAAGAAATCATAGACAACACAAATAAATGGAAACACATTCCATGCTCATGGATGGGTAGAATCAATATTGGAAAAATGACCATACTGCCAAAAGCAATCTATAAATTCAATGCAATTCCCATCAAAATACCATCAACATTCTTCACAGAATTAGAAAAAACAATCCTAAAATTCACATGGAACCAAAAAAGCCCACATTGCCAAACCAAGACTAAGCAAAAAGAATAAATCTAGAAGCATCACATTACCTGATTTCTAACTATACTAAAAGGCCATAATCACCAAAACAGCATGGTACTGGTTTAAAAAAAGGCATGTAGACCAATGGAACAGAATAGAGAACACAGAAATAACCAAATTACTTACAGCCAACTGATCTTCAACAAAGCAATAACATAAAGTGGGGAAAGAGCACCATATTCAACAAATGGTGCTGGGATAATTGGCTAGCCACATGTAGGAGAATGAAACTGGATCCTCATCTCTCACCTTCTACAAAAACCAACACAAGATGGATTAAGGACTTAAATCTAAGACCTGAAACTATAAAAATTCTAGAAGATAACATTGGAAAAACCCTTCTAGACATGGGCTTAGGCAACAATTTCATGACCAAGAACCCAAAAGCAAATCCAATAAAAACACAGATAAATTGCTGGGACTTAATTAAACTAAAAAGGAACCGTCAGCAGAGTAAACAGACAACCCACACAGTGGGAGAAAATCTTCACAATCTATACATCTGACAAAGGACTGATATCCAAAATCTACAATGAACTCAAAAAATTAGCAAGAAAAAAAACAAACAATCCCATTAAAAAGTGGGCTAAGGACATGAATAGATATTTCTCAAAAGAAGATATACAAATGGCCAACAAACATATGAAAAAATGTTCAACATCACTACTGATCAGGGAAATGCAAATCAAAACCGCAATGTGATACCACCTTACTCCTGCAAAAATGGCCATAATCAAAACATCAAAAAATAGTAGATGTTGGCATGGAAACTAGAAAAGTTTTAATAGATTTTCAAAGCCCAAGGCCTATATAGGAGAAAGAAACAAACTGAAGGAAAAAAACAAAAAACAAAAACAAAAACAAACCTTATGTAATTAAACTGATTAACTATTAAACTGCTTTATTTAAAAATATATATTAATATCTATTTCTATATGATGCAGAAAAGAATGTTATTCTAAATTGAGGTCCTTTTTTTCTTATATTAAAAATAAACCAAGTTCCAGCAATGTCCTATTTTTTTCTTTTTAAGACCTTGAAAGGGAGACATATGAAGCCCAACATCTCAAATGGGTGCACCGGTAAATGAACCCCACACTTCATCCCACTCCCACTCTCTAACACCAAACACAAACTCCATTGCAAGTTTTCAGAAACCTGCCCACATTTAAGAACTTCTAATTAAAGAATAATAGTTAATACCTAGCATCTATATAAAACATAACTATTTGGTGAAACTTGATGTTTTCACATACATTATTATCTTTTGAACTTGGACTTCAAAGCTGGAGAAAAATATATCATGAATTTATAGAAAGGAAATAGAGATAGAGAATATTGCAATGATCTGACTAAAATCAGATGCTGAAGAAAGGGCATGACTTTCTGGTTTTATCACCAAAGCTTAATTTCAAAGCATGGAGGCTTCATTTCAGAAATTTACTGCTGTGTGTAAAGGGACTGTTAAATATTGCTGTTCTATAAGAGCTTTTGTTTCATTTCATTTCATTTCAGCAATTTTCCAGGAGGAGGAAATGGCTGTATACTAAAGGGTCAGAGATTATAACAGCAGCAATTAAGATGAGATTCTGCCTATAGCATTAGCTCATTGTCTACTGCTCAAACATAAGGTAAATTCTATGAAAGGTGTGTGTAGACTGCAGCCAGCAAGGGGTAGATAGACTGGGGAGGATTAGAATGACGCAGTTTATTTTGTGTTCACTCAGCATGAAGGCTTTAAATAGGCCTATATCATGTCTTGCCACTAACATGGGCCTTGATTTCTTCTTGATGATTTAGCTTCAGTTCAGTGACTAGTTTAATATCTTACCCATATCTTCCTACATAAGAATTTCCTAATACCTCGGCCCCCTTGGGTGCATCCTCAGGGATCATGAATGGCTTCTTTTTGCGTTCGTTTTCAGCTATAATTATTTCTAGAGCCACCACCCTCCTGTAAAGTGTGCACCCTGACACCCAGGCTCTGCTACTTACTCACCCATTGACTGCTATCTAAACTTGCCACTGTCATTGATCCTCCTAAATACTGATTTCCCACCCAGATGTTCTCATATTGCATTGCACTGCTCACAGCCCACCTCCAACAATCCTGGCACCCACGTATGGTTGACAAGAAATTCTGAAGTGAACTTCAAATTACAGTAACCAAGAGAGAATTGTTTAAAGTTGATCAAATTCTTAAATTTCCCAAGTAAATAACCCTATAATGCCTCAGTTCATCACACTGGTTGTATTAATGGGATATTTTCTTTTAAAAAAATAAATTTTAGCTAGATGTGGTGGTCCTGTGCCTGTAGTCCCACAGCTACTTGGAAGCCTGAGGCAGAAGGATCGCTTGAGCCCAGGAATTTGAGACTGCAGTGAACAATGATGGTGCCTCCAGCCTGGGCAACAGAGTAAGACTCTATAAATAAATACATAAATTTTTATTATTTTTTAGAAAATGTTACTCCAATTGGCAAAACAATACATATAAATTTTAGAAAATGTAAAAGAGAAAAAAACAGAAAAAATACAAGAATCATTCATATTTCTCAGTGAATATTAATATGAAACACACAGCAAAGGTTCATTTTGCTAATTTCACTTAGCATTTTATCATAAACATTTTCTCACAACATTAATAATTCTTTGAATGCTTTTAGGTGCTGTATGATTTTCCATCATATGAATATATGATAGTTTATTTAATCATTGCCCCAAGGTCTTTTTCTTAGCTTATGGAAACTGCTCTAAGGTGAGTCTAAACAGGGACACTAATAAGCCCATTACCATGTACTCAGAAAAAGTGACATATCCCTTGGCCATATTCTCATTAATTTTAGAGTGGAAAATGTCCTGAGAGTCTTCTCAGATGGAAAAATCACTACACACCTAAGCACAGCAGCTTTCCAGGCCACACAAAGCCAGTGGGGATGGATTCTCTCCACATCATAGGTAAAGGGTTGATGTGAAAACAATACCAAACTTAATTCAAACGCCGCTCTTTCAAAATTGAAAATGAAGTGCCCAAGATATTTTTAGAAATGCAAGATAAAAAATTATCAAAAGTAGATCTCAAAATGGATTGGGCCATGTAAGGTTCTCTATACCCCAATCTTGGCCCTGATGCTCCCTTTACTAGATAGACATTGGCAACCAAACTCAGGAGGTAGAAGACCCAACATCCATTCCATCGAAATACTCATCTTCTAAGTCTTTGACTATCCCAAGATACCCTCTGAAGTAAAGAGCAAATGACAAAAGTGCTACAGAATCAGGGATGGGCCGATCAATTACACACGTTTATTTGTTTAATCCCCAAGATAAAAACATATGGAATACCCACAAGGATGTTTTGCTTCTAGTAACTGCCCATCAGAAGTGGAACTTCGTGAAGAAGATAAATTACCCTTAGCAATAAACAATTAATAAGGAACAAGTCAGCCAGAAAGTCCACTAGACTCTAAATTACTAGGAAACAAGAACTGACTTGTCCATTCTTGTATCCCTAGCATCCAATCCACTGTATGGACCAATATTTACCCACAATAGAAACTCAGTTAGTGTTAAGCTGAATAGAGAAGCAGAACTATGAGCAGGATGCATATTCCAAAGCAACGATCAGTGGAACAAAAAGAATTCACGGCAAAACAAAGCAAATGACATGCTTGTTGCAGCAGCTAGGGTTCAAGCCCTGCAAGTAAGAAAATGTATCTGTAAGGATTTTCCTCAGAGGCCTCAAAGTCCTAGTCAAAGGATGGCAGTAATACCAAGCACTTTAATCAATTGTGCATATAAAACTGTGATTTCAAACATCAAACAAAAGAAAAAATAAATGAATAGGGTGCAGAGCTAAGCACTTTCTATTTGTTACTAGGATTAATAAAACATTTTAGAAGGGTTACTGAAAACAAAACAATATAAAACCAATTGCATTTCAAAACACCAGCAGCAAGGAGTCAGAAAATGTAATAAAGATGCTACTTTAAAATAGCATGAAAAAAAATCCACAAAGTAGTTAAGATTACACTTAACAAAATATATGCAATGCATTTCTGAAAATACTATAAAGCTTTACAAAATATTAAAGGAAACTAAACAAATGGATAGATGTACCATATTCATATATTGGAAAATTATATAATGTATAGATGTCAGTTCTACTCAAATTGATCTATAGAATCAATACAATTACAAACAAAGAATCAATGGGTTATTTTTGGTGATAGTGTTGGTATCTATCTACCTAAATATTTGCCTATCCATCTATGGATCTACCTATGTATGTATGTATCTATCTATCACAAGCTAATTCCAAAATGTGTCTATTGGAAGAACTAATTATCGAGAATAGTCAAGACATTACTAAAGAAAAACAAGGTAGGAGGACCTGTCTTGCCAGATATCAAGTCTTATAATTTTTAAGCTATAAATAAAGTATTCAGACTATCAGGCTGTAGTTTAAGATGGTGGAGATTAGGGATAGACAAATAGAATGGCAGCAGTAAGAAGGACCCAGGATCAAAGACATATGGAAGCTTGATTTATTACAGGCCTGAATTAAAGGTCGGTAGAAAAAGGATGGACTTTTCAGTAAAAGAGGCTGAGACAAAGTGGAAGAAAAATCACATTAGATCCCTACTTACACCATACACAAAAAATTCTATGTGGACTAAAGAACTAAGGGTAAAAGATGAAAGTTTACAATTTTAAAAAAACAAGAGAACATAATATACTTAATGCTCTAGGGTAAAGAATGATTTCTTAAACATAAAAAGCCCAAATCATTAAGATATCCTGGATTATATCAAAATGGAGAACTTCTGTTTATTTCACTTTAAAAGTGAAAATTTAAGACACAATCTGGGAGATAATATTTGTAATATATTAAAATATTAGCATAAATATATAAAGCTCATATGCCAATCAATTAAACAATGACTAATAAGAAATATCACAACTCTTCACAAAAGGAGCAATAAAAAAACCCCAAAATTTGGGCAATGTAATTTGGAAAGCAAATTGGTATTATGCAGTAAGATGTAAATACATTCATACACTGTAAGCTAACAATACAAATCCTAGGTGTGTGTGTATATGTATACACTTTTTTCATGTTATATATATGTGTGTGTATATACATATATATATTCATGCATAGGAGCATGCACAAGAATATGCATCCAGTATTATTTGTAATGGACAAATATAATTCAGGAATAAAGTTGATTAATAAAGCATGGTATACTCATTTTGGGGAATACTGTTTAGAAATGAATAACTACCGGTGTATGCAATAATACAGATGAATGTTAGACATATAACATTAAGTGAAAATGCAAGTTATAGAAGAATTTGACAAACATAATGATTTCATTTATATAACTTTAAATGCATGAAAAACCAAAAAAGATATTCTTTAGGATAAAGAAATACAGATAAACTCTAAAGAAAAAGCAAGGAAACTGTAGCCACAAACTTCAAAATAGTATTTATGTCTTAGGAAGAACAGACAGATGCCAACCGGATGGGCACTGGAGAAGCTTCAAAGGCAATTGTTCTCTTTCTTAACCTGAGTGGTGGGTGTGTCAGAAACTGCCATATTTTCACTTTGTATACCTTATGCATATTTTATAGTTTTTTGTTGTTGTTGTTTTTCTGAAATAGGTAACAAAAATAAAGCAAAGAGATAGTGCTGTTGTAAGTTCCTCTTAATGTCCTTGGGCTGATAACTTTTCCTTTTTAAAGCTGTTTTTCAGTTTGTAAAATGAATTTTAACAGGATTCCCTTCACGAGGCTGTGTGAAAAACATAGCAGAGCTTAGAACAGTATCTGTCACATAGTAGGAGGTTAAAAAATGCTAATTATCATCATTATTCTCATCAATATCATTGTATCTATTTTACCAAAGCAACCATCAATGCGGCCAAAAAAACTATGTCATCTCTGTTCACCCAATGCTTTAGTCCTCTCTACAACCAATACAAATAAATCAGATTAATAAACTGTACCTTTAATCAACTACCTTTAAAATCTTTTATATCCTACTGTTCATATCACTACAAATCCTTTTTCTAAAACTTCCATAGTTGCTGTGTCAATTTAATAAGCCTCCTATATTTTCTCGCCTAATTTAATCACTATTTCCAATTTAAGAATATTATCTAATATGAGAAAAATGTACAATCCTTCCACGTTCATTGCATTTTACATCCATTCCTCCTAAAATAAAACCCCTTATTGTTGAATTTGGTTACAGTATTCATTTATGATATAATAAATGTGAGGATCTTGAAGATAATCATCGTTCTACATGCATCTTCTCATAGGTGACAAGGACATTTAAACATGCTTAAGAGATGCTTGTAGAATGAATGATAGGTTGTAAAATGAATGAATTAAGGAGAAGTAAACAGACTTGGAGGATTCTTGTTCGATTTGAAGGGCAGAGCAGAATTTTTGCCTCTCATTTGTTCAAAGACAACAGTGCCATGAAAATGATAAAAATCAACATAAAAGGGAAAAATATATTAAAAGAATCGAGGGTTCGGCAGTCAAATTATTAAATTCTTAACAGGGAGAAAGTTGCTGGAAACCTGTTAAGAATAAAACAGAAGAGAAGACACTCTAACCAGGGAATGAGTACTCTGAACATGCTCTGTGCTAAAGTCAGTAGACACGGTTGATAGCAGGCAAAAGGGATGCTGAACAGAGAAGAGGTAAAAAAGTCTGTCTGCAGAAAGGCTACCCATGGAGATCCCCTCTTTCTGCCAAAATATAAAGGCAGAGCCACCAGCAGCTTAACATTTATATTCTGGCACAAAAAAAAGTCTAAAAGAGCTCTTTCCTCAGATTTAAATAATTGCTGCAGAAACTAGACTATTGATAATGAAGTTGGCACCTACCTATTCTGGCATTTGTGAGTTCTCAGCCTTAGAGGAAGGTTTCTGTTCATTCACCCTAGAACATCGGTTGACATTTACAAGACCTATCCACATCCAGAGAGTTTCCAAAAGGCTCCTCTATTCACAGAAACTGATGCGGAAAACAGATGTGTGTGTGTGTGTGTGTGTGTGTGTGTGTGTGTGTGTGTGTGTGTCTGTGTGTAATAGCAGAGAACAAAATTATACTGCCTACCTAGATGATGAATCTAGTTCCATATTCTCAAACATAAACAGAAAATTGGAAATAATTAAACATATTGCCACCGTAAAAGAGAAAGACAAATAGAAAAACTGAGATTATATTCATCAGTGAAGTTCAAGAAAGCAAAATGCTAGCATTTATTTAGAGCTTACTATGTGCCATGCTCTCAACTGAGAATTTGACATGCTTAATCTAATGGAATGTTCCTAGTGTCCTTATAAAAAAGCAGATAGAGAGCTCTAGATTCAGAGAAATTAAGAAACATGTCTAATGTCACACAGTAAGTGACTGAGCCAAAATAGGCACCCAGGTGTTCTAAAATCTCTATTCTTAGACTTACGTTCTACTGCCTTTTGAAACATAGCACCTATAAAACAAGAAATCTGCTATATAATAAGATTGCAAAAAAAGCTTCCATAAATGTCAGTCATGATTACCATCAGAAAAACAGGAAGATAAAGTCAAAGAATTTTCCTGGAACACAGAGCAAAAAGGCGAAGAGAAGAGAATTTGAGCTAAGAGAGAAAAGACATAAAATATCTATATCTAGGTGATTGTACTCCTACAAAATGAAGACAGAAAATATTTGGAATCATCAAATTTCCCAAACTGATAAAAGAAAACAAATCTAGACAAATTTTCATGACATTTTATATCCCTAACATAAAGGGAATATCCTAAGTGCTTCCAAAGTAAAAGAAAATAATAAAAGATTGCTAACAAAAAAAAATGGCAATCATTTTGTCATTTTTATCATTAAATGTTATAAAATAAAATTAGAGTAATGCATTAAGAATTTATTGGAAAAAGATTAAACCTAAATTGTCTATTTTCAAATGTGAGGTAAAATAAATATGTTTTCAGATATTCAAGAATTCAGGAAATTTATCTGCCATATACTCCTCTGAGGAAGTCACTTGAGGATGGTCTCATCAAAACAAGAATGGAAATCAAGAAAGGGAAAGACACAAGAAATAACAACAACAACAGAAGTAAGCCAGAATAAAGTGAAAAGAAATATCACTTATGCAGAAAGCCTAAAGAACAATTGATTTCAATAGGGACAGAAAAACACTGGAGCATCAATAGAAAAATCTCAAATCACAAAAATTACATAGATTCTAATCAATATAACAAAAATAAGTCAAATGAAATTACTGATATTACAAAAAGGCACCTATTTCTTTACTGTTACCAAAGGAAGGACAGGAGAGGGAAGAAGAGAAACACTAGGAAAAATAGAAAACTATTTTTACACATAAAAAGCAACCCAAAATGTGGCATGATTTTGAGCAATTAGCGGAGTACAAGAAAACAACACTACTCATGTGACCTTGATGATAGATTCAAGAGGATAAGAAGTGGGTAATTGGGCCCATGAAGAAGGAAAATAATCTTAGCTCATCATCTTTAGCATTTACTTAGAGTTAAAGCATGAAAAAACTTATTATGGTTTCAGAACAGAATGTGAATATTTTCTACTTACCTTAATAATGTTCAAGTGAAGTTATAGCTCACAGATGTTGGAAGATGGAGTTAAGTAAATATGTAGGAAAGAGGAGAGGTGCTAATACCCCCCAAACATGAGGAATAAGGAGTCTCCATGTAAAGACTACAGAACAAGAGTAGAAATTAAAATGTGTCATCAAAAGTGATGCAGATACATAATTGAAGAACTTTTCTGAAATATGTTACTATTCAAAATTTAAAAAGGGAAGGAATTGTGTGGGGGAGATTGCATAATGAGATAAACTACTATATTTCACAGTAAGAAGTAGAGAAGTAGAGATAAGCCGAAAGTTGATAAATCAATTAGTATATTATTTATTTAAAGTATATATAAGTACATATACAGTATACAATGTGTATGTATGTGTATATGTTTGTGTGTGTGTGTGTGTGTGTGTATAAAGTATACTAAAGTTATAGCCTTAACTAATAGGAGAACAAAAACCGGAAATGGTGTGATGGTTAAAGTGTTTATAGGAGCAGTAGGATGGGGACCATGAGAGACTGATGCTTTCCTTGATTAACACTTTGGTAGTACTGGACTTTACCCATGAGCACATAATACACTGCTAATTTTTTTTAAAGAATGAAATAAATTTTATAAAAACACTAGAGTTAAATATTGGGATGAATGTCCATGGAATATCATTATAGAAAAGGAATTCTTAAATTCAATCTCCGTTAAAAGCTTTAAGACTAACATTATTTATAAATGCTACTTATACAACCCCTTGTTCTGCTTTTCCCCATATATATTTCAGGATTACTTTCTCCTCATTACTTTCTAAAACTCATCGGTCTCAATATATTTTGAATAGTCATGTGCATTTTTCAACAATTTTAAATTGTACACATTAAAAGGTATATATTTGTGGAAAAATTAGACAATTCCAAAAAACATACACTACAAATGATCATAATCCACCCTTCAGAAGCAACCACTTTTGATACTTTGGCAATTATCTCAATTATTTAACATAGCTGAAATTACAACACAGCTAATATTTTGCATTCTACTTTCAAAAAATAATATAAAAATATGTATGCTATTAAAAGAACTATTAATTTAAAATATTTTAAGTAAATCTTGAAGGATTATAAAATAGTACATAAAAATGTAGAAAATTCAAAAAGTAAAGTATAGAAGAGATAATAACCCTCATAATTCTATAATCTGGAGATGCTCAGTTTTAACATTGCAACATATTTCTCCACATATTTTCCCTGTATATACTATACATAGTGTGTTTTTAATAGTGCATCTAGTGTATCTGCAAGTTTGTTCCCTGTTTTGTTTTTACTAAATATTGTAACAAAAGTATTCCTCCCACATATAAATTTCTTTATGAATATCTTTTACATGTTTTATTTATCAAATTTTAATGAACTCTTGTTCTGCAATAAGTATTTTTTGTTCTTCCAATATATCAATTATTCAGATTATAAATAATGATGCAATGAACACTCTTATACATAAAATCTTTGCCTCTTTTGGATTATTTTCACAGCTTAAATTTCCAGAAGTATAAATACTGAATCTAAAAGAAGTCCAATAAATTTAGACTATAGAAAGATCATTCTGAATGCAATAATTGGAAAAGCATTATAATTTAAGCAGGGTGATTCTTTGACTTATATAAAATGTTTTTGCATAAAAAATTAAAAGGGATAGGTGAGAGTTCTTTGTTAGCACTTTGAAAATGAGTGAGAAAACATGATGCCTTTTAGGTTGAATGTACGTACAGCAACCTTAGCAATAACAGAAATAGCAATCTCCTTTCTCCCAAAAGTGAGTAATAATTTATACCAGGCAAACAAACACACTGCTTGTTTCATTTGTTTTATGGCCAGCATATCTACATGGAAGCAGTAAAGCAGGTAAAGATTCTGAGTCAAATACAAACTACTAGTACTTATTTACAAGGCTGTAAAGAATTTGCTTTAACAAATCATGTTTTCTCTCCTATCATAATGATTTTTGCATGGCATCAAGTTAAGATAATGATATAATATATGTATGATCAAATGGAAATTGGATCACCAGAAATATTAAGCAATATTAAAGAATTTGAATTTTCATGAGATTTATATACAGATTCCTGAAAGGAAAGGGAAAACCCTAAAAATTTGCTTGGATCTCTTAGTATTTTAAGTTCTAAAGGCAAAGCACTAAGTAACCTTATTATGTTAGTTAGCTTATAACCCTAAAACACCACAGGATGTTATAGTATAATACTGACTTCTGTTTCAGGGATTTATGTTAATTACTTGTGTGTTACATGTTGGGGATCCCTTTTAGTATTTCCTCCTTAGTACTATGCTTGGAACGTCTTATGTTTCCATTAAGTGATTAAAGGTGATTAAATGGTAGCCTTGAACTCAAGAAGAGGGAATAAACAGAAGACAGCACATTATTCAACTTTGGAAATTAGTAACAAACAAAGGGACTGTCTGAGAGTCCATCTGTAGAGAAGGTCACTTAAAGGATCTGAAGTAGATCCATGTTGGCTGGAAATAGATTTGATGAAGAGTGTGCTGGAGGAGGAATTGTCAAGAGATAAAGATGGAAAGGCTGACCAGAGACAGATCAAAGGGCCTTACATAGCAGATTAAAGTAGTGAAAAAAAAATGGAGTATGAAGATGAGACATAAAGAACAGGATAGTTGCAAAATAAGGAAAAAACTGGAGGTATGGTCAAAAGCGGAAAACAGGTGGTTGCAGTAATCTAAGCAGGAGATGATAATGGCCAAAGTTCAGACAGTAGAACAGGGACAGTGTTATGGACTAAATTATCCTCCCATCCTAAAAACATTCACATATTGAAGCTCTAATCCCCAGTCCCTCAGAATGTAACTGTATTTGGAGAGAGGGCCTTTAGAAAGGCAGTTAGGTTAAAATGAGGCCATCAGGGCAAGCCCCAATCCAATCTGACTGGAGTCATAAGAAGAGGAAATTTAGATACATGCAGAGACACCAGGGTTGCACGTGCACAGAAGGACTGTATGAGGACACAGCGAGTGGAGGCATCTGCAAGCCAAGGAAAGAGGCCTCAGAAACCAAACCTGCCAACTCCATCTTCGACTTTCAGCCTCCAGAACTGTAAGAAAATAAATTTTGGTTGTTTAAGCCACACAATCTGTGGTATTTTATTATGCCAACCCAAGCAAACCAGTACAGATGGATGTCAGTGAAAGATTCTGAGAGATATTTAGAAGGCAAAAATCTTAAAATTCAGTGATGGATATAGGTTATAATGGAGAAGCATAAGTCAGAGTGACTCCCAGATTTTTAGTTTCAGTATTTGGGAAGGTACAGTTCCATTGTTTGAGGTAGGAAATCCAAGAGAAGGAGCAGGATAGACTAAAATAATAACAAATTCTGTTGTGGTCCTGTCGAGTTTTTTTTGTAATCATGCTACATGCCTCTGGTAAATACTCCATAGTTAAATAAATACATGGATCTGAATCTCAGGAAAGAGAGCTTGGCTGGAGAAATTGACCTAGGTGTCATCAACATACAGATTAAAAAAGACTCAGTTAGGGACCAGGAAAATCATTGGTAGGACTTGGTCACATACAGAAATGAAAAGATCACAGACGATCTCATCCTCCTCAAAGGTCACTAGGGTTTGGCTTTCAAGTATTGAGGCAGATACTTGAAAGCCTACCCAGAAGACATTTCACACTCCACCACATCTCTTCCTGCCCCAACAGGTTTTTAATGTGGCAAATCCCCAGAGAGTGAATCATGATGGTACCTGCAGGTCACGGTAATTCTACTTCCTTTTGCCAGAGACTGTTTAGTAGGCATTTGACCTATTCATATCCAATAAAGATGTATCTAAAGTTTTCTTCTAGATAAAAAGAGAAAACAAGTATGAAGAACAATTTACCTTTTTTTCCTGAATGTGAGAACTAATGAGAAGCCATGTTGATATTTTGGTGCTATATTGTGAGAATGAGAGTCCCAAAGATGGCCCAAAGAATCACAGAGAAGCCTTCCCAGAGGTCTGTGTTTGTGAACCTGGAATCCTGGAATCCCCTATCCACTCACTTGTTATAGGAAAGATAAATAATCCCTCACTGTTTATTCCAAATTCCACATTCAGTTGTTAAGAATCCTATTTTTTGAAGTTAAAGCATCTCAAAAGAATTTAGCATTTTTCTCAAAGAACTCGCCTACTAAAATGGTACGGAAGTTACCTTGAAAGCACAGGCTAAGATGTCAACTTACTCAGCCTACTGAGGCTGAGAAACTCCAATTTTTAACCTGGGAATGAGTTTTTCCTCTTTCAGTTTCTTTTTTTTTTTAATGATAATAATTTTAAAAGTGGTATTGACTATTTTTGTGCCTTCCCTGTGCAAAATAATGAAGTTGAACGCGGTATCTGGTAGGATGTAAGAAATGAAACATCAGGCTGGGTGCGGTGGCTCATCCCTTTAATCCCAGCACTTTGGGAGGCCGAGGCAGGTGGATCACCTAAGGTCAGGAGTTCGAGACCAGCCTGGCCAACATGGTGAAACCTCGTCTCTACTAAAAATACAAAAATTAGCCAGGCATGGTGGTGAGTACCTGTAATCCCAGCTACAGGGCGGGAGCTGAGGCAGGAGAATCGCTTGAACCCAGGAGGCGGAGGTTGCCGTAAGCCGAAATTGCACCACTGCACTCCAGCCTAGGCAACAGAGTGAGACTACGTCTCAAAAAAAAAAAAAAAGAAAGAAAGAAAGAAAGAAATGAAACATCAAAAACCAGTTCCTTAAAGAACCTTATACAATAAAATGGGTTTTTGCAGGAGCCATCAATTACATCTATTAGTTAATAAGTATAGATAGTGTAATTTTAAGAATATATTCATTTAATAATCAGGCAGTAGATACTCAGAAATGCTTTTTTATTAGCTTTTTTTATTGACATGAAAAGTGCTGAATATTGTCAGTAAAATCATTTTTAGTTCTTTATTTCCTTGTTATATAAGGAAAAAACTTCCACAAAGACACAAAGACTCTTCTTTACATTTTTTTCATAAAAGAGGGGAAAAAACTATCTCCAACACTTTATATTTTAATTTTACTACAGAGATAGAACCCTACAAAGGGACTTCCCTTCTGTGTTCTAAGGCAGGAATAGATGATATAAGAAATATGTCTCTGGCTTCCCAGGGGAATTCAATAAAACTTAAAAAAAAAAAACAAAAACAAAGAAAAGAAACCTCTCAATTCTTTTTATGAAGTAAGCAAGACACTGATGTTAATCCTCAATAGGATTACTCAGTGAAAACACAAACCATCCAGACCAATTTCACTTATGACTATCAATGTAAAAATCCTTGAGAAAATCACTTTGGGAGGCCGAGACAGGCGGATCACATGAGGTCAGGACTTCGAAACCAGCCTGGCCAAGACGGTGAAATCCCGTCTCTACTAAAAATACAAAAAAATTAGCTGGGCATGGCGGCATGTGCCTATAATCCTAGCTACTTAGGAGGCTGAAGCAGGAGAATCGCTTGAACCCGGGAGGTGGAGGTTGCAGTGAGCCAAGATTGCTCCACTGCACTCCATCCTGGGCAACAGAGTGAGACTCCATCATAAATAAATAAATAAATAAATAAATAAATAAATAAATAAATAAAATCATAGCAAACAAAATCCATTATTACTTCAAAAAGAATAGCTCATCGTGACCAGATATGGCTTATTCTAATAGGAAATATACTATTTATAATAAATGTATCACTTTAGCATTGAAGTCAGATCATATGACTTTTCTACTCTAAACCTGCCAAAGACTTCCCATTTCACTCATGGTAATACCGAAATTCTTACACTAACCTGAAGGGTTTATATAATCTGGCACCTGCTGCGTCTGGGTCTTATTCTCTCTAGGTCATACTGTGCACTCTGCTGCTTCTCAAACAATTGAGGAATATGCCTGGCTTATTTATTTGTCTGGAATACCTCCCTCAAGCAACCACAGGGTTGAATACTTCATCTCCTCCTTCATTGTTTCACTTAAGTGTCCCCCTTACAGTAAGGCTTATGCTGACCATGCTGCTTAAAGTTACAACCGTCCTACCCTCACTTTGACACTTTTGATTCCCTTTCCTTTCTCCTTGTATGTTTGCTTTATTCTATAGCACTTTCTACAGCGTTTTGATATCACCTTCTAGAACTGACTCAAAGAACTGCTTGTTTGCTTTTTGGTTTTTGTTTTTTGAGACATGGTCTCACTCTGTTACTCAGGCTGGAGTGCAGTGGCACAATCATGGCTCACCGCAGCCTTGACCTCCCTGGCTCAGGTGATCCTTCCACCTCAGCGTCCCAAGCAGCTGGGACTACAGGTTTGTGCCACCACGTCCAGCTAATTTCTGTATTTTTTGTAGAGATGGGGTTTCGCCATGTTGCCCAGTCTGGTCTCGAACTCCTGGGCTCAAGCGATCCACTGGCCTCGGCCTCCCAAAGTTCTGGGATTACAGGCATGAGTCACCATGCTCGCCTAAATTCGAAGAGGGCAGGACTCTATCTGTATCAATCACCACTATATTTCTTTCACCTACAATAGTACCTGACACGCAGCATTCAACTGATCTTTTAAGATAAACAACCGAATGGTTATATTAATAAATATGAATAGAAAGCACAAGATAATCTCTACAGACACTAAAAAGCCATCTGACAAATAAATACATATTCTTTCAAAATGTTTAACTAAATAGAAAATTGATGGCTAAATCCTTAACATAATTTCACTGAAAAATATTCTTAGTACGTAAACACTGGGGACATTCCACTACAGAAGTTAAAAGGATGTCCGCAATCACTGTTAATACTTAACATTATATAAGATGTATTAGGGGAGTCAATTATAAGTAGAAAGACATAATAAATAGAAAAAGAATGGATGGAATAAACTAGAACTATTTGTAGATAAGAGGATTATACAACTAGAGTAAGAAAGTCCAATGAAAAACTACCAAAATAAATATGAGATTTAGTGAGGTAGTGGAATATAAATTACAGTTGGCCCTTGAGCAACATGGGTTTGAACTGATGGGTCCACTTACATGCAGATTTTCTTCCACCTCTGCCATCCCTGAGACAGCAAGACCAACCCTTCCTTTCCTTCCTCCTCCTCAGCCTCCTCAAGTGAAGACAATGAGGACGAAGACCTTTATGATGACCCACTTCCACTTAGTGAGTAATAAGTATATTTTCTCTTGTGATTTTCTTAAGGACATTTTATTTCTTCTAGCTTAATTTATTGTAAGAATACAGTGTATAATACATATAACATACAATATATGTATTAGTTGACTGTTTACCAGGAAGACTTCTGTTCAATAGTAGGCTATTAGTTGTTGTTTTTGGGGAGTCAAAATTTATACATTCATTTTCAACTGCACGGGTGTTGGCACCCATAAATCCCACATTGTTCAAGGCTCAACTGTATTGTTAAGTGAATAAAGTCAAGGTATGGGAGAGTATGAATAAGTATGTCATTCTCTTTGCTTAAAAATAGAGGAAAAAAGAGGCCGGGTGCAGTAGCTCACGCCTGTAATCCCAGACTTTGGGAGGCCTAGGCGGGCGGATCACGAGGTCAGGAGATTGAGACCATCCTGTCTAACACGGTGAAACCCCGTCTGTACTAAAAATACAAGAAATAAGCCGGGCATGGTGGCGGGCGCCTGTAGTCCCAGCTACTAGGGAGGTTGAGGCAGGAGAATGGCGTGAACCCGGGAGGCGGAGCTTGCAGTGAGCCGAGATGGCACCACTGCAGTCTGGCCTGGGAGAACGAGTGAGACTCCGTCTCAAAAAAAAAAAAAAAAAAAAAAAAAAGAGGAAAAAAGAACATATAAATGCGTGTGTGCACTATATTTTCAGGCACTTGATAATATATATGTATTACCTCTTCAAAAATTTAAATACATTTTTTTAAAAAGAAACACCTTTCTCTAAAACACTGCAGAATAACGTCTTAAGAAACAAATTCAGCCAGGAACAGGTGGCTCACGCCTATAATCCCAGCACTTTGGGAGGCCAAGGGGGGTGAATCACTTGAATCCAGGAGTTCAAGAGCAGCCGGGGACAAGTGGTGAAACCCCATCTCTACAAAAAAATACAAAAACTTAGCCTGGCATGGTGGCATGTGCCTGTAGTCCCAGATGCTCAACAGGCTGAGATGGAAGGATCACTTGAGCCTGGGAGTCGGAGGTTGCAGTGAGCTGACATCATGCCACTGCACTCCAGCCTGAGCAACAGAGCAAGACCCTGTTAAAAAAAAAGAAGAAGAAGAAAGAAGAAAGAAAGAAAGAAAGAAGGAAAGAAAGAAAGAAAGAAAGAAAGAAAGAAAGAAAGAAAGAAAGAAAGAAAGAAAGAAAGAAAGGAGAAGAAAAAGAAACAAGCTAAAGAGTGAGGGAGAGAAAAATTCAAACATGAAGTCTCCCTAGAGCTTGAACAGGGTGAGCAGCCTCATTTCCAAGGACTGCCATTCTCATCATGTCTGCCCCTCAACATGTTCATCCGACAAAAAATCATATTTGATGCTTTGCTACATGATTGTGATGTTACATGAGCTGTTCCTTTTGCTTTGCTATAAATTTTTTGTGTTTGTAAGCATCTAGAAATGATGCACAAGCACCGTTAATTCAACTCAATATGATCCAACAAACACTGAGTGCTGATTGTGCTTATTAGCCAGAGCCATTTCCTTCCATGGTAGCAAATATTGTAAGGGAGGCGTGAAACATGGGATATATATATAAGTAGAAAGGTAACAAAAAGGCACCAAGAAAATTCCCCAAAGAGGTGGTATCTTGTACCAATTTTGAAAACAGACCATAGGAATAGAGAAGAGGAACATTCCAGGAGGACGAGATTGCATGTGCAAACTAATAAATGTGTAAAGTAGCACAAAGATGAGTTTGGAGAACAATGTGTTGCTAAACTGGAAAGTGGTATTCAAAGGGCAAAGGGAGTATGGGAGGGGGAGGGCAATGATCAAACTATCAAGGGCCTGGACAGTTTATGCTACATAGTTTAGACTTCATCTTGGAGTGATGTGGAGCCAGAATATCTATCAGCAGGGAGAACATATGGCCAGATGCATCTGTTCACCTGGTTAGCAATGTGGAATACACATTGGAAGGAGCAAGACCAAAGCGTGCAACCATCCACTGAGATATGATGAGAACGATGTTTCCTTAGGGTTCATCTTTGTGTCCTACTCAGCAACATGCACAGTAAATTACACACAGTGACTTTCAGTAGCCCCTGATTGCCTACAATGTCACAACTTTTATTTTTCTGACAGTATCTTAGCTGTAAGAATAAGAGTGTAAGAATCAATTTAACCTGGCTGCCCTAGCATTTTGAAACAATATTTTATCTAAATATGCTAACATTTATACTAGAACTATGTGAAAACTAAGATTTGTCTATGTGTTATTCAAAATTCATTTGACTATGCATGGGTTGCACAGGTACCACAGGTGGTGTTTTGATTTTCCAACTTCGTTATAAATATTTAAGTTGCCAAGTTCCATCATCTTCCATTACCACCTAAAATAAAAGACTTTACTGAACTCTTGCTATTTCTCTAAAGGAGCCCTGTTATTCATTGACCTTCATGATAAAATACACACACACACACACACACACGAAAAGAAACAAAGAAAAACAAGCCATCCATCCACCAACTAGATTCTTTCTTGAGGGGAGAGTAGTTGTTCTTTTTCTTGTTTCATTTTGCTGAATAACAAATGTTGAAAATAATTACCAAATAAGGTTTCACAACAGGTGAGACTTCCTAGGATTCTTTCTTGAAGGTTTTTAAATGGACAGTAAAAATGCAGATAATTCACAAAACTTCTCAAATTGAAAGCCGGATGAAGATACATAAGAAAATGACAGAGAGAAAGTCTCTCAAATGATTTATAATACCTGTTTCAAGACTCAAAGAATCATCTAGTCAGGAAGAAAACAACACACAACCTTTATTTAGAGACTGAATCTAATCTCAGCTGTACTTCCCACTGTACCCATCTTTTTCCAGGGCAACAGACTACTTTAGATAAATAATATGCATAAGTAATTAATAAGAATATAACTGAGTATATTCAGAGGTAGTTATACTGGAGGATCTAGAACTTAACAGAGACTGTTTATGTGGAAATAGCCTTTGACAATGCAAACATAAGTCCCTATCATTCTCTATTTTTATTCATGTAATTTATGATCAGAACACTATAGAAATTGCCACATAAGAAATAACCTTTTCAGAATGTTTTAATTTTTAATGTTAGAATATTTATTTATATAACTCACTACTTATTATAGTAAAGATTTTGAATCTGAAGAATTTTAGGATGAAAATCATCTATATCTTTTAGTATGACATGGCAGTGCCTAAACAGCTAATATTGTTATCCTAAATAATTGTGGATTTGTTAATGTTAGAATACAATGTTCAAAAATTAGAATCAAATATTCAGTTTGTTAGGTGAAATATACAAAATACTTTTAATTTTTCATTTGCAGGAATCTTTGTATATAAGTCATTAAAAACCTTATTGTATGTTAACCTTATCAGTAAATGGATTAGATTTTTATCAGTGAATGATGTTTTGGAATCAAGCACATGGTGAATAAATTTTAATGCTAAAAATTTTAATGTTAAAAAAGCATGAGGGAAAATGGTCAATATTTTTATTTAAAAAGATGTAAAACCTATAAGATTCCAAAATATAATTTTATTTCTTATTTTTTATTTCTGTGGGTACATAGTAGGTATATATACTTCCTTCTTATTTAATTTTCATTGATGTAATATAAGAAAAGACGTTAAGAGGACTAAATAGCAGTGCTAAATCTTAATCCTGACTTTGCATATTTCTTAAGACCTAGTAATTAATTTTCATTTCACTCTTTGAAAAAACAAAGGCCTTCTAAAATTCCAGCTGTTCTAACAAGTGTTACAGAGATCCATTAGTCTCTAATACCTTCAATATTGTATTTAAGACAAATGTTTG
The DNA here is from genome assembly GCF_000001405.40 of Homo sapiens. Lineage (NCBI taxonomy): Eukaryota > Metazoa > Chordata > Mammalia > Primates > Hominidae > Homo > Homo sapiens. The sequence continues at coordinate 142,809,496 of NC_000004.12, forward strand.
ATGCTCCAGGTACCTCTATAGTAATAGGTACCACATGGCACCCATTTGGTATAAATGGAGATTATAGAGGATAGATTCACAGACTGAATCTTCATTTACAAGCTAGTAATTATATTCTGTCATCCTGGGAAAAAAGTACTGACTCAAATGCAAAGAAAAAATTGTATAAACATCCTAGAATATGTATCAGAGCTTATTTAACAGTGGTGAATGTTGCATAAGTTATCCATGGTCTTTCTTCCCCTGTTTTCTCCTTATGACTGATTTCCCTGAGTCAGCAGGACACAGTCAAGTTGCAGCCAATGACTCTGGAAAAGGTTTGACTTTTCCTGTTTAAGAAAAAAAAAAATCCACGGGATATTACATGGCCTTGGTCTTAAGAATTTATCATGGGCCAGGCACGGTGGCTCATGCCTGTAATCTCAGCACTTTGGGAGGCCAAGGTGGGCAGATCACCTGAGGTCAGGAGTTCAACACCAGCCTGGCCATCATCTTGAACCTTTGTCTGTACTAAAAATACAAAAATTAGCTGGTCATGGTGGTGGGTGCCTGTAATCCCAGCTACTCGGGGGGCTGAGGCAGGAGAATTGCTTGAACCCAAGAGATGGAGGTTGCAGTGAGCCGAGATCGCGCCACTGTACTCCAGCCTGGGTGACAGAGTGAGACTCCATCTCAAAAAAAAAAAAAAAAATCAAATTGTAAAGCAATGTGAATGTACTTAATGCCACTGGATTATACAATTAAAATGGTTAGAAGTGTAAATTTTATGTTAGTTATGTATATCTTGCCAAAAATAAAAAAGAATTTGTCATCAAACATTCATCAGTGAGGCTGCCACTTATTATTTAATTATAGAATAGTATTCTTCACATTTGTTCACTATGCATCCACACAGAGTTTAGAATGTGCCTTTGTTCCTGTGGTATCAGCATTTTTACCCATAATCCTGAACTACACCTTGATCCATCAGCATTATTTATTCATTGATTCAGAATATAAATGTTTTACTGCTGTAAGTATGAGTACTAATCTACTGAGATTAACATTTCAGTTATTGGGCCACAGCTAATATACACAATCATATTTTTAGTACCTAACGAGTGATTTCATAAAATCAGCTCACCTAACATCTATTAAATTTCTATGGCACAAAAAGGACTCTCCCAGTTGCTTTTACTGTCACCTCAATATACAGTTGACTAACTTGTAAGCCGTATGCTCATACTGTAGGTATGGTCACACATAAGGCTGTTATTAGTCTCACATTGTAATCCTAAAGTCACTAAAGAAATTTTCCAGGACCGAATCTTGTTGGTATTTTATGTATCCTACACTTATACTTAGATCTGACCCCTAATCCTCTTGTCTGAAAGAAAAGTGTCTTGCATACAAATTGTCATTCAAAAAATACATTGGTTTAGAAGTATTTCTTCTTGTTTTTAACAAATTATACATGTCCAGACAGAAGGAGGTTCTATTCTAGCCATTTAAAAATGAAAAATGTTATGTAAATGCACTGCTGACATTTTTCTGCACTGGTTGTTAAAATACTAATCTACTTTCAATCCAGTTGTTAAATTCTACACTTACTGTCTTATAAGGAGTCACTTAAAGATATTGCTGCAGCAGTAGAGGCTGAGATTGGGGCTCGATGCAGTGCTGGTGCAGATGTCTTCCCTACCTCCACCTGTGCATATATATGCTCAGCACACCAAAGTAGTAGTGGAGTCATAGGCAGTGGCTATCATTGCCTCAGAGGAGCATAATGCAGGCAGAGGGCACTGCTGATGGCAAGGAAGGCAGCATTAGTGCAGATGTTGTTGACAGAGGAGAGGGCCAAGTCAGTCTTCCTGGGCTCCAGCACTGAAGGGAATTGCTGACATCCAGGTTCATAGCCTGTCCTGACCCAAAGACATTATGCCAGCCACCCTCCAACTGCATGAACATGCTTATTAGGGGTGCACTTACTGTGGATATCAATGGAAAGCTTGATGTAATTTGCTATGTCATGATTCAGAAAGGGGCATTCTAGTTATTGACAGCTTCCCAGAAATAGTATATCACATTGATACAATCAAAAAATCAACTGATGATTTGAAAATTATTAGAATGATGTGACTAACAATTTGCATTCCTATTTATAGCACTTGGTAAGCAGTCTTAGATATGTCACTTAGTTAGATTAGAAAATAAAATAATTATGTTTAAAATTTTGCGTGTACATTGATTTTTATAACTCAGCTGACCATCTGGCAATTAATATTTTGAATATCATTTCTTCATTTTATTTTCATCAGCTCCCCACTCCATGAGGATTAGGACCTATATCTCTGTTTGCTTACCAATATATCCCCAAAGAAAAGCGCGCTGCTAGCACATAGTAGTTCTCAAAATATTATGCAATCAATGATTAAATAATTGAATAAATATATACTCAACTACCAGGTATCATTCCCCAGGTCTCCCTAAATCCAAACTCAATAATTCTATTTCACAAAACATCTTTTTTGAGAATCTCCTAAGCATAAGGCACCACGAGAATTGCATGGATGTATGAAGATGAGTAGTTACCCAATACCTGCTCCCAAACAGCTTAAAATCTAATGAGAGATAGAGCTTCTTAATAAAAATTAAAGCCTCTTACAGTTATTGCATACTTCTTTGCTGAACTCTATATTCCAGTGATAGCAGGCCCTCCAGGAAATGATATATATCTACCAGCATGCACCTGCCCACACACCCATGGTATTTTAGCCTTGACAGTGAAGAAAGAGTTTGAAGTTTCAGGATTGTACCTCTCCTACACTGCCCCAGAAGCCACACTCCTCTCATAGCTGTGGTTCTCAAAGAGAAACATTGCACTTTTTTCTGGCTCTGTATGTCATGACAGATGCTTCATCATCAAGGTTCTTGTTTTTGTTTTGCTTTTCCTCCCTTTAAAGTTAGAAAATAGTATTGTGCATTTTAATAAATATAGCTGTTTAACAAATTCCACTAAATTCTATTCAATCCCATCCTTACCAAAATGTTTGTCTTCTTGCCTACTGTATTGTAATGGACATAAGCACGTGCTATTCATTTTGAGAAATAAACAGCATGGATGTTTAAAGGGTTTAAGTAATATCTAAGTTACCATAGAGAAAAAAAAACTGGAAACAATTATATTACATTATTGATGTCTTATTTATACTTTTTTATAACAAGGTAAAAAAAAGACATTAGAACACCTAATTTTAGTGAAATATTTTTGAGCAATAAAGACTTCTAGAATCTGCAGACTCTAGGATGATAGAATTTCCACCTTCTCCATTGATGTAGATTTGACAGGTTGTATATGTAAAAGCATGACAATCCTTTATAATTATTAGAATACCCATCTGGAACATCTTACCAGTCACATATGGGGGATTTTCATCTGTCCTTTAGATGCCAAAAAATAAAAGGCTTTGCTATGATCAACATTGAATTTATATTCATAACATAAGGCAGTCCAGGAATTTAATGCCATATCCCCTGCCTCAGCTTCTCATGTTCTTGTGAGCTAACTCCTAAAAATGTTGAACACGAAATTTAAAACCAGTCTCGCTATAGAAGGAATTTCTTCCACTCCATTCTAGTGCTACATGAACTCTTTCTAAACCCAGCAAAGAGACTCATACATGTACTGTTGATATCCCAAGCCAATAATGAGTTAAAATGACACTATCTTACAACCTTATAACCTTTTCATAAACATTATGTCATTTCAGAGTAGAAACTAATATCTTATTCTGGACATTCTTATAACAACCTGTTCTGTCATTCCTCCCCATTTATTTGATAAAAGATAAACAAAGAAATGCCAGTGGATCTCCTAGAAAACAAACCTCTCCAGACAAATCATCACATGGAGCCAAAAATCTCTGGATGAACAGAGCCCAGAGTTTACTTGTAGGAGTCAGTTGGGTTAATGCAGTAAATAAGTATAACACAATGTTTCTCTAATATCAATTTTTTCTTGTCTTTCGTTTGTCCTTGTGTTACTAAGAAATGGAATGATGTTCGGGGTTATTCAATGGAGCTTTGCTCTATACTTTGTCACTGGCAATAAAGCAATAAAGAAATAAACAATATCACATAAAATAAGTTGGCAAAGCTTTCTCATGGCACATATTATAGATCTGAGCTAATAAAAAGTTTCATCTAAAAAGATCACAGTGCAACCAACAAAATACATGAATACTAAATCAATGATTTATAATATATTGGGGCCTTATATCCTAGGAAACAACAAAGTAACTGATGTAACCTCTTATCTCTCCCTTCCTTTTATTATGCTTCACTTTGTGTCTTTGGGAAGTATTTATATTCTTAACCGAAATTTGAGTACTCAATAAAACAGTGTCAACTGCTTTAAAAGTCATGATACTAGTTTCTCTAATCAAACCCCAAAACACTCTATTCCAAATCACCAGACTGCTCCCAATTTGGTGTTACCCCCAAGAGGAAGAAAAAGTTATAGAAAAGAGCTCAACCTTTCCTTCAAATGTGGACTGACTGGAGAGTGCTTACAGCTGCAGGCTGAGGGGATTCTTACTTGGAAGTAGCTGAAAAATGGGACATACATTTCCCCTATCAGGGTGTTCCACCATTACTGTGCAAAAGACAGAAGGGGAAAAATGGTGAGAAAGCAGGTAACAGGGAAAAGGAGAATCATGCATCCTCTCTAGAGGAGATTGTATTTTAAGTACAATATCTTCAAGCAAAAACAAAATGTCAGTGGAAGGCTGCAGGCAATGGGGAGAATGTTTCTTCATCACCCACATCCCCAGCCTTTTCCCCAACATCCCAGAAGTTAAAGGAAAACTACTTAAAGCATGAAATAATTGGCAAACATGTTAGCATAAATTGAAAAATGTGTCTATTTTTTCTTGAGACAGTATAAATTAACAAAATGCTAAGATAAAAATGAAAACAAAGATAGAAAATAGATACCACTATCTAGTTCAGTTACCTACTACTAACTACCTTGGCCATGTAATCTCTCTGTTTTTCTCCAAAATCATTTTACAGAGTTATTGTTATTGTATGAAGAGGGAAAGAGATGTCATGGCCCATTTCATTCATTTTGGCTGACCTAAAAGCTACACATAGAACTCAGGAGCAACTGAAAGACTTCCCAATGGCCAAAGCTGGAAAAATTGGAGCAATAAAATTCATAAAGTAGTATGCAATTATAACCCAAAGCATAAAATAAATATCCATGAGTCCATAGTGATATAAATAAATGATGGATTAAATATAGAAGAGACAAAACTCCTGTGAAAAAGGATTTCAGATAATATGTGCAGACACTCTAATCTCAAGGGGATGGAGCATAAGTTCCCCCATTCCCATTCCTGAAGTGTAGGCTGTGCACAGTAACTCCCTTCCTTCGAGTCCAATGTGGAAAAGAGGAGGGAGAGAGTAACGATGGGGTGCTGCAGTGGAGACTCCTGATAAACACTACCTTATCAGGTGATCAAGGTTCACATCAACAGTATTAAGCCATGTGGCTAATATGTACTTTTCATATGATGTGAGGAGACTGACATTTTACTTCTCTGGTCTTCCTCCCAAGAATGCATAAATCCAGTGGAATCAGGAGGAAACACCAAATTACTCTAGAGGGGTGTCCTACAAGATGCCTGGACTGGTATTCCTCAAAATTTTGAGGTCATTACAAACAAGGAAAATCTGAGAAACTGTCACAGCCAAGAGAAGCCTCAGGAGGCATAACAACTAAAATATAACGTGATGTACTGGCATTAGATAAAAACTAAAGAAATCTGAATAAAGGATAAGCTGTAGTTAATAATGTATCAGCACTGGTTCATTAATTGTAACAAATGTACCATACTAATGTAAGATGTTATTAATAGGAGAAATCAGATGTGCAATGCATGGAAACTCTATTTCCTTAATGTTTTTGTAAATCCCATACTGTTCTAGGATAATGTTTACTTTAACTAAAGTTATACTAATATAACTCTATTGTGCCACTCAGAGGTTTCCGTCTAAAAAAACAATTACCTTCATGCTATTCATTCTTTTAAACGTAAGCTGTGATGAAAAAATCAAATCTGACACCTGAAACTATGTCTTTCTGCAGGGATCTAGTTGTCATTAGATTTTTACTCTTATGAAGACAAATTATATAAGTAAAGCTTAACAAAACATTAGCTTAATTCCATATATATTTTTATAAGTATTTGCCTCATTCTCTGTTTATTTTTCTTTATCCCAAATCAGGTGATTGGAAGAAAACACATTTCAAAAATTAAGGTGCCCTGCTTTAAAGGGTAGGTGAGAAACCTACTCCAGAAAACCTCATTTTTCTTCCATAGGTAGTTATTAATTTTATTTTCACTTTTGTAAATTGCTCACTTTGTACTCAAACAAGATGCTTTTTTTCCTTTCACTGTAGGCCTTGTCCACTTACTGTGTAAAGAAGCAAAAGAAAAATAAAGGTCTGTTTTCTATTGTGAAGTCGTAATGCAAAATGTGTGTCCCCACCAGTGTTTCTGTGGCAACAGACTGATGTCAGAGAAGTGAGCAGGCTGACTCACTCCAGGACAGAAAGAAATGCATGTCTTCTGCTTCTCTTCCTAGCAGGCCCTCTTGGGGAAATACCTCTGCCTTTGTACCCAAGATTGAGCCTTTAGGAATAGATATCTTATTGAAGGGATGTATTTCTATTCTTCATTTTTAGGGTTGTAAGATTTAGAGAAGAAGATATTTCTCAGAATAAATTAAGTCAGGGTAAACTCAAAGTTGCTAATTTCCATTTCGTAAGAAATTATTTCATCAATAACATTATGATGATACCCTTTTAAATTATGTTTTTATAATTTCAATGCCCTTTTGTTAAATATTCTACCATAGGAAAAGTTAAGAGTTAGTGTGAGAAGGAAAAAGGATCTTCCCTTTAAAGATCGTTGAAGTTAAGAGTTAGTAACGATCTTAAAGGATCTTCTCTTCTCCCATTAAATCTTAACTTCCAGTCATTTCTCTAGGGCAACAGGCTTAAATTATTTCTCATCTTAAAAAAAACAAATAATAACAATATCCCATGGTGCCTAACTTCTTTAGAAAGTTGTGCATAAATATATAAAAATATACCTATACCTACATATGCGTATGCATACAGAAATATATATACATATATATATACATACACACACACATATTCAGCCATTACTCTTCCCTCATGGAAATGTTCTTAGGTACCCGTTATTTTTTCTTAATAGTATATTTGGATGTTCAAAGTAAAACTGTCATTTAACAACTATTAAGTACCTACTGAGTTCCAAATACCACTCTAGATATTGGGAAACAAATAAGGTATAATACACGCTTTCAAATACATTTAGAGTTTTGTGGGGAAGTGTTCTGGGTTGAATAGTGCCCCCAAAACTTTATGTCTACCTGGACCTCACAATGTGACCTTAATTGGAAATAGGGTCTTTGCAGATTCATTGAGTAAAGTTAATATGAGTTAGTATAATAAGAATTGATATAAGAATGGTTTCAGTTTAAATAAAACTCTTTAAAATACTGATACATACCAGTCCTTCTCTGTCAACATGGTTGTCCTAGATAAAAAATTATAAAGGACATAACAATGAAGATGGGGATCAGGGAGGAAATGGCATTTCATTAGTTCCTCAGTGGTTGATAAGCCTGTTCTTATACCTTGTATTGCACTCATTCATTTAACAAAGTGGTTGATCATTCTGACTACAGTATAAGAGTTTTTAGTGAGGTTTCCAGCCATCCCTAAAACTTTAAAACATAATACTAAAGATGTGTGAAATAAAATTATCAGTCACATATCTGATGAGTTTCCATCAGACAAGTGAGCAGGCCACTCAAAGCCTCTTCAGCCCCCTTGCTTTCTCCTCGATTATCCAAGCTTTACAAAGTCAAACTGCATATGGAGTGCTTTAATCTTTGAACGTACGGCTGCATCAGACCTTTCCCAGCTCTTCTCACACTTTTAATGGATCCAATTCACCTCCTTTCCAAGGAGCATGTCTAGGTAAGTGACAGGGTGACGATAATGCCTTGGCCACACAGGCCTCAGAAAAGAATGGTGACTAACGATTAAATGCTTAGCATGCCAGCCCACATAAACCACAAACCATGAAGCCAGGGATTAAGACTCACTGGCAGCACATCGCCCAGGAAGTCAGCTTTCAACTAGAACTAAATCAGTTTTAAATAACAACATTTCTTGGGTCTCTTCCATCATCATATTGTGCAACTTTATACTTCGGGTTTATTTGGACTAAAAATATAAAAACATCTAAACCTACTTTATAACTGCTATATATTGACGTTAAAAGGAAACCAAAATAACAATAAAAGACACCAGGAAATTGGGACTTCTTAGATAAACTTAGCTGTGTGGTATTTTGCTTCCCTTTCACTAGAATTAGAAAAATAAATGGCCCACTTTCTAGAAGTGGAGAGTGAAAGGGAGGGAAAGAGAAAAATTGAGAGGAAGAAAACATTTAAGTAACAAGAAAGCAACAGGATAGGAAAAATATCAAGTCTTCAGAATAGTAAGGAAATGGAACTCTAATAATGTTAAAGAATGCAAAGATGATAAGAAACCAGCTACTCTTGGCATCGTATGAAAAAGTGTGAGAGAAGAACCTGAACTATGTGCAGCTTGCATGTAGTCACTGAGTCCCCCCTACTCCCCTGCCCTGGCCAGTTTTTCATTTCCTCTCTGATATCATTTAAACTTCAAAGACCATCCATCACTCCTTCATTGAGAAATGCCTGCTTTCCCAGAAACAACACCAGGGCAGCTTTTTATGCCATTACTGGCATTTTATCAAAGTAAAATTTCCATGGGTTTTTCTCTCAGAGGCTATTCCAGGGCTTGTTTTTTCTACAAAAAAGGAAGGCAATTTAAACGTGTGTGTGTGTGTGTGTGTATTTCCAGTTCTATCTATATCTATATTTCAACAGAATTACAATTTCTGTAGGAATCAAAATTTGAATAAAGTAAATAATATACTTCAAAATCTTTATTATAAACATTTCATTGACAATATAGAAAGGAAATTGATACAGCATTAGCAATAAAAATTTTTGTGGCTAGTTGAGCTCCTGGGATCACCTCCTGCCCCGATCCGTGTAGCCAGCAGCTGCCTCTATACGCTTTCAAGTGCTGTGCCTGCTGCTTACAACTCTCTTCTCCTCCTACCACCACAACTCTGTCAGGTCACTGTTCAATTGTTCTCACATCAGAGAGCCCCTCGCCCTTATTAGTTTATATAAAATAGCAACCACCCAACATTCCTGTTTTATTTTTATCTTCATTCTGTTACATTTTTACCCATAGTGTGTCTCTTCCACTGATATCATATTGGCTTATGAGTTTTTGGTCCACTAGCATGTGAATGCCAAGAGGACAAGCACTTTTCCAATTTGGTTTATTGCCTTATACCCAGCACCAAAAGAGCAGTTGGCTCCCATAGGCTCAAGACGAATCTTTGTTGAGAGATGAAGGACTCCAGTCATGCGTTGTGTGCTGGGATTACTCTTTAGTATTTACCCTAGAAGGAAGAGAAGCCCGAACACTTGTATTCCCACCCTTTGGGGTAGAAACACTTGGGGTAAAAGAAAGATCAAGAACTGAGGACGCAGTATATACTGATGAAAGTAATAAACAGCTTTAGCAGCTTGAGTAAACAATTTCCCTTTCAAAGACAGACCAAAAGCCCTAAAGGGCTACATCCAGGGTTCTCCTAGTCCTTACCCTGTCCTTATCATATGGCCTGCAGAAATTGTGCTGAGAAGTTTCATCCATTTCCAACCAACTTGTAAAGATTTGTCCCTACTGAGAGCAGAATATAGGGTCTAATTCACATCTGAGTCACCAAGCAACAAGGCAAGAAACTGAGCACACAAAATGGGAGGTCTTAAAATGGCAACTAGAAAATTCAAAGTGAATCTTAGGGGATTATGAAACTGGAATTCAAAATGAAGACTGTTACCCACTTCATCTAAATCTACAGCTATCTACCAATCTGGGTGAAACACTAGTATAATTTTTGTGCTGCAAATTCTATCTGCATTCCTTTTCTCTCTGGAAAGGCATATAGGAAATGTATTTCTGAAGGCCGTAGTAAGTTGGTAAAACCAAAATTCAAATACGTATGTGGTAGAGGTTATGTTGATGTCCTGTCCAGATCTTTCTTTATGAGGCCAGTGCCAATAGGGGGCCACCTCACCAGGGAAGTTACACACACACACGCGCACACACACACGGTTCATAGGGCTCATAGCCAATTATTGACAGACACCCTTGGCTGGCAATTCAAAGTATAACGTGGCTTATGGTGTGTTTCATTCCTCCACAGTCCCTCTTCTCAGTCCTACAGTGAATCTGCCTCGAGCCGAGGCTAAAATTTACTTGAAATCACCCTTCCTTCCCCAGCCTACATCACCTCCTCCCTCATAGCCTCTTTCTGAAGAGCATTCCCTCAATAAATAATGGCACCTGAATCCTTGTCTCAGGCTCTGCTCCTGAAAGTCCAACATAAAACAGTGTACCTCCAGGTTAGGCTATTGTCTCAAAACCTGAATTATTTTGGCTTAATTTAGATTGTATTGGAATAAATGTGCTATAGTTTAGAGATTCGTCCCCACAAACCCCATGTTGAAGTCTTATCCCAATGTTAGAGATGGGACCTGATGAAAGGTGTTTGGGTCATGAGGGTGGATTCCCCACGAGTAGATGCCCTCTCTGGGGAAGGGAGAGTGAATGAGCTCTTGCTCTATTAATTCCCACAAGAGCTGGTTGTTAAAAAGAGCCTGGCACCTCCCTCCTTTCCCTTGCTTTCTCTCTCTCACTTCCCCTCTTACCATGTGATCTCTGCACATGCTGATTCCCCTTCCTCTTCTGCCATGAGTGGAAACAGTTGAGGCCCTCACAGCAGATGCTGGCACCATGCTTCTTGTACAGCCTGCAGAACTGTGAGCCAAATAAACCTCTTTTATTTATAAATTACCCAGCCTCAAGTATTCCTTTATATCAACACAAAATGGACTAAGACAAAATCCTTCCTCATTTTGAGGTCACATAAATGTAATAAATTTTGAGTAGGTTCTTAGAATTACAAATATATTGTATACAAAGGCAGAACTTTCCATATTTCAGTTGGCCAGTTCATTGCCCATCCAAGCTGTGACGGTGTTGAGAAGGAAAATAGGAATGCTTTATTCAAATGAATGATTGCAATGTATTGTAACAGTTTCTCCCTTTGCTCCTTTTCTGTATGTATAATCAGTTGGCTTGCTTTTCTTGTTTGTTTTTAATCTTTTTATGTAGGAAAGTTGACCCTCAAAGCTTAAGGAAAGAATTTATTTAGCTTAGTCCGAGTCCTTTTATTCTAATTTCAATGCTTTGTCTTATAAAGTTGATCTTGTGTATTTGATGGATTTTAAGTGGTCTCTTTCTCATGATTTCTATTACAACTTTATACTGGTTATAGTCAGTTAAGAATTTTATCTGTCTCCTGCATTTTATTAGCAAGCTGTGTGAATTATCTTCACAATATGCAGGCTTGCTCCTTTGGTCAGTTATTTCTCTAGGAATTATAATGCCTCTTGAGAACTTGGTCAATTGCTTCTTTATTTTTAGTTCACATTTTTAGTAATAACATTATTAAAAACTTCACTGAAGATATACTATTTATTACACTCTCTTGAGCCTAAGTTCTCTTGAGTGGATTTATTTATTTGATTTATATACTATTTTATCATGGAGCAGTTAGATTTATATTTTAGTTAGTTTTCTATTTTCTTACATTATATTAGAAATACACACTGCCTTAATTAAAATGACACCATATGGTGGCTATACCTTTTTTGGAGGACAAAGTTCTTTCTTTGTTGCTTAGAATAATCCAAAATGTTACCAATATAAGCATAACAATAATATACATTTTCTACATTATATTATTGGTTACCTAATTAATATTAACATGATATTAGTAGGTATAGTTTATTTTTCAAATTGCCATAACTATGTAGCCTTATTTAACATATTTTTATTTTGTTTATTTTGTGAATTTCCAGTTATAACTAGATATACAAATATTTTCCTATGTATTCAACAATAAACAAATAGAACGATATCTTTTTTACTTTTCTCAGTTTCTTAAACATAAATTGAATATAATAACAAGAATTACCTCATAGAATTGTGGAGAGAACACAGGCTGGCAGGTAGTGAGCCCTCAACAAACACTAGTCTGACCGTTATGCTAGTACAGCAGTCTGTATTTCAGTTTAGACACACACCAAAAGGAGTCACTGTCACATCAAAGAAGAAGTGAGGGTGTGGGGAAGTCTTATTATCTAATGATCGGCTAAAGGAACTAGCAGTATTTTGTGGAAGAAAAATTAGATTTTACCTGTGTGTCCCTAAAGGCCAGGGTGAGAAGTGATAGGTGGAAGCCATGGGAAGATGGCCTTCATTCCCACATATGGAAGAAGTTCCAGCTGCCTTACAAGGAAGTGAGTTCCCTGTCACTGGAGATTTTAAGCAAAAGCTGGAGAGCTACCCACCAAAAATATTACAAAAGTGATTTCTCAAGTGGCTGGGAAGTTTGGCTGGAATAATTCAAGATTCCTTTCAACTCTAATCACAAAAACCAGTAAAACCTAAAGCTCACGGTATGTTTACTGTGCAGCACTATGTCAAGCACTTTAAGTGCATTATCATTTAACCATCACAACTTCAGGAGGTAAGAGCTAAGATGATCACTCCCATTTCACAGATGAGGAAACAATGGCTTACACACTGTGCCTTAAAGCAGGGGTTCCCAGCCCCTGGGCTATGGACCAGTACAAGTCTGTGGCCTGTTGGAAACCAGACCAAACAGCAGGAGGTGAGCTGCAGGAGAGTGAGCATTACCACCTGAGCTCTGCCTCCTGTCAGATCAGTGGCAGCATTGGATTCTCATAGAAGTGCAAACCCTATTGTGAACTCTGCATGCAGGGGATCTGGGATGCACTCCTTATGAGAATCTAATGCCTGAAGGTCTGAGGTGGAACTGTTTCATCCTAAAACCATCTACACCACCCCGACTCCATCCGTGTAAAAACTGTCTTCCATGAAACTGGTCCCTGGTGCCAAAAAGGATAGGAACCACTGTCTTAAAGGACCAGACAAAATATATTGCCTTCTGTTACATGAAAAAAGTGACTCAGATCCCCTCAACAACAACAGTGGACATTCTCTCCATTTTTACATAGTCTCTTAGCCTAGTCTTACAATTTGGAATTCCTTCTGTTTCAGTCAATAGGCAAGGTTATGCTATGTTCACAAACAATTCCAAAATCTTCCTGTCTTCTTACAAAGGTTTCTTTCTCATTCACTATACATGTTTCTCATGCGTTGGCTCCAGGACCTGCTCTGCATATCCTACTCTTGGATCTGGGTTGAAGGAGTGGCCACCATCTCAAAAGGTATCTGTAATCATAGCAAAGGACAAACAAAAGAGCTCTGGAGGGTGACACACTGGCAGTAAAATGCTCAGGTAAAGAAGTGACACAAAGGCCACTTTAGTTCACAAGTCACTGGTCAGAACTAGTCACTTGGCCACCCACCCACAAGGGGCTAGGAAGTACAATCTTGTGAAGCTCAGAAGGCAGAGAGCCAGAAGTATTTGGTGAAGCAAACTAAAATATTTTCCCCAAGATATTAATGAAGTGAACTTTTTGTAGTAGCATAATATAGTAATAACATTGTTCATTTATTTCTCTTTCACAGCATTTATTCCTCTTCAAAAAGTAGAGTTTCTTCTAACATGAACACAAACCATTAAGATGTAAAATACTTCCAAAGCATCTGAAATAAAATAATAATTCATAATAATAAAAGATGTAAAAATACTGCAAGAATATAATAGTATCTGTTCACTCCCAAAATAATCCACTTGAGTAAAGATGATGACAAAATTTTAATATGTAGTCTTTTTGAAATCATAGATTAAATTTCTATTAATCTTGATAACATAAATGATGAAGATTCATTTTCCATTAACAGCTTTATTGCTGTTTATACGTCATATAAGTCATTAAATATTTTGTCTTCCAAATGATCTCTACTTTCAACACTAATTCACAAAAAAGTATGCTGTCTTTAGGACACAACTGACTTTTGATTGTTCCAGTTGGAATGATAGCGTTTTGATAAAAGCTATTCTTGCTACTCTTGGAGGCTCCAATGAGAAAGCAAAGGTTGCACTGTGTAAGAACAGTCAGTCCTTGTGATGGTTATTTTTGTGTGTCAACTTGATTGAGCTAAAGTATACCCAGATAGCCAGAAAACATTATTTCTGGGTGTGTCTGTGAGGGTGATTCTGGAAGAGATTAGCACTGAATTACTACACTGAGTAAAAAAGATCGACCCTCACCAATGTGAGAAGGCATCATCCAATCCATTGAGGGCCTGAATAGAACAGAAGGTGAGAGGAAATACACAGTCATTCTTTCTGCTTGAGCTGGGACATTCATCTCCTCCTGCCCTTGAACATGGGAGCTCCTGGTTCCCAGGCCTTCAGACTCTGGGACTTAAACCATGGCCCCCCCAGGTTCTCAGGCCTTTAGACTCAGACTGAATTATACCACTCACTTTCCTAGATCACCAGCTTGCAGATGGCAGATTGTGGAACTTCTTGGCCTGCATAATCATGTGAGCCAATTCCCATAATAAATCCTCTTTTAACTATCTATCTATCTGTCTACCTATCTATTATCTATCTGTCTATCTATCTATCTCTATCTCTATCTCTATCTCTTTCTCCTACTGGTTCTATTTCTCTGGAGAACCCAGGCCAAAATAGTCCTCTAGGCTCTTTTCCACCTTGTCATCCTCTAAATCATCGTGGCTCTAAAACATTCTATAACAGGCCAAGAGTAGTTGTTAAGTGTTGCCTTCAACCTATTCAATTAAATAAGCAATTACTTTAAAATTGAGAGTTAACCATAACTGTAATTCTAACTCCAAGAGCTATGGCTTTTCTGGTATGAATCACTCCCTTCAAAGGCACAATCCAGAAGCTTTCTCTGCACAGTATCAGAAAAATGAATTTCTTTAGTTATGAGCTGTCATAGCAACCTCAACTCTGATTCATTTTCCCCATTTCTTTATTCAGATACAAGGGTTGAATGCCTCTCTCTCAAAAAGATGGTTTGATTACTTCAATGTTATTCTACTTTATAGAAATGAATTTTTTAAATAAAAAGGATCCTTTTTTGTTAAAAAAAAAAGTCTAGAACTTAAAAAACGTATCTTAATTTCTATAATATAAATTGGAAATATATAGTTTAAAATGGAAATATTTGTCTTTGGGTTTGCAAATACTTTCATTGACAAAGTGTTGAGGACTTTTTTTTAAGTTTTTTTCACTTTGGCACTAGAGAATTTAAACTAGGAAATATACTGGAGGAGAAAAAAATTATGACAACCTTGTGAAATAGCACTGCATCCTTGGATTTGTGTGCTAGTTCTCACTGATGAACTAAAGTACATGTCAGACTTTTTTAGTAACCATGCTCCTTTGACATATTTTAAAGGGCAGGCTATTTGCATTTTGTGAACACAATAGGCTATTTTCTTCGCTTTGACTTCTTTTGCCTTTCTTTTGCCTTAGTACTTTTGTTCCAAGAGAGGATGTGGTTACTACAATTACTATAATGTAAGTATTGATAATCTAACTTATCACCATCTGGAAATACAGATGTCCAGAAGAGTTCCCATTCACTTGTTTTAGATGCTAAATCACAAAATTTGAATGTTTTCACTAAATGTATTACATAGGTTGAAGATTTTACTGTAACTTTGTCTGGTTGACTTTATTACCAGCAAGTTGTTTTCTTTCTAAACTTTCTAGTCAACATATATGTGCACAGGCACTATATATATATGTATCATATCATATCATATCATATCATATATCATTGAAAATCAAACAGTGGAATCTCTGACCCCAAGAAGCTTATAATCTAGTAGAGTTATTAAGAGTGGGCATATAAAGAAATAACCGTACTACAAAGAAGCAAGTAAAAAGTGTTAGAGCCACAAGTGCTTTTGTGCATAGCACCTAGAGATAACCTTGAGTTAGAGTATATGGGGAGAGCTTTGTGGAAAAGCTGGCATGTGAACTAGGTTGAACTTTAAAGTATGGGTAGAATTTTGAGAGGCAGAATTGGAATAGAAGAGTGCTCTGAAAGGATAAAATATAAAAAAAAATAGGAGATGTGTTTGGGAAAAATCAAGTAGGCTTATTTGGCTATAGTATAGGGTACAGCAAAGAAGAAATAAAAACTAAAATGTAAAATGTAGAGTCTAAAAGTCCTATAATGCTTAAGCTAGAAGAGATCTCAATAACCCTTTGTCTTATCTCGTGTTTTTACAGATGTGGAAAACAAATGTCCCTTTTCACATGTTCCTTTGTTTATATGCCCTGTTCTAAACACTGATTTTTAATTTGTTTGTGTTGTCGCATCGCCATTGATAGGCTCAAATGTAATTTTGATGCAAATAGCTTGAGTAAAATTTACTCAACAAATTCATCCATGAAATATATACATATATGAGAAACGGTAATCACATCTTTCTTTTTCCAGCCCTGACAGCCAAAATTTGAACATGATGTATCTTTTCCCCAGAATTCAGCTGGTTAAGTTTGTAAATTTATTTGGCTGCACAAGAGAATGAGGCTAAGCTATACTTTAAGTTTCATAGGCCATGTTCTTCGTTTTTACTATTCTTGCATTTCAGGACACTGCACAAGAATCAATAGCATTGGCTTCAGCCTATTACCTAAGAAGTACATGTCCTTTAGATTTGCCCTTGCAGATTTTGCCTGGTGTCCTCAAATCTGAGTCCCAGTAGGCACTGAATCCTGTCCCCTTTTCCATTCTCTTAATGCTAAATTGTGTTCATAAAATCACACACACACACACACACACAAATAAAACCAAAGCTAACAAACAAAACTTTCCCATTCAAATCTCTTAAAATTTTAAATTAAAATTTAAAATTTTACAATATCTGCCCTCCTGAACAAGTTCTGCCTCTCTGATATTTTGGTTACAGTGTCCTCACCCAAGATACTGTTCTTTTCAACTGCTGTTTCTCTGTGGAAACTCACAGCCAGCTAAGCCTGTGTTTCCATTCACTCTGATAAGAGCTCTCTCCACTTTGGTCTTCACAAACTCAACTCTTCAGCTTCTAACATACAGAAAGAGTGAATGACCCAGGAAGTTCTTTAAAATAGCCCAGATGAAGCACAATAACCATTTTCGTTATTAAAAGCTCTTGGAAGCTTGTCGCTGTTGTTGAAATAGCTTTTCCTGTGTAGCTACTGAAATTTGCAGCAGCATCTCTTTGTCCACAGGCCTATTGGTGCCTTTCGGTAGCCCCTATTATGCCAAAGTCATCTTCCCCACCATTGTTTTCAAACCTCACTGTAGAATGCAAATCAGGGCCTGCCTGCCATACTGTGCCTAATAGTCATTCACTTTCTAGGCCTGTTGTTTGGAAAGCCGCAAGTGCTTTATTCTGAGGGTCAGTCTTTGGTTTCACCCCACACAGCAGTAGCTTGTTCTTCATACTATCCTCTGTGGGAAGAATCTTAAACACACCAGCCAGCCCCATGTTGTCAGCATAAGAGCCATGCAATATTGATAAAGTCAGATTTCACCCTACTCCTATCCCTCTGTGCACTTCAAGTGCTCGTCTACATATTCTAGTGTTGTATTCTCTGAATATTTGCAGAACTTAATTTTATTTTATCTGCTCCACTTGAACCTAAGTCTTCAAGTCCAGTCATCCAACTTAACAAAGTCACACACAAACTAGAAGGTCCTCGTATAAATTGGAAAAAAGCCAATAATAATTTGTTACCATTCACCAAAAAAGGTGCAATAATATCCCCCTGGGTAGAGTGAAAGTCTCATCATGAACAGAAACAATTTAGAATTTGCCCAAGTACATTACAGCTGTACATATTTTTAAGAAAGTGGTAAACATACTTAACATTGTCTATAGCATGAAGGTAGAGACAAACTTAGAGTCAGAAATATATTTCCTAAAGAGAAGTTCAAACTTCAGGAAACTGAAGTAAAATGAAAATATTTATCCATTATGATTCTGTTGCTGTTCTACCCTCCCTATCTACAGAAAAAACAAATTAATCATTTTCTGTTGAGACACGTTAATGGTCCTTTCTTTCTCTCATTCATTCAACACATGTGAATTGGACAAGAACTATGTGCTAGATATTATGCTAAACACTAAGGAGATATTGGTGAAAAATACCAAAACAATTCCTGCCCACATAAAGATTATGGTAGTTTGTGAGTTAAATAATAATGAATTTGTAAGTGTAAGGTGATATGGAAAGAGGGAGTTGAACAGAACTCTGAGGTACCCAAAACTTAAAGGATAATCAGGAAAATGATATTGCAAAGGGTGACAAACCAAGAAAAAGGGTGAATAAATGGGAGAACTGATGATCTTCTTTCACACCAAAGTCCTAGATTTCAGACAAATTGCCATAACATATACAATGCTGAGCTCACAAGAAATTAAAGAAAATCTCTCTGTGGCAAATTAAAATTAAAATAAATTTAAAAAGGATAAGACAAATATAAAATGTCAGGAAACTAGGCCTTGGGGAGTTTAATGTCCAGGTATATGAGAATAGATATTAAGGCCTTAAATCTATGTTATGTGGGGTGGATGACCTGAGCCCCATATAGCTTACACAATACTCAAAAGTGAAATATCGTCCATAAAAGCTGGGCTGGAAGATTTCTGCCTATCAGAAAAGGAACAGCTGAAGAAATCTGTTGATCTCTACCATAGTTCTGAGAATGAAAAAAATTGATTACCTTATCTAAAATACTGTACATATAATCATTCTTTTACATGAGTCCAAGGTTTAAAAGACTCTACTTAGACAGAGAAGGCTAGTGGAAGTCCATGATATCTTACAGAAAAAAAATGCAAATCCTTGTTGGAGAAAAAGTTCCTCAACTCAGATCTCTTAAGAATAGCAGAGATTAATTTTAGACAAGAGTGGGCTTACATTGAAAAATGAACATAAACTCAAGAAAACAAGCCATAGTGAGCAAGAGATAGCAGAAACAACCAACAGTTATTGAACCTCGAGACTTAGATATCAGAACTAACAGACACAACATAAATAACTATGCATGAAGTGCCCAAATAAATAAGAGACAGAATTAAAATTCAAAAAAGGAGCAAGAAGTATCAAAAATGACTAGACAAGTTTGAAGAGAAAAGAGAATATAATGGGTTGAATATTTTATGTTGACTTGGATCCACTCTTCTCAGCTTTTCCACCATGCTCTCTGCCCTCAGAAAGCTGACCTGTATGGATCATCGTAGAAATCGTATCATGACCCCTGACTTCTGATGAACTTTAGCCAGGGTGGATCATAGGTAGATCAGAGGGAGGAGGGAGATTGAGACTTAAGATATCAGAACTAACAGACACAACATAAATAACTATGCATGAAGTGCCCAAAGAAATAAGAGACGGAATTAAAATTTGAAAAAGGAGCAAGAAGTCAAAAATGACTAGACAAGTTTGAAGAGAAAAGAAAATATCATGGGCTGAATATTTTATGTTGACTTGGATTCACTCTTCTCAGCTTTTCCACCATGCTCTTTGCCATCAGAAAGCTGACCTGTAGGAATCATCACAGCAATCATATAATGACCCCTGACTTCTGACGGACTTTAGCCAATGTGGAGCACAGGTAGATCAGAGGGAGGAGGGAGAGTGAGTCCAGGTGTTTATGCCCTTGGCTTTTGCCCTGTGAGGTCCCCAGGACTGGCTGTGCCTTTTGACAGAAGTCATTGCTCCCTCTACGTGGACCTGCTCCACAAAGCCTCCCTTCTTCTTAATTCCAGTGACTTCTCCCTCACTTAGAGTTGTGTTGATGCTATTCCTGAGTTTCTGCACTATTCCTTGTGGTTAGCCTTTATCCTAACCAGAAAAAAAAAGACAGAGCACTCCAAAGAAATGGCAATTACACTGACAGTGAAATTCTTAATCGTAACAATAGAAGCCAGAAAACTGTGGAGCAATATCCTCAAAGTGCTGAAAGAAAAACTGTCAAGTTGAAATTGTATAACATTATCATTCAACAGCAAGCTCCATACAAAGCAGTTTAAGATAAACAGAAATCAAGAACATTTACTAGCAATAGACTTTTATTACAACAAATGTTCTACTTAGAAAATACCAAAGTTACAGAAAAAAACTAACATGAGAATTTAGTAACGGGACTGATAAAGTCAATACATTAAAATCAATAATATTTCTATATGCCATTAACAGATAATTAAAACATTTAATTTTAAAAATTATACCATTTTAATAACTACAATAAAAATGAGATGTTTAAGAATAAATCTGGCACAGGATGTAGAGGACCTTTCTAGAGCAAATGTTTAAGCTCTATTGAAAGACACTGCAGAAGAGAGAGATGTATTGTGTTCATGAATACAAAGGTTATCATCAACATTACAAGAGGTCAAGTCTACCCAAACTGATCTAATGGTTATAGATACATGTATCTACACATATATAGATACATATATATCTCCAAGATATTTTATATTCAAAAATTAAATTTAATAAAAGGAAAATTCAGTATCAAGAAAACCAAAGCAAGAATTTTTCTAAGGGATTAATGCAATTTAATATTGCCAAGTGGTCAAGTAAAATGAAGACAGAGAAGTACCTATGAAATGTAATACGAAGTCTCTCTCTTTTAGTGACCTTGACAAAAGCAATTTCATTGGAGTTGTGGAGGTAGAGTCCAGACTATAATGAAATGGAAAGGTATAGAAAATGCTGACCACCTCTGCCAAGATCCTTGGCTCTGCCACGGAAGAGAAAAGAGGCTAGCTAGAGGGGAATATGGAGTGGAGAGGGAGTCTTAATCTTTTAATGTGTGGAAATCTTGAGTGTGTTCCCTGCTGGAAGAAAAGAGGCAGAGGAGAAGGAGAAGTGAAGATACTGGAGACAAGGAATAATGGCCACATAGAGATCCCTGAGACTGCAGGAGGAAACAGGATTGAATGCAGAGGTTCAGGGCTTAGTTTACCTATGCAGAAAGAAGAGAATGGCAACAAGAGTCAAGAGTGGGGCAGGCAGTGACTCATGCTTGTAACCCCAGCACTTTAGGAGGCAGAGATGGGAGGATTTCTTGAGCCCAGGAGTTAGAGATTAGCCTACACAACATAGCAAAACGCTGTCTCTACAAAAAAAAAAAAAAAAAAAAAATTATCCAGGTGTGGTAGCATATGCCTGTAGTCCCAGCTACTAGGGAGGCTGAGGTGGGAGGATCAGTTGGGCCCAGGAAGCAGAGGCTACAGCGAGCCAAGATCACACCACTGCACTCCAGCCTGGGTGACAGAGTGAGACCCTGTCTCAAAAAAGGAAAAAAAAAAATAGATGCAAGAGTGTAGTAGATTGGGTGGTGGGTTATTAAAGAACTGCTTTTTATTGCCTTCTACTTTTTCTGGAAACAAAGATGTGAGAGGACCTAAGGATACATCCTCCCCTCACCCATTTTCTACTACTCAGCTTTGATGCCAGTAAATCGAGTACTAAATTCCAAAGAAATGGATAAGCAAGAAAATCTCAATACTGCCATGTAGATAGTTATTCCACCAGATCTAAGTCACAGTTGCCTGACAGTTCTATATAGCAGAGTCTTCAAGGGCAGGCCAGATATGGCTTTGCTTTAGTGGCTCTATTTGACTGTACAGAAGTCTTCAGGAAGATAGGATATAAGGGGAAAATAAAGCAGTAAAACTGTGCAGCTCAGAGTGCCATTGAGCAAAAGAATTGTGACTTGTCTGCTTTTGCATATTAAAACATTAATCTCCCCATAGGAGAGAAGATCTGGTAATTTCTCTGCAAATGTCTTCTACAAGGATTCACAAGGGTAAAGAAAGATTCCTCACTATCCATTAATTTAAAGAACATGGTACCTACAGATTCTCTTGTGTTTTCAATGAATTATGATTAGGCTAAAAACACAAATTCCTCTCATATTTTTCAAAAAGCATTTTTTCCTCTTCCCAAGATTAAGCCTTTATGTTGAATAATCTGCAAACAAACTTCACCTCACACATCAGCAAATATATCTGCAATGTTCATGCAATGTTAGTTCACAACAGTCCTCCATTAAGAGATAGAAGATGCTTCATAGAAAGAGATTTAATCCATGGTTATTTTAATGAAGAATTATCACCCAAGGTGTACTTATTTTTTTCCTATATATATTGTTCTTACAGTATGTATAAATTCCCATGGTATCTGCACTGTAAGTAGCTATGGTACAAATAAACCTTAGCAGCATTAGCACCATCCAGCGTAAACAAACCCTTCCTAAAAATAAAATATATTTTGTGCTCAAGACATATCTTCTAAGACAGCAGGAGGGAAAAACAATCCAGCATGTACAGTGGTTTTTCTACATTTAGCTGCCAATTTCTACGGATGGCTTTAACCAGTGGATTTGATGGAGGTTGACATTTATTTCTGCTTATGTGGAATGTGCCGAGTAGATAATTCAGTGATGAGTAAAATTTTTAAGTGTGCCCGACGCACATAAAATGACCGTGTAAATGAAGCATATTGGGTTCCAAAGCTCTCATGAAAAGCAACAGATGTTTCCTTCCAACTATAATGTGTTTTAGACCATGAAAAAAAAATTGGCTAGAATGTTCAAAATGCATGATTAAAGATTTCCAATTCCTGGGCAATTTTATGATGATTGTCATCATAGGATCTTCAGACAGCATGTATATGTTCAATAGATTGATCCAGTCAGAGCTAAATAACCATTTTCCAATTTAAAGAGGAGACAAATGGCAAAGCAAAGGATCCTACAGATACATAAATTGCTTTTAGCCTTTCTGAACTGGAAGTCACCTTCAACTTCATAACCACAAGGGAGAAAAGTCCACCTGGCCCCGGCCAACGCAGTGGTAAGCCACTCCCAAAGGGCATTTTCTTTCCCATCAATTGAAGCTCAAGTGAAGAACACCCAGTATATGAATTTAAACTGCTTTAGGCAGATCAGGGTAACAATATTTGTTTAAATTTAATTTAATTGCTTTTAGACAGCTCATGTCTATTCACATATCACAGTCTCTACTCCCCCCCCGCATTGTCTTATACCTAATCCATTTCACACACACACACAAATAATTTTTACTGGATTTTTAAATTTCACAAAAGAATGTCAAGTCTACCAATCATTTTTAAGTCAAGTTTTAGGTCTTAAGCAGCCATAAAGTGTATTAAAATAAAAACACTGTCAGAAAACATAACAGTGAAGTGTATGTTGCTTCCCTTTTGCTGAAGCCTTGTTTTACATGATAATACGCACAAAGGATTGTTTGGGGAATATGTAATCCATTTGGTTTTTTTCTTGTTTGGAAGGTTTTTTTCTAGTTTTTTTTTTCTAGTTTGGAAGACTCAAGTTTTTTTAGGGACAGGCAAATAATATACACAAGTGAAGTGGGTCAGGTATATGACAATAGGGAATGGCGGAGACCATGACATGTGAATAGACATAGTTTGTTTAAAGACAGTTAAGTTCAATTTAAAAAAACTTATGTTTTTGTCATCTAGAAGCTCTAGGTGGGTGCTACACATAATGCAGCAATTTTATTTATGATACCCATAGAGTCAATTGAGTGTACTTGTAATTCAACATTTTAACAGGCAGCTAAATAAAAGTAAATATTCTTCTCTATTAAATATGCTCAGCCACCCACATCACCCAAGATGAATTTATATAGTTTCTCATAAATACAGGTAAAGCTGTAATTGCATCCTAAATGATCTTTGAGTATAGAATATAACAATAACAATCATATTAATAGCTGTTGATATTATTAATACTATAATTTTATATATTTATGTCATTTTTAGACAATCACACTAATTACTATTACAAATCTGTGAAATGGTTATTATCCTTATACAATATATGGAGAAAAAAAAGACTCAGATAGAATACAATGATTTTTTTTTTTAAAGACAGGGTATTGCTATGTTATCCAGGCTGGACTCAAACTTCTGGGCTCAAGCGAACCTCCCACCTCAGCCAGCACCAGGTCTTTTTAATAAATGCAAGTTTGTTCAGTTGCATTCTAGCAACTGTTTCTAATGCTAGAATGTGCAAAGCCAAAATCAAAAGCATGCATGTGAACAAAACTGCCATTCCTATTTAGATGAGCCCAAAGCTCTTCTATCCCAGGCCTCACCTCAATAGCGCACCCAGACTATCTGGTGGGAAATTTATAACACCAAATAATTGCTCAAATAATTGCTACCTTTTTATCCAAAATCATGGGAATCTGGGTAGTGATTTTTGAATGTCCCAATATATTTTTCTACCTAAAGCACCTCAGATTTTGTACTAGTTAGTATTCATATTATCAAATTTAATTTTAAAGGCATGCTAACATGTAGCCAAGCTCCAAAATATATATTTTACATTATTATTGAACTGCTGTAAAAACTCGATATTTTTATGTGGTTTTACTGTAAGCCATCTCAAATCATTTTTGGAAGTATGCAGGGAATAAATTATGAATAAATAAGGATAAGCACATAAATAAGAAATACCCAGTTTCTGCCAGCAAAGGACAATGAATCCAGATTTTGTAACATCTCTGAGGTGATTATTATTCGTAGGATGTTCAGGTAACACTCAAATACCAAAACCTGTCACTCCTTTCTACTAACTACAACAGACTTTTTAAAAACTGCTACCTGTTGCTCTCCCTATACTTTTTTGTTTGTGGAGACAAAGTGGCCACCATTCCATTTGCTTGGGTACCTCCTGGTGCTGGCACTGAAACTCCTCAGTCTCAACCAAATCAAGATGCTGGTCATCCTAAAATGGAGCATGGGAATAGTAAAACTAGAGGTCCTTGAGGGTACCTTCTTGAACTAAGACTGTATTTTCCATAAAATCTTCTCATTTTTTATTATAATTAATGTTTTTGTAGACCAATGTGTTGGAAACAGAAAATACATGTCTGTGTAAGTTAGGGTCCCAAGTTAAATGTAGTATGATTTAGAATCCCATTGCAATGTTTTTGTTCTGCAGTATCTACATTGATCTCTTTTTCTCTCACATGCACTCTTTATCAGTACCACATCGCCTAAGAGATTCTGACAAGAAAATTTAAATAAGTGGGAGAAAAACTCCCTTGAGGTTTTGAGGGGCTTTTCATCACTGCTAGGGCATTGTTCTTGTTGCTTCAAACACTCAACCCAAAAGAAACATGTAAACTGAAGCATGGAAATTCGAGAATCTTAACAAAAGGAAATTATAAGCTCTTCACCTGTTTTCATTTGTTGCTGAGCTCAATTATCTAGCCTATGAAAAGGAAAGTGGATGTTAGTAGTAGAATCTGACTTGGTAACCCACCCATGTGGAATCCCCTGAAGTTTTAGGCAGAAAGGTAAATATGGTCCTTCCACATTCCCAAAGCTTATAGCTCGCATATAATTTAGACACACAATTCCCACCACACAGAAGAACTGCCCTTGGAAACAACACAGCTGGAATTGAGGAGTAGATAAGTAGGCCTGAAGATGCCTCCACACAATATTTATCCATCTTATCTATATGCAGCTTCCTGAGACAGCACTAGGAGATGTAGGGCCCACTAGCCTGAGATAAATAAGTCTCAGCTTCAGGATAAACCACAGGGCTCTTGTTAACAAAAGGAAGGCTTTCTCTCCTGCGTGATTTTAATAAGTAAATTTGTTCGTATACCAAGGTCACAGAAAGAGAACTATAGTATATAGTTATGCAGCATTTAAGAAATACATAAACAGCTTATACGTATGAAAAAAATTCTGGACTATTTTCATTTTAAAAAATGTCTATAACTAGAATATAGACCCAAATACATGAACTAGAGTTTCAGGCTAGATATCCAACTTTGCCACTCTATTGTAATGGGCCAAAAGTCTATTATTTTAGGGATAATTTTGTCAGATTTGAAATGGAAACAAAATATCACACTGAGCAATGTTTGCTGCATTGTGTTTGGTTGTTATACAAAGTAATAGATAATTTTGGATAATGTTATGACACCTGAGTGAGCTGTTTAAGAAATTAACTATTATTCGTACTCATTCTTTAAACATTTATACTGAGTATATCTTCTTAGGTTAATGTAAATAAAATAATTTAAGAGCAGAGTTGTGGCCTAGAAATTGCAAAGAAACATTTTCAAGCTTCATGTTTCCCTTCCTGGAGGACCATGAGACACCATTAGGCCAAACGTGAACATGAATGATTGAAGCTAACGGGGTGCTATGGGGCATAGGGTATGGTGCGTAATTCTTTAGTCTTTTTGAAGAGTGAAGCATGAAAAAAGAAAATGTTTGGGCAAAATCACTGATGTCTAGCATGAGTCCTTGCATATGGCATGAAAAGTCCCCAAAAATCAAATCTTTAGTGAGAGATACCACAGGTTACTGGATAATAAGACTAAATTTTGAAATCTAATTCTCCTCAATTCCATTTATTCACTCAATGAAACTTCAATTGAAATCTAAAAATATTTTGGCACAGCTTTACAACATTATTCTAAAATTAGTTTGGAAGAAATATCAGTGAGAATGTCTTAAAAGGGGCACACAAACACACACACACATCAGAGAAAATCAAGAAGAAGAAGGTATCAATCCTATCAGATATTAAGGAAATAGCAATGACATTTAAGCTTGTTTGATATAATTAAATCAATGTACCAGAACCAGAAATCTAGGTGAGAGTGTGTGAGTGTGTGTGTGCGCGCGTGTGTGTATACCTCTAGAAAAATAAAATGTAATATGAGGTAATAGAAGCACAAACAAGTGGGAAATAGAGGAATTATTTAAAAACTGCTGTTGGAAAAACGCTTAACTATTTTTAAGAAGAAAATCAATTTAATCCTTATCTCACATCATATAACAACAACAAAAAAAGTGTTGGATAGACTAGAGAGGAAAAAAATTATTAAAGAATTAGATATAAATTTTTCTAGGAGAAAAACAATTTAGGTAAATTTAAACCTAATTTAGGTAAATGAAAAAGTACTGTCTACACACACACACACACACACACACACAAGAAATACGACATTCAACTTATCCATAAACACATTTTCAACTTTTGTATGTTAAAAAATATATATTAATAACATAAATGACAACGGGTCAGTATTCTTACCCTAATATGTAAAGGACATTTAAAAATTAATGAAAGGGGCCAGGCGTGGTGGCTCATGCCTGTAATCCCAGCACTTTGGGAGGCCGAGGCGGGTGGATCACTTGAGGTCAGGAGTTCGTAACCAGCCTCACCAACATGGTGAAACCCTGCCTATACTTAAAATACAAAAGTTAGCAGGGCGTGGTGGCACGTGCCTGTAATCCCAGCTACTTGGGAGGAGAATCACTCAAACCCTGGAGGCGGAGGTTACAGTGAGCCGAGATTGCTCCACTGCACTCCAGCCTGGATGACAAGAGGGAAACACAGTCTCAAAAATAATAATAATAATAATAATAATAATAAAGGAAAACCAAGGTCTCAATATGCAAACAGGTTAAAGATATGAATTAGCACTACAAAATGAAGTACAAATAAAAATACACATTTCAAAAATGTTCAATCTCAAACAATAGTAGAAGAATATAGTACTTTTTTTATTTGTATAAATTTAGGGAGTACAAATACAGTCTTGTTACATGGATATATTGCATAGTACTTTAAAGCCTAGACTTCTGAGTAAAATCAATCTTGGTCCAAGACCCAATTCTACCACTTACCTGCTGTGTGATCTTGGGTAAGTCACTTAACCTCTCAAAAAATAAGTTTTCGAACATTTAAAATAGGAATGAAAATATTGTCCTCCCTTTATGTTGTTGCAAAGAGTAAATGAGATAATATAAAGGTTTTGCATGGTAAATTGTCTATAAGAAGGGCTCAATAAATTTTAGCTTTTGTTGTTGTTGTTACAATCACATTCACCTTTCCAATTAACAAACTTTAAAAAAAATCCCTCAATACTGGTGAGGATGGCAAAATGATTTATATCTTCCAGAAAGAATGAAATGAGTGCAAGCTTTCTGGAAAGCAATTTGGTAATATGTATAAGGCACTTTTAAAAGGTTCATACCCTTTATCCAGCATATCACATTTAGGAATCACTCCTAAGAAAAATAATGAGAAAAATAGACAAGGAATATAAAAAAATGAGATCATACAGAAAATATCCATCACAGTGTGATAGCAAAAACATTACCAATAATCTTAAGGTCTAAGTTGAGAGGGAAGGCTAAACAATTGATAATAATTCATAGGCCTATTAAAGAGCAATGAAAAGCTAGACAAGTGCTTACAGCCATGGGAAAGTGGTGTTTTTTTTTTTTTAAGTATTTATTGCTGTGAACCAGAACAGAGCTTATCACAGTAGCTGGCAAATAGTAAGACTCAATCAATAATTCAATTGAATTGAACTATAGAATTCTAAGCGACAAAAAGCAGGCATTCATTTTTCACACACATACACACACACACATATCTAAACTTATATGAAAGAATCACACAAACTCTAGAAGTAAATATGATATAATTCTAACAATATTGTCTTTTGATGATTTTTTTCTGACTCTTTGGGCTTTTCTCTACTTCCCATTTTTTTTTCAATGGAGACTTCGTACATTTATAATCAGAAAAATAGAGAGTAGGAAAAAAAAAGAAAGAAATCCTAGAAATTGAGTAGAAGCCAGCTGTATCAATTATTTCTCATTACACTAATCTGAGTGTATACTCTTCTTTACTCCTACCCAAAATATAAAATAGGAAAAAGGATATGAATAGCATGAATAAATTGGGAGGCAGTCTTTAAAACATACCGTATGAAAAAAATATTGCAGTAAATTTCAAAAAAAGTCAAAAAAGTATGTATCTAATATTAAGAAAATTATACATATGCTTTGCTCCCTATATAACTTGCAAGTATAAAAGACACACCATGGCATAAACCCTTTAGGTACAAATTACACATTGTTTTACAATGGAATTATATTTGCTTTTAGATACTCAATGTCACAAAGATTCATACATAGTGGTTATCATCAAGTTTTTAAAATCTGAAAAAATTCTATTCATTTAAAACTTCAACTCTATATGAAATCCAAAAGGTGTATTTCAGGAGATCAATGACATTCTCCAAGGGGAAAACCAAACAATTTCTCAGATTCCCCAGTTCTCAAACACACTCACCACAGACTGCCCTAGAAAGTGACAGAATATGTCAACCAGTGCTTCAAGTTACATGAGGGTGTGGCTGCCAGGCCACTGGCTGGACTCACTCACTGAAAGTTCAGTCTCCAAAAGGATGTGACTTAAATTCACACCTCAGTAAAATTATAGCTTACTATATGTCATGTACCTTTAAAGATGGATGGTAAAACCTTGACTCATGAAAAGCTAAGTTGTTGTATTCCATGGGTCTGCTATATCTACAATGTCTGCCGCTTATAAAAGTAAAACTTTGGCTGGGTCTGGTAGGCTCATGCCTGTAGTCCCATCACTTTTGGAGGCTAAGGCGGGTGGATAACCTGAGGTCAGGAGTTCGAGACCAGCCTGGCCAACATAGTAAAACCTCATCTCTACTAAAAATACAAAAATTAGCCTGGCATGGTAGTGTGCGCCTGTAATCCCAGCTACCCAGGAGGCTGAGGCAGGAGAATCACTGGAACCCGGGAGGCAGAGGCTGCACTCCAGCCTGAGCGACAGAGCAAGACTCCATCTCAACAACAACAACAAAAAAAATGACATAGGACATAAACTGAAGTCTATACCTCAATCATGTAACAAGTTCAAGTACTTAATTTACCTAATGCCAAGAGTTTGGACTTTTAAAGTAAAATATGTAGTGTTTTTACTATAGTAATTATTTTTTAAATTTTCCTTTGTATGATAAAAATATTTGTAAATAACTGCTTTGTAAGTGTATTTCTTTTGATGTAACTTCTAAGGTTTGCTTCCAAAAACTCCTAAGAGGGAAAATGTGAGTGGGACTGTAAATGAAATGAGAATGGCCACAATTTGACAATTATTGAAACTGGCTGATGGGTATGTGGGAATGCATTGTACTACTCTTATTTTCTACCTTTGAAATGTTACATAATAAAAACCTTTTAAAAAAGGAAATGCATTTCTTAATTATGCCAATTTGGGTTCATTAACTTAATTTCTTTGTTCTCCATTCTTACAATAGCCACATCCAGTGAACATGGCTGAAATGTCCACCACATTGATCTTGAGGACATTCCAACCAGACACTTAAACAATACAGAGATCGCATTCTGATGCACAGATGACAGAATAAATTAATTGACTCAGCTATGTCCCATAATTTAATTATTCAGTCAAAGGCAAGGGTGTATATATCCAGCTTAACCAAGAAGAAATTGTAAAACAAGTTTCAGCTGTCATTGTAACCAATAAATTATAGTACTATATGGCTGATTCAATTTGGTCACTGGTGACCGGGTCATCACTATAACAGAGGACATTAGGGGATCTGCTGAAGTGTCATTGAGGTAATTTGCACTTTTTTTGCATTCTTCCAAGGGCAATGCAACAGAAAAAAAATAATAGTTATAGTCTTTGACTCCTAGAAAAAAAGAATTTGCTCAGCAGATGCTGTGAGGGGATTAGGATTAAAAATGCAAATGGTTAATACAATATCTATTTTAGAATAATCATAAGTTTTTTTCTATCATGTTCATTTAATTTTTTTTCCTTTCTCTTACCCAGACACAAACAGAATTTTAGCATATTTAATTTAATTCCTAACAGTTCCTCACATAAGCAGATCTCACATAAAAGCAGAGTGTGTTAAATATTACAATCAAATCTTTAAAGTATTACTCATAATAGATCTTCTGAATATACTACTAAGAATTTAGGTGCCTGTTGACTTTAACTTTATTAACTCACTATGATGTAAATAAATTATGTTTAAAAGAAAAGTTTTAAAAAATGAATATATTGCACTTAAAATGACTCAAGGTTTCTAAGCATTGCACACTGCCACCTAGTGCTAAATGTCTCTTTAACACCAAATGCACAATGGATGTCTTCCACAAAGTGGAAATGCTATATTTTAAACAAAATTTATTCAGAACAACAGGTCTAAAATACTTTATTCATAATTCCTTCAAAATAAGAATGCTATTGGAGATAAATGCAATGACATATACCATAAAATCACACCCATCTCAAATTAAAATTTAAAAGATCTGAATGGATTAGTTAATATAAAAAATTGCAAGTCTTGTTAATAAAGACATCCTCTTTTTAAAAACAAAGTGATTTACAGGTTTTGTTAAGGAAGACAAGAAATTTTTACTTTTTTAAAAAAAAGTGATTTTTAACTACTGCGCATCAATTATGCAGCTATTCTCTTATGAATGTGATGTATGCTAATCTCTAAGTGGAATATGTGGTTATCTAGCAAGTTTCGCATAAGAAGATGTTGAAAAAGACATCATAGAGTGTTAACTGATCACTAACAGTACTTTAAAGCTTCCTTGGAGATAACCATAATCTCCATGCACCTATAGGTTCTAACTTCAATTAAAGATCCCACTGGTTTTAGTCCTACTTTATTTTTTATTTTCCCAGCATTGAATAGTTTTTGTGTTTTGGTTGTTCTAATGGCAAGAGCTCATCTCTGATCTTTTGGCTAAGAAAGCAAAGCCCCATGAAAATGAATGAGAACCATTTTGAAAGAACTAAAGGAAAGATTGCTATTGATGGTCAGGGAGTATATTCTATTTAATTCATTGTATTCTAAAATGGTAGTCCCCAAGTCTGATCTACTTAATGCACTACAACTATCTATTCTAAGAACTAAGGTGAAAGGTGAAAGGCTCATATTTCTGTCAAATTTTTCATAGTAAAAAATATTAAGAGGATTCCTTGTAAATCATTGTTGCTTAACATTTAAAAACTCACACTCTCTTTTGAGAAACATAAAAATCTCGAAGTTCTCCTTCAAAGCTATTTAAAATATATAAATAAATGATCTATTATAAACAACTAGTAAATGAAAATTTTTAAAAATCATATTTTTCTTTTGATCTTGGAAGATGCTTTACATTGATGCTGTTACTCCAATCATTAGAAGTCAGCATGACAATTAAAGTTGTCTGTGTATCTCGCAAACTTTTCTATCCTTGTAAAACAACAAAGAAAAACAATTGAGTAATTTCACCATTGTTTTTTGTATTGCTTTATTTTCATAACCAGAAGAGTATGTAAAGATAGATAGATAGACACAGATAGATAGATTGATAGATAGATCGATAGACAGATAGATAGATACAGGCTCTCCTTTTAAGGGAGGAGATGTTGCCTTCATTCCCTTGAATATTATTGATTTAGATAATTCCCAAAGAAATGTATAACCAAAACCACATGATTTGAAAAACTTCTCAAAATTTCCTTTAATCAGTTTAAACAAATTACTGCCAATTCTATTTCACTTAGTTCTTCATAGGGCTATTTAAAATCAGGACACCAAGTTGGCATGGCTGCCTAATACAGAAGATAGAATTTACTCAAAATACTGCAACTCAAGAAACTCAGTTTGAAATATATTATTTAAGGACATATACTGTATTGAAACCCAATTCACATCATGCTGGAATGACATCTATTATAATAGCTAATGTTTGGTGAAATTACACAGTCCATTGAAAAAAATCTAAAGTTCTGGCTCCTAGATATTCCATTGGCCTTATGGTATACCATTGATAGCAAGATACTTCCAAGAAATAAGAAATAAGATAGTGAGTACAACTGTGCCTTATTTAAAAAACTATTACATATATTATATTATAATATATACAATATCTATTATATATAATATATAATATATGATATATAAGATAGTTATTGTATTATTATATGTATAATATATAATATATTTATATATAATAATCCTAACATAATATATTATGTTAATATATAACATAATATAATATTAATATATTAATATAATATATAATATATAAATATAATATATTAATATATTATAATATTAATATAATATATAATATATCTATAATAATCCTAACATAATATACTGATATATAAATATATAATTATATATAAATATGTATGATATATATAAATTTATATATCATATATATCAAAATATATATAAATAATGATATATATAAATATATATGATTATTATATATTTATATATAATAATATATATACTATATATAATATACTGGATATATATAAATATACATATATAAATTATATATAATGTAGTCCATAAAATTTCCTAAACATTTTAAATGTTTCTTTTAATCTACAAGGTAGTGAAAATATATTTAAAAAAATAAACTAACACAGTTTGATTCAAGTGACCATTGTGCCTGAGACTGAAAGAGTAATTAAAATTTTTGCACATATCTTAATGTCTTTTCTAGGTATATACTGATCTTTTCTAGGTATATACTGCTCTAAAGTTTTAGAACACAAAGACTACATGTATCTTGCACAACAAAATTCAATCATAGCATCATCACTTGGATTCATCTAAAAATAAATGTTTAAACTAAAATTATTTAATAATCTCATTTCTGAAGCCTAAATATTATAGTATATATGATTAGAGTATGCTCTAAAGAGCTCTCTAATCAAAGGTTTCTAGCTCAACATTTTTTAAAAGTATTAACAAAGTGGCCTATGGAAAAGATTCCTTAAGGCTTTAGAAAGATATACAGGACATGTTGAAAAACTAAGGTACATAATACAGAAGAGACTCACACAGCTTTCACCTGAACATTTAACTTGAGATTATTTAAAACAGGGCATTTCTATCTATTAAAATCCCCATAGTTGTGAAAGACAAAAATTTATTTTGTACAGATTAGGTATGATATTTGTATATCTAATATTAGTACTACTGGGCATCACTCAGTATGAAATAAGAAAATGTAATAGATATTCAGTAAGCATTTTACTCACTAATTATGATTCCATAATTTCTTAACTTTTTGTTCTCAGATGTCAAATACTTACCTAGAAACTGCCACTCATTTGGTTGCTATGAGTTTTAAGATCAGTTAGCAGGTTTTTTTTCTGTCTTTCAGAGAATTGTCATCTTGGGTTCTCCCTCAAGGTAGTGAAAGTTAACTTTGTTACCCATCTGGGGATTTATAGTACTTATACTAGAAGATGCTCCAAGGTTTCAGAAAGGAATTAATTACTTTCAATTTGCACAATTTAGAACAAATATCTGGCTTTTCCCTAAGCTTAATGATTTTCCATTTCACACAACTAAAATATAATAGCATTATTTTATAATCAAGTTTAACTGATGGTCTATGATAGTAGAGCGATTTAGTATTTTGACAAAAATCTTATGAGACATGAAGTCATTCAATTTGCAGCCCCAAACTGAAGCTCAAACACAACATTTTAAAAGTATTTTCTGCCTATACCTTTGACTGCATGCTACTTTAAATAGAGGGACAAGACTAAATGGTCTATCTGGTTGTTCTTACACTTTATAAAGAGTCAAAAGCAAATTTGAGTTATAAATATGCACATCATAGTGATCATTATTTTATCACAAATAAATATTGATTTGCTTAATCAAAGAGAATACTCTCCTAGAATAAGAGCAGTATTTCAATCTGCAAACATGTTTCTTAATGTCACTGAGCATTTAGCCTATCTTCACACACACATTTCATAACCTTTCAAGGACAATCTTCTACATCACATTTTAAGGAAATACACTGAAAAAGCAATCCATTTTGCAATAGCATTTTACATTACTACAAATTCACGAGGTTCAACCTTCAATGCCCATGTACCTTTCACAAAACTATTGATCATTTCCTATCAATGCTTTACAGGATTATATCACAAAGGAACACATAATGCATGTATGTGCATCAATGCGTAAAGGAGAGGATGCATTTCTGTGCATAGTATGTGAACTGACAATGCCCACTTGCCCAGTCCTTGCTTTACTCAACTTCTTACACATCATCAGCCAGCTGCCCTGTTGATGATTCCTTGCACCTTATGCGCTGCTTTATCATTGAGTCAGATTACTACCATTTCTGGTCCAGAACTCATTAAGAAAAGTCCTTTTTCAAGCAAGGTCTTTGAAATGTAGTTGTACACCTATAAAAGAACTATCTGGAGCTCATCTTGAGAGAGAGAAGATGAATTTATCCTCTGTCTTTAGGCTTTTACTTACAGAGCCACACCTTTATAAACAAGTTCTGTCTGTCATACTGACAGGAAGGAGATATGCAAAATGTAACATCTGGAGTCATAAAATATAATGACCTCAAATAACATTCCAGAAAGAGAAAGGAAAACTAGTTCTGGTTAGGGAGAAGATAAAAGAGGAAAAGGAGTAAATTTACATCCTTAAAACAAGAGTAATAGAAAACCCTACCGGGTTTTTCCAGTAAGTTTTGTGCAGCAGCAGCAACAACCTAATCAATATGTGCTTCCTCACCCTCTTGTCCCCAAAGAGAAACTGCTGGGCCCCTCTCCACCGACTCCCCAGGAGCAGAAACTACTGCCCCCAAGGAAGGGAGAATTCAGAAGCGTGGGGAGGGGGAAAAACAGGTATATGTGGTTCTAGCATCCTCATCTTCATATCAGCTACCAGCCTGAAACTACATTCAGGAACCAGGCTCCCAGACATTCCCCGGCCCTGGGCCCTGCCTGAGCGCCAGAGAGCTTGAGGAGCCTGCAGCATAGTTCTCAGACCCGAAACAATGACCTCCCCCGTCCAAACCCAGGCACTCTTGCGCCAAGGCCCTAACCTCTCAGCGAGACCTCTTTGGGGAAGGACAAGAGATGCTGCCTGATGGCCGAGAGAAGACATGCCAGGCTTCTCTGCCAGAATGAGTTGTTGAGGGTGGGATGAAGGTGGTCAAGGAGATGGGCTCTTTATTTTTAAAACAAAAAACAAGGCAACCGGGACCACCAACATCAGTCACCCTCACTCCCCACCACTGCCTCTATTCCTTAAGGACTTCTTCCCAGGCCGGCGGCGGCGGCGGCGGCGGCGGCGGCAGCTTGCGATCATCAGGATTGGAAGTGAGAGCGAGTGCCCGGGCCAACCTCAGCGTCTCTCAGGGACAGCGCAGGTGGGCGCAGCCTTGGAAGGTCAGCGAGGCCAGAGCTCAGAGTTCCACGGGGGCCCGGAGAGTGTGCGTGTGTGAGTGAGAATGCGAAAACGCGCGCGCGCCGGGCAGAGGGGCGCTCGGCGAGAGGGTAGGCGCGGTGACAGGGGTACCCCAGCAGCCGAGGAGAGACAGCCCACCCCACCCTTTAAGCTAAAGAGCTGGAGGGGTGATGGAGGCTGCAAGACGGAGAAACTTGATGCAAAACAGACAGGCTCCCCCCTCCAAGACGTGCCGCCACGCTCTCAGACACGCTCCCTCGCCTCCCGGATTACCCACCATCAACCACCCCACCCTGCAAAATTCCCCCACCGAGCCCTAGGATCCCAGGCGGGTAATTACCTCTCCCGGAGGCGGAGTGGGGGGCGGCAGCAGCAGCAGACACTTTTAGCCTGACTTTCCTGCGTTCGCTTGCGAGCGTGTGAGCGTGTGCGCGCCCAGGAGGAGCTGTAACCTGCTATTTATAGACCGAAGCCTCAGTACCCGGGGCTGAGAACCCGGAGGAAACTAGCAGGCGGCGGCGACGGCGCAGGGCGCCGGCCGCGGCTTCGCGAGGCTCCAGCAGCTCCCCCAGCCTCTGGCTTCGGCCGCGCTCCCTGCTCGCTCCTCGCCTACCAGCCCCGCGCGCGCCCCAGAGAAGTTGTCACCAGCGCGGCTGGCTCTCCGGCTGCTCACACGCCCCCTGGCACAATTGCTACTTTCTTCCACCCCAACCCCCACCCTCCCCGCTCCTCTTCCTCCTCCTCTGCTCTCTCCAAGCGGTCTCCTCCCAATGTCACCAGCGACCGAGTAGAGGCGGCCGTGGCAGCGACAGTCGCGCAACTGGCGCTGCTCGCTTCCCGCTACTGATAGAGCGGAGATGGTGGCCCGGCTGCCCACCCCGAAATTACCACGCTGGCTCCGTGTGCTCACACCCCGTACCCCGACCCCTTTCTGCGGCCCCTCTGCCCGCTGGGTCGCCCACCCAGACTGGGCTGTGGGATCACCGCTACCGCGACGAGGGGGGACCCGAGGCCGCCACGCTGCTGCGGGGGCAGGAGAAACCACAGAGAAAGAACCCGCGGGAGGAAGAAAGCGCCCCAGACCCCGGCCTATGGCAGCGCAGTCCCTAGACCGAGGGTTTTTGGAAGGGGCTTGGGATCCCTGCTGTCACTGCCTGCGTCTAGGCATCCATTCACGCCTGCTGGACCCCAGTCTGCAGCCGCGCTGGGACCCCTGTCTCTTGCCCCTCCTCCCCCTTGCCCCGGGCAGAGGTCGGGCTGAGGAGACCAGCTTAGAGCAGCCCTCGGCCACCCACCGCCAGTTCCCACGTCGCGGCGGGTGACTGAGGCCGAGATGCTCCCAACTAGCGTATGACATGCCTTTGATATCCCGGGTGCGTGGGGACAAATCCGCCCTGAATGTGTTGGGGTATCAGGAAAACGGGGTATGTAAGCAAGCAGTCTGGACGGAGACTAAAACTCCCCCACTTCCTAGCCCCTAACAAGCCCACAGGGGAAAGCACGCACCCTGGTTATTCCGGGCTGTGTAGGGTGTGGGGCAAATGACTCTCCCCATCTGCGCTTTACAGGTGCCACCTGGCGGCTCTCTCGGAAAGGTTTTGATGGAGCCGTTCAAAGGTAAAGGTGCCCAGAGCCAGCCCATCAAGACACCCCAGCCCTTCTCCCTGAGGGCGCTTTAAAATCACATTTTAAGTAAAGCAGTGTACGAATGCTTGTACACAAGTGTTACATTTGCCATGCAAAAAGACTGGAATCTCAAAGTCAGGACAGTGAAATCAATTTGGGTTAAGTCGGGGCTTAACAGTTTCACAAACCAGGAAGCTGTATGTACCCCCAGCTGTCACCCCTGCTGTCACTGCCCGCATCTAGGCATCCTTTCACTCCTCAAACCTTTGACCACCACATTATAAGCCTTGCCAATGAGGACAGGGACTTTGGGTTTGTTTTGTTTTGTTTTGTTTTGTTTTGTTTGGTGGGGGGAGTTGTTTGTTCGTTTCATTTATTTTTTTCATCACTCTGCTCCCAGAGCTTGGGACAATACCTAATATTCTGTAGTTTCAATAAATGTTTATAGAATCAAATAATAAACACTATAGGCCAGAAACTGCTTGGCGCCCCCGAAGCCCTTCCTTTTGCTTCTCTTCAAGCTTTTTCTCCTATGCTCAGCCTCTACCCCAAGTGAGCTGAATGCAGAGAGATAGGAGAGTGAGGAACAAATAATCCCTGTCAAGATGTGGATCAGCTTTGAGAAGCCTTCACACAGTTAGATTTCTCCTCCATGGGGCAGCACTGAACACACCCATCTCCAAGCAATGGGTAAGCCGTGTTCATAGAGATCTGCTGGAAAGATGATACAACTTTCTCACTGGGCAGTTTCTGATTTTTCTCACAATAGAGAGAGATTGAAATAATATCAGGACATTAGGATGTCAGAGCTTTGCTACTAAATTGGAAATATGGTTAACATATCTGTCCTCTAAGTGGAAGAGTGTGTGTGTGTGTGTGTCTGTGCGTGTGTGTGTTTATGAAGACTACAGCAGCAATGCCAGAAATACCAAACCATACCTCCTAAAAGACTGAGTTGTAAAATAAATGCAGTTACTGATTCTATGGAAATGGACGTTTAAAGTGAGATGCTTAGAGGACCCTATTATAATTAAAGTCCAGACATGGACCATGCTGACAAAGTCCTTTTACAGGGCGGCTGAAGAATATGTGACTTACTTGTGTACATCACGTAGGAAGTTTGAATTCTCAGAAAAGAGAGAATATGAATCAGGATGCCATCAGATGCATGTACCACAAGGCATTTTTAAAAATCCATCAATCATCCTGATATTTACCTTTTTTAGTTATTTGGTGGCTTTTTCCTTGAATAAGCCTGGAGGATTCAGATGCTTCCGTGGTTTAATAAACTCATTCAGCATTCACTTTTACAAACCTTGAACTTTTGCTGACTTGTACCCCCAAAACATAACTCCATTTGCCAATGAAGGACAAAATATTTTTCATTTCCTTTTGAAATATCTTTGTAGGGCCAGAAGTCAAAGGTGATTCCCTGTAGTTACCTTGCTGTCTAAAGCAATAAAATCAAGCCAGGATCTACAGGGTTGGTGTCACACTCGCCTTTGCAGTGAAGCAGCCTACACTCTCTCCATAGATTCATTGTTCCTCTAGATTTTTATCTCAGGTGAGATTAATATGACATCATATCTACTTTTATGATCCTTCACTATTCAAAATCTCTTCTAGAATATAGCACCAAGCATCATATAGGTTTTTTAATGCTTACTCAGTTATGTTAACAATAACTTGTAAAGTAAGTCCTTGTTTTCATCTCAATTTTTAAAAACTTAAAAATTACAGAAACTTTGTTATGTATACATTAGCATCATCTCTTGTGTGTATATTGTGTGTGTATGTCTGTGTGTATTTAAATTAAGGGGGATGTTGTTAGAAATAAGAACTAAAGTAAAAAGGATAAATTATTGTAAAGATACTTGGCTGCCCCATGGAACCCCAAAACAAGAATGCAACTGGGCACTAGGAATGACTGGAAACAGACAGGCCATTAGAACTTTCTCTGTCTCTTTTCCCCCACTACATTAACTGTCCCATTCTGTATCTCTCTCCCTCTTTCTCTCTCTCCCCACATACATTGTCTCACTCTCTGCTTCTCTGGTGTGCACTAAATTGCATGGTGGCTAACGACTCTTAAACTTTATAACTTGTGAACCAGTTCCAAATTCTCCAAGTACTGTGATTCTTCCAGCTACCAAACCCCAGCCAACAACCTTGGCCAGGGATGGTAATCAAGTGACATTTTCATACCTACTGTAGTAATTAGGTAGATTATAGTGGGAGGCTGAAGAAGAAGAAAAAGGATGAAAATTCCCAAAATGAGGGAAGGAATACAGGTCATTCCTGACCACTACTATCTCCTATTCCTGGTTGTTTCATCAACATTGACACAAAAGACAAAAGAAAGTAGGAAAAAGAAATATTAAAAAAGCAATAATGTCTATGGTGTATTAATGCATATGCATGTTTGAATATTGAATAAGATGGAATGCCTCTTACTGTTGGTAGTGCTCGAAGATAGCTGTTCCCAGTATAAGTAGCAGTATGATTTTATGATCTCTCGGCATGGGGCTGGGTGAGTATGAGAAAGAAATCAAGTTTTTCACAGACAGTTTACTTTAGCTTCTTTTTTCATGGCAAATTAAATAAGAGATTTTTAAAATAAAACAAATGAGTGTGCTAGAATTTTACATTGATTGAAAATAAATATTCGTGGCTCTTGCGCTTTGCATAGTGGTTATATTTGTAAAATTGTATGTAAATCATATATTTGAAAATGAGTCACATTTCAAATATAATAGGGTGGTGAATCTTAACATTTTTGCAGTCATAAATCCATTGGAGAATTTGAGGAGAGCTGTGGACTCATTTCCCAGAAAAATATGAGCATGCACACACACAGTTACAATGGGATGTTATATGACATATTTATTTGAGACCTGGAACTTAACACTTTATATTGCTTTTGTCTTCCCCCAGTCATTGTTATTTGAACAAATGAAATAAAGACTCCAGATTCTTAAAACCTTCAAAATGCCCGGTATGTACAAGCCAAAAAATGGGTTGGGGTGGGGGACATATGTGAATGCAGAGAACTAGCTCCCTCTTCACCAGCTCCTGCTCCAATGAGTCCTAAATAAGCTGTAGTAGGAAATGAAGACTGAGCTCTTAGAAGGAGGGGAGAGAGTTATAATGTGGGGAATGCTG
Source organism: Homo sapiens (assembly GCF_000001405.40). Lineage (NCBI taxonomy): Eukaryota > Metazoa > Chordata > Mammalia > Primates > Hominidae > Homo > Homo sapiens. The sequence goes on from NC_000004.12 coordinate 142,850,657, forward strand.
TATTCGTCCACTAGGGATGCCATAACCTCTTACCAACAGGTTTGGTGGCTTAAACAATAGAAATGTATTTCTCACAGTTCAGGAGGCTGTAAGTCAAAGGCTGAGGAATAGGCAGGTTTGGTTTCTGAGGCCTGTCTCCTTGGCTTGCAAATGTTGCTGTCTCGCTGTGTCCTCAGGTGGTCTTTCCTGTGTGCATTTGCAGCCCTGGTGTCTGTGTGCGTCTAAATTTCCTCCTCTTATAAGGACACCAGTCAGATTGGATTAGGGCCTGCCCTAATGGCCTCTTTTAATCTAATTGTCTTTTAAAGGCCCTATCTCCAAATGCAGTCATATTCTGAGATACTGGGTGCTAAGGCTTCAACATATGAATTTGAGGGGGACAAGATTCAGCCCATAACAAATGTGCACTACAACAAACTCCAGAAAGGGTCTGGGGGTGAAGTTTGGATATAAATTTCTCCCTTCTGTAAAGAGGACCCAAGAGTAAATACTTGTACTGTTTTCCCCTTGGAGTATCAAGAAGGCAAGGGTGTAAAGTGGGAATATAAATGCTAGCATGCCTTATCTAGATCCTAAAGGGCTAATGATCCCTGGGATTTTGTTGCCTAAGTGATGAGGAAGAGGCTGTGGTTCCTTTGGGCTATAGGAGGCCTGGAAGTTAGTCAGGAGTGACAGCCAGCAGGACAGGTAATCACCAAGAGGTCCCCTGGGAGGGCGACCAGATTAAATGCCAAGGAAAGGGCGTGGCCTGTCTATGGAAACATAAAGGTGTGGCTACAATTGCCATGGCAATGACCTCAGAAGAGTCAGTGGCTATGCACTAGAGTAATGCCATCTTCATTCACACCTCTAGAATGGAAGCCAAGTCAGCTCTTCAGAAAATGACAGACATGTCCCCCAGTGTCATGATGCTGTGTAAGTCTCCCCTGGACCAACAAGCTCCCCTGGAAGTAAAGGCGAAGGAAAAATGGGAGGGGCAGCAATACTTAAACTGAGTAAGTTTTAAACCAGGGTAGACTTGGTTTAGATTACTGGATACAACTAAGAAAACTAAATTAAATTTGCTATTTCTGAGTACAAATAGGGGCTTATAATTAAGTTAATTTTATGGTAGAAAAATTATGTTCCACTTTTTATACCCAAGGTTTAAAAACTTAACTGATATCCTTTTATATTTCATGTTTTAATATCTTCTCAGGAAGCTCATTGATACCCCTGAATAGCATCTATGATTCCATATTAAGAATATTTGTCCTAGATGATCTGATTCTTTAAATCTGGTTGTAGGAAAAATATATTTAACTGAAAAAAAATCTGCTAATATATATAATTCTCACTGATGTATTGTTTGAAATGCTATTTTCTTTTTTTTTTTTTTTTTTTTTTTTTTTTTTTTGAGATGGAGTCTTGCTCTGTCACCCAGTTTGGAGTGCAGTGGCACGATCTCAGCTCACTGCAAGCTCCACCTCCCAGGTTCACGCCATTCTCTTTCCTCAGCCTCCCGAGTAGCTGGGACTACAGGTGCACACCACCACGCCCAGCTAATTTTTTGTATTTTTGGTAGAGATGGGGTTTCACCGTGTTAGCCAGGATGATCTCCATCTCCTGACCTCCTGATGCTGCCTGCCTCGGCCTTCCCAAAGTGCTGGGATTACAGGCATAAGCCACCGCATCTGATCCTGAAATGCTATTTTCTTAAAGAGAGTAGTATCTGTAAGTTACAACATAATAGCTTACATGATTATGTTTAGCAAATGCCGGCAAAAGAATAAAATCACAAATGAAAAATTATAGAAAAGCATTAGGTAAAGATAGCTATATTCAAATTTAGGGGGATTGAAGGTGACAGTATTATGCTGCTTCATTTCAAGAAGTAGGAAGCTTTTTTTAACAGAAGTCTTCAAAAAAGAAAGCATCTGAATTAATTATTTTTGTTACTCTCCCTATTTTCATCCAAACACTTTTTTATTACCTAATTATGTCACTAAAAGCATAAAATGGAAAAGAACCTTATATATCAGACACATTTTAGGAAATGTTTGTGGTAATCAGAGAGATTGATGAGAGCCACTCGCTCTTTCCAGAAGTGAGCATCTTACCTCTGAATATTTTGTTAATTTTCTTCATCAATGTCTCTATCTTATCTTCCACACTTAAAGACATAAATAGATTCTTCTCACCTATTTTCAAAACTTTCTCTATATCTAATCATCTTGTCAAAATACCATCCTGGGTCTCTTTTTCTTGGTATAATCCAGCTCTGCCATCTCCTGGTGACCTGATTTTGGCTGAAATAGACCAACTGTAATCACCAGAGCAAGTCAGAAGAATTGGTCAGATGTCAGGAGAAACTAGAACCTCTTAGTTAAACCTGTATCTCTGGAGACTCCTCTCCTTCATTTGTTCATCAAGGCAAAATTCGTGCTTCAGAATTGGACAAATTAGGGCTCCATTCATGGTGTCACATTCACCAGCTGTGTGACCTTTCATAAGTGCCTTAAAATTTCTGAGTCTCTGTTTCCTTATCTGTAAAACTAGGGATAATAGTCCCTTCCTCCTAGAGTGACCAAAAATCCAAGACACTGTGAGGACATGACCTGCTGTCCATCTTGTGCTACTTTTTTTTTTTTTACCCATAATCTTTTGCTGAGACTGAAGAAGATGGAGATGAACATGGCAACAGCAGAGTGTCCTCATGAAATCCTCCAACGTTTGTGTTCTAGGCTAGCTATTTCACCATTACCTACAACCTCACATTTGTCATAGAAATACTAGTCCACACCTGTGAAAAGTAACACCCTTCTGGAGAATCTGGCTAAAGTCCGTGCCATATGAGCAAAGAATTTTCCAGAGAGTTTGTTATGGAGACTCTCGGCAGAACCACTTCTAACTCTCAGTCTATCTTTACAACCCTCTTCCCTATATCTTCAATTCAGTTCTAACAAGTGTTCACTGAGCATCTACTACTTGCCACAAATTGTGCTTGGCTCTGGGAATAAAAAGGTGAAAAGGGCACCATTTTGTCTCCCTTCTTTGGCAGAGTCAAAGTTGATTTTCATAAACCTATCTTCTATTATTTATTTCCTATTTGGTTTACTCTAACATTATATTTATTGAGTGTATGAAAGTTATCAGTATCAAAATGGAATGTGCATGTGCAACCCTGATGTGTCTGTATGTGTCTAAATTTCCTCCTCTTACAATGATGCCAGTCAGATTGTATCAGGGCCTGCCCTAATGGCCTCATTTTAACCTAAGCATTTTTTAAAAGTCCTATCTCCAAATACAGTCATATCCTGAGGCACTGAGTGCTAGGGCTTCAACATATGAATTCTGGGGTGAGGGGGACACAATTCAGCCCATAACAGATGTCAAACACTAATGTTAAATTAAGAAAAAAAAACCCTCCCTAACAAACAGCGCCAGGGAAGGCCGTGAAGAAAGGGTTCCCACACGAGTATCCTCGTAACAAAACTCTCACAAAGAGCTCTGCAAAAAGCACAACCTGACACTTTAGGCCATCACAACCTTACACAAAAAATAGTTCTGCATGGACATCTGCCTTGCAACTGCCCGTTCAACCCAGCCTGGAATCATCCCTGGTATTGGTATTTGTAGCCAAATAATATCATTTTGAATCAGTTGTATAATCCTCCTCCTTTTTCCTTTAAAAACCTTTGACTTTCTTTACCGCCCTGAATATGCACATGGTTTCTATGACATGCACACATATTCCCATTGCAATGCTCTATTCTCAAATAAGTAACTTTTTCTCTAAGAGAGCCTCTCTGTGTTTGTTACTTAGGTTAACAGTGTCTAGCACACACAAGGTAAGGGGATGTGGCAACACAGCGATGAGCAGATATAATTTAGTTGAGGCGACAAGGAAAGTATGCAAATAGGTACAAAATGAAGTGAGATATTATATATCAATAGAGTAAGCGGAAGTGCCATGAATATTAGAAGGCAGGAGAAACCAAATCGAGTTGGAAGGATCAGAAAAATCTTCATGAAGTGGCATTTGATAGATGGAGGATTTCAGGGAACATAATTGGCAGGCATCCCATCACAGGCATGAGTAAGGCCCTCCTGGTAGACTTATCCTTCAGGTCTGATTGGAACATCACCTACTCTGTGAAGACTGCCCGGTTAATCCTTTTCTGTGGTCTCCTAGCACTGAGCATTTTACTTGGTTGTGTCTCTTACTGCACTGTATTTGTTTACCCATCTGTCTCCTTCACTGGGTTGCAAGCTCCTCCTAAGAGTAAAACCATGTTTTATTTAGGTTTATGCAACAGATGCAAAGGCCCCAGAAAATTCTGAGAGCTTGGAATCTAGGGAATGTTATATTTATTTATTTTTAAGTGAAATTAGATCCAATTTGAACTTCTCACTAACTTTTTGAAAATCTGTCAGTTTGGGGGGTTCCTCTTTGGCTGTTTTGGACTCCCTATTTGGATGGGGATCCACACCACAGATCAGCACCTTCTGATCCATGGCTTTCTCAGTACCCTTCCCTGCTCCACAAGGTCATCAGGAACCTTGCATCTCTGCATGGCATACCTGTCCAGATACTTCCCTCTGCCAATGCTCTCTAGCATGTTACACCATGCGGGGTGTGAGACTTCTGAGACACATTGTGTTTGGAGTTCTTCAAATTGTATCTTGTTATATCTACTCTCTCCCACTGCCAATCAACCTGTAAGGAGGAACAAGGAAAATCACCATTCTCCTGCCCTTCCTCCTCCTCATTTTCTGCCCTATCTCCTCTCCCAGCTTTCTACTTTCCCACCCTATTCCCAAGGCTCCTACATCATCTGGTGTCGCTTGTGCTTCCCTTTCTTGGGACCATAATGAGAGAGTAGATTCAGAGAAAGAATTTGTTACCACAAGGAGAAAATTCATCTTGAATACTTCAAAAGTAGTATCCAGTGTTACACAAATATGTGACTGTGTATGTATGTATATTGTGTATGCACGTGTGGAATCACTAACTTTTTTAAAACTTTAGACATTCCAGAGTAACTTTTTTTTATATACACTGAAGTGTTTGTATCTACAGCATACTCCAGAAAAATATAACGTTACAGATATTTTTCTTTGTAAATAGAATACAAGCTTCTCACACAGAATCACTGTAACATTCTCTAAGTTAAAAGCTGAGAAATCATTATAGATAGCTCAAAAATGTTTTTCCTTTGAAACACAGCACTTATGGGCAAATAGGATCATTTGAAACCTATTTCAAAAAAAGAAGGAAAAAGTTGAGAAAATTCATCAATGTGAATAGACAACCAAAGACAACCATTTTATTTGGCCTAAAATGAAGTTACATTTTACAGGACTGAATTTTAGTTTCATGAAAGTTATAATAAAAACAAATAAGTGATTCACTTAATGCTTTCTGTAATGTAAAAATAAACTTCCCCCTCCATCTGAGTTACCCTTTTCTGGTTTTATACCCAAAAGCTCTAGCTGAGAGTAGACTCAAGTATTTTTTAAAACTTTGATAGATGGGATATGCCGGGGTGAGTGGGAACAGAAGGCAAGGGAAACACCACTATTTTAAAACTGTGACATTTTATCAAGTTCTCCAAATGGAGATTTAACTTGAACCATGTGGTCAAATTTTTTTCTATTTTGGGAAAAAGTACTTTGTGGGTTTTTGTAATGGTAAAGTCAAAAAGAATTATATTCTACAGTGGGAGTTCTAAAATAGTGGGAAGGGGTAAACAGCTCTGTAAGATGATGAAAAGTGTTGTCTTCTAGATGATTCTGGGTCCTACCAAATTTATGAGCATGATGTATTTTGGAGGAAGGTTTTGAACTGAGGGATAGGGTTAGTGGATAAGGGAGAAACTGGATTTGCCTCTTGCTGGACGTCAAAAGACTTTAGGGGAACGGGACCCCAGGAAGGGAACCCATAACCAAAGGTATTTTTCTTTTAAAACTGGGAAATACTGCCTGTAACATGTTGGCAGAACAAGTTGCATCCCTTCAGCACCCCCATTTGCTCCATCCCCGTATTTTAGCTCAGAATGCTGCAGCAGAATATGATAGACTGGGTGGCTTAAACCACAAACATTTATTGCTCACAGTTTTGGGGGATGGAAACTCCAAGTTCAAAGTGCCGGCAGTTTCTGTGTCTTGATTCTTGATTCATAGACAGCCATCTTCTCATCATATCTTCACATGGTCTCACCAGACTAATCATTTCTTCATGCCTCTTCCTTATAAGGACACTAATCTCATTCATGAGAACTCCACCCTCATGACTTAATTACTTAATTAGTAGCCAAAGCCCCACCTCCTAAGATTATCACATTGCAGATTCGCATTTCAACATATGAATTTGGAAAGAAGGAGAAAACATTAAATTAAATCCATAACACTCCCCATCCCACGTACTCTTCATGAAGGACTTCAGAAGTATAGAAGACTAAGAAATCGCATGGTATTTTTTCTTTTTCTTCCTCCACTGTCATTCCTTCTTGTGCTTACCATCCATCTCCCAGGTGTAAAGTAGAGTCAGTCACAGAATCTTAGCCTAACCTGATAACTTTGTTCCTTCCCAGGATGAGCAAGGGAGGCAGCAACAGTCTGGAGAAACCAGCCATGGTGTTGGAACCAGAAGATGATTAGGTAAAGGGGCTTTCCAAACCAGAACAAATGGGTGGAATATATAAACATGTTTTGGATCAAAAAAAAAATACTAGACTTCCTAAAATAAAACAGGATGACAGCCCTAACTAATCTTATTTGTTAAAGGAAGTGTGATCCTTGAAAGCTGAAGAAATTGCAAATGTTTGGGTGATAGTTACAAGGAATACAGACACACTGGGCAAACATGAAATACTAGGAGTCTGCGGTATTTGGCCTGTAATGGTGGGTCCCTTCTCCCTGTATCTGTTATTTTTCTCTGCCAGAGAAGTTGCTGGCATTGGTGTTACTGGGGTCCCAGTTACTTTCTACTACATAGCTACGAGGGGAGGGATGAGGAAAACTTGGGGAACTTGCCATCCAGGACCACAGTCTTGGTATCTTCTGCATGCTTCCCTTGGATAATTAATACTTCTCAGCAATTTTCATTGACTGTGCTTCTATTTAAAGTTAACCCTTTCCTCTCCTCCCACTAACTGAATGATCTCCATTCTCCTCAGTCTAAATTGCAAAGGGTAGCATTAGATTGAGGTCATTAACATCTCTCCTGTTAAAAAGAGAGCCTCTTGCAGCAAGCTGCCTCATAGGTTGCAGACCCATACATGGGTAAGCTAGCCTTAGATCAGATGTCCATGCTCTAAAGAGCATCTTAGCCGGGTGTAGTGGCTCAAGCCTGTAATCCCAGCACTTTGGAAGGCCGGGGTGGGCAGATCCCCTGAAGTCAGGAGTTTGAGATCAGCCTGATCAACAGGGTGAAACCCTGTCTCTCTAAAAATACAAAATTAGCCAGGCATGGTGGTGGGTGCCTGTAATCCCAGCTACTCGGGAGGCTGAAGCAGGAGAATCACTTGAACGCAGGAGGTGGAGGTTGCAGTGAGCCAAGATTGCGCCACTGCACTCCATCCTGGGTGACAAGAATGAAACTCCTCAAAAAAAAAAAAAAAAAGAGCATCCTAGCATTGTGTCTGAGAGCAGAGAGCTGTGAGCTGGGGATTTCAGCTTGAAGGGGATATTAGCCACCAGGCTAATAGAGGTCCTTAATGAAATGAATACACATTCACATAAGAAAGTAGCCTTTGATGAAAACACACACACATACAGTGAAATATGTTTCTACTAAAGGTCATGGAATCAAAGAGAGAGGTTCAAGTACTTGTCACCACTACAGACCACACTTATAGATGGGGTTAAGCCAAAACAGCATAGGAAAGTCAAATCTCTTACCGTTCAGGTCAAACTCCTAATATGCTATTAATTGTGGAGCTTTATCTTTCTAAAATGAGAGGAACACTGCCGGGTCTTTGTTCTGCTTTCTACACTAAAACATGCAGTTGTGGCTTTTATTAGGTCTGAAAGAGAAAGCATACTACGTGAAATAGTAAACCACAGCTTGATTGTCTCTTGATAATCTATATTCCAGGGAGGCTGCAGTTTATTTATCCAAGTATTGATGAAAGGCTAAATTTTTATAATGTACAAGCCAATTTAAACTGTTCTTAAAATGAATAAAGAAGAAAAGTCATACCTACTTGCACAATTACATAATTACATAGTTTTCAGCAATCTCTGAATGTTTCTTTCTTTTAAATTTTCTTGAGACGTAGCTATTTTTATATCACCTGTAGGTAGATTTTTTTTCTGGGAATCTGAGGAATAAAATTAAAGGTAAATGTGACTGGCTTCTATCTCAGTGACAGACAATATTCCCAATCCAAATGGCTTATTGGTGAAGAGGCTCAGAATCAATATTTCAGAGACTTGTTTTATCAAAGCCTGTAGTTCCTGGCCACTGCATTTCTCCTCTCCTTGTAGCTGAGCCATTTGACACTTCTCAGTTCCAAAGGCCTTTCATGAGAGGGTGTTGAAGACAGACACATGATACTGGAAGAGCCAGGTTTGAGATATTTATTGTTCATCCCTCCCAGAGCCTGTGTCCAGTTCTACTGACTGTATTTTTCCTTGTTAGTGAACCCCCACATTAAAAACAATTTTTTGAAAATTGGCTTTGTATCTTGGACAGGCCATTGAACTTTCAAAGGATTTATCTTTCATCTTTGACATCAAAATGTCTTATTAAGACATCTAAGCTACCTTCTGCTCATTGGGTTCCATACTAATAGTGGTGTCAAAGTAATTAACAGTGTGATGTTTTGTGGACTGGTGAGATGGCCAAAGTCCATGTGAGCTAGGCTAGGGGTCAGCAAACTACAGCCTGGAAGTCAAATCTGACCTGCACCCCATTTTTGTAAATCTTGCAAGCTAAGAGTGGTTTTTGTTTTGTGAAGTTGAAAAAAAAAAGAAAGAAGAAGAAGAATATGGAACAGAGACCATTTGTGGCCTGCAAAGCCTAGAATATTTACTATTTGGCCCTTTACAGGAAAAGTTTGCCAATCCCTACACTAAATTGTCATATAGAGCCAGAGAGTTGATGTAGCCCTTAGTCCATTACTGTTCCTGCCAGTTGAAAGGAAATTACTTCTGTGGTCTCTTTTTATTGGAGTATTTTTTTAAAAAGCATTTGCCAACTTGATAGATAGCTCTGTATATCAGACATCAGAGTCTGTGCCGACTGGCTCCAGAAAATAAACCACATATGGAACAGTGGCTTCAACAGGAATCACTCTCTCATTAAGTTTGTGATAATCCATTGCTATTATTCCGAAGACCCATCTATTTTCTCACCAGTCAAACGGGAAAGCTTAATGAGGATGCAAGAACCTAATGAGGATGTGGAGAAATTGGGGGATGTAATAAGAATTATGACCCCTACCTTTTCCAACTGCTTAATAGCAACCTTGGTCTCTACAACCCCTCCAGGTGTGTGGCATTTTGGTAGTACCCTTAGCACAGAGGCTTTCTCTGGCCCTTCAAAGCCTTCACTCCATGAATCAGAAAGCCAATGTGGAGATGTTGACGAGTATGTCTATTCCAACTGTGCAAATGGAAACTAGGGAAGTAAACGCAGAACAATTCACCAATGGGTCCACATTGTCCCACTGTGAGGCAAACATAGACAAAATCCCTACTTAGATTCCCTGACCCCTATAAGCCTCCTCAGAGTAGAAGACCACAGTGGCATTCTGGGTCCCCCAGGGTTGATATTAGCTAGAGCGCATGTCAATAATTCCCCAGAGATCTGGGTGGTTCGTTTTGCTGAGAGATGCCTACAAGCCCTTTTCAGGAGGTGATGAGAATGAAGATGTACAGTACATGCTTGTGGCACTGTCATAGGGTACTTCCTCAAGAGTTCCTGGCTTCCCCATCATTTATGGGCGATGGGTCTATGAACCAGTAATAGGACCATAACTCTTCATTGTAGTTCCTCAGATCACCTAGAGTTTTGTTTTTGCTTTGGTGTCAGTTTATACAGATCAAAGGGGATGATAATGGCTGCATTCCTCTTTCAGTCCTAGCAACTTCTCACTCCATTAGCCACTCCCAGTCAAACCTCGTGATCATCGCTCAAGTTCTACTATCGTTATATTGCAGTAACCACACCTACTTTGCCTCTGTCTTTGAGCCCTATCATTGTGCTGTCCTTTGCATTCTGCCATCTAGGCCCCTATCTCCCCATAGAAATCATTCTCCTACCTAGGTCCCCATCCCACTGTGGAAATCAGAGAGTCCTTTTCTTTGGCAGCTGCTCCTACAACCATCAGGTCTGGCCTGCAGAGGACAGCCATTCTGATACTTATCAAGTTATTTCTTGATGAAAGTAGTGCCTCAATGAAGAAGGTAAATTCTGGGCTCTCTTGTGAGGCATAGCTAGGTATAGATGAGTGATTTGCATGTGATAAATATACCCCAATGTTTCCTTATGTTTGCATCCATTTCTCTACATTATCCCAAGAAATTTCTGGCATCATAACTTAAGCATTGACTGCCAATGCACCCACATTTCTATCAAACACTCTGAGCTGCTCAAGTGAGCATATTGAACCCAGTATCTCTGGCAAGTGCACTCAATGCAAAATATTCAACCCAATCTAAAATTATGCTTCTCCTTTCCTGGTTTGGAGCCACTGAAATCCACTGCCACACATATTCCAGGTTTTTGCCATTGCATATGAGCAAACTCTTGTGATTCTTTTTGTTGGGTAAGACTTATCCCTTCAGCTTTGACTTGGTGTTTGTTTGCCACCACATCAGCATGCTGGATTTGCTTCTACTTAAGGATTGGAAGGAAATGCTAGAGGGTAGGGCATGTAGAGAGGATTGACACCTCCTTGTGGGTTAACTCCCTCCAGTGAGGTTATTGCAGGGCCCTCAGGCCAAAAAGAAACAGCCTCATAAAACAGGAAACAGGTTTGCTTCTGCTTTCAAGAAATACTTAATTTTGTCAAAGGCCTTTTCTGCATCTATTGAGATAATCACAAGGTTTTTGTCTTTGGTTCTCTTTATATGATGGATTATGTTTATTGATTTGCGTATGGTGAAACTGGCTAGCCATATGCAGAAAGCTGAAACTGGATCCCTTCCTTACACCTTATACAAAAATTAATTCAAGATGGATTAAAGACTTAAATGTTAGACCTAAAACCATAAAAATCCTAGAAGAAAACCTGGGCAATACCATTCAGGACATAGGCATGGGCAAGGACTTCATGACTAAAACACCAAAAGCAATGGTAACAAAAACCAAAATTGACAAATGGGATCTAATTAAACTAAAGAGCTTCTGCACAGCAAAAGAAACTACCATCAGAGTGAACAGGCAACCTACAGAATGGGAGAAAATTTTTACAATCTACCCATCTGACAAAGAGCTAATATCCAGAATTTACAAAGAACTTAAACAAATTTACAAGAAAAAATCAAACAACCCAATCAAAAAGTGGGCAAAGGATATGAACAGACAGTTCTCAAAAGAAGACATTTATGCAGCCAACAGACACATGAAAAAATGCTCATCATCATGGCCACCAGAGAAATGCAAATCAAAATCACAATGAGATACCATCTCACACCAGGTAGAATGGCGATCATTAAAAAGTCAGGAAACAACAGGTGATGGAAAGGATGTGGAGAAATAGGCACACTTTTACACTGTTGGTGGGACTGTAAACCAGTTCAACCATTGTGGAAGACAGTGTGGTGATCCCTCAAGGATGTAGAACTAGAAATACCATTTGACCCAGCCATCCCATTACTGGGTATATACCCAAAGGATTATAAATCATGCTGCTATAAAGACACATGCACACGTATGTTTACTGCAGCACTATTCACAACAGCAAAAACATGGAATCAACCTAAATGCCCATCAGTGGTAGACTGGATAAAGAAAATGTGGCACATATACACCATGGAATACTATGTAGCCATTAAAAAGAAAGAGTTCATATCCTTTGTAGGCACATGGATGAAGCTGGAAACCATCATTCTGAGCAAACTATCGCAAGGACAGAAAACCATACACCGCATGTTCTCACTCATAGGTGAGAATTGAACAATGAGAACACTTGGATACAGGGTGGGGAACATCACACACTGGGGCCTGTTGTCGGGTGGGGGGAGGGGGGAGGGATAGCATTAGGAGATATACCTAATGTAAATTACGAGTTAACGGATGCAGCACACCAACATGGCGCATGTAAACATAAGTAGCAAAGCTGCACGTTGTGCACATGTACCCTAGAACTTAAAGTATAATAAAATAAAATAAAAAGAAATACTTAGTGAAATTTGAGTTTTTAAGGTACTTGGAGACATAAGAATGTATCATATGTCCCTGGTTCAGTTTTCCTGGTCCCATTCCTTCCAATAAATGTCCTAATGCTCACATAAAAAGCTTTTTAAATGTATGAATTCATCCTGCCTTGCAGTTCAGCAACTTAAGAATCATACTGGTTCTGCTTTTTGGCTCTGTCAGTGCAGCAACTACAAGACAGAGGAGATTCTTAAAGGCAACCATAGAAGTTCCTTGATTATCTGACCATGCTTTAAACAGAGAACTTTAAGTCCCATTTTATCATTTTTTCTTTAAGCTTTTTGAAACAGAGGAAAAACTTCAGTACCTCACACACACACACAACAATCATTACATTCTTTATTTTTCCCATAATGATCAGCGTTACTTAACACTTCAAAACATCACCTTTGATAGACTTCTTATTCTAAACAACCCCAAGTGATTATTTAAGTTAATATATTAACAGCATGTACCAGTTATAATGCTCAGAGAATCTTAGCTGTCTTCAGTTCAAACTGGTGAGCGAATGAATCACAGAAGCTCATTTATTTGAGAGTCTGTTGCTTGCAACCACTGGAGACAGCAATTACTCTATTGGGATTTAATTGTACAGAACAAAAGCCACTTTAGGTTGTGTCAACAGAAAGAAATTTGTTTTATGAGTTGTGAAATGGTGTATAAAATTGTTTATAAACTGAAGAGACTTTAGACTGATCTTCCAGAAAAATCTCTTAAATCATGATGCTGAAATGGACCACCCAAAATGCTGTTGCCATGGTCATAATCAGGAAGCTGCCTGATAAATCAATAAGCCATGATGACAGCTGCTAACTCAAGATCAAAGCACTCCCACTTTGATCTGCACCAGCAAAAGTAGGCACCTCATGCCACTTTTCCCTCTATTTTTTGTCTAATTTTTAAAATTTGGGTAAAATTAACAGTTACACAGCCATCACCAACATCCATCTGCATAAGTCTTTTCATCTTATAAAACTAGAACTCCTGACTCATTCAACGCTAACTTACTACTTATCTCCCCTTCCCCCCCAGCCCCTCATAACCACCCTTCTACCTTCTGTCTCTTATGGTTTTGACTACCCTAAGTACCTCATATATGTGGAATCATGTGGTATTTGTCTTTCAGTGACTGGCTTATTTCACTTAGCAAATGTCCTCAAGGTTCATCTATGTGGTAGTGCATGTCAGAATTTCCTTCCTTTTGAAGGCTGAATGATATTCCCTCATATGTATATACCATATTTTGCAGCATTTATTCATCAGTGGACACTTGGTTTGCTTCCATATTTTAGCTATTGTGACTAATGCTGCTACGAACATGAGTGTGCAAATATCTCAAGGCCTTGCTTTTGATTTATTTATATGTATATACAGAAATGGAATCACTGGATCATATGGTAATTCTATTTTTAATTTTTTGAGGAGCTGCCATACTGTTTTCCACAGCACTGCATCATTTTACATTCCCACCAACCGTGCACAAGTATTCTGATTTGTCCACATCATCACTAACACTTATTTTCTATTTTGTCAATAGTAGCCATCCTAATGGGTGTGAGAGAGTATCAAATTGTAGCTTTGACTTCCGTTTCCCTGGTGATTAGTGACATTGAGCATCTTCTCATGTTCTTATTGGCCATTTGCATATCTTCTTTGGAGAAATGTCTATTGAAGTCCATTTTCCATTTTTGATTAGAGTTTTGGGTTTTACGTTGTTGAGTTTCCCTTCGTTTTTATTTCAGTTCTAGATTTAAGTCTTATGTGAGGCCATTTGGTTGGCAGAGCATACATTACATCCAGAAATGTGGGAAATGCAGATTTTAGCTCGACGGCCTCTGCAGTGTAGAAAGGCGCACTAGAAAGAGGTGGGAATCAATTCTGAGCAAGCCAATCCGCACTATCCATGACAGTTCTCTCCCTGAACACTTCCTGTGATTGGAACCCTGCTACCTGCTGACAGGATTGCCTGATGTCAACGTATCTGTCTTGCTAAATGTCCTTACATTGACAGCTCTTAGATTGTTCATACCATCCATTAGATAAATATCCACCATCCTATTATTTGGTATTAAAACTCTTCCTCAATAAGAACTACTTTCCTGGAGCATTTCTGTGTGCCTCTCCTGGTCATACTAAGTGCATGTAGCTTTCTGCTTACGAGGGTGAGCATTTCCTATCCCTGCTGCTGTCTTCACAGCACTTACCCCACAGAAAGATCTCAGGCACTGACAAGATATCCAATCTCAATGCTATGTTGTATCAAGTCTCATATATTGATAAATAAGTCTTAGTGGCATTAATCTAAATAAATTACTATTCCAAATTCTCAGAGAAATCCATTTCCTCTCCTATAAACTTTAGTTTCTTGGTATGACTTGGTATTAGTATTTATCAAGTCATATCCAGAAACTAAACAATATCTTGAAACTTCCTTTTAAATCAGATGCATGTACAAAGCTGTATACTTTTTCTGATTCAAATACTTCTTCTTGTTTCCAAAAGAATATTAATTGTGCTGATCCATTCTCAGTTAACTGGGTCTACCCTAATGAATGAATCTCTTTTCTTTCAAATCCCTTGACTTACTCTGTTGTCTTTGTGTTTGATTTTAAGATTTTTCTGGCCGGGCGCGGTGGCTCACGCCTGTAATCCCAGCAATTTGGGAGGCCGAGGCGGGAGGATCACGAGGTCAGGAGATCCAGACCATCCTGAACAACATGGTGAAACCCCGTCTCTACTAAAAAATACAAAAAAATTAGCCGGGCGTGGTGGTGGGCGCCTGTAGTCCCAGCTACTGGGGAGGCTGAGGCAGGAGAATGGCGTGAACCCAGGAGGTGGAGCTTGCAGTGAGCCAAGATCGCACCACTGCACCTCCAGCCTGGGCGGCAGAGCGAGACTCCATCTGAGAAAAAAAAAAAAAAAAGATTTTTCTGAAGAATCTAATACAAAACAAATGATGTAGCTTATTTCTACATGTAATTCGCTTTCAAAAAGTTTTTTTTTTCTGTCAATAAATTACATACAGATTAAATTTATCCTCACTACCCTAGGACCCTTCTGTGCTGGCCATACCAGAGTTTAAAAGGAGAATGGAGAAAATAGTAGCTTTGTCAAACTATGTTGAATCTTCCTAATAACTGGCCTATCACAGATTATATTCTTGATCTTATACACAATTTATATCAATTTGAATATAGAATAGGTAAGGAAGGTAAGGATTCCGTTTTATCTGTACTTGACATTTTTGTTAAATTGGTAACTTTTGCCACCAATAAAATATGCATTTTGTTCTAAAACAACTGTTATATATATTTTTGAGATTAGGTCTCCAGCATATAGTTGCAAAGTTTCTATCTTTGATGAGTTAGAATATTGGTTTTGTCTAAATGTGTCTGGCATGTTTGATTCTAAAAATAAGTTTTGGATAGCTTCCAGGTTAGCCTTCTGAGATTACATAATTTTCCCAAGTTATTAATATCATTCAATGATAATCATTCCATGCTTTTTTTAAAAACAACATGTGGTCTCCTTTACTACCATTATCATCCCTAAGTCACTCTTCTTTTCTTTTAAGGGGGTCTTGACTAAGAGAGGCATTAATTAATTCTATCTTCCTAATCAGCAGTAATAGGAAATGTGGGCCCCTCAGATAGCTCTGGTTCCAAGGACACCCCATGTACTTTCAGGCTTTTGAAAACAGTCACTTCTAGTTGTTCAGAATTCCCTTTTTAATTGTTCCCGCACTGTTTGCCAATGCAGAAGCAAGCCACATGGTAGGCTCTGCATTCCCCTGTGTTTAAATCCAGGTCTGCACATGGTTAGCAAAGCACGACACAGCAGACAAAATCAATGGCTTTGGTTCTCTGCAGCTTGTCTTCATGATCGATGGAATATTGCAGCTGGGCTAATTATGCGGCAATTTACATGGATTGTTAAGAGCGGCAGTGGTGAATCCTACTGACAACATTTGCCATACTAAGACTTGCTTCTTCTTGGCCTGTGCAGATACAGGATAATTGAAATACCTTCTGAATTTATATAATTTTTAGGTCCATAATTCCATGTGGTCCAAATAAGCCCAAGAGAGAATACAGCTTTCTATTTACATAAGGCTTTAAAATATGACTTGGAGATTAAAGTGGGCAAATTTTTTTCTTACAGGTTTCCAGTTATTATTCTGTTTTTTTCCTTTAAAATTAAAGCAGTTGCAGAACAGTATGCATGCACTTAATTTTATATATGAGCAAGTTGTGTCAGCCTATATCATTGTGCCTATAACACTGATTTAATATCAAATAGATCTCAAGACATTTTTTCACCTTTAAACATTAAACTCAATGGAGGCTTGAAGCTCTAGCTATTTTACATTTAAGAGTCAATTTCTGGAAAGAAATTTGGGCAAGATGGCCAAATAGGAACAGCTCCAGTCTGCAGCTCCCAGGGAATCAATGCAGAAGGCAGGTGACTTCTGCATTTCCAACTGAGGTACCCAGCTCATCTTACTGGGACTGGTTAGACAGGGGGTGCAGCCCACAGAGAGTGAGCCAAAGCAGGGCGAGGCATCTCTTCACCCAAGAAGGGCAAAGGGTTGGGGAACTCCCTCCAATAGCCAAGGGAAGCCTCGAGGGACTGTGCTGTGAGGAATGGTGCATTCTAGCCCAGATATTATGCTTTTCCCAAGGTCTTCCCAACCCGCAGACCAGGAGATTCCCTTGGGTGCCTACACCACCAGGTCCCTGGGTTTCAAGCACAAAATTGGGTGGCCATTTGGGCAGACACCAAGCTAGCTGCAGCAGTTTTTTTTTTTCATGCCCCAGTGGCACCTGGAATGCCAGCAAGACAGAACCATTCACTCCCCTGGAAAGGGGGCTGAAGCCAGGGAGCCAAGTGGTCTAGCTCAGTAGATCCCACCCCCAAGGAGCCCAGCAAGCTAAGATCCACTGCCTTGAAATTCTCACTGCCAGCATAGCCATCCGAAGTCTACCTGGGACACTTGAGCTTGGTGGGGTGAAGGGCATCTGCCGTAACTGAGGCTGGAGTAGGTGGTTTTCCCCTCACAGTGTAAACAAAGCTGCAAGTTCAAACTGGGTAGAGCCCTTTGCAGCTCCACAAAGTCACTGTAGTCAGACTGCCTCTCTAGATTCCTCCTCTCTGGACAGGGCATCTCTGAAAGAAAGACAGCAGCCCCAGTCAGGGGCTTATAGATAAAACTCCCATCTCCCTGGGACAGAGCACCTGGGGGAAGGGACAGCTGTGGGCACATCTTCAGCAGACTTACACATTCCTGCCTGCCGGCTGTGAAGACAGCAGTGGATCTCCCAGCACAGTGCTCAAGCTCCGCTAAGGGACAGACTGCCTCCTCAAGTGGGTCCCTGACCCCCGTGTCTCCTGGGAGACACCTCCCAGCAGGGGTTGACAGATAGCTCATACAAGAGAGCTCTGGCTGGCATCTGGTGGGTGACCCTCTGGGATGAAGCTTCCAGAGGAAGGAACAGGCAGCAATCTTTTCTGTTCTGCACCTCTGTTGGTGATACCCAGGCAAACAGAGTCTGGAATGGACCTCCAGCAAACCCCTGCAGACCTGCAGCAGAGGGGCCTCAGTGATAGAAGTAAAACTAACAAAGAGAAAGGAATATCATCAACATCAACTAAAAGGACATCCACAAAAAAGCCCATCCTAAGGTCACCAACATCAAAGACCACAGGTAGATAAATCCATGAAAATGAGCACAAACCAGCACAAAAAGGCTGAAAATTCCAAAAGCCAGAACGCCTCTTCTCCTCCAGAGGAACACAACTCCTTACCAGCAAGGGAACAAAACTGGTTGGAGATTGAGTTTGACAAATTGACAGAAGTAGGCTTCAGAAGGTGGGAAATAAAAACTCCTACAAGCTAAAGGAGCATGTTCTAACCCAATGCAAAGAACCTAAGAACCTTGAAAAAAGTTAGAGTAACTGCTAACAAAAGTAACCAGTTTACAGAAGAACATAAATGTCTTAATGGAGCTGAAAAACACAGCACAAGAACTTTGTGAAGCATACACAAGGATCAATAGCCAAATCAATCAAGCAAAAGAAAGGATATAAGAGATTGAAGATCAACTTAATGAAATAAAGCATGAAGACAAGATTAGAGAAAAAAGAATGAAAAGGAATGAACAAAGCTTCCAGGAAATATGGGACTATGTGAAAAAACCAAACCTACATTTGATTGGTGTACCTGAAAGTGATGGGTAGAATGGAACCAAGTTGGAAAACATACTTCAGGTTAGCATCCAGGAGAACTTCCCCAACCTAACAAGACAGGCCAACATTCAAATTCAGGAAATACAGAGAACACCACAAAGATACTCATCAAGAAGAACAACCCCAAGACACATAATTGTCAGATTCACCATGGTTGAAATGAGGAAAAAACGTTAAAAGCAGCCAGAGAGTAAGGTCAGGTTACTCACAAAGGGAAGCCCATCAGACTAACAGTGAATTTCTCTGCAGAAACCCTACAAGCTAGAAGAAGTGAGAATCAATATTCAACATCTGTAAAGAAGAAAAATTTCAACCCAGAATTTTGTATCCAGCCAAAGTAAGTTTCATAAGAGAAGGAGAAATAAAATCCTTTACAGACAAGCAAATGCTGAGAGATTTTTTGTCACCACCAGGCCTGCCTTACAAGAGCTCCTCAAGGAAGCACTAAATATGGAAAGGAAAAACTGGAATCAGCCATTGCAAAAACATACCAAATTGTAAAGACCATTGACACTATGAAGAAACTGCATCAACTAACGGGCAAATAACATGAACTAATGGGTGAAATAACCAGCTGGCATCATAATGACAGAGTCAAATTCACACATAACAATATTAACCCTAAATGTAAATGGGCTAAATGCCCCAATTAAAAGACAAAGCCAGGCAAATTGGACAAAGAGTCAAGACCCATCGGTGTGCTGTATTCAGGAGACCCATCTCAAGTGCAAAGACACACATAGGCTCAAAATAAAGGGATGGAAGTATATTTACCTAGCAAATGGAAGGCAAAACAAAACAAAACAAAACAAAACAAAACAAAACAAAACAGGGGCTGCAATCATAGTCTCTGATAAAACAGACCTTAAACCAACAAAGATCAAAAAAGAAAATAAAGGGCATTACATAATGGTAAAGGGATCAACACAACAAGAAGAGCTAACTATCCTTAATATGTATATACACCCAATGACAGAACCAATGACAAAACCACATGATTATCTCAATAGATGCAGAAAAGGCCTTCAATAAAATTCAACACCATTTCATGCTAAAAACTCTCAATAAACTAGGTATTGATGGAACATATCTCAAAATAATAAGAGCTATTTATGACAAACCCACGCCAATATCATACTGAATGGGCAGAAGCTGGAAGCATTCCCTTTGAAAACTGGCATATGAAAAGGATGCCCTCTCTTACCAGTCCTATTCAACATAGTATTGGAAGCTCTGGCCGGGGCAATCAGGCAAGAGAAAGAAATAAAGCGTATTCAACTAGGAAGAGAGCAAGTAAAATTGTCTCTGTTTGCAGACAACATGTTTGTATATTTAGAAAACCCCATTGTCTCAGCCCAAAATCTCCTTACACTGATAAGCAACTTCAGCAAAGTCTCAGGATACAAAATCAATGTGGAAAAATCACAAGCATTCCTATACACCAATAATAGACAGAGAGCCAAATCATGAGTGAACTCCCATTCACAATTACTAGAAAGAGAATAAAATACCTAGGAATACAATTTAGAAAAAATGTGAAGGACCTCTTCAAGGAGAACTACAAACCACTGCTCAAGGAAATAAGAGAGGAACAAACAAATGGAAAAACATTCCATGCTCATGGATAGGGAAAATCAGTATCATGAAAATGGTCATATTGCCCAAGGTAATTTATAGATTCAATACTATCCTCATCAAGCTACCATTGACTTTCTTCACATAATTAGAAAAAACTACCATAAATTTCATATGGAACCAAAAAAGAGCCCATATAGCAAAGACACTCCTAAGCAAAAAGAACAAAGGTGGAGGCATCATGCTACCTGACTTCAAACTATACTATACTGCAAGGCTACAGCAACCAAAACAGCATGGTACTGGTACCAAAACAGACATATAGACCAAAGGAACAGAACAGAGCCCTCAGAAATAACACCACATATCTACAACCATCTGATCAACCATCTGTTTTTGACAAACCTGACAAAAACAAGCAATGGGGAAAGGATTCCCTATTTAATAAATGGCATTGGGAAAACAGGCTAGCCATATGCAGAAAACTGAAACTGGACCCCTTCATTACATCTTACACAAAAATAAACTCAAGATGGATTAAAGACTTAAATGTAAGACCCAAAACCATAAAAACCCTAGAAGAAAACCTAGGCAATACCATTCAGGACATAGGCATGGGCAAAGACTTCATGTCTAAGACACCAAAAACAACTACAACGAAAGCTAAAATAGATAAATGGGATCTAATTTAACTAAGGAGCTTCTGCACAGTAAAAGAAACTATCATCAGAGTGAACAGGCAACCTACAGAGTGGGAGAAATTTTTTGCAGTCTATCCATCTGACAAACTACTAATATCCAGAATCTACAAGGAACTTAAACAAATTTAGAAGAAACAAACAAATAACCCCATCAAAAAGAGGGTGAGAGATATGAACAGACATTTTGCAAAAGAAGACATTTATGCGGACAACAAACATGAAAAAAAGCTCATCATCACTGGTCATTAGAGAAATGCAAATCAAAACCACCGTGAGAGACCATATTATGCCAGTTAGAATGGCAATCGTTAAAAAGTCAGGAAACAACAGATGCTGGAGAGGATGTGGAGAAACTAGGAACACTTCTACATTGTTGGTGGTGGTGTAAATTAATTCAATCATTGTGGAAGACAGTATGGTGATTCCTCAAGGATCTAAAACTAGAAATACCATTTGACCCAGCCATCCCATTACTGGGTATATACCCAAAAGATTATAAATTATTCTACTATAAAGACACATGCACACATATATTTATTGCAGCACTATTCATAATAGGAAAGACTTGGAACCAACCCAAATGCCCATCAATGATATACTGGATAAAGAAAATGTGGCACATATACACCATGGAATACTATGCAGCCATAAAAAAGGATGAGTTAATATCTTTTGCAGGGACACGGATGAACCTGGAAACCATCATTCTTAGCAAACTAATATAGGAACAGAAAACCAACCACCACATGTTCTCACTCATAAGTGGGAGTTGAACAATGAGAACACATGGACACAGGGAGGGGAACATCACACCCCAGGGCCTATTGGGGGGTGGGGTCTAGGGAAGGGATAGCATTAGGAAAAATACCTAATGTAGATGACTGGTTGATGGGTGCAGCAAACCACCATGGCGCGTATATACCTGTGTAACAAACCTGCACATTCTGCAAATGTATCCCAGAACTTAAAGTGTGATTTAAAAAAAGAGTCAATTTCTGAATTATTTCTCAGTTTGAAGAATATGTCCTATCCATTAGAGGAGAAAAATTTTCACACAGTGTTGTAGTACTCTTTATGACTACAGTTCACCAGTGCCTATGGTCACATAGTTGTGTGTATGCAATGTATGTGTATTCAAATTACTAGCCAAGGGCCACTGATGTTTTAAAGACAAGTGAAACAATAGTTCTTCTAAATGGGAAACATTATTAAAAAAACTATTGACTGGCAAGTTGTAGGTGACTCCAGTCACTCTTGAATTACTGAAAATAGGCAATTTGCTCTTTTTGCTTTTTACCTAAAATAAATGGAGTTCTTTCGACTCATGAATGCTATAATAAAAGGTCAAAATCTTTTATTCCCATCTCAGGAGCAATGTCTCTAAAAGACACCGTGCCCTATGCCTTTGCTGAGCAAAACAACTAGAGACGTAGCAATTTTTTATTATAGGATACAATGCTTTTCCAATGACCTTATGACTTTGGGACATTAAAAAGCCTGTCCATTAACAACACACAAAAACAGAAGAAACCTGAAGGAAAATGTCAATTCAAATGTTACATAAAATTTGTTTAACTGTATATGAATAAAAGAAAATGAGTTGCATGTCTTTTTAAAAAATAAATTGTTTAAAAATATTTGAATTTCCTTTTCTTATTTATATTTATTGAATATGTGAATGTGCACTTTTTGTTACCCTACTGATAATTGCTATTGATATTACTTGTGGTTTTGTTAAAGTAACACAAGTTCTAAGTTTAAATTTTTTATGACAGAATAGGTATTTTATAGAGAAACATAAGATTTTTTCTCATTGAATCACCATTGATGACTGTAAGTTTCAAGCTGATCTATCCGGTAAAAAAAAAATTCCATGAAGAGAGTTCACCACTAAATTATTCGTGGTTTTTTAAAAAAGTATAATTACAGAAGTATTAATATTCATTTGGTAAATTCAGAAAAGCATTTTTAATTTAGAAAACCTATTATAACCTACCCAGAGATATCTACTATTAATATTTTGATGGATTTTATTTCAATATTAAGTGGTTAAGAGCATAGGATCAAGAGCCATTTCAAAATACTGCTCTATCATTTACTAACCTTGAGACTTTAAGCAAATCACTTAGCTACTTTGTGCCTTAGTTTTTATATCAATAAAACAGACATGATAATAGACCTAAGTCACAAGGTCATTGACAGGTTTAAGTGAGGTAAAACATGTAAAGTGCTTAGAAAAAATCCTGGTACATAGTAAGAGTGCAATATGTAATAGTTTGAATATTATTGCTGTTTTCCCTTTCATTTTTTTATATTGTTGATTTATTATGTTTGGGATGTCACCAGCTTAAAAACAGTTATGAACTTTCTGGAAATTTTGGAAAATATGGTCAAAATTTAAAAATAAAATTGCACTTCTTAATACATTATCATACATAAGCACTGTTAATATCTGGATGCACAGTTTAAAAACCACCTCTGATCATAATAGACTCCAAAATACTCAGATGTGATAAATATATATATTTATAAATACATAGAAATAAATTTAACACAAGTAGTGAGAGACTTGTACACTAACAATTACAAACATTACCGAAGAAAATGAATTTCTAAATGATTAGGAAGACTTTCCTTATACATCAGTTGAAATATTCAATAGCATTAAGACTGTATTCTCCCAAAATTAATCTATAGCTTCAGCACAATATCTATCAAAATTCTAGTGGGCTTTTTTGGGGCATAAATTGAGAAGATAATCTTAAATGTATATGAAATTGCAAAATGTCTAGAATATACAAAACAATTCTGAAAAGAATAGCACAAGGAGGGGCCAAAATGGCCAACTGGATACAGCTGTGGTTGGCGGCTCCCACCGAGAAGAACAAAAATGATGAGTGAATCCTGCACCGGCAACTGAGGTATCCAGGTTCTCTCATTGGGATTGACTAGGCAGTTGGCACAACCCACAAAGAGTGAGGAGAAACAGGGTGGTAAGGCCCATCTGGGTGCCACACAGAGGCAAGAAGAGATCCCACCCCAAGCCAAGGGAGGTGGTGAGTGATTGTGCTACTCTGACTAGGAAACCACACTTTTTTCATGGATCTGTGCAACCCGTGCATCAGGAGATCCTCCTCATCAGCCTATGCCAGCCACCAGGGCTTTGGGTCCCAAGCACAGAGCTATGCAGATTCTTAGCAGCCACTCTGCTGGATACTGTTTAAGACTATGGGGCTCTGCAGGGGAGGGACAGACATCATCACTGTGACTACCTGCTGCCTAAGGTGACTGAGCTCCTAAGGGGAGGGATGGCAGCCATCGCTGCAGCTCCAGCCTGCCATTTTTCCCCTGCTGGTGCCAGGGAGACTGGGCAGTTTGGATCAAAAAGGAATTACCCACAATGCAGCACAGTGGCTGTGGCTCATGGCCCAACTGCCTCTTTAGACCAGACCCTGATGCATCCCTCTTCACCAGGTGGGGCTTCCCTGCAGGAATTTCAGCAACTCCAGCCAAGAGTTTAGGGACAGAATTCTAAACTCCCTAGGACTGAGCCCCTAGGAGGAGCGGTGGCCATTGTCTCCATGGATCAGCTGACTTAGTCTTTCCCCCTGCTGGCTCTGAGGAATCCAGGCAGCCCAGACAAGTAGGATTTCCCCCAGTCCAGTGCACCCCCTCCACCAAGGGGCAGCCAGAGTGCTTCATTAAGAGAGCCCCAGATCCCGTGCCTCCTGACTGGGTAAGAGTAAGATCCCTCCAGCAGGGGTCGTCAGACATGTTATACAGGAGTGTTCCTGCCAGCATCAGGTTGGTGTCCCACTGGGACAGAGATCCCAGAGGAAGGAGCAGGCAGCCATCTTTGCTGTTCTGCAGCCTCCACTGGTGACACTTTCAATTGCAGGAGGGACCCAGAAGAATAGGATCTGGAGTGGGCCCCAAGCAAACCACAGCAGCCCTATGGAAGAGGGGTCTGACTGTTAAAAGAAAAACAAACAAACAGAAAGCAACAACAACTGCATCAACAAAAAAGTGTCCCCACAAAAACCCCATCCAAAGGTCAGCGGCCTCCAAAATCAAAACTAGATAAACTCATGAAGGTGAGAAAGAATCAAAAAAAAATGCTGAAAACTCAAAAAGCCAGAGTGCCTCTTCTCCAGATGATTGCAACACCTCTCCAGCAAGGGCACAGAACTGGGTGGAGGCTGAGATGGATGAATTGTCAGAAGTATGCTTCAAAAGCTGGGTAATAGTGAACTTCACTGAGCTAAAGCAGCATGTTCTAACCCAATGCCAAGAAGCTAAGAGCCATAATAAAACATCACAGGAGCTGTTAACCAGAATAACCCAGTTTAGAGAGGAACATAAATGACCTGATGGAGCTGAAAAACACAACACGAGAACTTCACAATGCAACCACAAGTATCAATAACTGAACAGACCAAGCAGAAAAAAAGAATTTCAGAGCTTGAAGGCTATCATACTGAAATAAGACAGACAAGATTATTTCAAAAAAAAAAATAAAAAAGAATGAACAAAACCTCCAAGAACTACGTATAAGATTATGTAAAATGATTGAACCTATGACTGACTGGGGTACCTGAAAGTGACAGGGAGAACAGAACCAAGTTGGAAAACATACTTCAGGTTATCATCTAGGAGAACTTCCCCAACCTAACAAGACAGGCCAACATTCAAATTCAGGAAATCCAGAGAACACCACTAAGAAACTCTATGAGAAGGTCAACCCCAAGACACATAATCATCAGATTTTCCAAAGTTGAAATGAAGGAAAAAATGTTAAGTGCAGCCAGAGAGAAAGGCCAAGTCACTTACAAACAGAAGCTCATCAGACTAACAGCAGACCTCTCAGCAGAAACCCTACAAGCCAGAAGAGAGCAGGGGCCAATATTCAACATTCTTAAAGAAAAGAATTTCTAACCCAGAATTTCATATCCAGCCAAACTAAACATCATAAGCAAAGAAGAAATAAAATCCTTTTCAGACAAGCAAATGCTGAGGGAATTCGTCACCACCAGGCTTGCCTTTCAAGAGCTTCTGAAGGAAGCACTAAATGTGGAAAGGAAAACCAATTACCTGTCACAGCAAAAACACACTGAAGTACAAAGATCAATTACACTATGAAGCAACTACATCAACAAGTCTGCAAAATAACAGGCTAGCATCATGATGACAGGAGCAAATTCACACATAACAACATTAACCTTAAGTATAAATGGGCTAAATGCCCCAATTAAAAGACAGAATGGCAAGCTGAATAGAGTCAAGATTCACTGGTGTGCTGTATCCAAGAGACCTAACTCATGTTCAAAGACACATATAGGCTCAAAATCAAGGGATGGAAGAAAATTTACCAAACAACTAGAAAGCAGAAAAAAGGAGGGGTTGCAATCCTAGTTTCTGACAAAACAGATTTTAAGCCAACAAAGATCACTTAATAAACTTAAAAAGAAATCCCTCAATACTGGAGCTGTACTCAGCTCTGGATTAAGTGCACCTGATAGATATCTACAGCATTCTCCACCCAAAACAACAGAATACACATTCTTCCTACCACTACATGGCACTTACTCTAAAATCAATCACATAATTGGAAGTAAAACACTTCTCAGCAAATGCAAAAGCACTGAAATCATAACAAATAGTCTCTCAGACCACAGCACAATCAAATTAGAACTCAAGATTAAGAAACTCACTCAAAACCACACAACTACATGGAAATTGAACAACCTGCTCTTGAATGACTCCTGGGTAAATAATGAAATTAAGGCAGAAATCAGCAAGTTCAGCAAACTGCCATGGCACATGTTTACCTATGTAGCAAACTTGCATGCCCTGCACATGTATCCCAGAACTTTAAATTAAATTAATTTTTTTAAAAAAGAAGAGCACAGTGAGAAGACTCAACCTTTCCATTTCAAAATGTAATATAAAACTAGGCCAGGAAGAGTGGCTCACTGTTAAATGTTAATCCCAACATTTTGGAAGGCTGATATGGTTTGGCTGTGTCCCCACTCAAATCTCATCTTGAATTCCCACATGTTGTGAGAGGGACCTGGTAGGAGGTAATTGAATCATGGGGTCAAGTCTTTCCTGTGCTGTTCTGGTGATAGTGAATAAGTCTCATGAGATCTGATGGTTTTAGAAGGAGGAGTCCCCCCTGCACAAGTTCTCTCTCTTTGCCTATAGCTATCCATATAAAACATGACTTTCTCCTCCTTGCCTTCCACCATGATTGTGAGGCTTCCCCACCCATTGGAACTGTAAATTCAATTAAACCTCTTTCTTTTATAAATTGCTCAGTCTTGGGTATGTCTTTATCAACAGCATGAAAACAGACTAATACAGAGGCCAAGGCAGGCAGATTGCTTGAGCTTAGTACTCTGAGACCAGCCTGGGCAACATGGCAAAACCCATCTCTCCAAAAAAAAAAAAAAAAAATTACCAGGTGACACATGCCTGTAGCCCAGCTACTCTGGAGGCAGAGGTGGGAAGATCCCCTGAGCCAGGAAGGTTATGGCTGCAGTGAGCCCCAGTCTTGCCACTGCACTCTAGTCTGGGTGACAGCATGAGGCCTTGTCTCAAAAAAAAAAAGTAATATAAAACTACAGTTAACAAAACAGTGTGTTGTTGGCATAAGAATAAGCATATTCTTGTTTATAGATTTATAGACAATTCATTTCACTTTTTAACAAATGTTGCTTGAACAAGTGGATATCCATATGTCAAAAAATTTAAAAATGAACTTAGACCCTTACCTCTCACCATGCACAAAAATTAACACAAAATGGGTCACATATTTAAAGAGCTAAAACATTAGAACTTTTAGAAGATAACATAGGGGAAAATACTTGAGATCTTGGATTAGGTAAAGATTTCTTAAATACTATACACCACCAAAAGCATGGTTCATAATAAATTTACTAGGTTGGATTTCCTCAAAATTCAAAATATACCATTAAAAAAATAAAAATGCAAACCACAGAAAGGAAGGAAATACATGCAAAATGTATCTGAGTTTTTAAGTATATCCAGAATATACAATTTAACAATGACATATAAACATTTGAATAGCCACTAAACAAAAACATGAACAACAAATTTGAATAAATATTTTACAAAAAGCAACGTATGGATGGCTGATAATCCCATGAAAAGATGCTCAATATCATTAGTTGGTAGGGAAATGCAAATTAAAACCACAATGAGATACCATTTCATACCAACTAGAATGGCTATATTCAAAAAGATAGACCATACCAGGTATTGGCCAGGATATAGAGATCAGGAAGCTTCCTACTTTATGATGTGAACATGAAATGGTACAACTACCTTGGAAAACAATTAGGCAGTTTCTTATAAAGTTAAACATAAATTTGCTATATGCTCCAGGAATTCCACTATGAGGTGTCTATCCAAGAAAAAATTAAAACATATATCCAGACAAAGATTTGTGCATAAATGTTCTTAACAGTATTATTTATAATATCCATAAATTTGAAACAATGTAGTGTCAATCAGCTGACAAATGGATAGATAAGATGTAGTATACCTGTACAATGGAATACCATTTAGCAATAAGAAAGAATAATACATTCTTTGTATCATGTACACAGAATTTTATGTAAAGAATGATACATAACAACCACTGATACATGTTACGACGTAACTATGTTGGGTCTTTTTATTCGTCACTGACATTTGGTTCTTAACCAATCTTCAAACATTACATTAAGTGAGAGAAGCTAAACACAATAGATCACATATTGTATAATTTCATTTTTGTGAAATATTGAGAAAAATCAAACTCTATAGAAACAGAAAAAAATTAGTGATTGCCCAGGACAAGGTGTGGGAGATGAAGTTGGGGATTAGCAGTAAAAGAATATGAAAGATATTATCAGGGTGATGGAAGTGTTCTAAAACTTATTTATGATAATGGTTATACAAGTTGGTAAAGTTGGTAAAAAAATCACTAGATTGTATGCTTTAAATAGATGAATTATATGATGTCTATAGTATCCTTCAATAAAGTTATATTAATAAATACTCTGGTCCAGTTCTGCATGTGAGAAGCTTGGAAGTTGCCTCTCTGTCCTCATATCAAGTAAAAAAGCAAAAAGACTGAAAAATCAGCAACTTTTTTAGTATCCATAAAAGAGTTGAGGACACAGGGCAAACTGCAGCCCCCAGGATTGGAGAGATAGATGGACAATGAAGGGAGTCATGGCTTACCATAGCAGCCACTCAGGAAACCACGGCAGGAATCAGTGCTAGGGTAGGAAAACCTGAACTGTAATTGATGAGTTGCTGGAAGCTCAATGTGGACAACTCTGAGATCTAAAAACTCCAGGGGGGTACAATCTGCTCTAGCTTTCCCTGCAGGAGAAGGAAATAACCAACTCCACCTTGCAAGGGGGAATTAAAAATCAAGAAACATTTGTGAAGCTCAAAGTCCAGTGGCACATGTCCAGTGAAAGACCAAATCACAAAACTGTAGAATGATGCTTGCCTCCCCCAACACCTCACTGCCACATTTCTAAAGGCCTATTTCAAGTGATTTTGTTTACCTGGTACATCATGTCTGGCTACAAGGAAAAAATTACAAGGCCTACCAAAGGCAAAAAATACAGTTGGTAGAGACAGAGCAGGCATCAGAACCAGACATGGTGTTATGTAGGAATGTTGGAATTTCTTTAAAATAAATTTTCAAATTGGAAAGTAAGTGACCTTCAACATCATTTTTAAAATTGTTTTGGCTATTTTGGGCTTTTCTATTCACTTATAATTGATGTTTACTTCTTAAACAAGCAATTGCCTTCAAAGCTTCATTTACCTGTTATTTTTTTAAGTTATGCAAGTGCTTTGTTGTTCACATAACAACAAAGAGGAGAAAACACAAACTTTGTTTCTGAGCCACTATGATAGATTGGTAACTATGGGGATATGACAATGTACATAAAGTACTATATATGAACATGACAAATTTGATTTTGTAGAAAGTATATATATTTAGCACCATGTCATTGAGATAACAGTATAGAAATATTTTTGGCAAACACATGAATAAGAAATGTTAAGGCAGAAATATCTCCATTCAGTTATTTCATCATTAATGTCTGATCTTTCTCATAACAGAAAGATGTTTTCCATATATTGTTGATAATAACATTACAAAATAATCATCTACTCAAGAAATTGTTGTCATAAGTACCAGTTAATCCATCAAAACAAGTTAAAATAGCTGTGCAAACTGTTTGTTATGGTTGCTAAAAAGATACAGCAGTATCTCCTGGTAAACATGTTTCTTTTATGTTTGGTACATTTTCTAGGAAATAGGTATGCTAAAGAAACAAGAAAAATATGATAAAAATCAGCATGTGTTTTTTCATTTGATAGATAATATTGAATGTTTATCACTTTCTTATGAATATATTATCCAATAAATCTTTAATGGCTTTTCTATCTGTGAGTAAAACAAAATGAATATCGCAATCTCAGCAGCCCAGAAATGTACAGCTACTAAGAAAAAGATAGCAATTTTGGGGATCAAATCTAGCCTGATGATTCTTAGGTAGAGGTGACTATTTAAAAAAAACTATGGACCACATTTATATACAACCCTATCAGTATCCTGTACTATCTCCCATAAACCCAAAGCATCCTCAAAGTTGTAAGAAATTTTCTGGCAATTTTTCACATAGAAAAGAAATTCCTCACATAACCCTGCACTAGCATTTCCTATGCTGCAATGTATTACTTATTATGAGGGAGGATAGGAGATTTCCTTCTATACAGAGTTTCAAGGAAGATCATGAAATAGACCTTGTGGGTAAAACTTGTCATTTGATGGTCCCTGAAATAGAAACTTTAAAATAATGCCAAATCACTCTTTTGCTAGATTCTGTTGGCTTCCCTATTATTCCCCGCTCATGTGTGAGCTAGTTGTGGCAAGTCTCTTCCCTGCTTTGAGTCATTGCAGACATCAAGCATCACCGTCAATCATTCACATGAAAAATACTTACAGCAGGGAGTACAGTTTGTGCACACTTTAAAAATATGTTTTTAAGGTTTTATCCAGGATCCATTACTACTCACTTTATAGACATACATGAAGTCAAGCTGCCTGAGCTCTTTCACAGAACCTATACAGGGTTTTCTACAATATAAAGGGTCAGCTAATTTACAGAAGAACTTACATAAAGTCTTCCACAATATATGGATCAGCTAAGTTATAGAAGAAGCAATATAAAGTCTTCTACACTGTAAGGGTCAGCTAATGTATAGAAGAAATACCTCAACCTTACATGTCATAAAACCATCTGACAAAAGCCATCTGTTACTTACACAATGTCCTTCCCCTCCTCATTCTCTCAGGTATGCTTTTTACATTTAGTGACCCCCCCCCAAAAAAGTCAATTAATACTAATCAAGTTAACTGTCAAACCCTTTAACTTCCCAAGCAAAGCATTTCTAAATTCATAATGCCCCAAATACTAAACATATTCTGCTAATATTAGAGCTATTTGAAGCAAGTTTTTTTCTTCAGTATTAAATCAACCAGAAGAAACAATGTCAACCAAAACAACTTCACTGTAGCTGAATTCTCTCAGTCTCTAGCTCATAGCCACATGAATGGGGCGGTACATAAGCTCATTCTGGCAACTCCAGTAAGTGTTGTAAACCAGCGCTTCTCAAATTTTAGTACACATATGAATCACCTGGTATTTTGTTAAAATGTAGATTCTGATTCAGTAAGTCTAAGGTGGAGTCTGAAGTTCAGTAAGTCTAGGGTGGGGTCAGCAAGTCTCAGCATCACAACTCCCAAGTGATACTGAGGCTGCTAGCTGGTGGGCCACCGTGAGTAGCATAGTTGAGGTCTTGAATAAGGAAAGCATACTTGTAAGTATGGAAATATTCAGACAAAAAATGCTTCCATTCTTTTAACATTTGTCTACAAGTAGTTTCGGAATTCGAATATCATCAAAGGGTGGAACTTTAGAAAAAAAGATAGGAAGAGTTTATAAGACTAAACATTATTATTCCCCAGTGCAGAGCTTTGAAACTACAAGCTCGTTCATTCCTTTGTTTCCTTATTCATTCATGCACAAGGCATATATGGACTGCCTACTCTATGGTAGGCACTGTGTTAAATTCCAGAGTACAGTGTTGAATAGACAAAATTTTGGGGTTTAGGAAACTCATAATCTCATCCAAACAAATAATCAATTGTGAGATAAAGGGACCTATTTATGATTGCACACCAAGAAAAGTAAAAACACAGAGGAAAAAATACTTCATTCAGCAAGGTGGGGCGATAAGGCAGGTAGCTCAAGGAAGAGTTCACAGTAAAAATTGATGGTGCTTTTTTGATAACTTAATTTGTGCTAGGTACTTTTCTAAGCACTTTAACGCTCACAATGATTCTTTCAAGGTAGGTGCTCTTGTTTTTCCAATTTTTAGAGCTGAGGAAACAAAGGTGGAGAGAAATTATATAATTTACAGAGTAAATAAGTTACTAATGATAACCAATAAGCCACAGAATTTCCTCTTCTGTCTTCACTAATACCGTTTTACTAATATGTCCCACAAAGTGGACATTACTGGTAATCACTAAGATTTCTGGTTCTCCTTCCCTTCGGGGCACATTCCTCTTTGAATATATGCATGGACACATGCCAATGAAATGTAGTCAAATGCAACACATGTCACTACCAGGCAGAAGCATTTAATAGCCCAGTGCACAATTTTCCATGCTCTCTTTACCAGTCCCCATGGCCATGGGCTTTACCTGCTCCAATGGGAACCTGCTCCCATTGTTGATGTGGAGTTCCTGCAAGATCAAAAGATCTTGCAATGCTAGGCCTCTACAAAAAGGACAGCCTCCTCAGATCATCTCTCAGACTCATGCAGGATATTCCAAATACAAGAAATTTACTTCTGTCTTGTTAAGTCACAGATTTTAATTGTATTTGTTACTGTAGCCTAATTTAATCTATATTGATAAAGCATTACTATAGAGGCAATCTGTTAGTTACCTTGCAGAATAAATGTAAGTCACCAGAGGAGGGCAGTGTGTGCTGGGGAGGAAGCTCATGGTGGGCATAAGAGACATTCAGAAGTGTTAAATAGAATGGTACGTTTAGGAAACTTCAGGTCGTCAGGCTTTACTAGAGAATATGATTCTGAAGAAGACATGAAAGAGGAAAGAGAAACAATGTGAGTCTCAGGCCCCTCTGGAGTGAAGGAAAGAAATGGAGAAGGAGTTAAAGTCCAGGCATATCACTCAGGGCTGCATATGGAGGAAGATAATTATCAGATTGAACTCAAAGTTAAATCAAAGAAGTAAGCTTCTGCCTAGGAAATCGGAAATCAGAAAAAGCACTATGCTAGAAAGAGGAGTCAGCCACAAATAAGGAGGTAGAACAGAGGGAAAGAGGAAAGAAGTAAACAGACTAGGAATTTAAAAACCTAGAATAGAGCTAGAGAAGATGGGAGGCATAGGGATGGGAGGGTGGGTTCACACCAGAAAAAAGCTGAGAAGAAATATATGTATCTATTTGTAGGATATGTCTGTTCTCGCCCACATATCTCACACATGCTGCTCTGTGGTTTGCCTTTCCCATATGCCTTCACCTGGATGATGCCTGCTAACTAGGCTCAAAGATGTGGCCTCTGAGAAGTCTTCACCTCCCCACATTCCCATTACCTTCACCCCTGGGCCCACCTGGTATTCTTTCCACATCTTCACAAAGTTCCCTCACTTTCATCACTAAACTTATCCAAGGGCATTTTAGTTGTCTGTTCATTTGTCTGTCTCCCCAGTTATGACAAACTTCTTTAGGAGGGTGATTTTATTTAATTTGTTTCTCTAATTCCAAGACCAAGGTCAGAGTTTGGTCTGTAGTAGTCCCTTAATAATTGGTGGTGACTGTGGAAAATCCAGGGAGAGAGTTTCCCATGAATGTTTAATATATTATTTAGGAACTGAGAACAAGATCTGAAATAAAGATAAAAATTTGGTCATCCTCAGTGAATATGCTTATTCAACAACTACTTACACATGCTTATTATACTAAGTGGTGGATATTCTGGTGAGCAAAGAAAACACAGTGTCTGTTTTGTGGTGCTTGGATACTCATAGAAGAGAATAAGTTAATTTAAAAATATGCACATGTAAATATAAACAGCTTTTCTCAAGATCTCCAAGGATCTCCACATTACTAAATGCAATGTTCAATTCTTAGTCCCTGTCTTACCTGACTTGTCATCAGCATTTGACACAGTTGATCACTCCTTATTCCTTGAAGGAAGACCTTATATTCTCCTGGTTTTCCTTTTGTCCTGCTCTATCTCTTAGATGGTTCCTCATTACCTACCAAACTCTAAAAGTGGGTGTGCCCAAGATTTTCTTCTTTCCTTCCACATTCACTCCGTAGTGATCTCATCCAGACTCACGGCTTTAAATGCCATCTATATGCTATGATACCAAATTATATTTCCAGGCAAAACCTTTTCTTTGAACTCTAGATCCATACATACCAACTGCCTACGCAACCACTCTATTTGACTAATAAACATCTCAGACAAAACATGTCCAAAAGTGAGTTCCCGTTATTTCCCTCATGACCAGATTTTTCTAGTCTTCTTCTCAGGTAGTTGTAACTCTATTCTTACAGTTTCTCAGAACAAAAAGCTAAATCTCATCCTAACTTCCTTCTTTTGCTCACATCCTACATCTTGTCCATTAGCAAATACTGTCTTCAAAGTATGTTCCTAACTTTACTACTTCTTACTATTCCCACTGCCACCACCCTGATCTAAGCCAGCATCATCTCTTATCTGAGTTCTCTCATTGGCCTCCTAATTGATCTCTCTGTTTTTGCACTCACTGTCTTTTCTCCACACAGCAACCAGAGTGATCCTGTTATGTCATATTGTGTTACTCTTCAAAACTTCACACTTGCTTCTTATTTCACTCAAACTAAAGGTCAAAATCCTTCCAATTATTCATAACTCTCCATATGATTTAGATGAAATATGGTCTCCCTTAGAATGCATCCTATGATTTTAGTATTTAAAGTACTTTTCTAAAATTTATCTCACCTTTAAAAAAGAAGCCAATAAACATAGAACTATTGAACAAAGTTCCAGTATCTCTTCTTTTTACTTATATTTTGTGAATGTCAGTATCAGAGCAGTTAAGTGGAAATGGACCTATTTTATTTTCAATTCCTTGAGAAATCATAGTTCAGTGTTTTTTGAAGGACATTGTAAGTTCATTTATAAAGACTCCCAGAATCTGTTCTTTATTTAGGCAACATCAGACTTGCAAGGTAATAAGCTGGAACAGAGATTTAGAGAGAGAGAAAAAGCCTACTTCAGTTGATAGAGTTCAAAAAGCATTACTTAAGTCAATCTCAGCAATTTTTTATGTTATTAATTTCCTCTTATTCTGTTTCACTACCATATCGCAGAGTTCTTCACTGCTAACCTACAAGTATTTACTACTTACCTCATACTAAACAAAAAGCATTTTCTACTCTGATCTTAGAGTGAGTTTATATGTCTGAGTATGTGTATATGTATTAGAGAAAGAGAGAAGTATGGAAAGAGAGAAAATTAATCCAGAGGAAAACAAGGTAGTAGGTTAGACTAGGTCTTTGTACAGGAAGAATAACCACCAAAAAGCCCACCGGGAAGCCAAAATAGAGTTAAAACAGAGGTATTAAGGCATTTCTCTTCCCCATTTTATTCACCAAAACCTGGATAAAATAACAAATATTAAAAGCAGAGAGAAAAACAATTTTTAGTGATACTAGGAAACAACACAGCCTAACCCAGAATCTATTGAAAACACCTACCAAATTTAAGACCAAGTCAAGAAAAGATTTTGAGAGGAGCATATTTCTATGCAAATTTCAAACACCCTAAGGAGCTCCCCAAAAGTAAGTACCATGAGGAAGTAAACCAATGACCCTTGCATGGAGCTAAGAATATGAGAAGACCAGATGCATTCCTGTGCCTAATTCAACAGCCCTGAGCGACAGAAGAGGACAGCTGAACAAGGAGCGAGAGAGACATACCACCTTTGCCGGAAGCAGATGCCGTAGAATGGAGGGGAAAACGAAGATGGCAATCAGGAATGTAGCTGCTGAGGGAGAGCAAATGTCAACTCATGAGGAAAAAGACCTGGGGCATTCAGGCTTCTCTGAGTTCTAGGAAT
Organism: Homo sapiens; assembly: GCF_000001405.40. Taxonomy (NCBI): domain Eukaryota; kingdom Metazoa; phylum Chordata; class Mammalia; order Primates; family Hominidae; genus Homo; species Homo sapiens. The sequence goes on from NC_000004.12 coordinate 142,886,790, forward strand.
TCCTGACTGATGCAACCAATTATCTCCATATATCCAGCAGAGCCTCTGCCCTTGGTCTGAGCTACTGCAAGAATTTCTCTACAAGAGTTACAAAGAACTTCTCTTCTTAAAGCTGCTTTATGTAGCTCAAAGGCAAATTTGGCACAGGCCACAGTACAACTTACTAGTGCACCAGTGGCCAAGCAGAGATAGCAGCAAAGAATGTTTTTCCCACCATCGCCGGAGACCAATGGAGTTGGCTATCCCTACTCTTTGTATTTATCTGTGCTCAACTGCACATGCCCCACCTACTGAACTTGAAAGGGAAGTGTGATATCAGGTTATATATGGAAAGAGTCAAAATTAGTAAAATGTGTTATTGCCTGTCAACCTTTAGATTTAACTGTATGTTAACTCTGCTCACCGTACATGCATAAGTAGCACATTTCAAAGTGGAGGCTGGAAGTATAAAGTGAAAGTTTATAAAATTCTTCCAAGATTATTTTCACGCAACTATTTATATACTACTTTATTTTAAAATAAAAATAAAAAATCTGAGGCAAATGCAAAATCAGACCGAATCCTAGGGCAGCGGGTCAAACTATGGTGAACTTCTGGTCATACAAGCAAGAGACTAACTCATTTTTAAGGGAGAAGATGAGGCTGGCCTCAAAATTATTCATAGGAATTAACAGCAGAATATTGGGAAGCATTCAACAAAGTTGACAGAGAAATAATAGGAATCACCAAGAATTTTTCAAAGGAAACAATTTCCAATGTAAAGAAGTTAAGGAATATAGCACCACGAACCATTCTTGAAAACACTACGTCATAAAATCCAACAAAACTGGTGAAAAAATTCATGATAAACTGTCATGAATTTGTGTATTACAGAATATACATAGCACCAAAAGTAATAAAGAAAAACTACAGAAAACACCAGGGATATAGAAACAAAATGAAAAAAAATTTAACTTTCCTATTCCATGAGAACAAGGAGAAAAAAAAGTAAGGGAGAGAGACTCTAACTAACAACACATAAGGTAGTTCTAACAGATAAATATTCAGCAATATGTTAGGCATCAACACTTTCTTCTCAATACCCAGGAAAATATATAAAGCTATACATATAATGAACCAGAGAGAAGACCTGCTGCAGATCACATGTCAAAGTGAAGACCTGGATTAGATAGATGGTGAGTGGGATTCAACATTCTTCATTGCTAAACATATTCCAGATCTGCTGCTGGTTTAAGGACTAACTGTGAGTTGTTAGTCTTAAACAACCCTGAGTCGAGAAGCAAAACAAAACCAGTATTTTAGAACATATCACAGAAAAACTATGAGCTAAACTCCATTCAAGTAAATTTGAAAATTTGAATGAATTAGCTTTTTCCAGAAAATACATAATCATCCAAATTAGATTCCAAAAGAGAGATAAATCTAAATAGATGATTAGTATGGAGAAAAATATTAGTAGTGGTCTTTACAAAATCTACATTTTAAAATGAATGTCATTTGCAGATTTTGTGATCTAGTTTTTGGAATTTCTCCCTCATTAAAAATAATTTGTTGAGATATAACTCACATACCACAAAATTCATCTTTTTATAGTGTCCAATTCAGTAGTTCTTAGTATATTCACAAAATTGTGCAGCCATCACCACTTTGTAATTTCAGATAGATATATAATTCCAAATTTTTGTAACTCTGAGAATAAACCCTCATCCTTAGCAGTTACTCTCACCATAAACCCTTCTTCCCAGCTTCTGGCAACCACAAACTTACTTTTTGGCTCTGTGGATTTGCCTATTTTGGATGCAGTGGACTGAATATTTACCTTCCTCCCAACGTCATGTGTTGAATCTTAACCCCCAAGGTGATGATGTGGGTCTTCAAGAGGTGATTAGGTTATGAGGGCTTATGAATGGGATTAGTGCCCTTATTAAAGAGGCTGGAGAGAGCTTCCTTGCCCCTTCTGCCATGTGAGGTTATAGTGAGGACAGCTAATGAATAAGGAAGAGGGCCCTCACCAGACACTGAATCTGCCGGCACCTTGTTCTTGGACTTTCTAATCTCCAGAACTATGAGAAATAAATTTATGTTGTTTATAAGCTACTCAGTCTATGGTATTCTGTTATAGCAGCCTGAATGCTCTAAAACACAGAAAATGTCTTATAAATGGTACAATATGTAGCCTTTTGTAGGGGGTTTCTTTCATATAGCGTGGTGTTTTCTAGGTTACTTTATTTTGCAGTATATACTGTAAGTTCATTCATTTTTATTGCCAAATATTATAACATTATTTGGATATATCACAAACATGTTATTTATTCATTCCTCAGTTGATGAACATTTCAGCTGTTACTTTTCTTTTTCCCGGGACAGGGTCTCACTCTGTTGCCCACACCGGAGTACAGTGGCACAATCATAGCTCACTGCAGTCTCAACCTCCTGGGCTCAAGTGATCTTCCCCACTCAGCCTCCCAAGTAGTTAAGACTGCAGGTATATGCCACCATGCCTGACTAATTTTTTTTTTTTTTTTTTTTAAGAAATGAGGTCTCGCTATATTACCCAGGCTGGTCTCAAATTCCTGGCTTGAAGTGATCTTCCTGCCTCAGCCTTCCAAAGTGCTTGGATTATAGGTATAAGCCACCTTACCTGGCCCTGTTTTTACTTTTTGGCGATTATGAATAATGCTGCTGTGAACATGCATGTGTAAATTTTGGTTGGGCATATGTTTTCAATTTATGTGTATATATATATATATATATACACACACATATATATATATACACACACATATATATACACACACATATATATACACACATATATACACACATATATATACTATATATATACATACATAGTATATATATACATATATATACTATATATATACATACATAGTATATATATACATATATATACTATATATATACATACATAGTATATATATACATATATATATAAAACATATAACTAGAGGTAGAATTATGGATCATATGGTAACTCTGTTGAAATTTTTGAAGAATTGCTGTCTTCATCCATCTAGTGTTGCTATAACAATGTACCTAAGATTCAGTAACTTATGAAGAAAATAAATTTATTTCTTACAGTTTTGGAGGCTGGTAAGTCCAAGGCTGTGAGGCTGCATCTTGTGATTGCCTTCTTGCTGCTGGAGACTCTCTGCAGCATCCAAAACTAGCACAGGGAAACAAATGGCAAAAGGACTCATGAGAGACAATGAAACTGGCTTTTATATCAGACTCACTCTCATGATAACCTATTAATTTATTAAGTCATTAATTCATGAGTGGATTAATCCATTCATAAAGGCAGAACCCTCATCACCCAATCACCTCTTAAAGACATAATTTTTAAATATTGTTACATTGGGGATTGAGCTTCAACATAAGTTTTGGAGAGAATATTCAAAGCATAGCAACCGCTAAACTATTTTCTAAAGTGCTCTATTATTTCATATTCACACCAGCAATGAAGGGGAATTCCAGTTTCTCCAGATCCTCACCAATACTTTTCATTGTCTTATTGATTATAGTCACCCTAGTGAATGTAAAGGGTCTCTTTCAATTTTTAAAAGTTTTTTAATGTATTAAAGATATTAGTTCTTTTTCTAAATGTATGTCAATATTATCTCCTTGTTTGTAGTTTTTTTTTTACCATGTTAATAATATAGAAAAAAAAAGTTTTTCCCCAGGCTGAAGGTTTTTTAATGTAATCAAATTTATCAATCTTTTCTCTATTGCATCTAAATTTTGAGCCACAGTTAGAAAGCCTTTTCCTATTCCCAGATTATAAAATAATTCGTCCACACTTTCTCCCAGTGTTTATATGGTTTTGTGTTGTTTTAATACTTAGATCTCCCATCCATTTGGAGGTTTTTTATGTGTATGACATGGATCAAACTTTATCTTTACCCAGAAGACTATACAGTTATACCAGCACCATTTATTTAAAGTTCATCTTTGCTCAAATGATTAGAAATGCCACTACTCCTATATCCAGTAATTCCATGTGTACTTGGGTCTGTATCAGGACTTTCTATTTGATTCTGCAAAGCTATTTATTTATGAGTGATTTACTGTTTCAATTATGGAGGCTTTATAATTTTATATTTTAATATCTGAAGGTCTAGATCTTCCATAACTTTTCTATTTCAGTAATTTTATTTACTATTCTTTTATGTTCAATTGTTTTTACTTATTTCTACCTTTTATTGTATAATACTTTTAAAAAAAACTTTTATTTTAGCTGGACATGGTGGTGGGCACCTGTAGTCCCAGCTACTCGGGAGGCTGAGGCAGGAGAACGGCATAAACCCGGGAAGCGGAGCTTGCAGTGAGCCGAGATCATGCCACTGCACTCCAGCCTGGGCAACAGAGTGAGACCCCATATCAAAAAAAAAAAAAAAGTTTATTTTAGGTTAAAGAGGGTATATGTACAGGTTTATTACATAAGTAAATTGTGCATTGCAGGGGTTTGGTACACAAATTATTTCATCACCCAGGTACTAAGCATAGTACCTGATAGATAATTTTTTGATCCTCAGCCTCCTCCCACCCTCCACTCTCAAGTAGGCCCTGATATCTCTTGTTTCTTTCTTTGTGTCCATGTATATTCAACATTTAGATTCCACTTGTAAGTGAGAACATGTGACATTTGGTTTTCTGTTCCTGTGTCAGTTTGCTTAGGATAATGGCCTCCAGCTCCATCTATGTTCCTGCAAAAGGCAAGATCTCATTCACTTTTATGGCTGCATAGTATTCCCTATTGTGTATATACAACATTATCTTTAGCCAGTTTGCCATTGAGGGAATTTAGATTGATTCTGTGTCTTTGCTATTGTGAATAGCACTGCAATGAACATATGCTTGTATGTTTCTTTATGGTAAAATGATTTCTATTTCTTTGGGTATATACTCAATTATAGCATTGCTGGGTCAAATGGTAATTCTGTTTTAAGTTCTTTAAGAAATTGCCAAACTGCTTTCCACAATGGCTAAACTACTTTACATTCCCACCGTCGGTACATAAGCATCCCCTTTTCTCTACAACCTCACCAGCATGTGTTATTTTTTGACTTTTTAATAATAGACATTCTGACTGGTGTGAGATGGTATCTCCTTGTGTTTTTGATTTGCATTTCTATAAGGATTAGTGATGTTGAACATTTTTTCATATGTTTCTTGGCCACATGGATGTTTTCTTTTGAAAAGTTTCTGTTCATGCCCTTTTCCCACTTTTTAATAGGGTTGTTTGTTTTGTGCTTGTAAATTTGTTTAAGTTCCTTATAGATACTGAATATTAGACCTTTGTTGGATATATAATTTGAAACAATTTCCTCCCATTCTGTAGGTTATTTGTTTACTCTGTTGATAGGTTATTTTTTTAATTTGTGTGTATGTTTTTTTAATGTTCAGAAGCTCTACAGTTTAATTAGGTTTCATTTGTCAATCTTTGTTGCAATTACTTTTGGCATCTTTGTCAAGAAGTCTTTGCTGGTCTTACGTCCAGAATGGTATTTCCTAGGTGATATGGTCTGAATTTGTGTTCCCACCCCAAATCTCATGTCAAACTGTAATCCTTAGTGTTGGAGGAGGGGCCTAGTGGGAAGTGATTGGGTCACGGGGGCAGATTTCCCCCTTACTGTTCTCATGATAGTGAGTGAGTTCTCATGAGACCTGGCTGTTTAAAAGTGTGTGGCACCTTCCCCTTCATTCTCTTCCTCCATGTCCAGCCATGTAAGATGTGTCTGCTTCCCCTTCACCTTCCACCATGATTATAGGTTTCCTGAGGCCTCCCCAGCCATGCTTCCTGTACAGCCTGTGGAATTGTGAGTCAATTAAACCTCTTTTCTTTATAAATGATACAGTATCAGGTAGTTCTTTATAGCAATGTGAGAATGGACTAATGCAGAAAATTGGTACTGGGAAGTGGGGTGTTGCTATAAAGATACCTGAAAATGTGTAAACAACTTTGGAACTGGGTAATGGACAGAGGTTGAAACAGTTTGGAGAGCTCAAAAGAAGACAGGAAGATAAGGAAACATTTGGAATTTCCTAGAGGCTCTTTAAATTGTTATGACCAAAATGCTGGTAGTGATACGGTCAATGAAATCCAGGCTGAGGAGGTCTCAGATGGAGATGAGGAACTTATTGAGAACTGGAGCCAATGTCACTTTTGTTATGCATGAAGAAAGAGATGATCTGAAACTAGAACTTATATTTAAAAGGGAAGCAGAGCATAAAAGTTTGAAAAATTTGCAGTCTGATTGCATGGTAGAAAAGATAAACTCATTTTCTGGGGAGGAATTCAAGCTGGCTGCTGAAATTTGCATAAGTAAAGATGAACGGAATGTTAATAGCCAAGACAATGGGGAAAATGCCTGAAAGGCATTTCAGAGACCTTTGAGGCAGCCCTTCCCATCACAGGCCTGGAGGCCTAGAAGGAAAGAATGGTTTCATGGGCCAGGCCCACAGCTCTGCTGCTCTGCACAACCTCAGGACGCTGCTCCCTACATCCCAGCTTCTCCAGCTCCAACAATGGCTTAAAGGGCCCCAGATATGTCTCAGGCCACTTCTCCAGAAGATACAACGCATAAGCCCTAGAGGCTTCCATGTGGTATTAAACTTGTGGGTCCACAGAGGAAAAGACTTGATGCTTGGGAGCCTCCACCTAGATTTCAGAGGATAACTGGAAGCAATTTGATGTTCAGGTATAAGTCTGCTGCAGGAGCAGAGCCCTCATGGAGAACCTCTACTAGGGAACTGCAGAAGGAAAATGTGGGATTGGAGCCCTCACACAGAGACTCCACTAGAGCACTGCCTAATGGAGTTGTGAGAAGTGGGCCACCATCCTCCAGAACCCAGAATGGTAGATCCACTGACAGCTTGCACCTTGTGCCTGGAAAAGTTGCAGGCACCCAATGCCAGCTTCTGAAAGCAGCTAAGAGGGCTATACCCTGAAGAGCCACAGAGGCGGAGCTGCACAAGCCCTTAGGAGCTGACTTCTTTCATAAATGCGGTCTGGATGTGAGACATGGAGTCAAAGGAGATTATTTTGGAGCTTAAAGATTTAATGATTACCCTGTTGAGTTTTGGACTTGCATGGGGCCTGTAGCCCCATTGTTTTGGCTGATTTCTCCCTTTTAGAATGGGTGTATTTATCAAATGCCTGTACTCCCATTGTATATTGGAAGTAACTAACATGGTTTTGATTTTACAGGTTCATAGGCAGAAGGGACTTGCCTTGTCTCAGATGAGATTTTGGACTTTGGACTTCTGAGTTAATGCTAAAATGAGTTAAGATTTGGGAGACTGTTGAGAAGGGATTATTATACTTTGCAATGTCAGAAAGACATGAGCTTTGGGATGGGCCAGGGGCAGAATGATATGTTTTGGATTTGTGTCCCCACCCAAATCTCATGTCAAGCTGTAATCCCCAAGGTTGGAGGAGGTACCTGGTGAGAGGTGATTGGATCATGGAGGTGGACTTCCCCCTTGCTCTTCTCATGATAAAATGAGTGAGTTGTTATGAGATCTGGTTGTTTACAAGTGTATGGCACCTTCCCCTTTACTCTCTTCCTCCTTCTCTAGCCATGTAAGACATGCCTGCTTCCCCTTCCACCATGATTGTAAGGTTCCTGAGGCCTCCCCAGCTATGCTTCCTACACAGCCTGCAGAACTGTCAGTCAATTAAATCTCGTTTCTTTATAAATTACCCAGCCTCAAGTCATTCTTTATAGTAATGAGAGAATGAACTAATACACTAGGTTATCTTCCAGGGTTCTTATACTTTTTGGTTTTAGATTTCTCTTTAACTGATCATGAGATAATTTTTGCATATGGTATAATAAGGAAGGGGTCCAGTTTCAGCCTTCTGCATATGGCTAGCCCCTTAACCCAGCACTATTTGTTGAATAGAGTCCTTTCCCCATTACTTGTTTTTGTGAATTTTATCAAAGATCCTACTGTTGTAGGTGTATAGCATTATTTCTGGTTTTGCTATTCTGTTCCATTGCAGTATATGTCTGTTTTTGTACCAGGACCATGCTGTTCTGGGTACTGTAGCTTTGTAATATAGTTTGAGATGTGATGATGTGATGCCTCCAGCTTTGTTCTTTTTGGTTAGAATTGCTTTGGTTATTCAGGCTCTTTTTTGTTTCATATGAATTTTAAAATTGCTTTTCCTAATTATGTGATGAGTATCATTGGTAGTTTGATAAGAATAGCATTGAAATTGTAAATTACTTAGTGCAGTATGGCAGTTTTGAAATACTAAATCTTTATATCCATGAACATGAAATGTTTTTCTATTTGTTTGAGTCATCTCTGATTTCTTTGAGTAGTATTTTGTAATTTTCATATTAGAGGTCTTTTACCTTTTTGGTTAGCTGTATTCCTAGGTATTTTATTATTTTTGTGGCTATTGTGAATAGGATTGGATTTGTGATTTTTCTGTCAGTTTGGATGTTGTTGGTGTATAGCAATGTTACTGATTTTTGTACATTGATTTTGTATTCTGAAACTTTGCTGAAGTTGTGTATCAAATCAAGGAGCTTTTGGGCAGAAATGATGAGATTTTTTAGGCATAGAATCGTATCATCGATAAACAAAGGTAGTTTGATTTCCTCTCTTCCTATTTGGATGCATTTTATTTCTCTCTCTTGCCCAATTGCTCTGGCTAGGAATTCCAGTTCTATATTGAATAAGAGTGGTGACAGAAGGCATCCTTGTTTTGTTATAGTTTTCAAGGGGAATGCTTCCAGCTTTTACCCACTCAATATGATGTTGGCTGTGGGTTTTTCATAGATGGCTCTTATTATTTTGAAGTATGTTTCTTCAATGCCTAGTTTGTTGAAAGTTTTTAACATGATGTTGGATTGTATGAAAAGCCTTTTCTGCAGCGTGTGGTTTTGCATTTAGTTCTGTTTATGTAGTGAATATCATTTCTTGATTTAAGTATGTTGAACCAACCTTGCATCCCAGGAATAAAGCCTACTTGATTGTTGTGGATTAGTTTTTGAAGTGCTGATGGATTTCATTTGCCAGTGTTCTCTTGAAGATTTTTGTATTTACGTTCATCAAGGATATTAGCCTGAAATTTTTGTTGTTGTTGTGTCTCCGCCAGGTTTTGACATCAGAATGATGCTGGCCTCATAGAATGAGTTAGGAAGGAGTCCCTCCTCCTCAATTTTTTGAAGTAGTTTCAGTAGGAATGGTACCAGCTTTTTCTTAGACATCTGGTAGAATTTATATATAAATCCATCTGGTCCTGGGCTTTTTCTGGTTGGTAGCCATTTTATTACTGATTCAATTTCAGAACTTCTTATTGATCTGTTCAGGGATTCGGTCTCTTCCTGGTTCAATCTGGGGGGCTGTATGTTTTCAGAAATTTATCTATTTCTTCCAGGTTTTCCAGCTTGTGTGCATAGAGGTGTTTGTAATAGTTTCTGAGGGCTTTTCTGTGTTTCTGTGAGCTCAGTGGAAATGTCTCCTTTGTCATTTCTGATTGTGTTTATTTGAATTTTTTCTCTTTTGTTTTTATTAATCTAGCTAGCAGTCTTTCTATCTTCTTATTTCAAAGAACCAGCTCCTGGATTCACCAGTCTTTTGTGTGTTTTTTCATGTCTCAGTCTCCTTCAGCTCAGCTCTGATTTTGGTTATTTCTTCTCTTCTGCTAGCTTTGGAATTGGTTTTGCTCTTCTTTCTCTAGTTCCTCTAGATGTGATGTTAGCTTGTTAGTTTAAGATCTTTCTAACTTTTTTGTTGTGAGCATTTTGTGCTATAAATTCCCCTCTGAACACTGCTTTGACTGTATCTTAGGAATTCTCATATGTTGTATCTTTTTTCTCATCAGTTTCAAAGAATTTCTTGATTTCTGCATTAATTTTATTATTTACCCAGAAGTCATTCAGGAGCAGATTGTTTAGTTTACATTTAATTGTATGGATTGAGTGATTTTCTTAGCATTAATTTCTATTTTTATTGCACTGTGGTCCAACAGTGTGGTTGGTATGATTTTGAGGTTTTTTTCTTTGTATTTGCTAAGGGTTGTTTTATGCCTAATTGTGTGGTCAATTTTAGATGTGTCACGTACAGATGAGAAGAATGTATATTCTTTTGGTTTGGGGTAGAAAGTTCTGTAGATGTCTATTAGATCCATTTCCTCAAGGATTGAGTTAAGGTGTCAAATATGTTTCTTAATTTGCTTAGATGATCTGCCTAATACTGTCAGTGGGGTGTTAAATCTCCACTATTATTTTGTGGTTGTATAAATCTCTTCACAGGTCTCTAACAACTTGTTTTATGTATCTGGGTGCTCCTGTATTGGGTGCATATACATTTAGTTAGTTAGGTCTTCTCATTGAATTGAGCCCTTTATCATTATGTCATGTCCTTCTTTGTCTTTGATCGTTATTAGTTTTAAGTCTGTTTTGTGTGAATTTAGAATAGCAATCCCAGCTGTTTTTCTGTTTTCCCTTTACTTAGCAAATTTTTCTCAGTGCCTTTACTTTGAGCCTATTGAGAGGTGACAGTGTGCAGGCAGTCCTCAGAGCCCTCGCTTGCTCTCTGCACCTCCTCTGCCTGGGCTCCCACTTTGGTGGCACTTGAGCCCTTCAGCCCACCACTGCACTGTGGGAGCTCCTTTCTGGGCTGGCCAAGGCTGGAGCTCACTCCCTCAGCTTGCAGGGAGGTGTGGAGGGAGAGGCGCGAGCGGGAACCGGGGCTGCGTGCGGCGCTTGCGGGCCAGCTGGAGTTCCGGGTGGGCGTGGGCTTGGCGGGCCATGCACTTGGAGCAGTCGGCCAGCCCTGCTGGCCCCGGGCAATGAGGGACTTAGCACCCGGGCCAGCAGATGCGGAGGGTATACGTCCCCCAGCAGTGCCAGCCCACCGGTGCTGCGCTTGATTTCTCACCGAGCCTTAGCTGCCTTCCCGTGGGGCAGGGCTCAGGACCTGCAGCTCACCATGCCGGAGCCTCCCACTCACTCCGTGGGTTCCTGGGCAGCCCAAGCCTCCCCGATGAGCGCCGCCCCCTGCTCCACGGCGCCCAGTCCCATCGACCACCCAAGGGCTGAGGAGTGCGGGCGCACGGCACTGAGACTGGCAGGCAGCTCCACCTGCAACCCCGGTGTGGGATTCACTGGGTGAAGCCAGTTGGGCTCCTAAGACTGGTGGGACCTTGGAGGACCTTTATGTCTAGCTCAGGGATTGTAAATACACCAATAGGCACTCTGTATCTAGCTCAAGGTTTGTAAACACACCAATCAGCACCCTGTGTCTAGCTCAGGGTTTGTGAGTGCACCAATCGACACTCTGTATCTAGCTGCTCTGGTGCGGCCTTGGAGAACCTTTGGGTCAATACTCTGTATCTAACTAATCTGATGGGGAGGTGGAGAACCTTTGTATCTAGCTCAGGGATTGTAAACGCACCAATCAGCGCCCTGTCAAAACAGACCACTGGGCTCTACCAATCAGCAGGACGTGGGTGGGGCCAGATAAGAGAATAAAAGCAGGCTGCCCGAGCCAGCAGTGGCAACCCGCTTGGGTCCTCTTTCCACACTGTGGAAACTTTGTTCTTTCACTCTTTGCAATAAATCTTGCTACTGCTCACTCTTTGGGTCCACACTGCTTTTATGAGCTGTAACACTCACTGCGAAGATCTGCAGCTTCTCTCCTGAAGCCAGTGAGACCACGAGCCCACCAGGAGGAACGAACAACTCCAGACGTGCTGCCTTAAGAGCTGTAACACTCACCGCGAAGGTCTGCAGCTTCACTCCTGAGCCAGCGAGACCACGAACCCACCAGAAGGAAGAAACTCCGAACACATCCGAACATCAGAAGGAACAAACTCCAGACGTGCCACCTTAAGAGCTGTAACACTCACCGCGAGGGTCCGCGGCTTCATTCTTGAAGTCAGTGAGACCAAGAACCCACCAATTCCGGACACACTATGAGTGTCATTGCATGTGAGATGGGTTTCTTGAAGACAGCGTACCATTGGGTTTTCCTTCTTTGTCCAAATTGCCACCCTGTGCCTTTTAATTGGAGCATTTAGCTCATTTACATTTAAGTTCAATATTGGTATGTGTGGATTTAATCCTGTCATCATGTTGTAGCTGGTTAGCTGTAGACTTGTGTGGTTGCTTTATAGTATGACTGGTTTATGTACTTAAGTGTGTTTTTGTAATGGCTAATAACAGTCTTTCCTTTCCACATTAGCACTCCCTGCAGGACCTCTTGTAAGGCAGGTCTGGTAGTAATGAATTCTCTTAGCATTTGCTTGTCTGAAAAAATCTTATTTCTCCTTTCCTTATTAAGCTTAGTTTGGCCAGATATGAAATTATTGGTTGAAAATTATTTTCTTTAAGAATGCAGGATTTAGGACCTCCATCTGACTTATAAGGTTTCTGCTGATGGGCATGCTGTTAGCTCGATGGGGTTTTCTTCGTAGGTGACCTGTTCCTTCTCTTCAGCTGCCTTTAACATTTTTTCTTTCATTTCAACTTCAGAGTATCTGATGATTATGTGTCTTAAGGATGGTCTTATTATGCAGTATTTCTCAGGTGTCCTCTGCAATTCCTGAATTCGAATGCTGGTCTCTCTAGCGAGGTTGGAGAAATTTTCATGGATAATATCCTCAAATATGTTTTCCATATTGTTGGTTGGCTTTCTCTCTCTCTCTTCAGAGATGCCAATGAGTTGTAGATTTTTTATCTTTACATAATCCCACATTTCTCAGAGATTTTGTTCATTCTTCTTTATTGTTTTTTCTCTATTTCTCTCTGACAGAGTTATTTCAGAGAGCCTGTCTTCGAGCTCTGAGATTCTTTCCTCAGCTTGGTCAATTCTACTGTAAATACTTATGATTGTATTATGCAATTCTAGTGGAGTATTTTTCAGCTATCAGATCAGATTATTTCTTCTTTCTTATAATGTCCATTTTATCTATTAGCTCCTTTATCATTTTATTGTAATCCTTAACTTCATGGGAATGGATGACTTTCTCCTGTATGTTGATGATCTTAATTCCTATTCATATTCTGAATTCTTTTTCTGTGATTTCAGCCACCTAAGCCTGGTTAGAAACCATTGCTGGGAAATTAATATGGTTGTTTGGAGTAAGACACTGGCTTTTTGAGTTGCCAGAGTTCTTGCACTACTTCTTTCTCATCTTTGTGTGCTGATGTTTCTTCAATCTTTGAAGTTGCTGACCTTCGGATTTTTTTTTCTTTTATCCTATTCAATGTCCTTGGGGGTTTGATTGTGGTATAAGGTGGGTTCTGTCAACTGTCTTCATTTCTGGAGAATTTTAGGAAGCCAAGGCTCAGCTCATGACTCCTGGACTGCAAGCTCTAATTCTTGGGGGCTGACATCTGGCCTCTGGCTTTGTTCTGTGTCCCCATAAGGTTAGGAACATGCCATGCTGGAGGGGCTGAGTTGTTCCTGGACCACTAGTCAGAACACTCTAATGAGTAATTCCAGCCACAGTGCTTGGTAAGGTTGTAGCAGCAGCATCTGTCCTCAACTGCATGTGCCAGCAACAGCAGCAGCACAGCAGTGTGCACATTCATAAGCTGTAGCAGGGTCCTGGCAGGTGGAGGGGTGCCAGCCTCCATGTGAGCATTCACAGTGGCAGTGGTAGAAGTACAGCACAGGAGGGCCAGGGGTTCTGACATCATCTGTGTGCATGTTTGCACCGGTAGTAGTGTTAGCACAGGGGCAGGGCACTGGCAGGCACAGTCTTGTGCCTGCCAGTGCCCTGTGTACCCTCTATGCATGTGTTCACACATACAGCAGCTACTGCTGGGGGTGAGCAGATCTCCTGCTCTCCCTGCCTAGTTTCACACTGGTGCTGGGTGGGGCACTGGCAGGCTCTGTGCCTGCAAATACTCCAACAGCAATGGTGGCACAGCAGGTGAATTGGGGGAGGGGGTGTACTCCTGCCAGCAGCTGTAGCATGGTGGGCAGGGTGCATGCACACATGCATGCTGACAAGGAAGGGAAGGCAAGGTGCACCAGCATGCACACATGGTGGGAGAGTAATGTGAGGGATGGCCATGTGTGAGCGCATGCAGGCCAAGCAACTCCAAGGAGGCTGTGGTTGGGGGAGGCCACAGGCATGCCTGTGCACATCTGCTGGGGTGCTCTAGTGAAGTTCTCCATTGGTCAAGTATAGTCCATCAGTGCAGGAGCTATGATGCAGGCCCCCAGGAACCCTCCAACCTGGGAATCTGAGGTTGCACTGCAAGCAGGTGTGGCCAGGCTGGGGCCTCAGGAGAAGTCAGCAGGCAAGGGATGCCCAGGTTGGACCAGCCTCATCTCATGGACAAAACCATCCTGACTCTTCAGGTTCAACAGTTTTTCTAGAACTAAAGTCTTCTGGAGGAGTAAAGCGAGCCACAGGGGATGGGTGTCCTGGGCATGCTCCACTACAGATGCTCCCATGCCAAACTATTTGGGCTCCCAACTATCTAGAGTTCTGTCCCTACTATTTTTCTAAGCAGCTTTCCCTGTCAGCTCAAGTGTCTGTGGGGGTTATGGAGTCTCCCGCTGGCAGGATTCCAGAGATCCGTGGTGAGAGTGAGTTGCTCATTGCCTACTCAACTCCCTAGTTCCCCAGGAGTCACTGGGAGATAGGAAGGAGTCTCAGTGCATGGTAGACTCATGCAGGGTTTCCAGCTTCCACCCCCTTCGGCCCAGCATCTGTGTCCTCCCTTCGTCCACTCTCAGTCTATGTTTATATTTCTACATAAACTTTGGCATTAACTTGTCTAGCTTCAGAAAAAAAAAAAAGACTAGTTTTAAAATTGGGATTGCATTAAATTAATTACAGAGAAAAAACTTTTTGATGATGCTGCATCATCCTATCAAAAAATAAAAAAAATTTTTTCTCATTTATTCAGTTCTAATTCTTTCTTTCAAAAATGTTTTAGAGGTTTTTTTTTTTTTTTGCACATAAATTTTACATATTTTTCTCAGGTTTATTCTTTTTTTTTTTTTTTTCGAGACAGAGTCTTGTTCTGTTGCCCAGGCTAGAGTGCAGTGGCATGATCGTGGCTCACTGCAACCTCCGCCTCTGGAGTTCAAGTGATCCTCCCACCTTAGCCTCCCAAGTAGCTAGGACTACAGGTGCACACTAGCATGACTGCTAATTTTTGTAATGTGTAGTAGAGACAGAATTTTCCTATGTCACCCAGGTTAGTCTCAAATGCCTGGACTTAAGCAATCCACCAGCCTTGGCCTCCCAAAGTGCTGGGATTACAGGTGTGGGCTACTGCACCCAGCCAGATTTATAACTATTTTTATGTTCTTCATTGTGAATGGCATTTCTCAATCATTATACCCTCTACTGGTTATAATTTGTGTATGTGAAACTACTGATTTCTGTATGCAAATTTTATATCTTGCTACATTTACAAATTATTTTATTGTTTGAAGTATCATTAATCATCATCATAAAAGTTGAATTTTATTATTTATTCTTTAGCATTTTTCAGATATATTTCCATGGTATGTGTAATAGAAGTAAAATGGTTTTACATTTTCTTTTCTTATGTTTATGCCACTAATTTATTTCTCTTGTATAATTGCATTAGCTGATATGTCCAGTACAGTGTTAAATAATAATGGACGTAATGGGTATTCTTTTCTGTGTATTTTTGTAACGACTCCTTTAGTTTTACCATAAAGTAAAATGCTAGCTTTAGAATTAAGATGTGTAATGATAGATCAATAGATCAATTGACTGATATGTAGACACATAAAACTATATGCTGTATGTCTGTAATTTATATAGCTCATAAATTCATATATACAATATTAAAAAACTTAAGTATCTATTAATTCCTATATTTGTATGCTTTTGCTTTTATCTAGAATAAGAGTTTGGTTTTGTCAAAGGCTTTTCAACGTTTATTGAGATAATCATAAGATTTTCCTCCTTAGAACTTTATATGACATATTATATTAATTAATCTCCTAATTTGGAATCTATCTGGCATTCTTGGAATGAATTCCATTTGGCCCTAGCACATTATCTTCTAAATGTGTTGTTAAACTCAGTTCACTAATAGTTTGTTTAGGACTTGTGTATCAATATCAGTGATATTGTTCTGTGACTTTTTCTTTTGTACTATTTTTATCAAGGGTAAATATCATTATTTTATCTTTAAAAAAAGAAATGTAAAGTTTTTCATTGATTTCTATCATTTAAAACAACTTGTATAGCATTAGAGCTATCTGATCTTTTAGATTTTGATGGATTTTCACTGTGAAACCATTTGGGCCCAATATTTTCTTGTGGGGTAATTCCTCTATAACTTTGTCTCATTCTTCTATACAAATTGATCCACTTAAGCTTTCTATCTAAAAGGTAACATGCTGGGTAAAACTATTTTCATAAAAATTAACCATCTAATTCATTTAAATATATATTTTATACAGGAGATCTGCAAAGTAATCTCTTACATTTTCTATTTTTTACTCTTACAAAAGTTATCCTGCCTTGCCATTCTTATTTTGTGTATTTGTACTTCCTCACTTTTTGATAATTTTCTTTTCTGTGCACATGTTTTCTCACTATTTTTTCCAAATATAGCTAGTGCTTTATTCATATTCTTAATTTTTTAAAAGCACTAGCTAACTTAAGGAAAAAATGGTCACTTCCCACATTTGTAGCTTCTGCTTTTTATTCAGTTAAATAGGCAGTGTTTCCTAATATCTATTTTACCATTATACCTTTTTATTAGAGCCCCTAATTGTTAGTTGAGCATGTGGCTACTCTAAATAATGACATTTTCAGCCTAATTTGCAATTTCATATTGCCAAGTGCTAAATTTTGGCCGCTGCAATGTAAGTGGAGATGTTGTTTACAGTTTCCAGAAAATGTTCTTAAAGGGAAATATGCTAGTCTTTTCTTCTTGCTGTCTGGAATGCAAATATAATGATTCATACATAATAATTATACATGTTTATAGAGTACATGTGAAGTTTATTTATTTATTATTTATTTATTTATTTATTTATTTATTTATTTATTTATTTATTTATGTAGAGATGGAATTTCACACTTGTTGCCCAGGCTGGAGTGCTATGATGTGATCTCAGCTCACTGCAACCTCCACTTCCCGAGTTCAAGTGATTCTCCTGACTCAGCCTCCTGAGTAGCTGGGATTACAGGTGCCTGCCACCATGCCTGGCTAATTTTTGTATTTTTCTCATAGAGATGGCATTTTACCATGTTGATCAGGCTGGTCTCAAACTTCTGACCTCAGGTGATCTGCCCGCGTTGGCCTCCCAAAGTGCTGGGATCACTGGCGTGAGCCACCATGCCCGGCCACATGTGATATTTTAATATATGTATATAATGTGTCATGATCAAATTAAGGTAATTAGAATATTCATTATATCAAACATTTATTATTTGTGTTGGGAATATTCGAAATCTTTTTCTCTAGCGATTTTGAAATATACAATAAATTCTTGTTAACCGTGGTCACCCTACTGTGCTATTAAACATTCGATTTTATTTCTTCTATCTAACTTCTATCTAACCTCTCATTTTCCCCTCTCCTACACTTGCCAACCCCTGGTAACCATCATTCTGCTCTCTACCTCCATATGAGTGAGAACTTTTCAGCTCCCACATATGAGTGAGAACACATGATATTTGTCTTTCCGTGCTTGGCTTATTTCATTTAATGTAATAAACTCTAGTTCCATTCATGTTACATGGCAGCACATCTTACATGGTAGCAGGCAAGAGAGAGAATTAGTGCCAAGTGAAAGGGGAAACCCCTTATAAAACCATCCATATCATGTGAGACTTATTCACTACCAGGAGAACCGTATGGGGGATCCACCCCCATGATTAAATTATCTCCTGCTGGTCTCTCCTACAACAAATGGAAATGATGAGAGCTAAAATTCAAGATGAGATTTGGGTGGGGACACAGCCAAACCATAAGTATGCGAAATTTTTTTTATTTTTTAGTGTGTCCTCTTCAATTTCTTTCATCTGTGTTTTATAGTTTTCCTTATAGAGTTCTTTCACTTTTTTAGTTAAATTTATTCCTAGATACTTTATTTTTTGTAGGTACTATAAATGGGATTCTTTCTTCTTTTTCACATTGTTCACTGTTGGTGTGTATAAATGCTACTGATTTCTGTATGTTGATTTTGTATCTTGCAACTTCACTGAATTCATTTATTAGTTCCAACAGTTTTTTTTTTTTGGTGAAATCTTCAGGTTTTCAATATATGATCATGTCATTTGCAAAGAAGAATAAATTGACTTTTTCCTTTCCTATTTGGATGTTCTTTATTTCTTTCTCTTGACTAATTGCTCAGGCCAGAACTTCCAGAAGTATACTGAATAAATGTGGTGAAAGTGGGCATTCTTCTCTTGTTCCATATCTTAGAAAAAAGGCTTTCAGTTTTTCCCCATTCAGTATATATTAGCTGTGGGTTTGTAATACATGGACTTTATTATCTTAAAGTATGTTTCCCCTGTACTCAGTTTTTTGAGTTTTTGACATACAAGGATGTTGAATTTTGTCAAATTATTTTTCAGTCTCTATTGAAATGATCATACGGCTTTTGTTCTTGATTTTGTTAATGTGATATATTATGCTTATTTATTTGCGTATATTGAACCATCCTTGCATATCTGGAATGAATTCCACTTGATCCTGGTGAAAGATCTTTTCAATGTGTTGTGGAATTCAGTTTGCTAGTCATTTGGTGATGATTTTTGTATCTATGTTCATCAGTGATATTGGCCTGTAGTTTTCTTTCTTTCTGTGTCTCTCATTCTTTCTTTCTTTTTCTTTCTTTTTTCTTTTATCTTTCTTTCTTTCTTGTTTTCTTGGTCTTTCTTTCTTTCTTTTGTTCGTTCATTTGTTTTTGTCTGCTTTTGGTATCAGGGTAATACTGGCCCCATAGAATGAATTTGTATTTTGTCCCTCTTTTTTAAAAAAAGAGTTTAACACAATTGGTATTAGTTCTTCTTTAAATGTTTCGTATAATTTAGCAGTGAAGCCATTAAGTCCTGTTTTTCCTTTGATGGGAGACTTTTTAGTACTGCTTCCATCTCTTTACTCATTGTAGGTCATTGTATATATTCAGGTATTCTACTTCTTCGTTTTTCAATCTTCATAGATTTTATGTGTTTATGAATTTATCCATTTCTTTTAGGTTTTCTAGTTTGTTCGCATATAGTTGCTCATAATAGTTTCTTATACTCCTTGGTATATCTGTGTTACCAATTGTAATATCTCCCTTTTAATCTCTTATTTATTTAGGTCTTTTTTTCCTACTGTAGCTAAATGCTTGTCAATTTTATCTTTTCAAAAAACAAATTTTTATTTAATTGATCTTTTGTATTTTTTTAGTCTCTATTTCATTTACTTCTGTTGTGATCTTTATTATTTCTTTCCTTCTACTAACTCTGGTTAATTCTTGCTTTTCTAGTTCATGGAAGTGCATCATTAGGTTGTTTATTTGAAGTCTTTCTACTTTTTTGATGTAGGTGCTTATTACTATAAACCTCCCACTTATAATTGCTTTTGCTATGCCCCATAGATTTTGGTGTATGACGTTTCTGTTTTTATTTATCCCAAGAAATTTTTGAATTTCCTTTTAACTTTCTTCACAGCCCCATTAATTGTTTAGAAGCATGTTGTTTAATTTTCATGAATTTGTAAAGTTTTCAATGTTCCTTCTGTTATTAATTTTTAGAATAGAGTTCTTCTATTCCATTGTGGTTAGAAAAGATGCTTGACACAAATTTGATTTTTTCAGTTTTTTAAAAAACTGTGTTAAGACTTGTTTGGTAATGTAACATATGGTCTATCCTGAAGAATGTTCCACGTGCTATTGAGAAAAATGTGTATTCTGCAGCTGTTGCATGGAATATTCTGTAAATATCCGTTGGGTCCATTTAGCCTAGAGTGCAATTTAACTATAAAATTTATTTGCTGATTTTGTTTCTGGATAACCTGTCCATTGCTGAAAGTAGGGTGTTGAAGTCTCCTACAATTACTGCATTGCAATCTCTCCACTTAGGTCTATAATATTTGTTTTATATATTTCAGTGCTCCAATGTTGAGTTAGGTTCATCTATATTTACAATTATTATATCCTCTTGCTGTATTGACTCCTTTATCATTGTATAATGGCCTGCTTTGTCTATTTTAAAAATCATTATTGACTTAAAGCCCATTTTATCTGATATAAGTATAGCTACTCCTTCTCTTTTTGGTTTTCATTTGCATAGGATATCTTTTTCCATTTCTACACTTTCAGTTTGTGCATATCTTTAAGGTGAATGAAGCCAGTGTCCTGTAGAAAACATATAGTTTGGTCTTTTTAAATACATTCAGTTACTTTATGTCTTTTAATCAAAGCATTTAATCAATTTATATTCAAAATTATTATTGATAGGTAAGGTTTTATTATTTTCATTTTCTTACTTGTTTTCTGGTTATTTTGTAGATCACTTCTTCCTTTTCAATCCTCTCTTACTGTCTTTGTTTGTGGTTAAGTTATTTTTCTTTGGTAGTATGTTTTTATTCTGTGCTATTTATCTTTCATGTATCTATTATAGATTTATGCTTTGTGGTTACCATGTGGCTTACAAAAAAAAATCTTACAGTTCTAACAGGTTATTCTTAACTGATAGTGTCTTAACTTTGATTGCAAAGAAAAATATAAAAAACAAACTACATTTTAACATCATATCCTCCACATATTTTGACTTTTTGATGTTTCAATTTATATCTTTTTATATTGCCTATCTCTAAACCAATTGTTGTAGTTATTATTGTTTTTAAGTTTTGTCTTTTAGTCTTCCTACTTAAGATGTAAGTGGTTTACTTACCATGATTACAGTACTACAGTATTCTGAACTTGTCTGTTTTGTTACTCTTACTAGTGACAGTTATACTTTCAGATGTTTTCTTGTTACACATTAGTGTCCATTTCTTTCCAATTGAAGAACTTTCTTTAACATTTCTTGTAAGACAGATCTGGTGTTGATGAATTCCTTAAGCTTTTGTTTATCTGGAAAAGTCTTTATCTCTTCTTCATGTTGGAAGAATAGCTTCGCTGGGTATGGTATATTTGTTTGACAGTATTTTCCTTTAGCATCTTGAATATAGCTTACTACTCTCTCTTAGCATGTAAGGTTTCTGCTGAGCAATCTGTTGAAAGCTATATTTGTGCTCCATTGAATGTAATATATTTCTTTTCTCTTGTTACTTTGAATATTCTTTCTTTATCCTTGAATTTGCTAATTTTATTATGATATGCCTAAGACAATTCCTCTTTCGGTTGAATGTCATTAGTGACCTTTGAATTTCCTATATGTGGATGCTATCATCTTTGTCTAGATTTGGAAAATGTTCAGCTATTATTTCTTTAAATATTCTTTCAATGCCTTTTCTTACTTGTCTTCTTTGGGAACTCCAATTATGCAACAGTTAGTTAATGTGATGGTGTCCCATAATTTTTGTAGGCCTTCTTCACTCTTTCTATTCCTTTTTTTTTTTTTGCAACTCTTACTGGGCAATTTCATGTGTTCTGTCTTCAAGCTTGCTGATTATTTCCTGTGTTTGATCAAGTCTGCTGTTTAAGCTTTCAAATGGGTTTTTGTATTCAATTCAGTTTTGGTATTTAAAAATATATATATGCTGTTGGGTTTTTAAAAATTGTTTCTATTTATCTGTCAATTTTCTCATTTCATTCTTGGATTGTTTTCAAATTTTATTCAGTTTTTTATTTATATTGTCTTGTAATTCCTTGAATATCTTTAAGAAGATATTCTGAAATCTCTGCCATACATTTCATAGATCTTCAATTCTTCTGGGTCTATTGCTGGAATTTTGTTGGCTTCTGTTGGTGGTGTCATATTTTCCCGAGTTTGCACAATTCTTGTATCTCTATGCTGATTCTGTGCCTTTGAGGAGGCATCCACCCCTTCCACATTTTTGAAGATGTTCTTTCGTGGGTTTAGACTTTTACTTCTTAGGATCAGTATTTAAACACACATCTTTTTTGAGGAAGACTTATAGTAAGCACCAGAACTTACACTAAGCACATTTCACTGGAACTAACTTGCTACCCTGTCATTGTTTCTCAGTCTGGGTAAGACTTATGTTGAAAAAAGATGCTCGAATACTGCTCTGGAACTGTACTGCTGCCCTGCTGTTGTTTCTCAGTTTGAGGAGAACTTAAGCAGGCACCAAAACTTAGAACCTATTAGTTCTTTCTGGGCCATGATAAGTCTCCAAGCAAAAACCTGGGCTTTGTGTAAAATCTGGTTAGGGATTCAGGTTTTCTTATGTATTGTGTCCCCTGCAGCACTATGGCACCGGTCAGTCTCCTCAATGTGGTGTCCCTGATAATCAGAGTGTTGAATAGCCACTACGGTCCACAAGCCAGTCACTGCAACTAGTGACCTGCTCTTTTCCCAATTTACCCCACATTGTTCAGTCTTCCTGGCACTCTCAGTGATTCCTATGGGACAGAACCAGAGTGAGCTTCTCATGAAAATTCTCAAACCAGTGTGGAAATTGAATATTTACCTCTAATTCCCAATTCTTACCTTAGCAAATTGTGCATCTAAGAAAACATTTTGTGAATGGCATTATGCTGGCTTGGGGGACAGAGTGATACAGCCTGAAATTACCATTTCTCTTACCAGTCATGACTTCTCTTGATTTCATGAGTCTAGGGGGTTTCTCCACTTCTCCCCTGAGTTCTGGTATGTTCTGGGTGGCATTCTCATCTTTGAATAGTTTATAGCTGTATAATGTGGGGGCAGTGATGCCAGGGTATTTTCTATTTTGCTGTCTTACTGATGATACTCTCGGATATGAGAATTTAATATTAATAGAAGTGGAACCAATCCTTTTATTAAAATTAAGTGGGCAGAATATAATTGTATCAGTATCTAAAATCTGTCTAATTCATTCTTCTAAAGTATCAGTGGCCAAAAGTGAAATCTGATTTTTCTTTCACAATAAAGAGTTGTCCAGAAAGGGTATTAGCTATAGAATTTAGAAACAAATTACAGAATTTAGAGTTATGAAAAACTTTATAGACCATGGAATCCAACATTTTTATTTTATAGAAATCAAGATCCAAAAAATTCGTATAGCATACATAAGGAGGCTATATAACTAAGCCAGTTTCATTTCATTTCAAATTCAAACTTCTTATTCCCCATGGTAAAGTTGTGCTTTATATTGTAATGTTTTGTTCACTGCCTGGATACTAATCTCCCAGGAATGAAAGTCCACTCCTAAATATAAACCTCAATCCAGCATTGAGACATGCCAACTAAGCTTTCTCCCTATAAACCAACTGGTGCATGCCAAGCCCAGCTAAAGATACTGAATGCAAAGCTTTCTATTCCTCATTGTTTATTTGTAGCCATATGCATTTTAAATATGGCTTCGCATATCACAAAAAGTGCAATTTCACACTTTTTTGTACCTAATTACAACATTCCCCATTCATTGGTGGACTCAATCATCCAATAATTAACCTTGGCATCTGCTACATAGTCTTTCTTATAATGAAATGTGCAGGAATTATTGTTCAATTAGATTCTATAATTGAAACAAATGAAAAATAAGCCAAGAATTCCAGAGTTAGCAAATCTGTTATTTGTTTGTTTTTTTCTCAAAATATATCACTGTATTTCAAAATACTATTTAAGGATAGCTTTTGAAAATAAGGTCTACATTTTTGAAATATAGATAGGTCATTCATCAAAAGACAGACAAGTGGCATTTAAATGCATAAACCAAAATACAAATCCAGGATGAATTTCTTGTGACAAGGAGCTATTATTACAGATTTGAGTATGATGGTGAGATCCATTGCTTCTATCAAAGAAAAACAGGAACTACCCAAGTTGTCATGAGTACACTCTTTCTCATTTGATGCCTTCTTTTTACCATTTACATTCTGATTATTTGACAATCTATTGTTATTCCAGTTTTTTCTCTAAGGTCCCAGAATATTTCTTTTGCATTTTCTGCCTTAAATTTTCTTCCCAAAGATTCTGATTTTATTCTTACTACATGTATTTCAGAAATTTCTTTTTTTCCTAACAAAGCTTTTGGTTCATGTTCAACCTTTAAATGCAGCCACATATGTGCATATAAGTAAAAGCACTCCAGTTTTTAATATTTCTAATAGTTATCTGTTTCTTTTATAACTGCTTGAGCTTTGCTACCAATTTGCATAAGAGTCTTAAAAACTGCTAATTCCTTAAAAATTTATTTTATTTCTTTAAGAGAATAAAGTAGCAGTCAATGTTTTAATGAAATGAAAATAAAGCTTCTTTTCCTTACCATTAAGCAATGAGAAGTTTGACTGGCTAGCCAAGTTTCTGATTTTACTGTTATCAAGTGTAACTATGTGAACTGGGGCTCACTATTTTAGTATTAAAAATAAAGTAAAAGTGAAATAAAAAGTCAGCTTCTGAAAGCTCCAGGAAGTAAGATAATATAAAAGCTACATTTCTGTTGTTGATAGAAGATATTTATCTTTAAGTTTGAATCTCTTAACCCATAGAGCTTGTATATAGTAAGTACTTATCATATTCAGTGGTAAAGCAGGATGATATTAAAGTTTGACTGTTATAACAGATCTGCAATGCTTGAACAGAGTCTTTGTTAAACATCTGCTTTTAAAAACAGCCATCAGTGGAGGAAAAGCTTATACACTTTCTCAGTCTGTGCTTCATTTTAGTCTAGGTCTATAATAACAAAGTCAAGTGAAATGTTGAAACAGCCAGTTACATCAAGACATAATTCTAGCATGGGAGTAGAAGATTTGGGAGTCTGAATTTTCTATGTTAATTTAGATTTTCAACACAAACTGTGTAATTTCTTAGCTCCCATTCTAAAGAGGTAGGCAGTGAAGTGATCTGCTTGAATTCCTGCCTGAACATCTCTCTAAAGCCCAAATTTAGGGAGGCTAAGCCTTCTCCTTTAGCATCCTTCCTACTCTAGGCCCTGAAACCAATGTTATTCCTATTTGGGAAGGATTAAAGTAGCACTACATCAGAAGCTCACTGGCTTAAAATCAAGGTAACCTTTTCCTTAGTTGCTCACCAGACTATACATTTTGAGAACAGGAATTTTTCTGCCTTTTCCAACTCTATGTATTCTGCACCTAATTTTTGACAAATACTGGGTACTCAATAAATATGTATTGAATGAATAAAAATGGATGAACAACTAAGTGAAAGAACTAATAGATTCTCTAATGTCCTAGTTCCGCCCTAGGCACCAAACCCTTCTTGTAACTAAATTCAAATTAGTGAATCTTGAGGTATTGCCTGATGTCCATCCTGAGGTCCTGCCTTGCTCTGCAATGGTCCTGTGAATAAGAACACCGCTTCCTAACTATGGTTCTGTGGTTGAGTCCTTTCTCCACCTGCTTCCTGATCTTCCTTGGGCCAAATAAATCTTTATTTTCCTCCCATTGCCTTTTTCAGACTCCATGCTGCCACCATGCTCCATCTACTCACTACAATATTCACACGTAAGAATTTGCTGTGCATTCCTAATGTGGATCTTCTCTCTACTTCCCCAGTTGCTGTAGTCTAATACTCTACTCATGATCTTTCAATATAAAAACAAGAGTTTTCAGGCTTGTATATAATTATCAACAATTTTAGGCTGGAATATTTTTGAAAAGCTGAATGATTCTTCAAAGTAATAACTATACTTCATTGAATGATACAAATGATTTGTAGCTTAGTATTTATATTTCTGTTTTCTCCATTCTATAAATGTCATAAAATGTGGAAAGAAGAACAATGATGGCCAATTTGTAATTAAGAAAACTCAACTAAGAGTCACAGGGTGGATGGTATAAGAACAGGATTAATCCCACTAATCTATTGCAACGCTGTCTTTATCTCCAGAGATGTTTTCAGTCATACATAGGGCTTGTATTAGTCTGTTTCACACTGCTCCAAAGATACTACCTGAGACTGGGTAATTTATTATATAAACAAAAGCAGTTTAATTGACTCACAGTTCCACATGGCTGGAGAGGCTTCACAGTCATGGCGGAAGGAAAGAGGAATCAAGGCATGATCTTACATGATGGCAGGAGACAGAGAGAGCGAAGAAGCGCCACACTTTAAAACCATCAGCTCTCATGAGAACTCACTCCCTATCACAAGAACAGCATTGGAGAAACTGCCCTCATGATTCAATCACCTCCCACCAGGTTCCTCCCTCATCACATGGGGATTACAATTTGAGATGAGATTTGGGTTGGGACACAGAGCCAAACCATATCAGGGCTGATCATTGGCAAAACTTGAATGAAATGTACTAAGTAGCTATGAATGTAGTCCTGAGCTAGAATCCAAAACAGAGAGGAACAACCTGTGCCAGTTTATTAGCGCTGTTTATAGATAAAGTACAGTTTGTACCTAGTTTCTATTTGTTCTCTTAGTTTCTGTTTTTGAGCTTGGTCATGAAGCCTTGTTTGGGCTATGTGGCCAGAGAGGTTTAAAAGACATCTTACATAGGACTTTGGTTTCTCTGAGATCAAGGCAACTTGCATATATATTGGTGGCTCAAAATCCAAAGACAGAGTAAGTCCTATGTGACTAAGAAAGGAACCTGGGAGCTGTACCAGAAAGCTTTGTGACTCTGGTTTTGTATCTTCTTTCTCTTGCTGTACCATATTCTTTCTCTTTATTAGTCTGCTGTCACACTGCTGTGAAGAAATACATGAGACTGGATAATTTATAAAGGAAATAGGTTTAGTTGACTCACAGTTCTGCATTTCTGGGGAGGCCTCAGAAAACTTACAATCACGGTGTGAGGCAAAGGAGAAATATGCACCTTCCTCACAGTGTGGCAGGACAGAGTGAGTGCAAGCAGGAGAAATGCCAGATGCTTATAAAACCATCAGATCTCATGAGAATTCACTTACTATCACAAGAACAGCATGGGGGAAACCACCCTCATGATCCAATTACCTCAACCTGGTCCCGCCCTTGACACGTGGGGATTATGGAGATTGCAATTAGAGGTGAGATTTAAGTGGGAACACAGAGCGAAACCATATCATTGAGTATGCATGAAGAGTCTCATGAGTCCTTTTAACCATATAACTGTAAGAATTGCAGTCCACATAAATTCAAATTTTTTTGTATGTTACTTCCCCTGACATAGTTATTTGTGATGGTGATCTCAACAGCAGATTATATTGACCAGGTTGCTGGTCAAATATGATGCAGCTTGATGGAATAAGAGGCCTGGATATGCCAGATTTTTCTGACTTCCTATGTCTTTGTGGGGTGTACTCGCAACCATGGATTCAGTGGCTTTATAATGTCAGAAACCTACTCTGTTAAAAATGTGGTGTAACCTTAGTGTACCTCTGCCCATCAAGCTATAGCTTTAGGTATTTTTAAAATAGATCTTAGAAAGGCAGAGTCATAACAGGAAGAAACCAAAGACCTTGGTGTATTAGTCAGGGTTTTCCAGAGAAGCCAAACCAATAACATATATATATATACATACATATATATATACACACACACACATATATACACACACACACATATGTATGTACATTATTAATTCAAAGAGAATTCTTTTACTTTCTTGGAAATCACTCTATCCTTAAAGTATGCATATATATTAGGAGTATTCTGCTGATTATTAATCATAGCTAACATCCAGTTAACAGGCTGTAGTTCATTTAAACAAACATGTATTCACATCAGTTGTGTCCTTTTTTTATTTTATTTTATTTTATTTTTATTTATTTATTTATTTTTTAATTTTCTTTTTTTTTATTATCATTATACTTTAAGTTTTAGGGTACATGTGCACATTGTGCAGGTTAGTTACATACGTATACATGTGCCATGCTGGTGCACTGCACCCACTAACTCGTCATCTAGTATTAGGTATATCTCCCAATGCTATCCCTCCCCCCTCCCCCCACCCCACAACAGTCCCCAGAGTGTGATATTCCCCTTCCTGTGTCCATGTGATCTCATTGTTCAATTCCCACCTATGAGTGAGAATATGCAGTGTTTGGTTTTTTGTTCTTGTGATAGTTTACAGAGAATGATGATTTCCAATTTCATCCATGTCCCTACAAAGGACATGAACTCATCATTTTTTATGGCTGCATAGTATTACATGGTGTATATGTGCCACATTTTCTTAATCCAGTCTATCATTGTTGGACATTTGGGTTGGTTCCAAGTCTTTGCTATTGTGAATAATGCCGCAATAAACCAACTTACAAGGGATGTGAAGGACCTCTTCAAGGAGAACTACAAACCACTGCTCAAGGAAATAAAAGAGGATACAAACAAATGGAAGAACATTCCATGCTCATGGGTAGGAAGAAGCAATATCATGAAAATGGCCATACTGCCTAAGGTAATTTACAAATTCAATGCCATCGCCATCAAGCTACCAATGCCTTTCTTCACAGAATTGGAAAAAACTACTTTAAAGTTCATATGGAACCAAAAAAGAGCCCACATCACCAAGTCAATCCTAAGCCAAAAGAACAAAGCTGGAGGCATCACACTACCAGACTTCAAACTATACTACAAGGCTACAGTAACCAAAACAGCATGGTACTGGTACCAAAACAGAGATATAGATCAATGGAACAGAACAGAGCCCTCAGAAATAATGCTGCATATCTACAACTATCTGATCTTTGACAAACCTGAGAAAAACAAGCAATGGGGAAAGGATTCCCTATTTAATAAATGGTGCTGGGAAAACTGGCTAGCCATATGTACAAAGTTGAAACTGGATCCCTTCCTTACACCTTATACAAAAATCAATTCAAGATGGATTAAAGACTTAAACGTTACACCTAAAACCATAAAAACCCTAGAAGAAAACCTAGGCATTACCATTCAGGACATAGACATGGGCAAGGACTTCATGTCTAAAACACCAAAAGCAATGGCAACAAAAGACAAAATTGACAAATGGGATCTAATTAAACTAAAGAGCTTCTGCACAGCAAAGGAAACTACCATCAGAGTGAACAGGCAACCTACAGAATGGGAGAAAATTTTTGCAACCTACTCACCTGACAAAGGGCTAATATCCAGAATCTACAATGAACTCAAACAAATTTACAAGAAAAAAACAAACAACCCCATCAAAAAGTGGGCGAAGGACATGAACAGACACTTCTCAAAAGAAGACATTTATGCAGCCAAAAAACACATGAAAAAATGCTCATCATCACTGGCCATCAGAGAAATGCAAATCAAAACCACAACGAGATACCATCTCACACCAGTTAGAATGGCAATCATTCAAAAGTCAGGAAACAACAGGTGCTGGAGAGGATGTGGAGAAATAGGAACACTTTTACACTGTTGGTGGGACTATAAACTAGTTCAACCATTGTGGAAGTCAGTGTGGCGATTCCTCAGGGATCTAGAACTAGAAATACCATTTGACCCAGCCATCCCATTACTGCGTATATACCCAAAGGACTATAAATCATGCTGCTATAAAGACACATGCACACGTAGTTGTGTCCTTCTTACTTACATTTTTTATTTTTGAATTTTTGTTGTTTCTACCGCAGTTTATCATTACTATTGCTAATGTCAAATTGCTAAATCATGAAAGTAGAAATTATAGTTTAGAGTTGACTTATTAAACATAATAGTACTAAAGAAAATATTAACCTAAATATCACAGCTTAAATAATATCATAAACATACAAGATGAATATGAATATACAGAATAGGCTGGGACAATTGCATCTTCAGCTGTGGTTATTTGTGTAAGCCTCAATAGTGAATTTTGTTGGACCTCCGATCCATTCACTTCTGGTCCCCATGGCAGTTTCAGTAAAACATTGTAAAGGCTTCTGCTTCATTTTCAAATAAATCACATGGTCTCTTTCGTAAACCAGTTGTGTTTTTCCAGAGATATTACAATATGTTACTGACGGAAAAAAAATTGATTGTATTACTAAAGATGGAGAAGAGACAAAACTACAGGAGCATTATTCATATTGCAATCATCTAGTGAAAATAGAGAAAGCTTATTGCTCATAACAAGTCTCTAAAGTTAATAAAAAATATTGTGCTAAAAAGAAAACAGAACCTACGTTATTGGTAAAATTCCTTTTATGAAATGAACTTATTGGATATCACCTAGTATCAGTGGCACAAAATGTGGAGTTACAAACATAGATGTATATTATCTTGCATTTGGATGAAACCACTGATGTATTTTATAAATCAGTTCTTATAATATGGTAAGTTTAAAAAATCCATTACAATCAAAGAAATTTTTAATTAAATTTCAAGAATTAAAAATTAGATAATTTAATTATCTAAGAGGAAAAAGTAATGATTTCTTATCACATTTAACTCTAAGATTTCATACTAAAGGACAAAAGACCTTTTTAAAAATATTAGCTCCAATTTTCTTTGAGGGATGACATAGTCTAGAAAGGGTGTGTTGGGGTTAGCGCTTAAATAACAATCATTAGCTATGCAGCAAGAAAGGGTGTTACTAAGCTTTTTCACCAAAAAATCAGTGAAATATCCTGATGTATTCATTTTAAAAATGTGGTTGACTCAGTGTTGCAGAAAATAGCAATTATTTTGAATATAATTAGGTTAAAGTTCTTTAGTTACAAACAACCAAACCAATTTCTGACTGACTTAGATAAAAGTAAACTTAT
Source organism: Homo sapiens (assembly GCF_000001405.40). NCBI lineage: Eukaryota > Metazoa > Chordata > Mammalia > Primates > Hominidae > Homo > Homo sapiens. Next base: position 142,917,537 of record NC_000004.12, read on the forward strand.
TAAAATGGTAAAAAAAAAAAAAAAAAAAAAGCTTACAGAATTGATGGCGGGCTACAGAAGGACCTTTGGGAATAGGAAGGAATGAAATCAGCTTCTGAGGCTAAGAATCAGAAGTCCAGCATTTGTGGCAAATCAGGACCAGGCTGGTGAAAGCCTACCACTGGGATGAGACAGAAGGCCAGCTGTTTAACTCTTTTTTCCTCTACACAAGATTAAAATATTTCACCTTAAATTGTAGAAGACGGGGATCTGATAAAGAGTCCCACCAGATTGTATTTCATTCATCAAACTGAAGTGCTAAAGAGGCTAGGTAGGCAAAATGTAACCAATGTCCGAAAGAGGGAGACTCTGAGAACTTTATTTTCAGCATACTACGTAAAGAAATGGTCAGCAAGGACAAGAGACTACATTGCCACATGTTAAAGACAAGATATCAGGGTTTCTTAAGAAAAACAAATTGTGATATAAATGGTTTATCTCTAAGGGTTTAACTTTTATAACGTTGGATAATTTTCTTCACACCAAGAAACAGAAACTGACAACATGTTTTACATGCTACATGTTATAAAACATTTTATTATCGTGTGTGAATTCTGATACAGAACAGAGTTAAATGAAACTGCAAAGTAAATTTAGAGGCCCATCAACCTCACCTCCCAAAATAAAACATTTACTTGATTTCCCTACTTCTGAGTGTGGTCTGCTTATAACCGTATCTAATGGAGCAATTAATGTTGTCTTCAGTTAAAAAAAAATCTGAAAAATCACTAGATATATATTGATCTGAATATCTAGAACTTTTGACATATTCCCTAAACCCCTGCAAATTAGAGGTCTTAAAGAAATAAAGAGGAAAAAAAAGATGTGAATCCTAACCAGCAGCTCAAAATATCCATCACTGAACCAGATATTTTTATTCTAGGGAAAGGTTAAAGCAATGTGATCTCACCAAGATGAAAAAAAAAACTATAAATTTAGAAAGTCTATGCTTTATATTTAATTGGTTTAATTTTTAATTTTAAAATGTTAATTGTAAAGAAATGTTTTTAACTTACCAAAATTAGTGGGCTCCATTTTCTCATGTTGACTGGTCCTTAAGTCAACAGAGATGCCAGAACTTGAGAAATAACCCTCCAGCAGGAGCCTGGACTCTATCTATAAATGTTGAGCATATTAATCTTTGCCCAGAGCTCAAATCTGGAAACACGATGAATAGCATTCAACATGGATCATAAACATGAACACATTTAATAACAGTTACAGGAAGCTTAATCTTAGAAGAAAGGCATGCCATACTCTCTTTTTGGAAATATGTACTAGAAACTAAGGTGATGAGTAATTTGACAGATAGTAGAGTGTATGTTTAAGTATAAATTATCATGATTATTTGTTAATTATAATGAGAAGCAGAGTGGTATAGAAAGTACACAAGATTTGGAGACAGAAATCACCTTATCCCTGGTTTTTCTACCAAGTGAATGTTTGCTATTGAATGAATTATTGTACTTAATATCTCTAAACCTCACTTCATTCCCCTGTAAAATGGCAAAAATAATGATATGCCCAGATACTACATGAAAAGTAAATAAGGTAGCAGTGTGTACATTATAAAGTAATCTAAAAATATTGCTGACTTTTCCACATAACTTCTCAAATCTTCGTTCTATTTGGCTTAGGGAAATTAGATTAAAAATGTGTTTTAATCATCCAAAAAAGACTAACCTTTTATCTTACCCTTCGAAATTAAAATTAAGGGAAATAAGCATCATCATAAATGATAATGTCAAGTAGATGTAATTCATCATTCTTATAATATTTCAAGTGCCAAAATAATCTCTTTTTGGCACCAATCCTAATATCAGCCAGAAATGGTAATGTCAAAACCACCATTACACTTTTTATTATTGTGCACATTGTAGTTTTAATATTGCCTTCATTTCAAATTCTTATCTAATTATTGTGAATTACCAACAATAGCATTTAGATGTTCATGAATAGAAGTAAATACATTTCCCTGCTACTTGATTAGAGGAGAAATATGAGGCCTTAAGACCTTTTTAAGTACATAGAAAAGTCCTTTTCAGAGCTTGAAAATGTTACCCATGTTGAATGAAGTAAAATACACTTTTCTGATACCAATAACCTCTCTAGACTTTTTGTCTTTTCATCAGTGCAGATCTTAACTGAAAAGGCTGTTATTGATGTAAGATAAACTAACAAAAATAAATAATGACTGGCTGTATTAGTCTGTTCTTGCACAGCTATCAAGAAATACCTGAGACTGGGTAATTTATAAAGAATAGAGGTTAATTGGCTCACAGTTCTGCAGGATTTACAGAAAGCATGGCTGTGGAGACCCGAGGAAACTTACAGTCATGGCAGAAGGCAATGGGAAAGCAGGTACATCTTCCATGGCTAGAGCAGGAGGAAGAGAGAAGGGGAAGGTGCTACACACTTTTGAACAACACAATCTCATGAGAACTCACTCACTATCATGAGAACAGCAAAGAAGAAATATGCCCCCATGATCCACTCACCTCCTACCAGAGCCTTTCTCCAACAACGTGGATTACAATTTGACATGAGAACTGGGTTAGGACACAAATCCAAACCATACCACTGGCCAACAGCACATATTAAGAAAAATAAATTTTGAGTGTCACTATAAGTTTTAATAATAAAAGAACAGCATTTACTGCATAATTTCTCTCTGATTAATAAGTGCACCCCAGGTTAACTAATACTCATGTCAAAATCCTACACCAAATTAATCCTAAACCAACTTACAAATTCAATCCAGAAACCAACTCCTCCCAGCATACAAGGTTTGTGGATTCCATGTCATTATCTCATATCATTTGCCCTTATAGATATTACCTGCTGGATATCTGTTGAGGCAGCAACAACAAGTTATTACCCAGATATGTTCTCCCTTTCTTCCTTTTAGTAATAAGATCCACAACATTTCTGTTGGCCTGTGACCACCTAGATCCAGCCTCCTTGAAGCCAGGTGTAGCTAGTGACAGTGTGGTTAATGAGGTAGGAATTGAAGTGATATATGCAACATCCAGGTATCTCCTAAGAGCCAATGCTGCCTGCCCTGTACCTTCTCCATACACCTTATCATTTCCTTAGAAATGGAGATGATTGGGACAACGATGGAAACCACAGATTGAGAAAATTAGAGCTTTCCTGTTAACAGTGATCTACTTTCCACTGGACAGTTACTTTAGAAATAAATAAACTTCTCTCTTGATTGAATTTGTGTATTGGGAGTCCTTTAGTTGCAGTAGCATGGCCTGTGTCCCAACACACCGCATCATCAGCTGCAGAGGATGGACTAAGTTGGTCTCAATGTTGTAAGCCAGTGGTTTTCTAAACATTTCCCAGAATGAGCAACATCAGCATCACTTCAGAATGTTCGAAATGAAAATTCTTGAACCAAATTTAATACCTAGTGATTCAGAGTAGTAAGGCCCCCAAATCTGTGATTTAACAAGACTTTCATGTGACTGATGACCTTGAGAAACACAGGTCTAGACAAAAACACACGATGAAGCGTACAACCCGCAGTCTTTATTCAGGGTACCCAACAGAACATTGGTGAAGAACTATTCTGAGAGATGAAAGATCAAGTCTGAAATCAAGATAGCTGAAAGAAGGGATTTTCTATGCTAGGTCACTCAATGCTAAGCAATATTAGTAGAGCCCTACAAATTTAAAACACTGAAACACTTAAAACCTAGGGAATTGCAGTCTATTTGCAGTTGAATGGAGTGACCCATCCCAGAAAGTACTTTTCAATCACCTCACCATTAGATTAACAGTTGTCTATAACATGAAAGCTTGTATTATTCATTTGGTGTTCAATAAACATTTGTGAAAATAAGAGAAGGAAGAAATAAAGGAATGAAGGAAATAATGGAAAGAAAGAGGGAAGGAGGGAGATTATTAGTAAATATTTGTCGATTAAATTGATGACCAGACTATCACCTCATAATTGGAATGAATCCATCCCAATGTTAGCACTTTTTTTTTTTTTTTTGAGATGGAGTCTCGCTCTGTCGTCCAGGCTGGAGTGCAGTGGCACGATCTTGGTTCACTGCAAGCTCTGCCTTCCGGTTCACGCCATTCTCCTGCCTCAGCCTCCCAAGTAGCTGGGACTACAGGTGCCCGCTACCACGCCTGGCTAATTTTTTGTATTTTTAGTAGAGACAGAGTTTCACTGTGTTAGCCAGGATGGTCTGGATGTCCTGACCTCGTGATCCGCCTGCCTCGGCCTCCCAAAGTGCTGGGATTACAGGCGTAAGCCACTGTGCCCGGCCCCATTGTTAGCACTTTTTAAGTGGCTGAATTTCAGCTGAATTTTGGGCCATAGAGACCGAAGAATGAAAAGGATTTTTCCTGTTTGGTTCATGGAAGGAAAACTTTGTTTTAGAAAATGAATAATTTCATGAGAACATTTAAGACTACAGCTAAGAACATGTCAAACTAGCAAGAAAAAAATCTTTGATGAGGAACTCAGTTATCAATTTCCATACAAAGGCTTATCCAGCACAGGCATGCAGGTAGTTTACACATGGAGAAGTCAAAAGCAGCTTTTCAGTGTCTGGAAGCCAAGGCGAGTTCTAATCATTTAATCACTTCTGCTCCATATCTTTGTCCTCATTATCAAAAGACTCAGAAAAAGCCTAGCAGTGAGAGAAACAAGAAGCTGGGTCACACCTCTAGGACTTATTCCCAGACCCCAGTTTCGCCCCACAGGGTTAAGATGGCATCACACAGCCAGGTGCGGTGGCTCACATCTGTAATCCCAGCATTTTGGGAGGCTGAGGAGAGCGGATCACCTGAGGTCAGCCTAGCAAAAATGGTGAAACCCCATCTCTACTAAAAATACAAAAAAATTAGCTGGGCATGGTGGTGAGGCCCTGTAATCCCAGCTACTCAGGAGGCTGAGGCAGGAGAATTGCTTGAACCTGGGAGGCTGAGGTTGCAGTGAGCCGAGATCACGCCAGTCCACTCCAGCCTGGCGACAGAGCGAAATTCTGTGGAGAAAAAAAAAAAAAGACGGCATCACTCAAAGAATTGCTGAAAGAGGAGTGGGGAAAGCTCCATTGTGAGCATATGAAAGGGGCATGGAGGTTCTGGGTCACAGAAATTTGATAGAAAGTTGATGACACCCTAATGTCTAAAACATGTTGGCCAGAATCTCAGACACAAAGTGGTCATCAGTCTGCTTCTGAAATCTGAGTCAGAGCTAACTCAAAGAAAAATGTTAGAATGTAAAGGCCAAGGCCTTACCAGAAACAGGTTAGAAGGGTTGCAGGTCACTCTTCTCATCCACCAGCAGGGAACATGAGGTCCTGTAGCTCTATCTGTAACATACTCCACACTCTTAGGTGTTGTTGATGTTTCCTGGGAGAGTACCCTGGCAGAGCCTCGAGAGCTTGCTGAATGTCCACCTACACACCAAATTGAAGCAGCCACACACTTAGTTCCCATCCATTCACTTTCTGGGGTGCCAAAGAATGACACTGTCCAATTGGACTTATGGCTTGTGAAGAACCAGAGAAGCATCTTTTCCTCATTCCATAGGTTTCATTAAGCAGATTTTAAGGATAGTTCTCACTCTTCTGATCATTCTGGAGGGCTTCAATCTGGCCTCAAAATCCCCTGCAATAATCTGGCCATTTATTTCTTCATTTTTTCAGCTATTCGTTTAACACCTATCAACTATTAACACTTATTTCATACTCAGTTCTGTGTAAGGCTCTGGGAGAGTCACACTCCCAGGCTTTGAAATGTACTTTCAAACCAAGGGGACATAATTCAATGTATTAAAAGTGCCATGGAAGCAAGAAAAAGATCAAAAAGGAGAAAATCTAACCTGAACCAGAAAGAAAGGTTTAGCATTTACCAGGAAGAGAAGAGCAGGAGAGCAGTCCATGCAAAGGGCACAGCACCAGCAAAACAGGTGGAAAATGTCTTCTGTATCAGGTGAAGTATAAAGCATCCCATGTGGTTAACAGCACTGAGTGCATGGGGTCAGGGTTAGAACATGAGGCCAAAAGAATCTGTTGGGGCTCCATTTGTGAACATGGCTTCAACATAAATGGAAAAATATTCTAGAGTCCCCTAGTATGCACCAGGGTATACCCCAGTCTGAATTTCATTACACAATAAACAGAGCTCACTCCATTCCCCATTCCAATTATCTCTACTTCCTACTCTTTTGGAATCATGTGATTCAGGGCTTTTAACTGTTGGCCTTGAGGAAGGAATAATTAAACTGGTGACTGGGAAAGCCTGAATCTTTCAATCTTGAATGCCAAGGATTGCAAGACACAAGAAGCTTTTGAGCAAATAGCAAAGGTTAAAATAAGCAAATTTCCTTTCTCAACCTTGACAATATTTACTCTACTCTCCTGGCATTCAATGTGAGTAGATGCAGCTCTGAATTGGAAGAGGGATGAAATTCAAAACAGATTGTGAAAGTTTAGGCTTGGAGAAAGGAATGTTTTGTGATCTTTATGGATATTGCTTTAAAAAAAAAACAGTACGTACATCATTGACTTCGGCTTCTGGACCTAAAAGGGAGAGATTCTCTGAGCTCTCTTCTACTATGGTATTAATACAACTAGGTCCCAGAAATACTATAATTCACTGCTGGGTACAAGAAAGAAAGAAAAATCTATTGGAAAACAGTAAAATAAGGTTAGAAATGTCAGCAACAAGCAAACACAATGCCAATGTTATGTTGGAGCCAATGTAAATTGGTAATAGCAATGGGTCAGGAACCTATTTTAGTCTCCTCAAGGTGGAAGAGCTGAACTACAGTCCCACTTGGCTGTACAAAGGGGTTCAGGTGGCCCCCTATCAAGAGCAACCCAAAGACTCCAGGCAGAAAAAATGAAAACATCTCTGCAAGAAATATAAACTAAAGTCACTAAGAAATAACACTGCACAACTGTCATATTGGCAAAAAATATTTTTAATAAGTTTCATAAGAAATGGTAAGACTAGCAATGAGGATTCTTATACATATATTTCTAGTAAAGATGTAAATTGAAACATGAATCTTAGACCACAACTTGGCATAAAAGTATTTGTAATGTATTTATAATTCTTAGAGAAACTCCAGGAAATACATAGACCAATATTCATAGTAATATTGTTCACAATAAAAAAAAACAGAAACAACTCAAATGTCCACTGGAAGAATTAATTTTTATATAGTTATATAATCAGACAACAAAATGTTATAGTGCATTGTTTTTTAAATCAAGAACTAAAACTAGAAGCAGAAATAATTTTAACAAATTCTTTTGATTTTTAAGCCAAACTTTTATATCTCATATTATGCTTGAGAGTTTTCTTCAAAGATACGATATAAATTATTTACTCTGGTAACTTCAACCATATTCTTGGAATTGTGTGAATGTGTTTCCTACAGTACGTCTCTGTGCATTCTGAAATCACTAGGTGATTTTTTTTAAATAATACTAAATCTGGGAGGGAAGGACATAGTAATTTCTCAATTAATATTTGTTGGTTACTTAAGTCAAATAAACTTTGTGTGTCTATATGATTAATAAGGGATCCTCCAAGAACTATAAAGTATCCAAGAACTAGCACTCAGTTACCTGAGTCTCCAGGACCACCATCTTAAGGGTTATCCTCAGAATAGAGAAGGATTTGCTCTAATTGATCTGTGTCTAAGATATTAAAGACCTCACAGATTTATACATATATAGTGCACACATTTACCCTGTCTCTGCCTACTGAGAAGGCCTAAAAACAATGACTCATAGTAGCAATGAGAAATCTCATGCCAAGTTTTTGCTTTCTAAATGCCATTTCTTACTAAAACGATCCAGAGATCCTCTGCAGAAATGGCTGATTTCAGGGCTGCTTTAGAGAAAGTACAAGATGAGCTTGGAACATCTTGTTTACCCAGAAAGTCAGGAAATGTTGACAGAATCAAAGGACCACATCAAAAAGTCACAGGAGCCAGCCTAAAGAAAAGCCCATTGGCCAAATCTAGGACAATCTGAGCAGCAAACTAATAATGGTAATGGATTATAATCCACTGAATAAAATAATACATGATTTCATTCTGATATGAGTAAATAAATAAAAGGAAAATCTCTCCCTTATAGTATAATAACAACTAATAAATGCAGAAAGAAAGATGGACTGTAAAAATCATCAGTGGATGCTAAAACTGGAAGTAAAATCTTGCTATGAAACAATATTTTTATGTATTCACATAATATCTTTTTACAGATATTGATTAATTACCAAAAAAGTAGATTTACAGTGGAGAATCCTGACATCACCAGTATTAGAACAATCTGATATCATGCAGCTCTGGGTACAATGGCCTAAGAAGTAGATGGCATCTCTTCAGTTGTTTTCTTACCAAAAATAACTAAATACAAAAACAAATTAGAAAACATCAGATAACCCCAATTAAATGTCATTCTAAAAAATAATTTAGTTAACTCAATTATTCTACAAAATAATAATAAAATCATCAAAGTCAAGAAAAATGCAGGCTGTGGAAATGTCCTAGATAGATTGAAACTAAAGAGACATAAGAACTTCCATGCTCCTAGAATAGATCCTGAACCAGGGAAAAGCCATAACACATACTGGATAGGAAAACTGATGAAATCTGAATAGCCGGTAGATTAGATAATAGCATTATATCAATAGTAAGTTTCCTGATCTTGACAATAAAGATAATGTTCTTTTTTAGGAATACATGCTGAATTATTGAGGGATAAAAAGGTACAAAGTCTCAACTTACAAATGGTTCAGGAAAAAATGTTTAAACACACATAAGGAAAATAAGCCCATATAAATACAAATATACATACTGAGAGAGAGAAAGAGAGAGAGAGAAAAGATGGTGAAACAGAAACAGAGGAACCTAGCTGATTCCTGAATAAAAGGTTTTCAATGACTGGCCAGAAATAGTTGCCCCCTCACAAACTAATGCCTATTCTCATGATTCACCCCAAATTCTCTCATGGATTCTGTACCCTAACAAGAGGTAGAGCCCTTGCATAATCCAGACAGACTAATACAAGAACAGCTCCAAAGGATACAGTCTACACACTGAAAAAGATGCAATGTGTATGGCAGGGCAGGGAAACATGAATGGATGTAGATTCTGAGTATCAGATCAAGAAGAATGAGGCATAAGGTTTGACCCAGCTGAATTAATTGTCAAGAGTCTGTTCACCCAGGATTCAAGAAAAATGTACTATGTCATAAACATGGCAGTGGTGTTAATAGTCTGATAAGTTGGTCAATTGAAGCTGAATCTCGAAAATTATCTACGTTAGAGGTCAGCAAACTATGGCCCATGAGCCAAATCCTGTTCACCATCTGTATTTGTAAATAAAGCTTCATACGAATGAAACTAAATTCATTTATTTCCATATTATCTGAGATTACTTGTGAACTCAAATGACAGAGCTGAGCAGCTGAGACAGAGACTATATGGTCCTCATAGCCTAAGATATTCACTGTCTAGCCTTTTACTGAGAAAGTTTGCTGACCCCTGCTCTGCATCACTGAGGTCAAAATGCTGGAACATTTTGAGTACTAGAGAGGAAGAAGCTCTAATGGCAAATGAGAGATTGGAATGAATCTGTTATAAGTAATTTGCTCACCACTTCTAACCATAATCCATGGGCTACCCAGAGAATGCTTCCTTTACCAAGGCATTGATGAGAACAACACCAAGAGGCTGAAAAACTGTATTGGCCAGAGATAACGATGCTGCATTAAAATTTGTCTTCCTGATTTCAGTGGAAATAATGGGATCCCAGAGGGGTAGAGACAAGGCATTTGCACTAACCACAAGCAATAAGGTGCATGCAATTAAACAATAACCCTCTGGGAAAAATGGGGCCAGACTGTTTTGGCCCAGAGGGATTTGTGGGGATGGTAAATTGCTCATGGAATCCCTAGATATGAAGCAGATGGGCTGTAAATTAAGGTATATCTGTACGTGTGTTTGCAGAAATATTCTGGATATGGTCATCAGAAATTTAAATCAACGGAGTAGGGATTTATGGTCTTTTATCCAACCAGGGCAATCAAATTCACAAACTCAGAAGTGCTGCCTTGACTGAGGGAGAGGCTTGGACCCTCGGGGAAGGTCCATACAAGACAAGGAGGAGTGTTTCCCAGTCCTTTCCAGACACATATCTGTGGCCATTTTACTAGGTCGACTATGCACTAAGAAAAGGAAAATACTCAGGCCTTCTGAGGCTTATTAGAGCCTGGTTCTGATCTGCTGCTAAGCTCAGTCACTGAAACACCACCACTGCCCAGAAAGGATATTTATGCAGTCTTGGCTCCAGTTCCTCTAACAATTTATCACTGGGTCCAGTGGAGAGAGTGAGATCAGGGTATTTATTCCCCCAGCTCCCTGCAATGTAATCACAGGCTGCCTGCCTCTCTTACTTCAAATTCACAGCTCTGGTCTCCATGTACATTTCTCTTTTTCTAAGTTCTAGTAACCATTTTTTACCCTTGCCCCTTCAGGCATAGCCATGGTAAATGTACCTTGCCATTACTACTTCTAAACTCTGGTTTTCCTAAACTCTAACCACATACCTTTGTAAAAAGTCCCCAAATTAAATTCTCAAGTTATAGTCACAATACTGTGTAACAAAATTTGCAACACTTCAGTAGCATTCAACCATAAGCACTTATTGCTTGAATCTCAGGTATCAGCTAGGCTATCAACTAGTGAATCCTTGGTCAGGGTTGTGTGTATGTCTGACAGCTGTCTGATGGCTGATCTCAGACAGCCTCAGCTCTGTTCTCCGTGCTTCTTGACCTTCAGGAGGTTATCCTGGGCATGCTCCCACGGTGTTGCAAGAGGCATAAGAAAGGAAGCCCCAATGCATAGGATTCTACTTGTATCCATTCTGCTAATACTGCCTTGGCCAAAGCAAATCACAAGGTTGAGCCCAGTGCCAAAAGAAAAAGGAGGTAAGGAGATATGGCAGGTCACCCTGCCTGTAATGAAAAAACTCTGCAAAATCACATATCAGAGGGGACAAGTGGAGGAAGAATAAAGAATTCAGACCATCATTGCAAACCAGTACATTCCTCAAATTACTCAATTTGAATGTGCCATCTTTTCCTGATAGAGCCCTGTCTAGTTTGTTTAGAGAGATTAAGAAGGTACTTGAGTTTACCCACTAACAAATCAAAGCTGCGAAACACACCATGTAGACTACCTATGGTATCCATAATAATAACCATTGTCTTGTCTTGGTTATTAACACAAACAGAAGTAACTACCACCAAAGGACAAAGGCAAACTGGTAGAGGCAAACCAACTTTCAGAAGTGAAGAAGCTGCACCACTGGTCAGGTCCAATAGATGAGCATGGGAAATAAAACAGAAAATAAGGTGGCATTTGGAAGCAGGTAAGAGCAGACACAAATGGAACAGAAATATGAGAATCTTCTGGAAGGAAAAATCTCGTGACATTAAATATGAACAATCTGGGGAAGGCCCAGAATTTACATTTATTGGGTCTCTCTACATGGTAGTTCTAATTGATCTACAGGTACAGACTCATGTAGTACAATAGGGAATAACAAAATTTGCAAACATGGAAACTTTATTAAAGTTCTAGAAAGTCATATAGACTTCTTTCCATCATCACACCTATACTTGCTGGCTCACTTCCTTGATCATTGCTCTCCTGCATCCCTCTTTGACACTCTTATTCTTTCTCATGTTGACCTCTCTTCTTCTCAATGTTCTTTCTTGTCCCTTTTCTTGTCTACTGGTCTTAAAGATGCAAGTAAAACAAAATTAGGAGTGGTGTGTCCTAGTATGTATTTATGTGTTTCAGAAGCTGTCCCGGTTCGCTGTCACCCCTTTCAATGGGTTCTCTCTCATTTTCTCATTAGATGGGAGGACTAATGTAAAACTCCTTAAGTTAATCACTAGTGTCACAGTGAGGCAAGGAAACTCAGAAGCCAAGCTGAACATGAGGAAGCCATAGCTTATACAGCAAGTTACTGCCTTAGGCCATAGGAAATTCTTATCTGAATGCTCTTTCACAATTTCTTTATGGTGCACTCAGGAAAACCACGTGTGTCTATGTTTGGGTCAAAGTAAAAAAGAGAAAACAAAAACCTTTCCCTACCCTATTTGGTCAGTAGTGGTGTCAAGTGGAAATGAGGCAAGAGAAGGGATGGGTAGGGAAGAATATCACGAAATGTTACAAAGACACAAGCTATGGCATTTGGAGACAGCTTACACGAAGGTCTCCAAATATCCTTTCATTATCAGAAAAACACACTTCTGCAAACATAACAGGCTACAATTTTCTGCAAGTTCTCATTAATGTTTGACTTTTAACAGATTGCCAAGCACAAGCCAAAATGAAATGTCATCTTTAACAATATAATATGATTTAAAATCCTGTAGAATGCCTACATGACAGATCAACCTTCACATGAAATCTCCTCTATAACAATATTCTGTGTAATCATGCATATTTTGCATTCCACAGTCAGTGTAACACATAGGTAGAATATTGGCAGTCTGAAAAATAGTAAAAATATTGCCAGGCATTAAACTTTTCTGGATACAAATCACATCTTTCATAAAAAAATAAATTCTAGAATGTTCAAGGATGGCATTGGAAGAGGTTCCTCATGTAAGGATGGCAGCTGGACCTCACATCTCACTTGTTTTCCCTGGGATCATTTTCTCCTTTCTTAATTCCAATGCTACCACTGCTAAGGGCAGAAAATACTGTTGTTCCTTGATTTTGTATCCTGAGACTTTGCTGAGGTTGCTTATCAGCTTAAGGAGATTTTGGGCTGAGACAATGGGGTTTTCTAGATGTACAATCATGTCATCTGCAAACAGAGACAATTTGACTTCCTCTTTTCCTAATTGAATACCCTTTATTTCCTTCTCCTGCCTAATTGCCCTGGCCAGAACTTCCAACACTATGTTGAATAGGAGTGGTGAGAGAGGGCATCCCTGTCTTGTGCCAGTTTTCAAAGGGAATGCTTCCAGTTTTTGCCCATTCAGTATGATATTGGCTGTGGGTTTGTCATAGATAGCTCTTATTATTCTGAGATATGTCCCATCAATACCTAATTTATTGAGAGTTTTTAGCATGAAGCGTTGTTGAATTTTGTCAAAGGCCTTTTCTGCATCTATTGAGATAATCATGTGGTTTTTGTTTTTGGTAAAAATCACAATCATTCTTATACACCAATAACAGACAAACAGAGAGCCAAATCATGAGTGAACTCCCATTCACAATTGCTTCAAAGAGAATAAAATTGCTAGGAATCCAACTTACAAGGGACGTGAAGGACCTCTTCAAGGAGAACTACAAACCACTGCTCAATGAAATAAAAGAGGATACAAACAAATGAAAGAACATTCCATGCTCATGGGTAGGAAGAATCAATATCGTGAAAATGGCCATACTGCCCAAGGTAACTTATAGATTCAATGCCATCCCCATCAAGCTACCAATGACTTTCTTCACAGAATTGGAAAAACCTACTTTAAAGTTCATATAGAACCAAAAAAGAGCCCACATCGCCAAGTCAATCCTAAGCCAAAAGAACAAAGCTGGAGGCATCACGCTACCTGACTTCAAACTATACTACAGGCTACAGTAAACAAAACAGCATGGTACTGGTACCAAAACAGAGATATAGATCAATGGAACAGAACAGAGCCCTCAGAAATAATGCCGCATATCTACAACTATCTGATCTTTGACAAACCTGAGAAAAACAAGCAATGAGGAAAGGATTCCCTATTTAATAAATGGTGCTGGGAAAACTGGCTAGCCATATGTACGAAGTTGAAACTGGATCCCTTCCTTACACCTTATACAAAAATTAATTCAAGATGGCTTAAAGACTTAAACATTAGACCTAAAACCATAAAAACCCTAGAAGAAAACCTAGGCATTACCATTCAGGACATAGGCGTGGGCAAGGACTTCATGTCTAAAACCCCAAAAGCAATGGCAACAAAAGCCAAAATGGACAAATGGGATCTAATTAAACTAAAGAGCTTCTGCTCAGCAAAAGAAACTACCATCAGAGTGAACAGGCAACCTACAAAATGGGAGAACATTTTCGCAACCTACTCACCTGACAAAGGGCTAATATCCAGAATCTACAATGAACTCAAACAAATTTACAAGAAAAAAACAAACAACCCCTTCAAAAAGTGGGCAAAGGACATGAACAGACACTTCTCAAAAGAAGACATTTATGCAGCCAAAAAACACATGAAAAAATGCTCACCATCACTGGCCATCAGAGAAATGCAAATCAAAACCACAACGAGATACCATCTCACACCAGTTAGAATGGCAATCATTAAAAAGTCAGGAGACAACAGGTGCTGGAGAGGATGTGGAGAAACAGGAACAGTTTTACACTGTTGGTGGGACTGTAAACTAGTTCAACCATTGTGGAAGTCAGTGTGGCGATTCCTCAGGGATCTAGAACTAGAAATACCATTTGACCCAGCCATCCCGTTACTGGGTATATACCCAAAGGACTATAAATCATGCTGCTATAAAGACACATGCACACGTATGTTTACTGCGGCACTATTCACAATAGCAAAGACTTGGACCTAACCCAAATGTCCAACAATGATAGATTGGATTAAGAAAATGTGGCACATATACACCATGGAATACTATGCAGCCATAAAAAATGATGAGTTCATGTCCTTTGTAGGGACATGGATGAAATTGGAAATCATCATTCTCAGTAAACTATCGCAAGGACAAAAAACTAAACACCACATGTTGTCACTCATAGGTGGGAATTGAACAATGAGAACACATGGACACAGGAAGGGGAACATCACACTCTGGGGACTGTTGTGGGGTGTGGGAAGAGGGGAGGGATAGCATTAGGAGACATCCCTAATGCTAAATGACGAGTTAATGGGTGCAGCACACCAGCACAGCACATGTATACATATGTAACTAACCTGCACAATGTGCACATGTACCCTAAAACTTAAAGTATAATAATAATAAAATAAAAAGAAAAAGAAAAAAGAAAATACTGTTGTTCCACATTTAATGCTCTGGTCCAAACCCTGCAGTCCAAACCACAGCAAAAATCACACTGAAACATTTAAGTAAAAATGTTGTGAGAGTTGAGTATCACAAAAAGAAAATCTGCTCAGAAGGTAACATTAAACTAGATACATGTGTAATGGCTACAATATTTTATAACTAATATAACCGTGTATTTTTAATTCCCTACAGCTCTCTCATGCAGTGAATCAAGGGTTTTTACTGCTTTCGTGGAAGAACCCATAATACCTTGGAAAAAAATTATTCAGATTTGAGTGTTAAATCATATTTGTTCAATTCATAGTGAGAAAATAGCCTTGAAAGCCTGGTTTCTTTTAGCAAGAGCACCCCTACATACCCCTCCAGGAACACACACACACGCAAACACACACATGCCCCCTAATTTCCAAAAGCTTCTCTTCAAATATTGAGAAACTGGGTGTCAGCTGGAGTACTTACTGGGAAGTGCCCACATTCAGTGGACTCGCCTCGGGCTCCTCCCTTCCAGTAGACCTCTGTGTGGGTCTGCAGCGCAGCACAGATGGCTCTGTCCGCATCACTACCTGTTTACAAGGCCATGGCTGTGATTATGGAGACACCTGGAGTTAAAACAGAGTTGCCTCACTGATTACAAGGAGCCGACACAGTGTTATTTTGCATATTTGCACAATATTTTGCTCTGTCTTATTTATTGAAATTTGTAAAGATGTCACAGATTGTGACTTGAATGTTTCAGCATATGTCATCTTACGGTTTCAGCAGATGATGATGCTGAGTCACAACAGATGACTTATTTCCTGGGCTTGTCCTTAAATTGTCTTCTATGCCCAAATCGCCTATAGACAACTTTTAAAAATTAAATTCAAATAAAATTAAGTTTAAACCTTTGAGAAAAGGTGAAGCCCAAACTTGCATGGTTTAAACTAAATACTTCGAGTGGAACTAAAATATTTTCCGGAATTATCTGAACAATTCCGGAGTCACTTTTTCTCTGCCAACATAGCTTCAGAGGAATTAACTAGCAACAGAAAATTCTGAGAGAATTAACTCATTTTTATATTTTAAAAAGGAAAAATTCCTGTGGATGTATCTACAGACTAAAGAAACTACAATTTTCCATTTTCTATTGGTTACTATACTTACAGATGGCTACTGAGAAAATATGTCTTCCACATAAGCAAAACAAAGTTTATGTCTATGCATATGACTAAGTTTTGTGTATATTTTCTATATATAAAAGTGCATTAAAAACTGGATATCTGTAAGTTCATTTTATGTTTTAATTTTTGAGACAAGGTAATTTCAAAGAATCATTCTATTAAATGTAAGTAAAATATTATTAATTAAGATTTCTATATTCCCTGAAGTGGCTTTTAATTCTTATTTTAGTATTATGGTTTTTATTACCAATAAAAATTAAAGGTGCACATTAAATATCTAACATAGTTATGATCTGAATACACTACAAAATGTTTATTGTTATGTTAAGTCAACTAAAAATCAAAATACTTTGAATAGTTAAATACATACCTAAAGATAGTATTTATTTCTCATTCATATATGGAATCAATAGCAATTAAGTTTAAATGTCATTGAGAGAAAAGACCACATGTCATACATCTTTTTTAGTTAAGTCTCAATAAACCCCAGGGTAGGAAAAAGATGTGAGAACAGAGAGAAAAATGGGATTTGTGAGCAACTTGTTCATAGGCAAAGCCATGAAAGTGATTGAGATTACCCAAAGATAGCATAGACAGCATAGACAGTGACAAGAGAGGTAGAAGGAGAACAGAATCCTGGGACACCAACATTTGAAAGGCAGGAAGAGGAGGAGAGCAGGGAGTCCATAAAGCAGACTGATAAAATTTTGCAAAGCTCTAAAAAAACTCCAAGAGAGAAGGGTGCCATTAGGAAATAAACATGGCTGAAGAAAAAAAATTGAGATAAGAACACATGATGAGTAAGAAGGATTTTAAAAGTGTTTGGAAAAAAAAAAGAGTGGGCAAGGTGTGTGCCTGCATGCCACACACATGTGAGTGTTGGCCTTTGCTGTGCTGTGCTTATAGTTGCTGAGCAATTAGTACAGTGAGTGGTGATTGGCTTAGGATGAGAACTCTTCCATGTGTGCCAGATAATGCCAACATGACCAGGAGGTAGTCTGTTGTTGAGTGAGCTATTTATATGAACACTCAAGCCAAAACTGAGCTTTGTCTATGGAGGCAGACTGATGTAGAGAGGAATTATAGGTAATGACTAAGGGCACTGTGCTGAAGTCAGACTCACTGGATTCATATTCTGATTCACTTACTTACATCCTTGACCAAGAGAATGCCATCAGCAGAGCAGGGATAATAAAAGCACCGAACTAGTAAGATGGCTATGAGGATTGACTGAGGCGATACACATGAAGCCATTAGAGTAGTGCCTGGCAGATAGTAGGTGCTTAATTAATGTTAGCTACCATTTGGAATGAATTGTGACACAGTGCTCTTGACACTATGTGTCAGACAAATTAATTCATATGGCTTAAACTCTAGTCTTTTCACATGTCAGTAGATGTCTGTCCTTCACCAACCAGTGCGCACCAAGGATGTCACATTCCTATTTAATATACACATAATGCCCAATTTCTGGAGCTAATCTGTCCCGTTATCTCACAGTGCTTTTGTGCATGTGCAGGAGTGAGTTCTCGAGCTTTCTGGTCAAGTCTTATGATGCCAACACCATCAGTGAGCCTCCTCTGGGGACTACTCTGCTAGGCTCTGAAGGCCTCCATAGGGATGGGCTGTTGTCACCACCTTTGAAAAGGGGCAGGGCTACCCACCCCCATTAGCACTCAGGAGATGGGAACCTCCTTTACTTCCCCACAGCACAGCTCATATCAACCTCTCACAAGGCTCCACAGAGCATGCACAGATAACAAAAAGCCCAATACAGATTAGCGTATAACTAATTTACTTCCTGATACAGCTGCCCCTGGACCCTTGAAGCCACCTTGTGTTCAGAATCTGTCTCAGGATTTCTCACCATCCCCACATAGCAGGGACACCTTGTACATCTTAAGCTGTGAAATCCAGGCCTGACTTTCACAGCCTCAGAACAAAGAAGGATTGTACCCGTCCTCCAGTCCATGGTTCACCTTCTCAGTATCTCTGTAATCCCTTGCAAAGATGGCTGCCCTTCTCTAATAATCTTCCCCTGAAATGTAGAAACTTAGTTCTTTATTCAAAGCACATGTACACTCAGGGCAGGGCTACAAAAGATGGTATTTCACAGGCAAAGTCGCCTACAGCATACAGGTGGCATTTCTTTCTAGCATTCCAGGGAGCATGCATGTGGATCTGGTCAGGCAGAGGTCTCAATCCCACAAGCAAGAGGGGACACCTGATCTTTCTGGGGATGCTCTTTGCTGATCTTCCTCTGCACTTTGGTTTGAGACTAAATGTGTACAGTGACATCTTCTGCCAACCCTTGATTAGGTGTCATGGGCACAGGTAGCCCATCTCTCTACCTTTCTCCAACCACCTAGTTATCAGGCTGACTTCTTCACTCCTCTTCCAGGACCTCATCTGACTCACTCTGCTCAAGGGGTCACTGTGACTTATCTCAGTAGTGTCCATTGAGTGTCCTCAACACTCTAAGGAAATGGCCATCTCCCTACGGCTAAGACTAAATGGTGGATATTTTCATTTTATAAGTATGTAAGAAGAGCCTCAGGAACTTTCACCTTTAGGTGTTGGGCAATGCCCCTCCAGACTGGGATGGATGTTGAGGATCCACCTTGAACAATTGGAGCTCTACTCACTGACTAAACTTCTGCTAAGAGGACTGCAGAGTGTCTTACTCTTGCTATCATGCATGGTCTCCTCCCTCCCTCTCTTTAGCTCCAGGACACCAGGAAATTTGCTTTGATATTCCTGCAGATCAGCATGCCCTGGAACACCCCACTAAGGAGAACCCCAGCCAGCAGCCACTTGGAAGTGCTTGGAATAAAGCCTATTTGTAGTTGATGGAGTAAGAACCACTAATCAAAATTAATTTTCATAAATGTGATACTAGAAGGAAGGAAATAAACAGAACAGTAACTTCAAGAACACATCAATTTTAGGAGAGAGGATATTTCACTCAATTTTCATTTCACTCAAAAAAAAATGCTAAGAATGTACTATGTTCCAGGCACTGAACCAGGTACTGGGGGGCTGGGGGGGAAGTTGAGGTTGTAGCCATGAGCAACAGCAGGTGCCTCAGTCCTCACATGGTTAGAGTCAGTGTAGAGTGGGGGAGAGGTAGACATTAATTAAGTAATCACACAAACAAACATAAAATCACAATTGTTAGAAATGCTGTGATGAAAGGTTAAAAGGTGCTATAAGAACATATAATAATCATTCCTGAACATACTCAGAGTATTCACATAAACGCTCCCTAAGGAAGGGATGCCTAAACTGAGACATAAAGGTTGGGGAGGAGGAGAGGAGGAAAGAAGAAAAGAGAGACCACAAAAGCCACATATTTCTTTAAGCAAATCATCTTTAAGTCTGGATGTGCAGAGGCATTTTATTACCACATGTAATATGTGTTATGGATATTATTATTATAATATGTGTACATAAAAATATATTTGCACATAGTATATAAGCAGAATTATCTTATTTTCAAAATCACCAAAAATGATCTTTTTGAATACCTTAAACAAATTATCCAGGACCAACAAGTCTTGCTAGGATAAGGGCACTTAAAAGTCGATGAGGGTTGAGGAGAACTTAGAACCTGGCTTCTGAATTCCCAAGCACTAGCATTGGCTTTCCATAAATTAAATGGCCTTGAACACGTCACTCAGTCCTTCAGAATCTCATTGCTCACTTGTGAAATTTCAGTGTTATAATAAATTATATTGAACTTCCTTTCAAATTCCAAAATTATATATTTCTGTAGTTATTACCTGCAGTATCTAGAGACCTAAAATTAAGATTAAATAGTTACCCAAAGACTTCCACAGTATGAATACCTATGTAAAACAGCTAGGAAGAAAATTAGCTCAATCCTACTTGGAGTTAAGAATGGCTTATACCTTAAATTAGGCACTTTAAAAGACTAGAATAGGAATAAGTTTTTTCACTAAGCTCTTTTTTTAAATATATCAATTTTGGGAAATGGAATCCATTTTGAAAGTCTGGCAGAAATATATGCTAATGGAGTTCAGGATGTAAAGGAACTGGAAACATCTTGCAGTGTTACAACTCATTAAAGTACTTACTAGACCACAGAGTACAGCATCTGAGAAGAAAATAGGGCTCTGAACACTTTTCTTAATTAAAATTCTCTATTTAATTCAATTGAAATATATAGTAAAAAAGAAATAAGATGAAAATTCAAAGCAGAATAGTCATTTAGAAATACTACCCTAAGTCCTGGCTATTTGTTTTTCAACTTGCAGGGTATTTCAAGTTGCAGAATCATGATGTAGTTAAAAATATAATGAGGAATTGGCACTGGTAGCTTTATAGGAATTCAAGATTGGTTTTTGGTTTTCATGCATCAAGCTTTTTGTTATTTAAACTTTGTTACTGTCATCATTTATCTAGCTGTTGAATTTAACCTTTGAACACCACAGACTGCAAGACTATACAGCGTGCTTGCAAATAAGTGAAAACCGTTACTGGGCCCAGTGATCCATAGGGCATGTCATTCTACGGTGAAGTTTGCATGAAATGAGCCCTCTTTTCTTGTGCATGTGTTGTTAAGCTGAGCATAAACTGCCCAATTTATAAACCACTATATATGAATTTACTTATATGATTCCCAATGCAAAAATAAAACACTTAAAGCCTAGTCAACACACAGATAAGGTAGAGAGGCATTTGAATAATTATAGAATATGTGGGCTGGATGAGACCTCGAGGTCTTCTAGATGAGTGTTTCCCAAATGTGCCTGAAAATAAAAATCATCTGAAAGCATGTTTAAAATGTCTAAAAATTATAAACTGACAAAAAATAATTGAGTTCAAACTCTAGAATCTGAATTCGAATTCTCAGTGCAAAAAGCTTTGACTAAATGGTTACAAGTGCTCTCAGGTAATATCTGAGAAAACCTGATCCAGTCCAACTTTCTACCTGAAATTTCAATCCCAGCTTATGTGGTTCCTAATATTTATGTTCATTAAAATCGCCTGGTGCATTGTTTCTGTTTTTATATTGAGTCCAGTGCTTCTTCCCCAGACATAACTGAATTAGAAGAACCTCTAGGGGCTGTGATGGTTAATTTTATGTCAACTTAACTAGGTTAAAGGATACCCAGTTAGCTGGTAAAACAGTATTTCTAGGTGTGTCTGCAAGGGTGTTTCTTGAAGAGATTACATTTGCATTGGTAGACTGAGTAAAGATCACCCTCACCAATGCAGTGGGCATCATCCAACCCATGGAGGGTCCAAATAGAAGAAAATGGCAGAGGAAGGACAGATTTGCTCTCTTTTCTTCAGTGAAGACATCATCCATCTACTCCTGCCCTGTGACATCAAAGCCCCTGGTTTTTGGGCCTTCAGACTCAGACCAGGACCTACATCACTGGCTCCCCTGGCTCTCAGGTTTCGGGGCTCGGACTGGAACTATACCACAGGCTTTCCTGGGTCCAGCTTGCAGACAAAAGGTTGTGGGATTTCTCAGCTTCCATCATTGAGTGAGCTAATCCCTCATAATACATCTCTTTTGTGTATATCTCTATGCATCCTACTGGTTTTGTTTCTCTGAAGACCCTAATACAGGGGTTTGTAATCTGTTTTTGTTTTATTTTGTTTCATTCTGTTGCGGGGCTGGGGGTGGTGTTTGCCTGTTTATTAGTGTGCCCCAGATAATACTGAATCCCAGGCTGGCTTGGAAGCAGCCCTCAGCCTCACTTTCCCTAACACAATTTAGACCATCTCTGCTTGGACACCTCCAAGCCAAGAGCTCAATCACTCCCCACAACGTAATTACAAACATTTTGTTTTCTCTACCTAGAAAAACTCAAATTTCTCCACTCTCCTTTTGCATACAAACAAACCTAATCTATGAAACAAGTACATAATTTTTTTTCCTACAATCAATGTATTGACAGTGAGTTGGAATAAAGTTTTTGTGTTGTGACAACATTCTCTTCAGGGCAAGATGGGAGGAATGGAAAGGGGAAAAGGAAAATCTAGTCAAAACCTGTTATTTGGCAATGTGCATGAAAAACAATTAGTTGACTGGCGAAGTTTGTAATGCTAACTAATAAATCCATCAGAAACAGCTATTTACAAAAAAATACAGCATTACACATTTTGAATACTATAAAACAGCTATTTAGGAATCTCTTTGAAGAAAAACATTTCATTAAATGAACATATTTCTTATCTAAATTGATGTTTTGAACCTCCCTAATATTCTGAGAGATCACTAGAAACTTACCAGACTGAATTTTTACTTTTATTTCAGCAAATATATATTGAAGACTTTCTATGTTCAGGCAGCCTTCTTGACACTGGGGATGCAGCAGTAAACAAGATTGTCCAAAAACTCTACCCTGCTGCAACCTCCATTTGGGATGGGATTGGAAGGAAATAACCTATAACAAAATAAACACATATAATAAAATATCTGGCAAAAATGAAGCAATGAGGAAAATAAATCAGGATAAGCAGATAGAGAATGACTGGAAGACTTTTACGGAACACAGCATCCAGCACATCACTATTAACTGGCATTGATTAGTATGATTTATGGATGTGCATCATTTTCTTTCACATATGATGTTAATGATTCTGGCAATTCTGCTTTCCTCATTTATGGATGTAGCTTTTAAAGAAACTGCAACCTGCTCCAAACAGAGAGTTTCACTGGTCAAACCCAGCTTTCTGACTGCACATACCAAGGCAGGGCCTGTCACTGTTGCTGATTTTCCTAGCCTCACAGGCTGCTCAATACCTTGAATCAAAATGAGCCACCCCGTCACATGCCATGTGCCATGTCAGCTCACTGACAACACCCCTCATTCATCACTAATGGCAGCCCCTGGGTGTCATGTCAACATTTCCGGATGGGCTTCTCGGTGAATGCCTCTGTGGAGGTTTTTTTCACCCATCTTATCACCAAGCAGCTGCTCCAGAGTCCTGAGCATCCATCCTCAGCCAGTGTGCAACCAGGCAAAGAGGCACACATGGCACTGTTTGCACACTGGCTGCTTTCCAGGGCAGCTGGTAAAGGCTAGTGTGGTGCTGTGTTGCTATGTATTTATACAGTGATAATCACCTTTGAGGCATGGCTACAGGCTGATCAAACGGTATGTCCAAACTAAACCTGGATACATTCACTACGTCTCTATCTCTTTTTGAAGAGAGAAGCAGGAAAAAGTGAGGCACAAAGAGATGATAGAAATACTAGCTTACAAAAACAGAATTAGCAAGCTTAAAATGTCTTGTATCGCCTATTGTGGTGCTGACAAACATGGTGATCCTAAGAGGCCTGGCCAAATATGCCACATACTTTAACTGAGTTACATATACACATCACATCTTTTATGTTTATAGATTGTTTAGATTGAAAGCCCTTTTATAGACATTGTATCATAGTATGTTCACTTGGTTTTCATTGAAAATATTTTTGACTGCATCATAAAAATAAAAATTTAATAAAATAACATTTTAAAATCTGTTGTTTAGAAAATTTGACTCTATTACCCAGAGACAGACTATGTCTACAGTTAACTCAAAATTATCTGTGTCCACAGACAGAAACAATGGAATATATTGTAGATAATCTAAAATCCAGTTATACCATACTGTACCACGGAATTCAATTAACTGTATAAGGGATGTATCAAATGTTTTGTTTCACCCATTTCACAACAAATTCTTTCTTCTCCACTAGTTACTGCTGCCCTGACCTCATCTTGAAACTCCCCTGAATTTTCTGTCTACTTCATGCATGACTCCTTTTCTTGCTCCCTTTCTCTAAAGACAAATATGTCCTAAGGTTCAAGATACGTGTTTGGTCCTTATTTGTATCTACTCTCTTCCCCAAGATCTCATCTGCCTTCACAACTTCAACTTTCTTCTCTTTGTGGATGATTAATAAACCTTTATCTTCTACCTGTAAATAGATTCTATGTGGAATGCTCCATAAAAGGTATAAAAACAACTGACCATTTGGAAAAAAAAAAAAGTAAATGCAGATTCTATCTTCACATTATGTACAAAATTGAATTGTGCGTGGATTACAGAAAAAAAGTCTTAAAAAGTTTTTCTACAAAAGTACAACACAATCATAAAGTGTGGAGATAGACAGATGATAGACAAACTGAACTGCTTTGATAATATCTTCTGAGATATGCCAAAGGGATAGGTTTATTCAGGAAAATCAGAGACACAAATCAGCACATCACACATGCATGTTCAGGGACTGATGGAAATATAATGTCAATGAAACACATTAGTTGCAACTTTATAATGCATTGAACTATGTGGCACTAAAGAGTGACAACACATTGAACATATCATGCAATGTCATGAAACATCCATTATAATACAATATCAATAATCCATTTATTATGCATATTTACCTGTGTTTCCAGACTTTCTGATAACCTTGTTTAAGGATAAAGTATATGATTATTTTACTTAAAACCATAGGAAGAGGGAAACATTTCTACATACATCATAAAACTCAAAAGCCATAAAGTAAATATTTTAAATGCATTTTATAAGGCCCCAAAGAATGCAAACTGATAACAGATTATCTTTAGTGAGTGGAAAATTTATATTTATTCTAAAAATGTCTTAGTTATTTTATTTTTTAGTAATGAGAATATTATCACAGTTTATTTGTATAAATTTTAAAACTATAGACATAAAAAGTACTATACAGTACTCAGCTAAGTCACTACTAATCAATATTCTTATTGGAATAAATTTATCTGTCAAAACACTTTTTAATATTGCTGATAAAAACACAAAATATGACTTTTCTATAATGTTTTCAACTAAGGAAGAGTAAACATATAGAGAAGAATAAATTTATCTCTCCAAGTTATTCAGAAAGACAACCAATTCCAGAAATCTATTAGAAATGATAGAAAAAAATACAGCTCTCTTGATTGGAAATGTCAGAAACAAGAAAAGGAAGTTATGAAAAACAACAGGACAATAAATTATGGATTAAAACAGCTGCTTCTGGCCAGGTGTGGTGGCTCACGCCTGTAATCCCAGCACTTTGGGAGGCCAAGGTGGGCGGATCACTTGAAGTCAGGAGTTCGAGACCAGCCTGGCCAACGTGGTGAAACCCTGTCTCTACTAAAAGCACAAAAATTAGATGGGTGTGGTGGCGGGCACCTGTAGTCCCAGCTACTTGGGAAGCTGAGGCAGGAGGAATCGCTCGAACCTAGGAGGCAGAGGTTGCAGTGAGCCAAGATCAAGCCACTGCACTCCAGCCTGGGTGACAGAGCAAGACTCCATCTCAAAAAAACAAAACAAAACAAAACAAACAAACAACAAAAAAAGTCTGTTTCCAAAGGGTTTTTTTTTTTTCTTCCTTGCAGCACTAGCACTTCAGTATATAAGTATTCTATTCTATAGGGGGAAAAAAACTACTTCATCATCCAAAAAGTTTGAAAGAAACCTTGGCTAAGCATGAAAGTATTTCTTAACTTCCAGACTTCTTAAAACCCTTAATATATTCATGAACATGGTGAGTCTCAAACCAAGGGAAATAGTATCAAAAGAATGATACATTGATTTGATTACAAATCCTCTTTTCCATGGTAGTTATTAATGGCCCATATTTTGCAAAATCCTTTCAGTATGTCAAGGAAGGTGCTTAAGTTAAGATAATGAGTCCCAAAAATAGAAATTACAAATTCCCCCCTGATTCCTTAGCTCACTAAATAAACCCAGACCATATATAGCCTGCACCATGTGTTTCCTTGGACAAAAATGAGAGCCAAAAGTTTTAGAAATTCTTAGGAAATAATAGCCTATCTATTTATCTTAATATTTATTCTAAATATTCAAATTGGCATCCTATTTACCAAGGGTGTATCTGAGCTTCAGGGAGCATTTTCTCTACCACTATTACTCATCTTTTATGATCTGTAATTAAAACATATATACTGTTTTAAATGACTATTTTTTTTTTTTGAGACAGAGCTTCATTCTGTCACCCAGGCTGGAGTGCAGTGGTGTGATCTTGGCTCAATGTAACCTCCACTTCCTGGGTTCAAGCAATTCTTCTGCCCCAGCCTCCCAAGTAACTGGGATTACAGGCATGCACCACCATGCCCATCTAATTTTTGTACTTTTAGTAGAGATGGGGTTTCACCATGTTGGCCAGGCTGGTCTGGAACTCCTGACCTCAGGTGATCTGCCCCCCTCGGCCTCCCAAAGTGCTGGGATTACAGGTGTGAGGCACCACACCCATCCTCCCATCAGTAGCTTCTGAGTTCAGAACTTTGTATCTCTGGATGTATTTACACTAAAACACTGCACACCAAAAATTGAGTAGCAAAATTCCTATAATTCAAATTATTTATACTGATTAACAGTGTCTATATTCACAAATAAGTCAAATTACATATAATAAGTACATTATAGATTTATATTCAAAGAGAAGAACTAGCTCTAGAAAAGTTTACACAAATGAAATAAAAGTATATGTAATATGTAGGGAATTTTTACTGTATATTAATTCAAGCACAAGTATATGTGCTAATATACATTTACATGTGAATTTTTATATCTGTTAGGTATCTCCTTTTCCTTTCCCTCTTCATTAAAAAATCAGTGAAAATCCTTGGTGGAATACGGCCAAGAAATATCTCTGTTCTAGAATTGCAATGTTCTAAACACAAAGAAAAGATAAATGTTTGAGGTGATGAATATCCCAATTACCCTAATTTGATCATTATGCGTTGTCTGTATGTATCAAAATATCACATGCACCCAAAATATGTACAACTATGATATATAAATTTAAAAATACAAAAAAAGGAAAGACCTCTGTTCTGACCCAGATTCTTTCCCCTTTACAGTTGACTGCAAACACTATAGGTCAGGAATCAGATTGCACAACTGAGCAGAGACATGGATATATTTACACTTTTGGAATGACATTAAGCATACTCCCTAGTTGCAGTGGCTTGGAAAGTTTACAATTTAGTCACTCTATACCTATAATTAGATGGACTGCAATCAGATTTCAGTATTTTCTAAACAATGTCTAAGAAGAAGAGGCTAGCAAACTATAGCCCTTGGGTCAAATCCAGCCCATACCTGTTTTGTGAGTATAGTTTTATTGAAACATAGCTATGCCTGTTCATTTTAAATATTGTTGATGATTATTTTCATTCTACAAAAGGACTTGCAATAAAATTTCCTTTATGGCCAAGAAAGCCTAAAATATTTACTAGCTTGCCCTTTACAAAAAAGGTTTGAGGAGAAACTAAGATGGTAGACTAGATGCAGCTGCGAACCACCTCACCACCAAAATATTGAGTAAACCATCACACTTAAACAGATCTTTTGAGAGAAAACACTGAAAGTCAATAGACAGACAACGCAGACACTGCAATTTAAGAGGGAGGAAACTGGGAAGGTTGCATGGAGATGCTGAGCACCAGGACCAGCTCCTGGTCCTAAACAGATCCTACGGAAGGAGTGAGGAAGGAACTCCACGGCACCACATTCCCACCATGGACCTCTGGGATGCTAGCTACAAGAGATCCCATGATCCCCACAGACATTTGAATTGGAAGGGGGAACTGCTCAGAGATCAGGCAGAGTCAAAGCTCAAGCCTGTGCAGAACTGAGAAGGTTTCATAGTGTGCAGAGCCCCTGCAATAAAACGCAACCATAGGAGCCCATCCCCCAAGGCTCTCTATCTTGGTCTGGTGTCTGCTGCCCCTGCTACTGCCAGGCTGGGAGATAACAAGGCTGCCTGTCCCACAGGACTAGGGCACATCTGATCCATGCACCCCCTTGTCCACTGGCCCCTCAACCAAGATTGCCTACCTGGTCACTCCTGCAGGAGTGCCCACAGCAAAATCTCCACTGTCCTGGCTGAGTGTTTGACTAGCAAATCTGGGAGAAATTTGGCCCCCCAGCACAGCTGGCACTCAACCCTGAGGGGCCAGAGGACAAAACCACATGCCCAGTCCCAACACCTCAGGATTCGAACACACCTCACAGGGGTCTCAAGCTGAGATGTGTGGTCTGAACTTGAGCAGAGGAGGAGTCCCCACTCTCAGAACACTGAGAAGAATGTGGGTCAGGTTCATGTGCTGACACAGGAGCTGGGCATCCTTCCCTTAACAAGCCTGGTCCAGGAAAGGTATAGCTGGTTAGCTAGATGCAGCTTCTGCCCCAGGGATCCCCAAGGCCTTGAACACCTGGAGCAGTCCAACAATATGGACAGAGAACGCTTTGGACAAGTTTACCTGGTCAGGCCTGCTCCAGGGACAGATAACGGAAGAAGACCTGGTCAGGGGAGTGTGAGCCATGTAGGGACCACAGTCATCTGCTGGGCTAAAAACTTTAAGCTATGGGCACCACACAGCTGCACACCTGCAGCGCAAACACTCTGCCTGGGGATCCTCCCTGCTGACCCACTGCATCACCAGACCAACAACAGACATACCCCACAACCCACTCTGACTCTGTGAAGCTCAGAGGCCCAGCAGATCCCCAGAGTACTTCAGGTCTCCTGGTGACCTAACCTTAGACTCAGATCACCCCTAAGGGAAAAGGGGGTGCAGTCCACTTAAGAAATGTGGATGCAGAGCCAGTAATTGAAAGGGGATACCCCAAGACCCAGGAACAGACTTGGTGAAGAAGTCACTGACCACACCCTCATCTCCTCTGTGCACAGCACTGTTGCAAGCACACTGAAACAGAAAAGAGGTGCATGCCTAAGTAAAAGCCTATCTGCTGGCCCATCTACTGGATCACAGTCTGAATTCTACCACCAAACAAAAGTAAATTCCTTCAACCTGCAATTCCTGTGAAATGCAATGCAGGAAACTATCCAAAGATAAGAGACCTGAACAGAGCCTTGGCCCTCTGAAAGCACCCAGAAAATTTGCAAATCAACTATACACAGCATACACCACAGCCAAACCCTGAAGGAGGAAAAAAAAAAGAATATAAAAACAAAAATCCCTCTCCAAATGACAGCAATTTCAAAAATAAAAAGGAATATCAGCCCCTTCAGATAAGAAAGAATCAGCACAAGAACTCCAGCAATTCAAAAAGTCAGTGTTTCTTTACCTCCAAAGGATTACACTAGCTCTCCAGCAATGGGTCCTAAACAGATTGAAATGTCTGCAATGACAGACATGGAATTCAGAATCTAAATGGCAAGAAAGCTCAATGGGATTCAAGAGAAACTTGATACAATCCAAGGAAGCCAGGAAAACAATCCAACAGCTGAAATACAACATAAGAACCAAACTGAACTTCTGGAATTGAAAATTTCATTACAGGAATTTCAAAATACAATTGGAAGCCTTAACAACAAGCTAGGCCAAGCTGAAAAAAGGATTTCAGAGCTCAAACACCAGACCTCCAAATCAATCCAGTTAGAAAAAGGTAAAGAAAAAAGACCTTAAAAATGAACAAATCTGTGAGAAATATGGAATTATGTAGAGGGACCAAACCTACATCTCATTAGTATTCTGAGAGAGAAAGAGAGAGAGAGAGTAACCAACTTGGAAAACATATCTGAGGATTTAATCCACAAAAATTTCCCCAATATTACTAGAGGTTTACATGCAAATTCAAGAAATTCAGAGAACTTCTACAAGATACTATACAAGATGACCTTCCCCAAGACAAATAGTCATCAGACTTTCCAACATCAATGTAAAAGAAAAGTTCCTAAAGGCAGCTAGAGAAAAGGTCCAGATCACTTTTAAAAAATAATAATAAAGAAAGAAAAACTTCCTCAGTCAAACAGTGGATTTCTTGGCAGAGACTCTACAAGCCAGAAAGCACTGAAGGCTTATTTTTAGCATTCTTACAAAAAAAGAAATTCCAACTAAGAATTTAATGTCCCAACAAACTAAGCTTCATAAGTGAAAGAGAAATAAAACATTTTTCAGACAAGCAATCATTAAGGGAATTCATTACCACTAGACCAGCCTTACAAGAAATCCTTCAGGGAATTCCAAACAATGGAAATAAAAGAACAATACCCGCTACCATAAAAACACACAAAAGAACATAGCTGACCGGGCGTACTGGCTCACGCCTGTAATTCCAACATTTTTGGAGGACGACACAGGTGGATCACCTGAGGTCAGGAGTTCAAGACCAGCCTGGCTAATATGGTGAAACACAGTCTCTACTAAAAATACAAAAAACTAGCCAAACATGGTGGCGGGCACCTGTAATACCAGCTACTCGGGAAGCTGAGGCAGAAGAATTGCTTGAACCTGGGAGGTGGAGGTTGCAGTGAGCCAAGATCACACCACTGCACTCCAGCCTAGGCGACAGAGTGAGACTCCATCTCCAAAAAGAAAAAAAAAAAAGAACATAGCCCACAGACCCTATAAAGAAACTATACAATCAAGACTACAAAGCAACCAGCTAGCAATAGCATGGAAGGATCAAAACCTCACAAATTAATATTAATCTTGAAAGTGAAAGACCTAAACATCCCACTTAAAAGGCAGAGTGGCAAGTTCGATTAAGAAAATAAGACCCAACCTTCTGCTATCTTCAACAGACCCATCTCAAATGTAATAAACCCATAAGCTCAAAGTAAAGGGATGGAAAAAGATCTATCACACAAAAAGAAAAGAAGAAAAGGCGAGTGTCATTTTTCTTATATCATATAAATCAGACTTTAAACCAACAACAACAAAAAAGGTAAAATAAGGTCACTGCATAATGATAGAGGGTTCAGTCCAACAATAAGACTTAACTATCCTAAATATACATGTATTCAACACTGGAGCAACAAGATTCATAAAACAAGTACTTGTAGACCAATGGAAAGACTTAGAAAACCACACAACTGAGTGGGAGGCTTAAACACCCCACTGACAGCATTAGACAGATCATCCCGGCAGAAAACTAACAAAGAAATTCTGAACTTAAATTTGACACTTGACCAATTGGACCTAATAGACATCTACAGGACACTCCACCCAACAACTACAGAATGTAAGCTCTTCTCATCTGCACATGAAATATACTCTAAGATCAACCACATGCTCAGCCATAAAGCAAGTCTCAATAAATATAAAAAATAGAAATCATATCAAGCATATTCTCAGACCTTGTGGAATAAAAATAGAAATTAATACCAAGCAGTTCTCACAAAATCACGCAATTACTGAGAACCAAACAACTTGCTCCTGAATGACTGTTGAGTAAACAAAATGAAGGCAGAAATCAAATACTCTTTAAAATAAATGAAAGAAGAGACAGAATATACCAAAATCTCTGGGATGCAGCAAAAACAGTGTTAAGAGGAAAGTTTAGAGTGCTAAACACATAAAGAAGTTAGAAAGATCTCAAATTAACAATCTAACATCTCAACTAGAGGAACTAGAAAAACAAGAACTAACCCAAAAGCTAGCAGAAGAAAAGAAATAACTAAAATCAAAGCAGACCTAAATGCAATTGAGATCAAAACTTCATGTAAATAATCAATTAAATGAAAAGTTGTATCCTTTGAAAGGGTGAACAGGATAGCTAGATTAACAAAGAAAAAGAGAGAGAATATCCAAATAAGCATAATTAGAAATGACAAAGGTGGCATTACAACTGATCCCACAGAAATGCAAAAAATCCTCAGAGACTATTAATGACACCCCTTTGCACATAAACTAGATAATCCAGAGAAAATGGCTAAATTCCTGGAAACACACAACCTCCCAAGACTGAATTAGGAAGAAATTGAAAACCTGAATGGACCAGTAAAAAGTTTCAAAATTAAGTCACTAATAAAACAACCTAGCAACCAAATAAAGCCCTGGAACAGATAAATTCACAGCCAAAATCTACCAGACTTGCAAAGAAGAGATGGTACCAATCTCACTAACACTATTCCAAAAAGTATCTAGAAGTGATGCCCCACTAACTCATCCCATGAAGCCAGCATCATATCGATAACAAAATCTGGCAAAGACACACACACACACACACACACACACACACACACACACAAAACTACCAGCCAATATAACTGATGAACATAGACACAAAAATCCACAGCAAAATACTAGCAAACCAAATCCAACAGCACATCAATCAGTTAATTCCCCACAATAAATTAGGCTTCATTCTGGGGATGCAAGGTTGGTTCAACAAATGCAAATCAGTAAATGTGATTCACCATATAAACAGAATTAAAAATAAAATATGTAGGAATATATATCTTATTGTCAGTGTCACCGCTATTAGATTTGGTTTGGAATTGAGTCTGCATATATGTGAATATTGGAGTCTCTAGTTTTCTGAGTATTCACAATTTATATTAATGAGATTATATTTTAAGGTTCTGACTAAAGAATTTAGCAAAGTTGTGTTTTTTTTCAATACTACCTCATGCTTCAAAAACGTGCTCTTCTGAGAGCAATGAAAACCTCCAATCTCATAGAGAATCACTGGTTCACTTCCTAGAGAAATAAATCTAATGAAAAATAAGTAAGACTTCTATACAGAAAACGATAAAACATTACTAAGATAAATTTTAAAAGATGAGGGAGAGAGAGAGAGAGAGACAGAGAGAGAGAGAATGCTTCCAAGAACTGAAAGGCTCAATTTTGAAAGTTAACAATTCCTTTCAGATTGATCTGTAAATTTAATGGAATACCAAAAAAATTCACAAGAAGTTTTTACAGAACTTGACATGCTTATTCTATGATTTATGTGGAAATCCTGAAAACAAAGAATAGTTAAGACAACTTACAGAATAAATTTGGAGTGTTTACACTACCCAGATATCAAGACATATTATAAACCTCAGTAATAAGAAATCATGGTTTTCATGCAGGAGATATAAACAGACCAATGAACAAAAACCAGTATCCAGAAAAAGAAGCAAACATAAATATTTACCTGATATATGACATATAAATTTTACTGATTCTTTTGTTAATCTACATGATATAAAAATGAGTCTTAATTCCTACCTCACATAAAAATCAACTCCCAATATATTTTAAGACTGAATGTGAAACGTAAAACAGTAAAACTTCTAAAACATTTAAAAAATCTTCCAGACTGTGGACACGACCCTTACAGGGCCCCCGCAATTCCTGTTTCCTGGTGTTCACATCATATATAGTCCCATCCCCTTTGCTGTGACTTGCTTCTAACTAATAGAACATGGCAAAGGTGAAGAAATTTCAAATGTAATTAAAGCCTCAAATAATAACTAACTTGGAGTTATTATCAAAAGAAACGTTATCCCACATGGTCTGACTCACTCAAGTGAAGGTCTTTAAAAGAAGGACTGGAGCCTCCTCAAAAAAGGGACTTTCCTTTTTGACTTGATGAAGTAAGATTGATTGAAGAAGGCTCCACGATGAAGAAGTGCAAGCTGCCTCCAGAATTACAAGTGGCCTCCATCACCTGAGGTTAGCCACCAGCCAAAAGCCAGCAAAAATCTGCAGCCCTCATTCATACAGTCACAGAAAAATTAATTTTGCCAAAACCTGAATTAACTTAGAAGTAGATTCTTCACAGTCAAGTCTCCAGATGAGAGTACAGCCCAGCCAACACCTTAATTTCAGCCTTGTGAGGCCCTGAGCAGGTAATTCATCCTCAGACTCTGACACATAGAGGCAGTGAGATCATATTATTTAAGCTGCTGAGTTTATCTAGCAACAATAGAAAACTAACACAATGACTTTACCCTAGGCAAAGATTTTTCGGATAGGATGCATAAAAGCACTAACTATAAAGAAAAAGATTGATAAACTAACTTCACTAAAATTAAGAGCTTCTGCTCACCAAAATTACCATCAAGAGAGTAAAAAAGCAAGCTATAAAGTGTGAGAGTATATTTGCAACCATATATCCAAAGAATGAACTCCACTCCATAATATATAAGGAACTCCTATAAATCAATAGAAAACATATAGACAACTCAATTAATGGAAAAAAGATTTAAACAGGTACTTCACAGAAAGGATATCAAATGGTTATAAACATATCAATAGGTGTTTAGCATCATTATTCTTTCAGTAAAATAAATGTTAAAGTCAAAATAAAAAAATCACTACAAATACACCAGAGTAGCTAACAGTTAAAAAAAACTAAACCAAACAGTGGTCAGACTATGATACAACAAAAACTCTCATACTCTGGTGGTAAGTGTGTAAATTGGCGCAACTTCTTCTGAAAATTGAAAATGGCTTTAGAGTGTCTTCCAAAGATGAATGTACACATATCCTATGGTCTGTCAATTCTACATCAAAATACATATCAGACAAAAACATGTACAAATGTCATGTACTAGAGTATTTATATTCTTGAATATTCATATTTGGCTATACTTAATAGTCAAGACCTGTAAAGGATTTGAATGTTTGTTAATAATGGTATGGATTAATAATTGTAATATATTCATGCAATGGGATACTATACAACAATTAAAATAAATGAATAATTACCACATGTACAACACAGACAAATATCACAAACAGAAAGATCAATGGAAGAATCCAAACATAAAAGAATCATACTGCATGAGTTTATTTACATAAGGTTCAGAGGAGTCAAAACTGATTTATGGTTATAAAAGTTAAAATGCTAAATACAGTGGGGTACTGAGTGGAAGTGTGGCAAAAGGAAGCTTTCTAGGTACTATTAAATATTCTATTTTTAATCTGTATGGTAGTTACAAAAGTGTGTTTATTTTGAAAATTTATAGAGCTATACACTTAAGATTTGTGCACTTTTCTAGATGTATTCTATATGTCAGTAAAAACTGACAAAGACCATACAAATAAGCAGGTTAATCAAAAAGTTTCAAATCAGAAGAGGATTGAAGAGTTAGAGTTAGTTTAGTGTGATTTTGGCACCAGAATGGGCAAATAAACCTATGAAACAGAATAGAGTGTCCAATATCAGAAGCACACTTGTAGGGTCATTTGATTTATGATACTAGTCCATGACTTGGAAAACTTCAGAGCCCAAATAAACAGAAGAAAAGAGATAAAAATACTAGGCAAAATAATCAAAACATACAGAGAAACTGAGGGAGTGGATGCAAAGCAGAGAGAATGGATACTAACTCAAGAAGAACTCTGGTGAAGCTTTCCTAAGAAAGGCTTTCTGGAAAGTCTGCAAGCGGTGACACATGAAAGCAGCAGACAATGATTAAGTACAGAGTTACAGAGCGAACCTTGTTCTCTGGGGAAAAGACCACTTCCCTGACAATGGGTCCCAGTGCTCAAAAGAATGTGAAATCAATGCTGCATTATCAACTTGACTGTATTGACTAGGTAGTAGAATTAAAATCTGAGATATAAATTAAGGTGCTGCCCACCTCGTGTTTTTTTGCTACATAACAAACTGTCCCCAAAGTTTAGAGGCTTAAAACAACTAATTTATTATCTCTTATGATTTTGTGGGCCAGGAATTTGGGCAGGCTTAGCTGAGCATTCTTCATGCTCCACAGTGTTAGCAGCTGTAACTTGATGTTACACAGTTTGTGAATGGATTTATCCATGGGGTCCAAGACAGCTTCACTTACATGTCTAATGCCTCGGCTGGAATAACTGCAAGGCTGCCTGGGTTCAGCTGCGACTGTTAATCAGGATAACCACCCATGGCTTCTCCAGAATGGCAGTCTCAGAGTATCTGGACTCCTTATATAGCAGCTCAGGATTCCCAGTGTTCCAGAAGTGAGCATTCCAAGAGATCCACACAAAAGCTGCAATACTTCCTATGATCTAGCCTTGGAAGTCTTATAACACCACTATTGCCCTTTCTTTTGGTCCAGCGAGTCAACTAAGCCAGCCCAGATTTAAGGGGAGAAGTATGAAATAGGCTATCACTTACAGAGGAAATAGCATTCATGTACAGGGCAGAATGGAAGTGATGCCAGCCTTCTTAGAGACATGCTTCATACTAAGTCAGTAACATCCTTTGCATCACTAGAGAAATTACAAAGTTTTTAAAGAACAGAAAAGTCAGATTTTAGCTTTTGCATGAGAATGGATATCAATAACTAAATCAGCCGATGGAAGGTGTGACAACAGATGCCAGCACGGACAGTTGATGGTTGAGGAGTAGATGCCCTGCCCTCTGGCGCTAAGCACTGGAGGAAGCTCCCAGTGTGTGTGTGTGTACAAGTATTATATATAGAGAGTACACTTTTCTATATGTATGCTATACATCAATAAAAATTGACAAAGACTATAAAAATAAATAGGTCAGTCAAAAAGTTTCAAATCAGAAGAGGACTGAAGAGTTAGAGTTAGTTCGGTGTGATTTTGGTACCAGGATGGACAAATAAACCATGTGTATATGTATCTGTATCTGTATATATATATGTATCTGTATATGTATATGTATATGCATATGTATATGTATATGTATATGTATACACACACACCTTCTTGGGGAGAATGGAAAGGGGAAAATCCTGTATGGTTTGAGAAGTTCTTGAAATGACTAAGTTTAACTTAAAGTGACAATGGTTAAATTTGTGCCAGTAGGCAGAATGGAACAGGGCAGAAATTAATTTCAGTTGTAGGAAAATAAAACCATATTTTTAAACTCCTAAATTTGTGGTAAATTAAATACATACCTATAAAATTGCTTTAAGTGTATGTTTCTATTGGTTTGATTCTCAGAGGGCCTTAGCCGCCTCCCTGGGGGGCAGGGCTCGGGACCTGCAGCCTGCCATGCCCGAGCCCCCCGCGGTGGGCTCCTGCACGCCCAAGCCTCCCCAGCGGGCGCCACCCCCTGCTCCGCGGCCCCTGGTCCCATCAACCACCCAAGGGCTGAGGAGTGCAGGCACAGGGTGCGGGACTGGCAGGCAGCTCCGCCCGCGGCCCCAGCGCAGGATCCACTAGGCTAAGCCAGCTGGGCTCCTGAGTCGGATGGAGACTTGGAGAACCTTTATGTCTAGCTAAAGGATTGCAAATACACCAATCAGCACTCTGTGTCTGGCTCATCTAGTGGGGACTTGGAGAACTTTTATGTCTAGCTAAAGGATTGTAAATGCACCAATCAGCACTCCGTGTCTAGCTCAGGGATTGTAAACGCACCAATCAGCACTCTGTCAAAACGGACCAATCGGCTCTCTGTAAAATGGGCCAATCAGCTCTCTGTAAAATGGAACAATCAGCAGGATGTGAGTAGGGTCAGATAAGGGAATAAAAGCAGGCTGCCCGAGCCAATGGCAGCAACCTGCTGGGGTGCCCTTCCACACTGTGGAAGCTTTGTTCTTTTGCTCTTTGCAATAAATCTTGCTGCTGCTCACTGTTTGGGTCCACACAGCTTTTATGAGCTGTAACACTCACAGTGAAGGTCTGCAGCTTCACTCCTGAGGCCAGCAAGACCACGAACCCACTGGGAGGAATGAACAACTACGGACGGGAGGAATGAACAACTCCAGACGCGCCACCTTAAGAGCTGTAACACTCACCACGAAGGTCTGCAGCTTCACTCCTGAAGCCAGCGAGACCACAAACCCACCAGAAGGAAGAAACTCTGAACATGTCCGAACATCAGAAGGAACAAACTCCAGACACACCATCTTTAAGAACTGTAACACTCACCGCGAGGGTCTGTGGCTTCATTCTTGAAGTCACTGAGACTAAGAACCCACCAGTTCTGGATACACTGTGACACCCACCAGATATTCTTGGCAACCTGGCCTTCAAGTCAGGTTGTGACTTCGACCATCACCAGCTCTGAGAATGCCATTTCTCTATACAAACAAAGACTCGTACAATAACATTCATAGAAATCTTATTTATAATGACCCCAAACTGGAAAAGTCCAGGGCCCATCAATAGAAGAATAAATAAGAAACCTGTGGTATATCCCTATAATGGAATATTATTCACTAATGAAAAGGAATAAACTACAGATACATGGAACAAATTTGGTGGATCTCAAAAGCATTATATAATACTAAGTGGAAAAAAGCCAGACACAAAAGACTACATATTTTTGTACTACATTTATATGACATTCTAAAATAGGAAAAACTATAGTAGAAAAAATTAGAGTATTTTCTTCTGGGGATAGAAGTAGGGTCTGT
Source organism: Homo sapiens (assembly GCF_000001405.40). Classification (NCBI taxonomy): domain Eukaryota; kingdom Metazoa; phylum Chordata; class Mammalia; order Primates; family Hominidae; genus Homo; species Homo sapiens. The sequence continues at coordinate 142,955,902 of NC_000004.12, forward strand.
TTGGAGAGGGTCCTGAGGAAATTTTCTTGGGTGTGGTAATGTTCTGTATCTTGATATGGGTTTTCTTTCAACGAGTGTATGGATTGGTCAAAACTTGGTGAAGGTGTTGGTAATATTTGTACATTTTAGTTATATATTTTGTGTAACAAAAACAGGCTGGGCACAGAGACTCATGCCTATAATCTCAGCACTTTGGGAGGACAAGGAAGGTGGATCACTTGAGCTCAGGAGTTTGGGACCAGACTGGGCAACATGATGGAACCTTGTCTCTACCAATAATACAAAAAATTAACCAGGCATGGCAGTGCACATCTGTGGTCCCACCTACTTGGGAGGTAGAGCTGGGAAGATCACTTGAGCCAGGGAAGTGAAGATTGCAGTAAGCCATGATTGCACCTCTACACTCCAGCCTGAGCAACAGAGTAAGACTCTTTCTCAATTTTAAAAAAAAGAAATGAAATTAAAAAGTAAAACAACAACCCAATATTGAATTCTAGTGAATTATATGCATACTGAAATATTTAGGGGGAATTGCACTGACATCTGAAACTTACATTCACATGCATCAAAAAGATAAAATGCATTAATCAATAAGGGAATATATAGATACCTAAGTGATAAAACACCTATAGGACAACATAAAGGATAGAATTATGCTGTGATTGTATATTTTTTCAATGTAAAGTCCTTTTAACTGTGCTGTATGTTTGAAAAATATTATAATAAAAAGATTTTTTAAAAACCCAGCATCTCATACCTACCCTGCTTGAAAATCTCTTCTGGATTAAAGGCTTACCACCAATTGCATCTTCTCCAGATGGGTGGGTCTAAAGGAAAACTTCAAGGTCCTGAAGACTTGGGGCCAGGATACCCAGCAGCTTCTTCTCCAACACTGCTGACTTGTTTAAGAGTTGGACTAGAGTCTTGATCATAGAAACCTTGGCATCCAACTTTAACAAGAATATGGAATATACTATATATTCCTTCCTTATTCCAAAAAAAGGATGGAATAAATAAATAGATCTTTAGAGTTATGCTCACAAAGTTTTACATAAACTCATATACATGAATGTTCAGATGTAAGAAGAATTATTTCAGCTCCATTGCAATTTTATCTTTTTGTTCTCCTTGTAAAAAATACACTGAAATGTATTGCAAGAATCCTTATAAAAGTAATAAAATAATGTAAAATGATCATAAAACCAATCACATATTTTATAGAAAATAGCAGAATAAAATCACTTTTTGTGAGATGTCAGATGCAAAGAAATTTATCACTTAAGATAAAACAATGTTCTGCTCTCTGTAAGCATTTAATCTCTTCAACTTCTTGTGCCCTTGCAGGACTAGAAAGCCAATTTATGATAACCAATTTGAAAAGACTACTGATTACTGATTATGCTTTTAGAACCCTTCAGTGTGAGTTCTGCTAACTGAAAAATCTTTTTAGTAATTGTCTTTATCTTGTCTTTTCAACTATATTTACTCAGTCTCTATCCCTCCACATGCCAGCCAAAATAAAACAAAACAAAAAACTCATGTTTTTTGTAATAGTATTTGAAACAAGTTGTTCTTATGTTATACTAACATTGGGGCCTATGTAGACATGTAAACAAAAGATCACAGAGCTCACAGGGCACCAAAAGTTGAGTATAATCCAGAAGTTCAGCATAGTTCTAAGCAAATGCTATTTAGAAATGAATTAATAAAAGCATAGAGGTTAAATGGAGCATTAGGTTCAATTCAACTAGTGAGACTCTTTCGAGATAAAGATTCAATGGGGATTTCAGAGAAGTAAGCAATGAATACATTTCTGAGAAGGCTCACAAAACTTAAAGAATGAAGCTGAATAGAAAACAATGAAGAAATCATCGGCAAGAAAAGCAAGAGATAGTAACCATCCGCCCTCCATCTCCTCTGGAAATGAAAGAAGAAATGATCTACAACAACAATAGGTCAAATAAGAGCTAAGGCTCACTCAGTGGTCCCTTTTCAGTCTTCAGTGAACTCAGTGTTCTGAAACATTGTACACTGTCAATTACTCCCTCCTTCTTGAACAACCACGTTCGTCCTCTAAGGTACAATTCTCTGTTATCCTACCTTGCAAATCACTCCCTTTGTATCCAGGGTGTCCATGGTCTCAAGGTCATACAAGGAAGGCAAGAGTTTAGAAACGGTCTGGGTTAGTTTCCACATAATTTTTTAACTTTTACTGTTTACTTTTACTTTTAGTGCCTTTGCTTCTTCTGACCACCTGTAAACTATGGTGTTATTTAAGATTCTATCCTTTTGGGTACCTTTTTACTTTTATTATCTTTTTTCTTCCCTGGGCATCTCACCTACATATACTGTTGACTCCTAAAATTATAATCTACCTTTAATCTCTTTCCTGAGCTCCAAACTAAATTTCTCTCTTAATTGTCTTGAAGGTACATAAAATTTTATCATGCTGAAAGCCAATTTTATCATTTCTGCCTAAATCTTTCTCCTTCTCTCATGTTTTCTCTTGATAGCATCTCCATCAAAGCAATCCTGAAATGACCTTTAGCAACCATGAAAATGACTTTTAAATCCTCCTCCTCCTCCATCTCTGCCTCCCACATTGTATATTTTTCATCTCCGCTTCTATGCTGATGCTTCTTGAAAGTGAAGACATGTCTTATACGTCCTCCTTATCTCTATGCCTAGAAGAGTATCTACTATATATTAGGTGCACAAAGTAGGAAGGAAACAAAGAAAAAAGAAAGAAGGGAATGGAGGCAGAGAGGGTCATAATGAAAGGAAAAGGGAAGAAGAAGAAATGAGAAGAGAGAGACATAAGAAGAAAGAAATTAATACAGTTACTGAACCCATAATAGGATATTTAAAAGTTGGAATAGCTGACCCTGTCATTCTTCTAAGGACAAAAGCTCTCTTTGCTGGAAAAATATTATGAGTGGTCCTTGGAGTAAAATTTAAACTCCCCAGGACCTAGACATCAGCCAGTGAAAGCTAGGAAGGAGAGGGGGAATTATTCTACATAATAGAAAGACAGAGATTGGATATTTCCAAGGTAAAATAAGAGAAAAAGAGTGAGACACAGAAAGAAATAAAGGTAAAATGAAGCGAGCAGGACCATGACAATGCACTCACCTCTGTGACTTCAAAATTTCCAATCATTCTAGGAAATTTATTAAAGTGTGTTGTAAGTAGGTACTTTTGTTCTTGCAATGTAGTGAAATTATGGATTTTAAAATCTAGGCTTACATGGGGTGAAAACTGAGACAAAAAATCATGAATGCAAAAGCCAGAGTACAAGGCAACAGCTGGCATCTGGGTTTATATTCATGATCACATATTGTAATGAAAGTACTTAGCCTTCCTGTAAAGGAATGTAGCAGCTGAAGCATGACCTCATCCTCTTCCAGGTAATTTGATACAGATGATCAGATCAAAGGAACAATGATCCCATCCGAAAGATCAAACCAAAGTTATAAAATCAAGTGCTCAAGATTGTGCAATATACATTGCTAAATAAACCAACTTAAAATTCTAATAAGAACTCAAGCAATTTGACTTTGATCTTGGTCAATCTCTTCTTACACCCATTCAAAATAGTGATGTAATCTCTGAAAAAGGTTTAAATACTCTGAAGCTACTAGCCCAGGCTTGAAAATAGGCACTGGCATATATTGCATGAATATAAAAAAAAATCTGTATTAGCTGAAAGACATTTTGGCAATAGGCTAAGAATTAACTTCAATATTGTCCTTTTTCTTTTCAAGAGAGTCTGTGTTGATCAAGGTACACTTATGTTCTCATAGCTGAGTGAGGCGGGAAGCAATAGAAGGAGATAGGGATGTCTAATTGTTTGAAGTAGAAATATTCATGTCTGACGATATCAAGTTCTAAAATATAAAATTTCTTACCACTAGACTACTATACCCTTCATCTCATTTTGATGCCATAGAGGCTACTTTATTTCCTTTATATGCTTCAGTCCAAGTTTTATAACCTATAATTATATATGTTGTTATATTAAAAAATAAATGTAACTACTCATTTTGACAGGCTAATGAGGTGCAGGAGTTCTACCATCATACTTGTTCTGTAATAAACCAAATTGTGGACCTCCAAAATGTGCTGCTGTCTCATAATAAAACCACTGACAGCGATAGCTAAGAGATGAGAATTCTTAATTTTTCAATCAGTTATATTCACCTCTGCTATAAAGAAAATGCTCTGGGTTGTTTTTAAAGCAGAAAAATAAGTAAACACCCAAGACACACTCCAAAACCTGATGTTAGTTATCAAAATAACCTAGCAAAGCCTTGAAGCCATTTGAAAAATATCAATCTTGTGGAGGTTATAACAATCTTAGTGTCTACTCTACTGTCAGCATTTACACAACTTTTTTTTCTTCTCTTGGTTTTTGGCAGTGTTCCCAGCTAGTATGTTCTTACTCTAAGACGCTCTGTGTCACATTTTACTTCAGGTTAGAAGCACTGCCAGATATTTTACATTGCATTTTTCAAATGCATATTTCCTTCCAGAGTACCAACTTTGCACATTAGGTAGACACCTTTTTCCTTGACCAAGAGACAATCCTTTTTCCTTTGAATCAGTCATGTTTGGAAACTGGCTTCCATATTATAGCAGCAAAGAAAAACACTGGTGACAGTCCCTAGTCTTTTTTTTACTTCCCCTGAAACTTTCTCTCCTGATGATGCAAACAATCAATATGTGAAACAGTAGTCTGTGGGTTTCAAATCAGAGGCCATTAAGCAAACTGCTGTTTGGCCACTGTAAGAAAAAGAATAAATCATCTTCCAATGACAGTGACATCAAATGTAGAAAAAAAGAAATATTTCATTTTACCTTTGAACACCTGCTTTATAATTCTTCTTCTTTTCATACCATAGAACAAGCTCTCACTGCTTTCTAACAGAACGGCCCAAACAACCAAAGTGGCCAAAACACCTCACCTACATGAAGCTTGTCTATCTTGTGAGTCAATCTGCATGCAATTAGAGCAAGGAAAAAATGCTTGGAAGGCCAAAAGTGCTATTTATATAAGAATGTCCCTCACTCTCTTTCAGAATCTGTTTATTTTTAGTTAGGACAGAATTCTAAGAAGCCTAAAGGCAGTGCAGTGCAGGCCCTGGAGTTCGACTGAGTTGAATGCTGACTCTGCTATTTACAAACTCTGTGACTTTGGGCAAGTTAATTAAACTCAATGCTCTATTAGATCACTCATGAGATGGGGAAAATAATAATAATTCGTATAGGGTTGTTAGAAGAGTATAATGAGTTAAAATATGTAAAACATGTAGAACCAAGCCACGCACATGGCATTTGTTTAATTTCTAAGCTCATAAAACATTATAAAAGGCAAGAAAAACGACAGAGAAGGGTTTCTGTAAGCAAATTGCACTGACACCAGCCATTAGTATCCACTAAAAGTTTCACGGAGGCAGGGGAGGTATTATTTAAAAATAGGCACAAGAACTGAGGACATTGAGCATAGGAACAAATGCCTGCTGAGTGTCCAAGGGCATCAGTTTATTACATCGCAATAGAGTAGTGAAAGTTTATAAAGAGGAACTTGAAGCATCATGTCCAAGGACATCACTTCAACTCAGTAAAATAGTTAATGTTTGTAAAGAGGATCCTGAATATGCAAGAAATGATTTTAAAAGTTAAATTATTATTTTCAGTAATTTAACTGAAGAGGCAATACATTTTGAACAATTTCTGTTGAGAAGAGCCAAGTAAAAAGTGTTTGTGCCTTAATGAATACCTATTCAGCTATCAAAAAAAAACCCCAGTTATTCAGACTGATTCAATCTTTAAGTGCTCTTTTTATAAGAAGATAATGAAAGTAAAAATAACATACTAACATGGCAAATCATTTCACAAGAAGGTATGGCAAAGACTGCTAATTGTCCCTGAATTTTCACTCTCCAAGTCTTCTTTTGGAAAATAGAAATATCCTGTGTATTTAGGGAGACAACTACATGCTCATCTGGAAACTGCATGCCCCAGACTTCCTTGTAGCTCAATGAAGCCATGTGACAAAACCTTCATTACAGGCATGTGAATAAAAGTCTTTTGTGTAACATCTGTGGTGCTTCCTTACAAGGGAATTGCTTTTCTTCCATTTCCTCTTTCTCTCCCCACAAGTCGTATTGAAAACAAGAAGCAGATGCAGATAAGCTAGCTTCAACCATACAGATGAGGCAACAACCAAAGAAATGACTGAAAAACAAAGACAGAGCACACAGTGTCCCAGGTCAGCTTGTGGAGGGAGCAGAGTGCTCTACCTCCCCTGGACCCATGCCTCCCTCAAGGGCATTAACTTCTATCTCATTGGGGCCAGGTCTTTTTGCTGTAGCAGCCTATCATTATCTTAGCACATTTGGAGAAGCTGAGAGAAATTAAATCCAAACTTATTTCAAGTGCAAGTATTAATTTACTGTTTTCGACTCTACAAAGATGCAGAATTAATTAGAAGCAAGTTCTGCCTTCAGAAGATTTATAATCCAGAAAATAATGAGAGAAGTACGCAAATAATTGTATTACCATACATTCTACATTTCTTGTCATCTCAGAGTTATAGACAAGGCATTATGGTGTTATAGAAGGAAACAGTTTTATCAGTTTGGACCAAAAATTACTCACTCAGGAAAATAAACTTTCATTAGGATGGCCTTTGAGAAAGACCTGTAATTGATAGGATTTCAAATGCAGAAATAAACAATGAAAAGAAAGGAGGGCAACACTTCAGGAAAGAAAACAACATAAATAAAAGCACTACAGCAGAAAAATTGATACATCTTATTTTGTCCTGTTAGAATAGAAGGTATGGTGGGAAGGCTTTGGAACACATAAGCTGGAAGAGTAAGTTTAGATTACATTGTGAAGAGCACAAAGTTGTTATAATTATAAAATATTTATGAAGCCCTTTCTATATGCAAGCATGACGCTGGTACTTTATGTGTACTTTCTCATTTTATCATAGGAATAAACTCTAATTTGTTATATATCGCCTCTAGTCTGAGGCGTCAGTATCTAATTCAGCAGAAAATTTTGAAGAACCACAAGAAACTGAATGACACTCTCTAGCTGGGCTTCTGGAAGGCTAATCATGTAAGAGCATTAAGTACAGGATGCAAAAGGGAGTAATAACAATAAAGGTACTTTTGTAATAGATAAGACACAAGGTAGGATTGAAACAGTGTGGCAATGTTCAAACTGAAGAAGAAGGGCTAGATTCAAGACATTAGGAACAACTTGACAAGTAACTATGCTATGATGTGAAGAGTCCTATGAAGGAGAAGATGGAGGAAAACCCTAACATTTAGAACCTGAGCCCTGAAATTAATAAAATAAGGAGTCAAGTGTTGTAATTAACAAAAAATAGGAAGTAAGGCAGATGCAGTGGGCTTATTAAGATGTTTCTAGAGTCTGTGCAGAGAACTTTTGATTTTTTACTATGTGGCTTTGAGAAAACAGCTTAATGTCTCAAGCCTGTTTTCTTCTCTGAAAAAATGTGAGTAATAACATCCAACTTACATACTTTACAGGGGAATTAAATAAGATAATATTTTTTTTTTTTTTTAAAAAGGAAGGCCAGGCGCGGTGGCTCATGCCTGTAACCCCAGCACTTTGGGAGTCTGAGACGGGCAGATCACAAGGTCAGGAGATCGAGATCATCCTGGCTAACACGGTGAAACCCCATCTCTACTAAAAATACAAAAAATTAGCCGGGTGTGGTGGCGTGCACCTGTAGTCCCAGCTACTCAGGAGGCTGAGGCAGGAGAATGGCGTGAACCTGGGAGGTGGAGCTTGCAGTGAACCGAGATCGCACCACTGCACTTCAGCCTGGGCGACAGAGTGAGACTCTGTCTCAAAAAAAAAAAAGAAAAAAAGAAAAGCAAAGAAAAAGAAAAAAAGAAAAGGAAAAGCACTATGGATAGCACATCTCAGATACTCATTAAACAGTAACTAATACTGTTTTTATTGCTACAGCTATTGTGTCTTCTGGGCATTATGAAAAATTGGGAGTAAAAAGTTTAGGTTTGGAAGATATTAATTGAAGATGTGAGAGAGGAAGAAATCATCAAAGAATTTTTTTTTAAGTTTTGAGGAGAAAATCTTGGATTACTTCCATTTTAAGACACAGTATGAGAGAGGGGACTCTGTGAAGGAGAGAGGGGGGAAATATTAGTAAGGTAAAAAGAAATGAGAGATGGGGAAAAGAAAGATCATAGAGGAGATGGTTAAGATGTCAAATGCTGCTTAGAGTATAAAAAAAGTTGAGACCTGAGAAAAATGTTAGCGGCAGAGTCAAAAAGTGTTGTCTGTCAGAAGATGGAGACCTAAATGTGTTTATTGGCATACAGGAAAGAGTTAGTAGAGAGGAAGATTAAATTTACAAAGAAAAAAGAGAAAAATTGAAGGAATAAGATCTCAGAGAAAGAAAAGGGGTCTAGATTAAGAGCATAAGTGGAAAAGTCGGCCTCTGCCAGGAGGAGACAGGCACTTCCTCTCGGCAGGGCATGAGAGAAAAGAGGAGGAGGTCAGAGCCGTGGATGAAAAACCGAAGGACCTAAGAGCAGTGCCACGTGATGACAGAGCTCACTTAAGCTGGCTTTTTAGTAAAGTAATAGGTTAGGTCATCTACTAAGGGGAAGAGAAGTGGATCAAATTAAAGCCTTGAAAATATGTTCACAGTTTATTTTTTTTTCCACAGGTAAAGGGTGTTTACCCAGTAAAGGACATTTCTTCATGTTTTCACCTTAATAATATTTTATCAAAGCCATTTTTCTCCTCAAAGCACTCATTTTCCTAGTATTTGGAGAAAGTTTTCAGAGAAAAGCATTTAAGTGACTGAAATTAGTCCACTCCTTAATGTCAACTCTATGTAAAAAAGGACTAAGTGATGGTGATGGGAGTGGTGAAGGGGGTTCCAAATTGCACAACATCACTCTGAAGCATTCACCTTCCTACAGAATGATTATAATACAATTTTTGTAGATCTCTTTTCTAAACCCCTCTATTGGGTTGAATGATGTCCCCACAAAATGCATTTCCCCCTGGAGCCTTAGAATGTGACCTTGTTTGGAAATTAGGTATTTGCAGATGTATGCAGTGAAAATGAAGCCATACTGCATTAGGGTGATCCCTGATCCAATAGGACTGGTGACAGAGAGAAAATTGGACACAGAAGAAAGACAGAGGCAGAAACTGAAGTTATATTATCACAACCAAGGGATGTCTGGGGCTTTCAGAAGCTGGAAGAGGCTGTATTAGTCTGTTTTCATGCTGCTGATAAAGACATACCCCAGATTGGGAAGAAAAAGAGGTTTGATTGGACTTGCAGTTCCACTTGGCTGGTGAGGCCTCAGAATCATGGCAGGAGACAAAGGCACTTCTTACATGGTGGTGACAAGAGAAAATGAGGAACAAACAAAAGCAGAAATCCCTGATAAACCCATCAGATCTCGTGAGACTTATTCACTATCACAGGAAAGAGCAGCCCCCATGATTCAATTGCCTCTCCCTGGGTCCCTCTCACAACACATGGGAATTCTGGTAGCTACAATTCAAATTGAGATTTGGGTGGGGACACAGCCAAATCATATCATTTCACCCCTGGCCCCTCCAAATCTCATGTCCTAACATTTCAAAACCAGTAATGTCATCCCAACAGTCCCCCAAAGTCTTAACTCATTTCAGCATTAACCCAAAAGTCCACAGTCTGAAGTCTCATCTGAGACAAGGCAAGCGCCTTCTGCCTCTGAGGCCGTAAAATCAAAAGCAAGCTAGTTACTTCCTAGATACAATGGGAGTACAGGTATTGGGTAATTACAGCCATTCCATATGGGAGAAATTGGCCAAAACAAAGGGGTTACAGGGCCATGCAAGTCCAAAATCCAGCAGGGCAGTCAAATTTTAAAGCTCCAGAATTATCTCCTTTGACTCCAGTCTCACACTCAGGTCATGCTGATGCAAGAGGTGGGTTCCCATGGTCTTGGGCAGCTCCACCCCTGTGGCTTTGCAGTCTCTGTCCCAGCTGCTTTCACAGGCTGGCATTGAGTGTCTGTGGCTTTTACAGGCACACGGTCCAAGCTGTAGGTGGATCTACAATTATGGGGTCTGGAGGATGGTGGCCCTCTTCTCACAGCTCCACTAGGCAGTGCCCCAGTAGGCACTCTGTGTGGGGGCTCTGACCCCACATTTCCCTTCTGCATTGCCCTAGCAGGGGTTCTCCATGAGGCCCTGTCCCTGCAGCAAACTTCTGCCTGGGCATCCAGGAGTTTCCATATATCTGAAATCTAGGTGGAGGATCCCAAACCTCAGTTCTTGACTTCTGTGAACCCACAGGCTCAACACCATGTGGAAGCTGCTGAGGCTTGGGGCTTCCACCCTCTGAAGTCACAGTCCGAGCTGTATGTTGGCCCCTTTCAGCCACAGCTGGAGCGGCTGGGACACAGGGCACCAAGTCCCTAGGCTGCACACAGCACAGGGACCCTGGGCCCAGCCCATGAAACCACTTTTTCCTCCTGGGCCTCCGGGCCTGTGATGGGAGGGGCTGCCATGAAGGTCTCTGACATGGCCTGGAGACATTTTCCCCATGGTCTTGGGGATTAACATTAGGCTCCTTGCTACTTAGGCAAATTTCTGCAGCCAGCTTGAATTTCTCCCCAGCAAATGGGTATTTCTTTTCTATCCCATAGTCAGACTGCAAATTTTCCAAACTTTTATGCTCTGCTTCCCTTATAAAACTGAATGCCTTTAACAGTACCCAAGTCATTTCTTGAATGCTTTGCTGTTTAGAATTTTTTTCTGCCAGATATTCTAAATCATCTTTCTCAAGTTCAAAGTTCCACAAAACTCTAGGGCAGGGGCAAAAAGCCACCAGTCTCTTTGCTAAAACATAACAAGAGTCACATGTGCTCCAGTTCCCAACAAGTTCCTTATCTCCATCTGAGACCACCTCAGCCTGGACCTTATTGTGCATATCACTATCAGCATTTTGAGCAAAGCCATTCAGCAAGTCTCTAGGAAGTTCCAAACTTTCCCACATTTTCCTGTCTTCTTCTGAGCCCTCCAAACTGTTCTAACCTCTACCTGTTACCCAGTTCCAAAGTCACTTCCATATTTTCAGCAGTGCCCCACATTACTGGGACCACTTTACTGTAGAAGTCTGTTTTCACGCTGCTGATAAAGACATACCAGAGACTGGGAATAAAAAGAGGTTTAATTGGACTTACAGTTCCACATGGCTGGGGAGGCCTCAGAATCAGAGGCCAAGAACAATTTTTCCCTGCAGGCTTCCAAGGGAGCATGGCCCTGCCAACACCTTAATTTTGGACTTCTGGCCTCCAGAACTGTGAGGGAATAAATGTCCATGTTTTATGTCACCCAGTTTGTGGTGCTTTGTTTCAGCAGCCCTGAGAAACTAATACACCCACCAAAAGGAACAAGGGATGTAAATCCTGTAACTATTGAATGCTACCTATATTAGGCATCTTAAGAATAAATCAAAAATCAGAAGTATCATTTTCTGCCAGAACTTAGCTTTGTTGAGCCTGCACCCCTCTTTGGAAATACCAGGAAAAATATTTATTAAACTGTCATTGTAAACAGAGTGTGGTTTATCTGAAAATCCTGGAAAACAGATGGGAGTGGACCTGAGATAAAATTATCTTTAAATTTCACCATGTAAAAAATTACCCAAGTACTGTTAGTCCCAAAGTTCTACAGTAGAGGTCAAATGGGAATGAGAACTAATCACTTCAAATAACGAATTGGTAGAAAAAAAAAATAGCTCAAGGTCCTAATCCATGTCTCCTTAAAAAGAGAGACACCAATTAGAGCACTGAACCTGGAGCAACGTACAGTAATGAAAGCAAACAAGAGTGAGGTATCCATCTGGAACTACTTGATAACACATCAAAGAGAATCACCAACACACAGACGCCAGAGGGAGTGGAAAGGACAAAGCCCACTGCATGTGTGAAGCCTTCCCTGCTGAATTTACCACATATTTGGATAAAAACAACCTGACTCTCTCCACTTTAAGCCTATGAGATATCACACAAAAGAATAAATCAAAATTTAGAGATCAAGGTCTGAGGTTGTGTTGCAGTTACTCTGGAGAGGTGGTGAAAAGATACCACAAAGTGCCACGGAATAGCAAAAAAGAAACCTTAGGAGTAAGCTTCTGCTTTCTCTTGAAACAATATATTTGGAAGGGAGATAAAAGGAGAAAACTATTTTTTTTTAATTTAGAGAGCTCCTGGAAAACATGCTGTATTTATGAGTACAAAATGGAAAAAAATTATAATGGAGTGGAAAGGGCCACAGTATGAAGAAGTTATAGAGGATATTACTTATAAAGAACATTAAGATTTAATTTGAAAATGGGCCAGAATCATTATAGACTTCTACAAAAATTTGTAGATCAAACTGGCTTTTTAGAAAGATGCTTCTCACTGATCTGTGAGCAGCATCATTTACAGAACAGAGAAGGCAATAAAAAGAATTCAAGCATGAGGCAATCGAGTATACAGACTGGGTTATGAGTATAAAAACACCAGGACATAGGATTCGAAATGGATTAAATAGAACAGACTTGCATTCAGATCTGCATTCCTTCCATAAACTCTTCAACCAAAACCTCCAGTCTTTTGTTCTCCCACTCTCAAAAGGATAATCCATCAATCCTCTGCCTTAAATCCATTGATCCCAACAACTTTTTTATTGTTCCTGTAAATCAAAGAAAATGACAGAGACAAGTCTCAATCATTTTAGGAGGTTTATTTGCCAAGATTAAGGACACACCCAGGAAAGACCATAGATCTACAGGAAAAATTGTGGTCCATTGTTTTTCTGAAGAGGGTCTGGGAACTACAATATTTAAAGGAAAAAGAGTGAGTATTGGGGAAAGAGGAAGAAAATTTTTAAAAGGTATGAGTAGATAAGAGGCAAGTGGTTGCATTCTTTTGAGTCTTTGATTAGCTTTTCACTGAATGCACAATTTACATGAGAGAAGGGGATAGAGAAATAGTCATTTATACCATCATCTAGCTCTGTGAATCTTCATTTTTACATAAAATAAATATAGGGTAGAGGAAGCAATAGATAGATATGCATTTGTCTCAGGTGAGCAGAAGGATGACTTTAGGTTCTATCCTTTGTCCTGTACCTATGAAGATAAGCTATCAATTTACATTGCCAGGGTGAAATGCAACAGAACTGTTTTAGGATAAAGATCATGGGGCCCATGAGGAATTTCTCTGTAGGCAAATTGTGAGGAGGGTATGTAGCTTTTTTTTATCTTCGTATCTATCTTTTTAGGAACAAAACGGGAGGCAGGTTTGCATGACCCAGTTCCCAGCTTAACTTTTCCCTTTGGCTTTAGTGAGTTTTTGGGTCCTTTTTATATCCTTCATCTCCATTATGTTCTCACTTCTCTGCCTACACAAATTACATTCCATAGATCACCATTATAATCACTCCTTTTCACATGCCCCCAGTGGCCCATCCCCCTCTCCTTCCAATATATTTACCTGGCTAAATACTATTGTTCCCTAAGTTCAAATCATCACCTACTTCACCCTTGCACCTAAACAACTGAATGGGGCTGAAGAAAAACACACAACCATGCACAACTCTCTCCCTTTGATTTCATAATCCCTAAACTCAAGAGGGCTCTTGCTCAGCAATCATGCTGCTTTCCTGGCTCATTCACTCTCCCAGTTGCATAGATAATTATTTCATGTCTTTTCTGTCCTCAAATCTCCAATACTATCTCCCTTCAACTGATGATCTTGTTTTCTATTTCTCTGCAAATACAGTGATATCAAAAGAGAAATCTTCACAGTCCTATTGCCATATCTATCTTTATATCTGCCTTTTTTCTTGTTACTAGAAATCATAACATGCTCTTATCTAAGTTTAACCCCTTCTCTTGTACTCTAGGTCTGATCCGCTCTTACACCTAGTCAAAGACATCACCCCAATATTTATCCTTCGTCCTTCTTTATTGCCTCATATCTCTATTTTACTTTATAGGTAAACTTAATATTCTGTCCTGAATGTCATTCTTACCTTAATCTACTTCATACAGGCTTTTGTCTTTACTTAAACGAAACTAAGCTTATCAGGTCACCAGTTTTCACACCATTGTATGTGCAATGATAAATTCTTAGTCTTCATCTCATTTGACCATCATCAGCATTTGACACAATTGATCACTCCCCCTTTGAAACATTTTCTTCACAAGGCTTCCAGAATAGCACTTCTTCTTGTTTCTCCTCCCACTTCACTGTGGGTCTCTTCTGGTTTTTCTTTCTTTTTATTCATTTCAGCCTATAAATATTATAATGACTCAGGGCTTAGTCGTCAGATACCTTCCCTCCTTTATCTATAGTCTTCCAAAAGTGATGAAATCTAGTCTCATGGCTTTAAAAAATCTTCTATGGCCGGGTGCAGTGGCTCACGCCTCTAATCCCAGCACTTTGGGAGGCTGAGGAGGGTGGATCACGAGGTCAGGAGATCAAGACCATCCTGGCTGACACAGTGAAACCCTGTCTCTAGTAAAAATACAAAAAAAAAAAAAATTAAAATTAGCCGGGTGTGGTAGTGGGCACCTGTAGTCCCAGCTACTCGGGAGGCTGAGGCAGGAGAATGGTGTGAACCTGGGAGGCGGAGCTTGCAGTGAGCCGAGATAGTGCCACTGCACTCCAGCCTGGGCGACAAAGCGAGACTACGTCTCAAAAAAAAAAAAAAAAGAAAGAAAGAAAAATCATCTATACATGGATAACTGCCAAATATGTCTTCTTTTCCCAGAACTTTCCTCTGAACTCCAACCCTACATGTCCAACAGCCGTATGTCATAATTCCTCATTGCATATATGTTATGGGATTAATAATAAGTAAACATAGTATATTTACATTTTAATGGGATGCCCGTTATTTTAAAAATAACATAATTAAAATGGATTTCTTAATTCCCCCATCTCTACCCCAAGATTTCTACAGTCTTCTCCATTCATTCTTCCTAGTTGCTCCCACCAAGAACCTTGGAATCACCCTTGATTCTTCTCTTTCTCTCAGACCATTCATGAAATTTATTACCAAACCCTTTTGTTCAAGCCACCATTATGTCTCTCCAAAATTATTATAGGAGCTTACCAAACAATCTCATTGCTTCCACCATTGGCCTTCTACACCATATGTTTCACACATAAGCCAGGATGGTGCTTTCAAATGTAAGTCAGATCAGATCACAGTCAGAACAGGAAGTGTTAGTGTTCTGAGCTAATAAGTTAGTCTGCTGCAGTTTCATAATAATGGGAGAAGACACAAAACTACTAGGTCAGAGACAAAAGATAATTTATTACTCACATTAATAATAGTCAGTCTAACATTGTTATACCGGTTCACTAAGCCCCAGTTCTCACAGGATGATGTAGGGCCAGGTATTGACAGCACATGGAGTGAGGTCTGTTATAGGATAGGGGCACAAATGTTAGGAAGTCCTGGTGTTATATGAATAGCCGCTGACAAAACTGCCTTTCCTCCTTTCCAGATGGAGATATCTCTTTCTTTATTACCCAGCAATATAAACAAATCTGCTCCAGAAAAGAAAAAAAAACTCCATCTTCCTAGGTTACTTGCTATGTAAACATCATTAAACAGATAGTTCAGAGCAAATTATCTGTTAATGCCTTTGAAGATGTACAGAAATGTGAAAGACTCCTGGGAAATTTTGTCCCAACAATTACTTCTCTCCTTAAAGCCCTCTAATGGTTTTCCATTTCATTTATAGTAAAAGCCAAATTCAGTGTAAAGGCTTGCAAGGTCCTATGCGGTGTTATCCTTTGCTCTCTATTAGAGCTCATCTCCTACCACTGTCACTCTTAGCCACTCAGCTGCAGCCACACTATCATCACTACTGTTCTTTAAAATGCCATGTATGCTCCTACCTTGACTAACCATCGAAATATCTCCCAGCTATATATTATGCTCACTTTCTTTAGTTGCTTCTCTGTCTAATGTTAACTTATCCAAGACTCTTCCTAGATCATCATATATAAAATAAGTTATAAAATAATAACCCAGCAATCCCTGTCTCCCTTTACCCTGCTTTAAATTCCTTCATTGTTTGTGACCACTTGACACATTATCCATTTGCATGTTTATTGTCAAAATTACCTCATTAATATGAAAGCTCCATTAAGGCACTTGAAATAGTGTCTGGTACATAGCACCTAAGAGGAAGGAAGGGAGAAAGGAGAGAAGGAGGGAGAGAGGGAATTCAAAGGGAGAAGGAGGGCAGAGTGAAAGGAGGAAAAAAACATGAAAAATTATTCTAAGGTGGCAAGTCTGAGGAAGTTTAAGGAGAGTAGCACCATGGCAAACTTGGCTATTATTCATTTTTTAAGAAAAAAATCACTAATAAGCAAAAGTTTTAGTAGGTTAAATGTAACTTGATAAAAGGTTATTCAAGTGCTCTATTTTAAACCAGTATTTCTCATATGGGAGTCCATAGACCTCAGAGGATAAATGAGCATATTCGTATGAGTCTAATGATTTTCTAAGAGATTTTTAAACTTTTTAATTTTTAACTTTGATTTTGATAAAAATAAAACATATATGTACTTAGCAATGTAAGATTATACAAATAGTAATTTATGTCAACACTGGGGGTCCACAGGTATTTTTACCATAAAAAGTATCCAGCATTTCTCAAATATGAGAGACATGGGTGCCTTAGCTCTTCACAGCTCCAAAGTATACATTCTATTGTATCTTCCACTGTTGCTCTCCCATTTTTTCCTATTCAGGAATGTGTCTATAAATTTAGGGGAATTAGATGACTCTTTAGTTAATATGTCCTAATATTCAACCTCTAATGTAACTCGGGCTCTGAAAGCCATAAATATTAAAACTCCCATAATCATAAAACTTTTCAAGATCTGAAGTGTTACCTTCACTGTCAGAAGAGCAATTAAAATGTATTCAGAGGAGTTCAATTAGCTTATTGTATAAGCAATTGTTTGCCACTGCCCACTCAGAGGCCAGTATAAGCTTTAGCCTTGGCAGGATGAATTGCTAATTTGTGTCAGGTGATAACAAGGGTCTACTCCAGAGCAGCATTCAGGAGGTCTGTTTAACTTCTAATCAACCTTTATATTAGTCTTCTTGGGCTGCATAACAAAACACCATAAACTGGGTGGGTTAAACAATAGAAATGTACTTTCTCACAGTTCTGGAGGCTGGAAGCCTGAGATCAGGGTGCCAGCAGGGTAAGTTCTGGTGAAGGCTCTCTTATTGGCTTACAGACAGTGCCTTCTTTCTGTGTCATCACATAGTGAAGAGAAGGAGAGGGTAAACTCTATGGTGTCTCTTCTTGTGAGAGCACTTAATCCCATCATGAAAACCCCACCCTCATGAACTCATCTCAACCTAATTAGCTCCCAAAGGCCCAGTCTCCAAATATCATCACGCTGAGGGTTAAGGCTCCAACATATGCATTTTGAGGGAACACAATGCAGTCCAGAGCAATACTTAATATGACACAGCTGTTTTGTATTTCAGAGCATTCACAGCTCCCATTCCCTAGGAGCTGTTCATAACCAGAAACTCATCCTGGCACTCAGCAACTCTACGCAGGGCTCCCAGCTTCCTCCCTCTTCAGCCTTAGCATCTACCTCACCTCTTAACTGACTCTCAGTGTTTTCTCTCTGAAGATGGGCAGAAGTGTGGTCTTGGATGGCTACAAGAGAAGTAGATCTCTGCAAGACAGGTAGAGCTCCACCACAACTTTTTAACATATACTAACACGAACTTGATATTTTAAAGTGCAGAAATCAAAGTGTAGAATCAAAGTGTAGAACCTATATAGGTTAGTTGCATATATTTAAACATGTATATACGTGTGTGTATATATGGATATAATATGTATATGGTATCATTAAGTAACATACATACCTCTGGAAAAGGGAACTAGATGATCAAGGGACAGAATAAGAAAAATATTTGCTTTTTAAAATAAGCCCTTTTGGACTTTTGGAATGGTGAATGCAGTGCATGGATTTCCTTTTTAATAAACATATAAACAGACTTAGAACCTATCTTCTTTATTGGGTGAACTTCTTAGTAATGTTGATGCAAGGCAGGTAGGCATCCCACGCCTTGGGGGAATGGTAGAGCATGGCATTTGTGTGATTAGATGAAAGCCACTGCTACTAATACCTTTTAGTATAGAGAGCTGTTCTCTATGGAGGATGTAAGCACACAATTGCATAGGAGTAAGGTTGAAGAGTCCCAGGGAACACAGACATTGAGATTTTGATTCTTCTTTGAGATTGTTGTTATTAGAAACTTTCTTGTTGATCAATATGGTATCACTAGTAAGAATGACTTAAAATAGTCCCCAAGGATGACATTACCATTATGGGAAAGGCATCTGGACTGGTAAGCTAGCTCACAGCCAGGACCAATAATTTATGGTGGAAGGGCTAATTGCAGCATAGCAGCATCTGTGGATGGACTTCCTTGCTGAGCCTGCTCCCTGACAGGTGCCCATATTTGGAGTATAATAGCTGAGCATGTGAATATGAACTAAAGCTGAACTTGGCAGCCCAAGTCTGAAGCACCCTTGCAAAGTGTCACAATGAGGGAGTGAGATCATCTTCTCTAGAAGTACCTCTACAGTCTCTCAAATTCTGCCCCATCCTTCATGTTAAAATCATTATAAGTACTGGGAGCCCAGCTAGGCTTAACAGTGTAGGGAGAAACCTATAAAACATCCCCTCCCTACACTAGAAAACTACTAGATCTTCAGTGGTGGCATTGCAACAGTGAAGTGTATGCCAGCGAAAATTATAAGACTTTCCATTTTTAGCAGCAACATATGAAAACAGAAACAAAATCAGCAAAATACAATGATGTCCTCTTTCCTGTGACAGTTTAGAACTGTGGCTATCCTTTTGACTAAGTAAGCTCCTGAAGGATTATGAGTAATTTTTAATTTGATGGAAAAGAAGAAAATTTTTGAATCAGATACTGGACTTTCTAGTAATTTGTGCACATGAATAACCAAACCAGTGTCAATTTGAAAAATAAAATAGATATGAACTCCTTTATACTCCAAGCTGGTGAAGTGGACCATACCAGTACCCTAGGAAAGAAGAACTGCATCCGTGAGCAGCCTCTGCACTGCCCAGGAAAAGCCAAACAGTCCTCACAAACCACTGGTTCAGAACAGAGCTGGACCTCTTGGAGCCTGAAACTAGAAGGCGGTTCACTTAGAATTTAAGAAATTAATGAATTAATTCAATACTTTTTCAAAAGAAAAGTGCAGCCTAAATTTATAGAATTAAAGGTTCTATACATCTCTCTTGTTCCTGAAACCACTTAACGTGCCTAACCCCTTAATGTATGCATTACAGTATATTATGATTAAATCATAGTTTAATTATGCTCCACAAACATCCTTGTTGTACTAACAGCCCCTAATGAGACTATAAGTTGAATATATTAAATTTAAAACCATTATGCTGAGAATGAAACAAAAAATCATTAGTTATTATGCTAATATGGTGATCTTTTAGACATGAGCTGATTGTTGGGCCAGGCTTTATTACAAAAGGAGGATTAGGGCTTGATTTAATGGCTTCCTCTTTCCATGCCCCAAGGTTACTGTAGCAAATTCTACTGGATTATTGGGCAGAGATAATGGGGGTAAGAATCAAGAAAGTTCACACAGTAGGAAGAGCTCCAAAATGTGTTTTTGAATCTTGGATTTAAAATTATAAGAGTTTCAGCTACTTAAGGAAGGTGAAGATCTCAGCCAAATTGCTTGGCAACAGCTTGGCTGTATGATAACTCTGTGGGCTTATTTTGTAACTTTATTTGCTCTCCCAGGAAAATACTGAGACTACAGCCATGTATAGATACCATAATTCAATACTCAAATAAAATTTGAATTGTTAATTTTTTTAAACAAATTATAAAGAGTAATACAAATTATATATCATTTTGGTTTTGTCTGATCCTGCTGCATACCGAAGAATATCTTAACCAGCCAATAAACCACATGTGAAAAGAAAGAATTTTTAGTATATGTATTCTATTACATGTTATGTTTCTTAATCCTTATTGATTTACTTTGCTCAGTAAAACATTTTACTGTACACAGAAGCAAGCTTAGAAGCTTTCTGCAAATTGAGTATTATGTTTCTCTTATTAGCGGCCCCTAGAGTTTTCAGTTATAACGATTTTTATTTTGACCACCCTATTAATTGGTGAGAACCTATATGAGTTTATAAATATATTTCCTTGTGCCCAATATTGCACACTAACATAAAACTTTAAGAGATTAATGGGTACATCACTTCTTCTCCATAGTGAGTAAATATTAGGCTTGGTATTCTTGTCACCATGGCATGAGGTGGGTACTTTGCAACCTTATCATACTTGCTCTCTACCATAAGAGCCTTTTATTTTTGATATTTCACAGCTATTTAGGTATCACAAGTACTACGGAAATGTCATATTCTGAGGTAGAAAGCTCTACCCCAATCAATGACCCATCTTACTTTTATTTAACAACCGTATAGAATAGAAGCTTCATTTCCAGCACTACATTAATAATGAATGACAATAGTAAAGTTGGGAGATCAATGATAAATTAATTCAAATGAATAAAATCACAATAACTGAGAAAAATGAGACAAAAAGATAAAATCATGATGACTGAGAAACTAAAAAGGCAAACTAAGCAAAAACAAGATGAAAAAACCCTAAAGCAAGAATGATAATCTTATAATGAAAATTGTTAAAAGTTGATCTAATAGAAAGTAGCAAACTTATCAAAATAATTACAAACATAAACCGAGAAGAATAATATTTATGTAAAATATAGAAATGTTTTGACCAGGCATGTTGGCTGGCCTGGTTCGGTGGCTCATGCCTGTAATCCCAGCACTTTGGGTAGCTGAGGTGGGTGGATCACTTGAGGTCAGAAGTTTGAGACAAGCCTAGCCAACACAGTGAAACACTGTCTCTACTAAAAATACAAAAATTAGCCAGGTGTGGTGGCATGTGCCTGTCATCCCAGCTACTCCAGAGACTGAGGCACAAGAATCACTTGAACCCGGAAGGCAGAGGTTGCAGTGAGCCGCAATTGTGCCACTGCACTCCAGCCTGAGCAACAGAGTGAAACTGCAAAAAAAAAAAAAAAAAAAAAAAAAAAAAAAAACCTTTAATATACACAAAGAAATTTTAAATTTTATTTAAAGCAAAATACAGAACACTTTAAAAATTACCTTATAAACATGCTAAGATATATTTAAATTAAAATCACGGTAAGTTACCCTTTATAACAGACTCATCATTAGCCTCTGCTCACTATTACTACTGCCTGTGTTAGGGGTCTCTACTCTAGCTTTTTTCCCTTATAGAGTAAATGCTGACTGTGCTAAATTAAGTTCACCAACACTTAAATGTCATACACCTGTACCCTCATGACTCATTTGCTCCCTAGAATAGATTATCAGAATTTCAAAAATGAAATAGATTATACAAGAACAATATGATTCTACAGAGATGAAAAATGTTATGAGGATATGAATTATTAGTAAGTTATCTTAAGAAACCCTGTCATTAATCCCCAGAGACCATCTAAGCTAGATTAACCTCCTTATTTTAAAAGGCAGAATAGGTTTATCAAGATAAGAACATAATTTTTTGAATACATTAGTTTCCCAAGCATAAATATAATACTTACCAATCCTCTTCTTTCTCTCTTTTACTTCTACTTAGTAATACTTTTAATTTGGTAATTTTATTACTTCTCAGGCAATGTGTGTATATAGTTGGGGGCTAATAATATAACACAAAATATTCTTTAGTAATCCCTAACTTGAAAAAGGAGGTGCATAGTGCATAACTGTGGTCTTGGGTTAGATCCTGAGGCAATCCAAAGGGTTGTACATGCAGAATCTTCTCTCTCTGCAATGCTGATGTCTGTAAAGAATTTACTGAGTTTTTGGAAGTCACAGAGAGGAGTGCATGTCCAAAAAGTACTACTGTTTTGTTTTGTTAGTTTTTTATT
Source organism: Homo sapiens (assembly GCF_000001405.40). NCBI lineage: Eukaryota > Metazoa > Chordata > Mammalia > Primates > Hominidae > Homo > Homo sapiens. Next base: position 142,978,019 of record NC_000004.12, read on the forward strand.
TCAATGACAGTTATATTATGGACACTGTTTTGGAAATTCTGCGATATTAACATTTTGTTAAATTGTGATATAATCACATTCATACACATAAACACACAGATACGCTGAATATTAATTTGCCGATGGTTTTGTTATTTCAAGACTTTCAGCAGTGAAGATCACAGAATTAAGAGTAGAACCAAATTCAGACAACCAAATGTATGGCTTGGATAAAAGTTAGAGGTCAGGTACTGAAGAAGGCTAGAAACTGATAACAAAGTTGGAATTAGAGGCCAAAAGCTATGTATTTAATCAGGGATTATAGATAATGCAGTTGCCAAAGATTAAGACAAGTCAGCACATTGAGACCAGGAGCTGTGAGAATTTGAGAGACAAAGATGAGGAGTACTGAACTAGAACAAGAGCAGGAAATACAGCTTGGCCACTTCCTTCTAGAATAAAAACCAGTTCCATAATGTGATAGCCTAGGACCTAAAACCAAAGGCTAAATGTGTTAATCTGGTTAGATGTGACATTCAAAGCTAGGGTAAATATGCCCTCTCAGTTCCTGGGAATCCTTCCATAAATCCTGTAAGAGGTTATGCCTGAAAACATTTGTGACCGAAGCATTTTAAAGTTTGAGATAGAAAATGGTTATGCCTTAAACTGTTAGAAACGTTTGTATCTCTCACAATCTTTGAATGCATTTTTGCCTTTGTAGGAATGTTTGTTTAAAGACACTCTAAGTGACCATTTCCACACATTACTTACTTCTGGGGAAGCCTAAGAAACAGTCCCAATACTCCGAGTGACATGCAAAATTGACCACTATGAATTTCCGTGAATGCTCAGAGAATTTTCAAACAAAACAAGTCTTTCCTACAGGCAATTAAACACCTTGGGAAAAGTCAATGACAGCTCTACATGGTTTTGAGCTTGAATTTCAAATCTATTCGTTTTTTTTTTAGTTCCAATAAATAAGAACTATTCTCCCTAAAGCACAGAAGGCATAAAACAAAATTCAGGAGAAATACTACAACATTTAGGTTACAATGATGCTAACTAACTGAAACTGACACATATTTTCTGATCTGCCAAGAAAAAGAAAAAGAAAAAAGAGAAAAATGATAAGAGCAATAGAAACTTGTAAAAAAAACAATTATTAATCAATCGTCTACCCCCAATTATGCTTTCCGTAGGTTTAATCATTGACAAGACCTCTCAAATGGCAATTCAGTTTTATGGGAAAGAATTGAAAAAGGTCATAACACATCACTTAGGTACTTAATAATGCAGATTGTTTCATTACATTCATCTTTGCCTCTCTACATCCATTCATTAAGGAAGCAACAACTTCTAGTGCTGAATACTAAGTAGAGGATAGGTAGTGGTGCATAGAGGACTTGATGGCAAGTTCAGCCTTCAGTAAGAGCAGAGTGAAGCAGGCTCTCTAGAGATGGTACTGGTAATGAACTATCTCTAACATATTATTCAAATTTCAAAATATCCAAAAATAAATTTACTTCTTCACACTTTAAGAACCAAAAACTCAGAGAAAAAAAAAATCTCACTCTGTATAACAAAGCCGCCCTAAATGAATGTCTGCTATATACCAGAAATTTGTTAGAGGTTGTGCTCACAAACTTGGTTAGAAACTTAAGAGTTCATAAGGGAATTCTAGCAATAAAGGCATAGATAATATATAAACTGAAAGAGAATTAAACTATCACATTACTTTACAAATACCAGGACCAGAAAAATAATTTCTTGTTCAAGTTTGATAAATCATACAGAAATGGGGAAAAAGGGATCTTTAAAAATTAAAAAAAAAACCCCTCTGTGATATGTAAGTAATAACATAGCTATTTCCCTGAAAATATAGAGAGATATCTATCTCTAAATAATATTTATCCAATAAGTAAAATAAAAGCTTATTTTCTCTTTGGTTTTATTATATCAATGAAATATAAGTAATCATGGACTCAGTGAAGTAAAAGATAAAACATAAGATGAAAATTGATCTGGCATAAGAAAGTAAAAATACAGAGAAATCCCAAAGAAGCACAAAAAAAATAGAATAATTAAAATATGCATTGGAACATGTAAAGGACAGAACTAAGACTGCAAATAATGTAATCAGTAACAACCTAGAGAAGTTCTCTAAGAAAATCATAAATACAGTGAAAGAGAAAATTCAACATGTGAATAATCACCACTGAGAAAGAAATAAGAATAGAGAAGCAATCATCAAAGAGATATTAGAAAGGAAAAATATAATGTCCTAAGTGAAAAAAATCAAAGCACAGACATTGATATATCAAAAAGGGTTACCAAATTCTAGACAAAATTAATATAAAGTAGGCTAAATTAAATATAAACTGTATAAATTTTTTAGTCTGACATAAGATTTTGTAAAAATTCAGGAAGACAACAAAAATAGTTTTGGAGAATTGAAAAAAGTCAGGCCTGCCTTATTCAACCCAGAATACCAGAACTGTATTCAGAACTGGGGGAAATAAAAGATGTGGTACTTATTTTATACCCAGACAAGATAACGTGGACAAATGGCTCAGGGAATATAACTACCCAAGTGTATCTACCTGAAATTAAACAAAATTTGTTATCAGAATATTGAGAGCAAAACCAAAAGTAACAATGAGGGACTATGTCAAGCAATTAAAAATATTAAATATCTGCAAATATGATGTATTAGTTAGAGAAAAGGTTAAGAAGCTAAAACAAAAGGCTGCAAAATACAGGGGCTGAAACAAGACTGCAGCTTACTTTCTCTTACAAGAGTTTAGAGGTAGGAAGCCAGTCCCTGGTGGGAGGCAGACAATCCATTAGGTCATATGGAAACCCCAATTCCTTTGGTATAATTGCTCTGCCATCTCTTAGAGTGTTATCCTCATGAATATGGTGAGAGCTCGCATGGACAATCATGTCCATATTCTAGGCCATGGAAACTGGGAAAAAGAGGGGGTAAAAAACAATCAATTTCTTTACATAAAATTGATCTGGAAATTGCACACGTTGCTTTGCTCACATCCAATGGAGCAACACTTAGTCACATGATCTCATCTAGCTGCAGGGAGATTAGAAACTACAGTCTCTAATTGAGTGGACACATGACCAATTAAAACTCAGAATGTATTTGTATGTATGAAGGAGAGGTATTTTTTTTAAAGAGCTGAGGATAACGAATACTGATGTTCAATTTGCTAACTACTGTCTTTGCCATATATTAAAATTAAATTTTAATATATGCCCAAATTAAAAACAAAACTGAGGCATGAAAAAGAAACAAAGTTGAAATCTGTAACGAAATAAAAATAATAATTAACATTCAGAAATCTAGATTACTTTGGAGAATCAAGAAAAAGTAATAGAAAAATATATGCCAAAACATTCATTTTATTTAGACTCAAAAAGTCTTATTTTTAAATATATTAAACTAGAAAAAGTTTAGTTTTAACATTAAAGTAATTTCCATTTGAAGAAGATAAAACAAGATGTTTATCTTTCAATCACTAGAAAAAGTGAAAGGAGAAGCAAAGAAAAAAATAATGCAACAGCAAAGAAACATTTTAAATTAAAAAAAGAAAGATGAAAGAAATAAGATCACTCAAAAGAATTTGGACAAAAAATAAAATAACTGAACTCACCTATTAAAACAAAATTTAACAATGTTCAGCTTCAAAACTCACACATAACACAAGGACACCAAAATGCTAAAAACAAAAGGAAACAGAAAGATTGACTAGGCAAAATCAGACCAAAGGAAAGCTACTAGTAATATTAATTTCAAACAAAGTAAAATTGAATTTAGTAAACTATTAAAAAGATAGTCATTTCTGCTGATAAGCAATTTAAATTACAATGAAGATAAATCAGTCATGAACTTCTTTGCTGGCAGTAGATGTCAAACACTGATAGAAAAATTATTTTTGTTGTGAGAATTTAAAACTCTCTTTTACAGAACAAAGACTGACCAAGGTCTTACAAGGATTTCAATAGTACAATTAGTAAGATTTTTTATTAGACAGAGTAAACTTTATTCTACAGAGAACATTTTGAAAATGTTATCATGTAGCTGTTCATGAAGATAATCTCAATAAATGCCAAGAAACAATATATTTTACAGCTCACATTCTCTGACTGAAAATGAAAACTGGTAATTAACAACAAAAATTTTAAACAGAAACTCCCTAATCGCTTGTAAATGTAGAATTGCCTTGCTCAATAACTCTAGGATGAACAGAAAAATAAAAACTGCAATCATAAAATATTTTTTAAATTAAATGTCTGGTTATTAAATAAAAATGGAAGTAAATGAACTCATAATTCAACTCCAAATGGTGAGGGGAAAAACATTTAAGAAAACAGGATGAGTAAAATCATTTACTCTTTATTCAATCATTTATTCAGCAAATATTTTGACAAAGTCTAAAATGTTCCAGACATTGGTTTAGGCACTGAGGATACAGGGAACTTACATTTTAGTAAGCAATAAATAAGTAAATAAGTAAACATAAGTAAAAAGTAAACAAGTTCTTATATAACAATTATATAGAAATCAATGTAAAGAAACATATAGCAGGATAAGGAGTCAGAGATGTAAATAGGATAGGAGGAAATAGCTATTTTAGATAAAATAGTCACAGGGGTTTATCTGAACAGGTGACATTTGAAAAGCGATTTGAAAGACAGAAGTGAGCAAAACAAGCAAACATCTGGAAGAATTTGATGAAAAATGCAGAAATTGGTAAATCAGTAAACTGAGAGCTGATTCCTAGGAAAAGTTATGTATACCCCTGAAAACTAATATTAAGAAATAAAAAAGAAAGCATGCACACACAAATGTAAGAGACTGTAACAACAAACATAAAAGAGACTTAAAAAAATAAACATATGTATGATATAGCATAGTTAGTGCATTGACTTTTGTTCTGGTTATATTGTGAGGCATTCATTATTCTTCAGAATGATAAATACTGAGCTATTAGCTCAGCTTTCCTCTAAATCATACCTCAGTAAAAAGCCCTGTGATTCCCAGCACATTCTTGTCCAGCAATTTTGCTGCCTTTTCAAACTGTGCTAAAGTTTTAACTCACTTAATGGCCATTTTGCTCAAAGAAACACACATTTCATCACTTACAAAGTTACTGTTGACAAGTAGAGAACAACAAAGCCACAATGAGATAAAAGCGGCTTTGGACCCAGACCCAGACTTGTTCAGTCCAAATTCTTACCTCAGCAAAATTTTAAGTTCCTTATGTCATGGCTATTAAGATCCAATTGTGAAGAGCTGAAACAAAAATATACTACACCCACTAAATAACTCCATAAAATGATTACGAAGCAAAAAGCCAAGATGATATATAGTTTTTCTAAGAAAATAAATATTTTAAGAAATAAAGAAAAAATCAAAAATTTAGGAAATAGGATTTTGAATTAGACGTTCCTGTGGTCTGGGAATTTGGGATAAATGTTCAAAGAAACTTTGCTTTAAAGAGAATACCAAGGACTTGCCAAATGTCCACTGTGGGCTTATTAAAAGAAATCAGAATCAGACCTGATCCCTTCACCCCCATTTACCCATGTCCAGCTTATTTTAAAAGAAAGCAATGCTAAAGGAGGTTAATGTACTGCAGAACTGAACTGAGGTGTGAGCTGTCAGCCGAGACAGAAGAGTGTAATGGGTTTCCCCCTCCATTTCCTCACTTCAGTCTAATTAAGGAGAGAGTCCAAGAGAACCAGTTATAGAGATTAGGAGTGCCTAAAGGAAGAGGCGATTGACATTCCCTTCTCTGTCTGATTAGCATAGAATATATGGACCTTGGCCCTGCCAGATGCAGAGGAGACTGTGGTAAGAGAGCTTTTGGGAGAACCTGACACATATTCCTTGTAGCTGACTTGAGCAGGTGGCAAAAGCAGGAACAAGGAGAGAGGGCAGCAGAAGAGGGCCTTCACTAGAAGTTATTTTAAAAAGGTGTTGTGGTCTTAAAGGTGCCCCACAAGAGAACAACCAGAGGACCTCACTATTAGGGACCTCAGATATACTGCCAGGATGGTGAAGAAGTCTCTGTGGCACTCCAAAGAATTAACATCGGCAGTCTGCGGTCTACAAAGACATCAGTGACAATGATAGTTAAGTGGTAAAACTTTTGTTACTCTCTCGAAGTCCCCAAGCACCCCATCCCATCCCTGTGGGAGCCTATTCAGCAGATAGACAGAGAAGAGGAGAACAAATGGGAGAAGGGCAGTGAAATAACAGACCTTGTCTTGGCTCTTGATGCTTTCTAGGATTATATCAGTAAAAAGGATCCAGGAGCTAACTTCAAAGGGTTACCACAGCTCACAAATGAAATAAATTGAGCATGGATAGGAATATTGACTGCAATAATTTGAAATGTATCTAATATGTTAAAATCTTGGATGCTTTAACAACAAAAAAGGAAAAGGAGCCAATGTTTACCGTAGGAAGATGCTAAATAAACAAATAATTATCCTGAAAACCAATACATAAAGAGAAAAAATCAGGAGTACAAGAATAAAACACCATGGAAGTTGTATAATGAAACTTAAGCTCAGAGTCTCCAGAGTTCAGTGCAATCTCCAGCACACAGTAGCAAATTAATAAATAATTTTAAATTAAAGGCAAAAAAGAGGGACATCAGAAAGATGGGGGAATATGAAGCATTTTATCTTCCTCCTCCCCATAGACAGACAAATTCAACAATAACAATACATGGACCAATTCCCTGTATGAGAAGTCCAGAAACGAACTGAGGGGCTCCTAAACCACAGGCAAGAGCAACACGAGCCTAACTGAAGATGGTGGAAAAATTCAAGGTTCCTCCTCTCAACCACATGATCAACAACAACAATAACAAAACCAGTTCCCAATTTTCTACCTGGGGAGATAAGAAAAGGACTGGACCATACTTCAAAAGTTATGACTTTTCTGGGTGCTGCCCAAGGTTTATTTCTGCCTGGCTGAATCTGAATGCTGTCAGGAAAGGTCCCCAGTTGGAAGCCACTGAGAACAAAAGCAGCAGGTTGGACTTGCATGCACATACTTTCCATATGCCCTCCCTCTGGCTCAGTCCTGAGTCAGTGGGGCAAAACCCTCAAATCCCAACTTCTCCCTGGAGAGAGAAAGAGTTGAATTGTTCATTCATCATTCCAAATTTTCCAGGGACTGCCTGAGGGATGGTTTTTGTTGTTGTTGTTGTTGTTGTTTGTTTGTTTGTTTGTTTGTTTTTCTCACCTGTCTCAGAATACCCACAGGACCCAGTATACTCTAGGTGCCTTAGGAAGGACTGTTGAGAACAACCACAGAAAAAGAGCTTGGGGCGTGCTGCTGCCCCAGAAGACCCATACAGCAAAGAACACCAGAGGGAGCAAGAGATTACAAACGCCGGAAGGAAAAAAAAAAAGCTGGCAAATCCAGCTAATTTGGATAACACAACTTCAGATAAAATGCATACAGAGACATTTGAGAGGCCCCCAGTATCTCTGGCTGGGCTGACTGGTGAGGGTCTTCTCCCATACAAGGCCAGTCTGTGAAGACTGGTAGGGATGTCTATTTTTCCTAATATGCAGATGCCAACACAAAAAGTCAAGGAAAACGAAGAAACAAGAAAATACAGCCAGAACAAAGGAACAATATATAAAGCATCAGAAACCAACTCTAATAAAACAGAGATGTATGATTTATCTAACAGATAATTCAAATTAACCATATAAATATCCTCAATGAGCTCAGGAGAAAAATGTATAAGCAAAATGAGAATTTCAACGTAGAGCTAGAAAGTATTTTTAAAGTGCTAAACAGAAATCTTTGAGTAAAAGAATACAGTAACTACACTGAAAAATTCACTAGAAGGATTCACTAGAAGACTAGATGAAGGAGAACAAAGAATCAGTAAACTCAAAAAACATTGAAAAGACAACCTATGGAGTGGAAGAAAATATTTGCAAACTATATATCTGATAAGGGGTTAAGAGATTTTCTACAAATTATATTATGTAACCTATAAACAGAGACAATTTTACTTCTTCCTTTCTGATTTGGATGCCTCTTTTTTTCCTGCCTAATTTCTCTGGCTCAGATTTCCAATATTATGTTGAATAGAAGTAACAAGAGAGGACATAATTGCTTCTTTCATGATCTTAGAGGAAAAGCTTTCAGTTTTTCATTAATGAGTAGCTGTGAGCCTTTTACTTCTGCCCTGTTTTATGTATTGGTATTTTTTTTCTATTCCCTAGTTTGTTGAGTTTTTTAAATCATTAAACAGTATTGATTTATATTAAATGCATTTCTGCATCTGCTGAGATGGTCTTGTGGTTTCTATCCTTTGTTCTGTTCATGTATTTTATCACATTGATTGATTTTCATATGCTGAACCATCCTTATGTCACAGGCATTAATACCATTTGACATGGTGTATTTTATTTCTTGGTTTGCTAGTATTTTATGGGGATTTGGTCATCTTATGGTGTCTTTGTATGAGTTTGATATCAGGGTAATGTTGGCCTCATGAGGTTGGGAGTGTTCCCTCCTCTTCAACTTTTTGGAAAAGTTATAGAAGGATCAGCATTAATTATTTTTTAAATGTTTGGTAGAATTCACTAATGAAGCCATTTGATTTTGGGGCTTTTCTTTGTAGGGAATTTTTGATTACTGATTCAATCACTTACCAGTTATAGATATGTTCAGAATTTCTGTTTCTTCATGATTCAATCATGATAGATGGTAAGAGTCTAGAAATTTATCTATTTCTTCTAGGTTATTCAGTGTGTTGGCATATAACTATTCATAGTGGTCTCTTATAATCCTTTTTATTTCTGTGGTATTAATAGTAATGTCTCCTCTTCATTTCTGATTTTATTTACTTGAGTCTTCTTTTTTCTTAATTAGCCCAAAGAATTGTCAATCTTCGTCTTTTTTACCAACTTAAGTTTCATTCATTTTTTCTATTGTTTTACTATTCTGTATTTCATTTTTGCTCTAATCTTCATTGTTTTCTTCCTTCTGCCAACTTTCTATTTAGTTTGTCCCTTTCTAGATTTTTTAAACTTTTATTTTAGGTTTGGGGTACATGTGAATGTTTGTTACATAGGTAAACACCTGTCATGGGGGGTTTGTTGTACAGACTATTTATCACCCAGGTGTTAAGCCAAGAACCCAATGGTTATCTTTTCTATTCCTCTCCCTCCTCCAGAACTCCCTCCTCAAGGAGACACCAGTGTCTGTTGTTTCCTTCTTTGTGTTCATAAGTTCTTATCATTTAGCTCCCACTTATAAGTGAGAACATGCAGTAGTTTTCTGTTACTGCATTAGTTTGCTAAGGATAATAGCTTCCAACTCCATCCATGTTCCCATAAAAGACATGATCTCGCTCTTTTTTATGGCTGCATAGTATTCCATGGTGTATATGTACCACATTTTGTTTACCCAATCTGTAATTGATGGGCATTTAGGTTGATTCTATGTATTTGCTATTGTGAATAGTGCTGCAATGAACATTCATGTACATGTGTCTTTATGGGAGAATGACTTATATTCCTCTGGGTATATACCCAGTAATGGGATTGCTAGGTCAAATGGTAATAAAGTGTAAAATTAGATTGTGTACTTGAGATCTTTGTTCTCTTTCAGTGTAGGCATTTATAACTCAGTACTGCTTTTGCTGCACTCCATGTTTTGTTATGCTGTGTTTTCATTTATATCTCGATATATTTCTAATTAATCTTAGAAATTACACTTTGACCATTAGTTTTCAAGGTTGTATTGTTTAATTTACACAAATTTTTGAATTTTCCAGTTTTCCTTTTTCTATTAATTTCTAGTTTCATTCCATTGCATTGAGTAAAGGCACTTGGTGTTACATAAATGCTTTTAAATTTGTTAAGACTTGTATTTTGACCTAACACAATCAATTCTTGAGAATGTTCCCTGTACTCTTGAAGAGAAAGTGTATTCTCCTGCTGTTGGGTTGGTCTCTATTGTTGTTGAAGTCTTTTGTTTCCTTATTAATCTTCTCTCTGGATGTTCTATCCATGATTGAAAATGGGAAATCTCCTACTACAATTGTGTTGCTATTTTTCCTTTCAGCTCTAGCAATGTTTGCTTCATATATTTGGGTATTCTAATGTTGGGTGCATACACATTTATAATTGTTATAAATTCTTGGTGATTTGACTTTTTGTCATTGTATAATGTCCATCTTTGTTATTTATAGTTTTTAATTTAGTTTATTTTTTCTGATATAAGTACAGATACCCTGCACTCCTTTGGTTACCATTTCCTTGGAATATTTTTTCCATCCTTCCAATTTCAGCCTCTGTGTGTTCTTATATCTGTAGTAAGTCTCTTGTAGACAGTATATGGTTGGATCTTATTTTTTATCTACTCAGGCACTCTATGGCTTTTGACTGAGGAATGTAATCAATTTATACTCAAAGTAATTACTGATAGGGAAGTACTTAACACCGCCATTTTGTCTAGTATTTAGTGTATGTCTCGTAGCTTTTTCATCCTTCTTTTCCTTTCTTGTCTTCTTTTGCAGGGATTTTTTGTGAGTAATGACATATTTTGATTTATTTCTCATTTTCTTTTGTGTATCTTCAATAAAAATTTTCTTTATGATTATCAGATTTAAATAAAATACCTTATAGTTATAACAATCTACTTTGTGCTGATAAAAAGTTAACCTCACTTGCATACAAAACTTTACTTTTTTACTTCTATTCCTCCACACATTTTGTGTTATTGATGTCACAATTATATCTTTTTATATTGTATATCCATTAAAATATTTTCATAATTAGTTTTCTAAATAATTTTGTCTTTTAACTGCTACACCAGAATTAAAAGTGCTTAATGCACCACTATTTCAGAATTATTCTGTGTTTATCTATATATTTACCTTTACCAGTAAGCTTTGTACTTTTATATCTTTTTGTGTTGATGTCCAGCATCCTTCTGTTTCAATTCAAAGGACTCTCATAGCATTTCTTATAAGGCGGGTCTAGAGCAGTGATAAACTCTCTGAACTTTTGTTTGCCTGGTAACATCTTTATCTCTCCTTCATTTATGAAGGACCATTTCATGCAGTATAACATTCTTGGTTGGCAGTTTTTTCTTCAGCACTTTGAATGTCTTAGTCTACTCCCTCCTGGCCTACATTGTGTTGGCTGAGGAATTTGCTAATGGTCTTACGAAGGATACCTTGCATGTGATGATCCACTTTTATCTTGCTGCTTTCAGAATTCCCTCTTTGTCTTTGACTTTTGGCAATTTGATTATAATGTGTCTCAGTGTAGACTTCTTTAGGTTTATCCTAGTTGAAATGCACTGGGATCCAGAATCTGGACATCTATCTTCATCCCCAGATTTGAAAGGTTTTTAGTCATTATTTCTTCAAATAGGTTTTCTTCCTTTTTCTCTCTCTCTTCTTTTTCTATAACTCCAATAATATATATAGGTCTATTTGATGTTTGTCTCATAGGTACCTTAGGCTTTCCTTACTCTTTTTATTCCTTTTTTCTTTTTCCTCCTCTGACTAAATACTTTCAAATGATCTGCCTTCAAGATAGGTGATTCTTTCTTCTGCTCAATCAAGTCTGCTGTTGATCCCCTCTAGTTCATTTTTTAGTACAGTTATTACATTATTTGGCCCCAAGATTTCTGCTTGGCTCTTTTCTGTATTTTCCATCTGTATGCTGATACTCTCATTTTGTTCCTGCCTCATTGAGCAACTTTAACATGGTATTTTGAATTATTTGTCAGGTAATATATATATACCTCCATTTCTTTCAGGTGACTTTCTAGAGATTTATGCTGTTTCTTTGATTACACATTTCCCTGTTTCTTCATGTGCTTTGTAACTTTGAGTTGGGATCTGTGTATCTGAAAAAAAAAAGCCACTTTTTCAGTGCTTATGGGTTGCTTTTGTACAAAGAAAGACTTTTTCCAGTCATCCTGGCTAGAGATTCTGAAAGCTTCTCAAACCCTTTCTGCGTATGTAATCTTCTCTGGATTTTTGCATGTAAATTCCCAATTGGAGGGATTTGCCAGTTTCTTTTTTCAGGGGCTCATAATCTCTTGCTCATTCTCATGTCTGTGTGGGGTTTTGTAAGTTCTCTAACCTGCTACAAGCTGCCCAATCTCTTTTTGGTCTCAGAAGCCTGTAGGCTTCTAGAATATGTCAGGTTCCATCAGTAATCTGGAGATAGGTGAGACAGAAACTAGTACCTCAGGAAGTCTCCTGAAAAGTCAGAACATTGGAAGCACTCTTTTTTTTGTTCTTAAAGCAGCCAGGCGTTGGAATTTGCTCCAGCTCATTTCATGCTAAGTGGAGTGAAGAATTATGGCAAGTGTATAGTAGTCCAAACCATTGCCTTAGTTCTCAGAAGCCTTAGTCTGATGCTCTTTCTTGTCAGCATTTAGATTCAGGCAAGACAGAAACCAGTCCTATGGGTAGCCACCTAAAATGTCTAATCCTTGAATGTATGTTTAAGTCTTCTTTTTCCCTCCCCAGAAAGAAGCCAGGAGATGAATGCTTTTCTCCTGATTGTGCCACACTGAGCCAGGGGAGGAACTATGGCCAATGAGTATGTGTTAATTCATTCTCGCATTGCTATAAAGAAATATCTGTAATTTATAAAGAAAAGTGATTCAATTGTCTCACACTTCTGCAGGCTGTACAGGAAGCATAATACTGGCATCTGATTGGTGATTGGAAGCCTAAGGAAACTAACAATCATGGCAGAAGGCAAAGGAGGAGCAGACACAGTCATATGGCCTGAGCAGGAGCAAGAGAGAGAGCTAGAGGACAAGTACTACACTTCTTAAAGAAGCAGATCTCAGGGTGGAGCCAAGATGGCTGAATAGGAACAGCTCCGGTCTACAGCTCCCAGCGTGAGCGACACAGAAGATGGGTGATTTCTGCATTTCCAACTGAGGTACCGGGTTCATCTCACTAGGGAGTGCCAGACAGTGGGTGCAGGACAGTGGGTGCAGCGCACCATGCGTGAGCCAAAGCAGGGCGAGGCATTGCCTCACTCGGGAAGTGCAAGGGGTCAGGGAGTTCCCTTTCCTAGTCGAAGAAAGGGGTGACAGATGGCACCTGGAAAATCGGGTCATTCCCACCCTAATACTGTGTTTTTCTGACGGGCTTAAAAAATGGCACGCCAGGAGATTATATCCTGCACCTGGCTCAGAGGGTCCTACGCCCACGGAGTCTCGCTGATTGCTAGCACAGCAGTCTGAGATCAAACTGCAAGGCAGCAGTGAGGCTGGGGGAGGGGCGCCTGCCATTGCCCAGGCTTGATTAGGTAAACAAAGCAGCCAGGAAGCTGGAACTGGGTAGAGCCCACCACAGCTCAAGGAGGCCTGCCTGCCTCTGTAGGCTCCACCTCTGGGGGCAGGGCACAGACAAACAAAAAGACAGCAGTAACCTCTGCAGACTTAAATGTCCCTGTCTGACAGCTTTGAAGAGAGTAGTGGTTCTCCCAGCATGCAGCTTGAGATCTGAGAATGGGCAGACTGCCTCCTCAAGTGGGTCCTTGACCCCCGAGCAGCCTAACTGGGAGGCATCCCCCAGTAGGAGCAGACTGAAACCTCACACGGCCGGGTACTCCTCTGAGACAAAACTTCCAGAGGAACGATCAGGCAGCAGCATTTGCGGTTCACCAAGATCCGCTGTTCTACAGCCACCGCTGTTATGCAGCCACCGCTGCTGACACCCAGGCAAACAGGGTCTGGAGTGGACCTCTAGCAAACTCCAACAGACCTGCAGCTAAGAGTCCTGCCTGTTAGAAGAAAAATTAACAAGCAGAAAGGACATCCACACCAAAAACCCTTCTCTACGTCACCATCATCAAAAACCAAAAGTAGATAAAACCACAAAGATGGGGAAAAAACAGAGCAGAAAAACTGGAAACTCTAAAAAGCAGAGCACCTCTCCTCCTCCAAAGGAACGCAGCTCCTCACCAGCAACAGAATAAAGCTGGACACAGTATGATTTTGACGAGCTGAGAGAAGAAGGCTTCAGATGATCAAACTACTCCGAGCTACAGGAGGAAATTCAAACCAATGGCAAAGAAGTTAAAAACTGTGAAAAAAAATTAGACAAATGGATAACTGGAATAACCAATGCAGAGAAGTCCTTAAAGGAGCTGATGGAGCTGAAAGCCAAGACTCGAGAACTACATGAAGAATGCAGAAGCCTCAGGAGCTGATGTGATCAATTGGAAGAAAGGGTATCAGTGATGGAAGACGAAATGAATGAAATGAAGTGAGAAGGGAAGTTTAGAGAAAAAAGAATAAAAAGAAATGAACAAAGCCTCCAAGAAATATGGGACTATGTGAAAAGACCAAATCTACATCTGATTGGTGTACCTGAAAGTGACGAGGAGAATGGAACCAAGTTGGAAAACACTCTGCAGGATATTATCCAGGAGAACTTCCCCAATCTAGCAAGACAGGCCAACATTCAGATTCAGGAAATACAGAGAACACCACAAAGATACTCCTCGAGAAGAGCAACTCCCAGACACATAATTGTCAGATTCACCAAAGTTGAAATGAAGGAAAAAATGTTAAGGGCAGCCAGAGGGAAAGGTTGGGTTACCCACAAAGGGAAGCCCATCAGACTAACAGCGGATCTCTCGGCAGAAACTCTACAAGCCAGAAGAGAGTGGGGGCCAATATTCAACATTCTTAAAGAAAAGAATTTTCAACCCAGAATTTCATATCCAGCCAAACTAAGCTTCATAAGTGAAGGAGAAATAAAATACTTTACTCTCTCAGCAAATGCTGAGAGATTTTGTCAACAACAGGCCTGCCCTAAAAAAGCTCCTGAAGGAAGCACTAAACATGGAAAAGAACAACCGGTACCCGCCACTGCAAAATCATGCCAAACTGTAAAGACCATCAAGGCTAGGAAGAAACTGCATCAACTAACGAGCAAAATAACCAGCTAACATCATAATGACAGGACCAAATACACACATAACAATATTAACTTTAAACATAAATGGACTAAATGCTCCAATTAAAAGACACAGACTGGCAAATTAGATAAAGAGTCAAGACCCATCAGTGTGCTGTATTCAGGAAACCCATCTCACATGCAGAGACACACATAGGCTCAAAATAAAGGGATGGAGGAAGATCTACCAAGCAAATGGAAAACAAAAAAAGGCAGGGGTTGCAATCCTAGTCTCTGATAAAACAGACTTTAAACCAAAAAAGATCAAAAGAGACAAAGAAGGCCATTACATAATGGTAAAGGGATCAATTCAATAAGAAGAGCTAACTATCCTAAATATATATGCACCCAATACAGGAGCACCCAGATTCATAAAGCAAGTCCTGAGTGACCTACAAAGAGATTTAGACTCCCACACAATAATAATGGGAGACTTTAACACCCCACTGTCAACATTAGACAGATCAACGAGACAGAAAGTTAACAAGGATACCCAGGAATTGAACTCAGCTCTGCACCAAGCAGACCTAATAGACAACTACAGAACTCTCCACCCCAAATCAACAGAATATACATTTTTTTCAGCACCACACCACACCTATTCCAAAATTGACCACATAGTTGGAAGTAAAGCACTCCTCAGCAAATGTAAAAGAACAGAAATTATAACAAACTGTCTCTCAGACCACAGTGCAATCAAACTAGAACTCAGGACTAAGAAACTCACTCAAAACCACTCAACTACATGGAAACTGAACAACCTGCTCCTGAATGACTACTGGGTACATAATGAAATGAAGGCAGAAATAAAGATGTTCTTTGAAACCAACGAGAACAAAGACACAACATACCAGAATCTCTGGGACACATTCAAAGCAGTGCATAGAGGGAAATTTATAGCACGAAATGCCCACAAGAGAAAGTGGGGAAGATCCAAAATTGACACCCTAACATCGCAATTAAAAGAACTAGAAAAGCAATAGCAAATACATTCAAAACCTAGCAGAAGGCAAGAAATAACTAAAATCAGAGCAGAACTGAAGGAAATAGAGACACAAAAAAACCTTCAAAAAATTAATGAATCCAGGAGCTGGTTTTTTGAAACGATCAAAAAAATTGATAGACCGCTAGCAAGACTAATAAAGAAGAAAACAGAGAAGAATCACATAGACGCAATAAAAAATGATAAAGGGCATATCACCACCGATCCCACAGAAGTACAAACTACCATCAGAGAATACTACAAATACCTCTATGCAAATAAACTAGAAAATCTAGAAGAAATGGATAAATTCCTCGACACATACATCCTCCCAAGACTAAATCAGGAAGAAGTTGAATCTCTGAATAGACCAATAACAGGATCTGAAATTATGACAATAATCAATAGCTTACCAACCAAAAAAAGTCCAGGACCAGATGGATTCACAGCCGAATTCTACCAGAGGTACAAGGAGGAACTGGTACCATTCCTTCTGAAACTATTCCAATCAATAGAAAAAGAAGGAATCCTCCCTAACTCATTTTATGAGGCCAGCATCATCCTGATACCAAAGCCGGGCAGAGACACAACAAAAAAAGAGAATTTTAGACGAATATCCTTTATGAACATTGATGCAAAAATCCTCAATAAAATACTGGCAAACCGAATCCAGCAGCACATCAAAAAGCTTATCCACCATGATCAAGTGGGCTTCATCCCTGGGATGCAAGGCTGGTTCAACATATGCAAATCAATAAATGTAATCCAGCACGTAAACAGAGCCAAAGACAAAAACCACATGATTATCTCAATAGATGCAGAAAAGGCCTTTGACAAAATTCAACAATGCTTCATGCTAAAAACTCTCAATAAATTAGGTATTGATGGGACATATCTCAAAATAATAAGAGCTATCTATGACAAACCCACAGTCAATATCATCCTGAATGGGCAAAAACTGGAAGCATTCCCTTTGAAAACTGGCACAAGACAGGGATGCCCCCTCTCCTCACTCCTATTCAACATAGTGTCAGAAGTTCTGGCCAGGGCAATTAGGCAGGAGAAGGAAATAAAGGGGTTTCAATTAGGAAAAGAGGAAGTCAAATTGTCCCTGTTTGCAGATGACATGATTGTATATCTAGAAAACCCCATTGTCTCAGCCCAAAATCTCCTTAAGCTGATAAGCAACTTTAGCAAAGTCTCAGGATACAAAATCAATGTACAAAAATCACAAGCATTCTTATACACCAATAACAGACAAACAGAGAGCCAAATCATGAGTGAACTCCCATTCACAATTGCTTCAAAGAGAATCAAATACCTAGGAATCCAACTTACAAAGGACTTGAAGGACTTCTTCAAGGAGAACTACAAACCACTGCTCAATGAAATAAAAGAGGATACAAACAAATGGAAGAACATTCCATGCTCATGGGTAGGAAGAATCAATATCATGAAAATGGCCATACTGCCCAAGGTAATTTATAGATTCAATGCCATCCCCATCAAGCTACCAAGGACTTTCTTCACAGAATTGGAAGAAACTACTTTAAAGTTCATATGGAACCAAAAAAGAGCCTGCATCGCCAAGTCAATCCTAAGCCAAAAGAACAAAGCTGGAGGCATCACGCTACCTGACTGCAAACTATACTACAAGGCTACAGTAACCAAAACAGCATGGTACTGGTACCAAAATAGAGTTATAGATCAATGGAACAGAACAGAGCCCTCAGAAATAATGCCACATATCTACAACCATCTGATCTTTGACAAACCTGAGAAAAACAAGCAATGAGGAAAGGATTCCCTATTTAATAAATGGTGCTGGGAAAACTGGTTAGCCATATGTAGAAAGCTGAAACTGGATCCCTTCATTACACCTTATACAAAAATTAATTCAAGATGGATTAAAGACTTAAACATTAGACCTAAAACCATAAAAACCCTAGAAGAAAACCTAGGCAATACCATTCAGGACATAGGCATAGGCAAGGACTTCATGTCTAAAACACCAAAAGCAATGGCAACAGAAGCCAAAATTGACAAATGGGATCTAACTAAACTAAAGAGCTTCTGCACAGCAAAAGAAACTACCGTCAGAGTGAACAGGCAACCTACAAAATGGGAGAAAATTTTTGCAACCTACTTATGTGACAAAAGGCTAATATCCAGAATCTACAAAGAACTCAAACAAATTTACAAGAAAAAAAACAAACAACCCCATCCACAAGTGGGCGAAGGATATGAACAGACACTTGTCAAAAGAAGACATTTATGCAGCCAAAAAACACATGAAAAAATGGTCATCATCACTGACAATCAGAGAAATGCAAATCAAAATCACAATGAGATACCATCTCACACCAGTTAGAATGGTGATCATTAAAAAGTCAGGAAACAACAGGTGCTGGAGAGGATGTGGAGAAATAGGAACACTTTTACACTGTTGGTGGGACTGTCAACTAGTTCAACCATTGTGGAAGTCAGTGTGGCGATTCCTCAGGGATCTAGAACTAGAAACACCATTTGACCCAGCCATCCTATTGCTGGATATATATACCCAAAGGATTATAAATCATGCTGCTATAAAGACACATGCACACATATGTTTATTGTGGCACTATTCACAATAGCAAAGACTTGGAACCAACCCAAATGTCCAACAATGATAGACTGGATTAAGAAAATGTGGCACATATACACCATGGAATACTATGCAGCCATAAAAAATGAAGAGTTCATGTCCTTTGTAGGGACATGGATGAAACTGGAAACCATCATTCTCAGCAAAGTATTGCAAGGACAAAAAACCAAACACCGCATGTTCTCACTCATAGGTGGGAATTGAACAGTGAGAACACATGGACACAGGAAGGGGAACACCACACACCAGGGACTGTTGTGGTGTGGGGGGAGGGGGGAGGGATAGCATTAGGAGATATACCTAATGCTAAATGACGAGTTAATGGGTGCAGCACACCAACATGGCACATGTATACATATGTAACAAACCTGCACATTGTGCACATGTACCCTAAAACTTAAAGTATAATAATAATAATAATAATAAAAGAAGCAGATCTCACAAGAACTCATTCACTATCACAAGAGCAGCACAAGCAGATGGTGCTAAACCACTCATGAGAAATCCACCCTCATGATCCAATCACCTGCCACCAGGCCCCACCTCCAACATGGGGATTACAATTCAACGTGAGATATGGCAAGGACACAGATCCAAACCATATGAGAGTGCCACAGATTTTTTTCTACTGTATTTAATGCAGCTGGTTTTGCATTCATCTGGAGTGCAGGAGCTGCTTAACTTGTTTCTAGATTTCTCACAATTGGTTCATCAGTGCCTCTGTTGTTATGTCATTGCCTCTGTAGTGGAAGGAGGTTCTGGGGCTTCCTAATTTACCATTTT
This sequence comes from Homo sapiens, assembly GCF_000001405.40. Taxonomy (NCBI): domain Eukaryota; kingdom Metazoa; phylum Chordata; class Mammalia; order Primates; family Hominidae; genus Homo; species Homo sapiens. The sequence goes on from NC_000004.12 coordinate 142,997,412, forward strand.
GGTGGTGTCACCCAGAAACTTCCTTTTAATTACAAATCCAGTAAGGCTTACATTTCCTGAAAGTCTTTGGAAAAGTATTGTAATGTAGCTGTTTCAATTATAATTCTTCTTAATAAAAAGCAGAGGAAAATAATTAAGGCTGCCTAAATTTCCATGACTTGTAAAGAGAGGATCACAATACAATTAAAATATTTTTCTACATTTAATTTATATGCACTTTTTAATCTAAATTAAGACTATTTGAGTGTTATCTTTATGAGGGTAAATGCGGAAAATTAAATAAATGTAACAAATGTCAGTTTTATAGTCACATTTTATTATATCCACATAAATTTATATATATGCATTACACATAAATACATATTTACACAGATGTATGCACTTATGTAGATATATACACACATATATAAATGATATTTCTGTATATATGTGTAGACGCACACACTAAGCAATAAAGCTACTCTTTTCTTTTGAGAATAGCCAAAATTTTTTTGAAAAGAAAAATACAATCCTATATGAATATTGTCTTTCAGAAATAAATGAAATATGTTAAGTGTTTACTATATAATAAAAAAGGATTGTCTTTTTGTTTTGTTTTGCTTTGTTTTATAGAGATGAGGTTTCCCTGTGCCATCCAGGCTAGAGTACAGTGGTACCACCATAGCTCACTATAGCCTTGACCTCCTGGGCTTAAGCAGTCCTCCTGCCTCAGCCTCCCAACTAGCTAGGACTACAAGTGTGTACCACTATGCCTGGCTAACTTTTTTATTTTTTAATTTTTTACAGATGCGGTCTTACTAAGTTGCCCAGGCTGGTCTTGAACTCCTGGCCTCAAGCAATCCTCCCACCTCAGCCTCTTACAGGTCTGAGATTACAGGTGTGAGGCACTGTGCTTGGCCAAAAAAGGGTTATCTTTGATAAATATAAGAAAAACATTGATAGGTCATCACCTAGATGACATCCAGTTATCAAATTCTAGGGGTTTGATATATTGTCTGATATTATCTAAGAAAGACCAAAGCCCAGAAAACTTTTCTTTATTGAAAGATAGAAGTATCAACATTTTTAGTTGTTGTTTTGTTATGTTATGACATAGAAAAGTACATACAATGTTAATATAAAATATCTTGGGTTTTCAGAAATATATTTGTTAGAACTCTTTTATTAACAAGTAACAAAACTAGTTTCTTTTTTTACTTATAACACTAGCCAGGCAGTACCTAGACTACACACATATTAATATATACATGCTCAATAGTTATTAAGGTGTTTCTTACTAGTAATTTTCACCAATCCAGGAACATAAATGGCATTGAATTCACAATAATAACACTGGATGTTGGAAAAAAATGATACAATGTATTACAGTTGAGAGGAAAAATCAAATGTCTCAAAAATTTAACTTTTCAGGCACTTTTTCTGAGGAAGCCACTGAAAAGTATACCATGCTAAAATGAAGTCATAAAGGAAGACAGAGACCAGGAATCCAGGAAACAGAAGACCCAACAGAGGAAAGTGGTAAAAGAAATTTGTACAAACTTGTCAAAAAGAAGTCCCAAGTTGAGAGTCGTGCAGGAAGCCTACACTGAAAACCATCATGTCACAGAAAGATGCAAGTTTCCTAAAAGGATGCGTTTATTAAAAAATAAATAAAAGCAGTGATACCGTTACTAGCAGATTATCTGAAAAATTTTACTGCTTTCAAAATTACATTCAGAGATATTTTCTAGAGCTGTTAGAAGGGGCAGAAAGAAGAGTTGTTGATTTAAAGAAAACCAGGTCAATGGTGGAGGGGAGGCAATTATCAAATTCAAAGAGAAAAGATCTGACTGGAAACTAATCATGCTACAATGCTTGAGTTCAGCAGTAGAGAAAAAATAAACTACATGTACACACACATTTATAAGGGAAACACTGAAAACTGGTTTAACCAAAAACCGTAACATTAACTATATTAGAATAGAAAAAAGATAGAGAAAATTCTCATCTACTATAACAAGAAGTTAACAGACAGTGTCTAAAAATTTTAAAAGAAACATGAGAATAGTTTGCACATATTTAAAAACAGAGAAGTAAATTCCAAAAAGAAAAATTTTTACGTTGAAAAATGTAAAGTAATAGTCCTTGAGAATGGTAAGTTGGGAGATGAAGGAGGACATTGGCAAAAGAATACAAAGAAATTTTGAGATTCTGAGAAGATAAGTGAGGTGATCATATATTCTGGTTTCTCCAGAACAGGATTAGTTTTTTTTTTTTCCTTTTTTTCCCTTTTATTTATTTATTTATTTATTTTTATTATTATACTTTAAGTTTTAGGGTACATGTACACATTGTGCAGGTTAGTTACATATGTATACATGTGCCATGCTGGTGCGCTGCACCCACTATCTCGTCATCTAGCATTAGGTATATCTCCCAATGCTATCCCTCCCCCCTCCCCCCACCCCACAACAGTCCCCAGAGTGTGATATTCCCCTTCCTGTGTCCATGTGATCTCATTGTTCAATTCCCACCTGTGAGTGAGAATATGCGGTGTTTGGTTTTTTGTTCTTGCGATAGTTTACTTAATCAAATAACACTGTTTCCGTATTAAATTAGCTTATTTTTCCATTACACATTTTCTTGTATTTGTATGAAAAGCAAATGATAGCAGTTAATAGGTTGGCTCCATTAGCAGAAGCAAAACACGAAAAGAACTCGTTTTGCCAGTTTCATATCTGTGTCATCAGATCCTTCAAGTGGAAAATGAGTTAATGCTAATAATCATTTGATTTTTTTCATAAAACTTATGGAATCAAAATGAGACTTTAGGAAATCCATTCCATTGAAGAGCAAACATCTGATATTATTATGAGTGCCACTTAAAAAAAGTGTTTGTTTTTCCAGTAATAACACATATACAAATTTTGAGCTGAGCACAGTGGCTCATATCTGTAATCCCTTTTACTCGGGATGCTAAAGTGGAAGGGTCTCTTGAACCCAGGAGTTTGAGGATCCAGTAAGCTATGATTGTGCCACTGTATTCCAGACTGGGTGACAGAGCAAGACACTGTCTCTAATATGTACATATAAAAATTCTAACGGAGGCCATCATCACAGTAAAAACAATGCTCCTGCTGTATTAAAAACCTATGACATGGAAATGTGCTTAGAACTGATTGTTTTCCACTCATCATTTATAACTGCATTTAAATATGTCATGATATTCTACCAGTTAAAAAAAGCAGAACTTTTTTAAATGTACAAATATTTTATGTTTACTACAAAATTTTGTAATAAAACTAATATAAAAATAAAGCAACAGCAAAAAGAAAAAAAAAAAAAGTTTCCAAATGGTGATATGCATTTCCTCTTGGCTACCTCTCACAAAATATTTAACCCTTTGGAAACTTTGTTAAATTAAGTTTTAAATGTCTTAAAAAGACATGGAACTTTTTGTTAGCAAGTGTTTTACATTTTGATTACATCTTGTTCAGACTCGGGAGTTTATAATTAAAGATTAAATGATTAGATGTTTTCCAGGTGTTTGGAGAAAGAGAAGATTTAAATAGGTGAAGTACAAGGAATTTTTTGGGGGTAGTGAAACTCTGTATATGGTAGATACATGACACTACATTTGTCAAAACCCTTATAAGGCTGGGCACGGTGGCTCATACCTGTAATCCCAGCACTTTGGGAGGCTGAGGCAGGCAGTTACTTGCGGTCAGGAGTTCTAGACCAGTGTGGCCAACATGGTGAAACACCTCTTTACTAAAAATACAAAAATTATCCTGGCGTGGTGGCTCGTGCCTGTAATTCCAGCTACTCAGGAGGCTGAGGCAGAAGAACTGCTTAAGCCCAGGAGGCAGAGGTTGTCATGAGCCGAGTTCATGCCACTGCACTCCAGCCTGGGCTTTCTCAAAAAAAAAAAAAAAAAAAAAAAAAAAAAAAAAAATATATATATATATATATATATATATATAATTATAACACAAATAATGGACCTTATATGCCTTATATGTGCAAATTTTAAAAATCTTAGGAGGTCAGTGGAATCTCACAATAAAATATAGAATGTGACAAAACCATCTAGCTGTATTATGGTGTACGAAACAACCTCACTAAAGAAGTTGGGCGGAGGGGATATGTTGACCTAAGTAAGTTTGGAAATTATTGGCGTCTGTAAAATGAAAGCCAAAAGAAACTGTAAGCATTGTACTCTAGTTGTCAATGTTGTTTGCCAAAGAAGTAGAGATTAATAATTCTGATATGCCTATCCATGTATAATGAAATTAATTAATTAATTAGATGCCAGGTAGTAAAAGCCAATTTCTCGGTGTTGGAGTGAAAGATTACAGATAAGGAAGGGCAGGAGGCTAGCAGGATCTGCATGGTGATGAATCAGAGTTGAAGACATCCGTATGAACTCATGTTTAGCTTAACATGATAAAGATGGATACACACAGAGACGTTTATATTTCTGTGTATTTCTAAACATAGATATATGAATGTGTAGATATTTATACATATGTGTGTATGCACAGGTTAGTATACATCCATGTATTTTCTTGCTTTGTCAATTGAAAGGGCAAAAAAAACAACAACATCTGAATACCAATGAACACATCTAGTACCCGGATTTAGTTTGTAATACCATTCTCCAATAAAAGGAATAAGGGCCCTTGGAGAAATAATTGAATCTAGACCTGGTGCAGAAAATATACAAGATGAACCTGTAGCATCTTATATCTGCAATGAATATTATATCTGCAAGTAAATAAATAAATTACTTTATTTAAGAAAAAATAACATATTAAGTTGACAGTTTATTTCATGACTCATTTAAATTTCAAGGGATTATATTAATCTGAAAGGTTAGCACTGCCTCATAATTAAATTATGAAGATAAACAATACGCAACCAATTTTACAATAAATCATATCTTCACTTCTATGCAATGTTATCTTCTAAGTTTTCTCAAGGATACTTTTGACATTACTTATTAACTGTAATGGCAGTTGTTGAGGGAAAAATGCTATCATCTTTGAAGCCAAGATATTGATATAAGAAGTGACTCAGGTTTGTGTAACACAGTACTGATGGCCAAATTTTACAATTACCAGTTATTTAATATTGCAATAATATTTGAAATTAATAGTCATTATATTTCAATACTACTCTCATTAAATTGTGTTTTTAGAAAAAGTAGCAAAAGACACATTTCCCTACTCAATGCAAAATAGTGCTTAAATTTATGCAAATTTAGAACAATTGGTTAAGATTCCTTTACTAAGAAAAATAGAAAGAGATCTTGGGTATATTCTGGAATGTTTTAAAAGACAACAAAAGCAAATTCTTTTAACAAATAACAAATGAGAACCATACACTGCAATGTTTTCAATTATCAGAAATTAAAAAGGCTGAACCAATTTTACCAACAAATTTAGAGACTGGAAATATGAAAATCTTTCTACTAAACATTCTGCCTTAGTTTCCTAATATGAAATATTAATCAAATGAAGGGTGAATCATAGTATCTCAAATAGCTAATTAATATCATTAGACATTTCCTCAATGGTTTGGTTAATTGAGACAAAAAAAAATTTTTTACCTGAATAATCAAACTAAGCATAGCCATAATTGTCATTTACTTTTCACAGCTAAACAAACCCTAAAGGATCCTACTCAGACATTTTTCCTGCCCAGCAGAACTTCCAAGTTATATTATTTACACATCTTCTTTTCTATCCCCCGGTACTCCATTTATCTTTGTACCTCCTTCTACTTCATAGCCTTCTCTTTATTTTCCAAACACCAGTCCTTGCATTTGTCTTCAAGTTGTCCAACAAGCTGGGCTTCAGAGCTCTTCCAACCTGGAGCACACCATGCTTCAAGGTGACTTCTCCTTTCTGTTGGTATTTCTATCGCAAGGGGTACCACCACACACAGCTACAGAAACCTAATGTTAAATGACTACCACTGCCTAGTCGGCTCTGAAAACACTCTTGAGTCAAAAACCAAACTCAGTAACATGGTTATATTTCTCATTTATTATCTTGATTGCTCACTTCTCCAAACTTGATACCAGGATATATTGCTCTCTTGTCTAGGACTACAGATTAGGAGACCTGCATGAGGACATTGGTGCTATTTATTTGTCCTTGGCTTTGCTTCTGAGCTAAATCTTTGTATTTCAAAACCAGGGCTTTCAGCTTCTCTACAACTTCAGAGCTCTTCCTCCTTAGAAGTTAATTTGCTCTGTCTCCATTACACCATTGCAGAACTCACCAAATTCCCTATGCTGAGCTAACATCCAAATGATCAATACCTACAAGTCAGTTGGGAAGAAAATTGGACACAAATCTTTGAAGTCCAGTCAGCAATGCTTCTCAAAATTTTTAATTTATAACACTCTTTAGAATTAGAACTTCTGGGACTTTGTTGTTTGGAAGAGATTAAAAGACTCAAATCAACTCTATCATGTCAGCAATAACATAATCACTCCTATAGTTGGCATCTCTACTCCACTCCCTAGGATTTCCTTCCATAGAGTCATGGTAACCGAGAGGTAAACATTCTAGCCAACCATACCAGCAAAATAAATGACAGACACCATATCCAGGATACTCTTGGCAGACTCAATAAATCTCTTTTTTTACTGCCTGTATTTCCCCCAAAAGATTTCATTATTTGTCCTGTATTCCAAACTCTCCCAAACTCCCAAAGCATTCTCATCGCTTTCAAGGTAAAGCTCTGAAGACCACATGCTGCTTTGCTTTTATGATTTTTTTAATTGCATGTGGCTTCTTTTTATTATTGATGAATGGGGTGGAGGCAAGAGCTTCCCATATCCAGGTTGGGTAGTAGTGATGTCAGCACAGTTTAGTTCTATGCAGTTTATTTTGCTTCAACCCCCAATTTTTTTCACTCACCTGATTTCTGTGATCAAAGATGTAACCTTCGAGAGTTCTTCCACTTATCTCTTGTATCTCCACATAGCTTATTGACCAAGACATAGTTTCTTAAATCAACTAATTTAATGCATCCTGTTTTATTGTACTTCTATTATGTACTGATTATTCTCAAGTATAAATAACAATAAAACAGCTAACTAAATACATTTTATATATGTATTACCTTCATAGTGGACTTCCTTTCTAGTTACAACTGTCATATTTTATCACATGGAGACTTTAAGCTTCTTTGGTTATCTAACTATTTAGCAGTCATTTGATAGAATTTTTTTTGCCCTGACCACACTTTCATGGTTATTCATGAGGCAAAATGCTCACACAACAGAGTAAACTCACAATCTTTCATAGGCGTGGTTTGAAATAAGAAGCATATGATAATATTATAATATGCCTTATATTTACTAACTATATAATAGCTTTTAACTCACTCTGCATGGTGTCAAATGACCCACTCAATTCAATTATCTATCTAATGTATAATCACCACAGTAAGTTAGCAAAATAATTATACATTGATAAAAAGTTGAAGAGTTCATTGTCACCTGTTAAGCAACAACTGGCACAAGTGAAAGCTGAGTAATGTCAGCAAGATAACAAAAGACCCCAGCATTTGTCTTCCCACAAAAAAATAAAAATTAGCCAATTATCCACAAACAAAAATAGTTTGGAGCACTCTGATGTCCACTTAAAAAGCTGCAGCAACACAGTGGAGCAAAAGAACCTGAAAATAAGTACGCAGAAAAGGTAGGAAGAACAGTTTCCTTTTGCCTATATCATCCCATCCCCCAGGATGGCACTGCTTAGTGCTGAGAGTGAAGGTCTCCCTCAGGGAAAAGGAGAGTAGAGTGAACAACCAGTTTTCCCAGCCTTTGAGGGTATTGCCTGAAGAACTCACTTTGGCTTCACTCCACCCAGATCACTGGGGAGACCAACAAAGCTGAGACATCTGAAGACAGCTAGGAACAAAGAAGAAAGGCAGGGGTTTTCACTGTCAACCATGCAGCAATATTCAGCCTGGTTTCCAGTGGCTTGCTCTGCAAAGAACCCCAGTGGCCTTCACTATTGAGGACCTCAATAGCCCTCGTGGCCACTTCAGCCCCCAACACACTTTTGCCATGGAGACACAAAATTTTTGCCCTCACAAGCTTCACTTCTGAAGTAGCAGCACCCTCATCTGCTACTACTATAGGTACCCTGTCCCCAGGAACCACAGCAGCCACTGCTTACATGCCCATCTGCAACTAAGGCTCCTGTTACCAGCCCTGGGTCCCAATGTGGTGTGAAGCTGATCCCACAGCTGCGTGCGTACGCATAGCCAACCTCAATCTTTCTGCCAGCTTCCAGCACTATAACATGGCTCCTACTTTCATGCACATACACATAACTAGCCCTAAACCCTACCACAACTGACTGGCCCAGGTTCTCCCCACTGGACTTGGAGGTGCCACTGAGGACCACAATAGCCCTTAGACCCACTGCAGACCTCTTACAGACCTCTTACACAAAGACCATATGGTTACCAACTTTACAGACCTCAACTGCCTGAGTCAATGAGACAACATTGCCCCCAAGACCCAGAGCCACTACACAATCCCTAACTTGGTGTCTGCACAGCAGTGCACCTAGCATAACCTACCCCCCTATAGATGAAGGCCTTTCCTTGCAAAAGCCAGCCCATGAAGTCTGGAAGTGGTGCCTGCTTCAAATGTGCTGACATCCATTCAAAGTGACAAGGATTATGAAGAATCAGGAAAACATGGCATCACCAAAGGAACACAATAAACTTCCCGTTACTGACCCCCTGAAAAATGAAGATACACAGATTTCCTGACAAAGAACTTAAAATAATTGCTCTAAAGATCAGAGAGCTACAATCAAACACAGAAAAAGAATTTAACAAAATCAGAAAAACAACACAAGAACAAACTCAGAATTTCAACATGATAGAAAAAGGTAATTTAAAAACTAACAAAAATTTGGGAACTGAAGAATACAATGGCTGAGCTAAAAAAAAATCAATAAAGAGCTTCAACAATAATTTTGATCAAGGAGAGAGTTAGCAAACTGAAAGAGGGATCATTTGAAATAATCCAGTCATAGGAGAAAAAGAAAAATAAAATAAAAAGAATAAAGAAAGCCTAAAGAATTTATGATACACCATTAAAAGAATGCTAGCATTGGCCAGGCGCAGTGGCTCACATCTGTAATCCCAACACTTTGCGAGGCCGAGGCAGGTGGATCACCTGAAGTTAAGAGTTCCCAATTTTAGGGAAGGGACCTGGTGGGAGATGATTGGATCATGAGGGTTGATTTCCCCTTGCCTGTTCTCGTGATAGTAAGTGAGTTCTCATGAGATCTGGTTGTTTAAAAGTGTATAGCACTTCCCCTTTTATTCTCTCTCTCCTTCTCCACCATTGTAAGATATGCTGGCTTCTCCTTCCCCTTCCATCATGATTATAAGTTTCCTGAGGCCTCTCCAGCCATGCTTTCTGTATAGCCTGCAGAACTGTGAGTCAATTAAATTCGTTTCTTCATAAATTACCCAGTCTCAGGTAGTTTTTTATAGCAATGTGAAAATGGCTAATACAAACAGAGAACTTTAAAATCAATAATAGAAAAGAAGCTCATCACCTACAAGAGAGCCCTGATAAGATTATCAGTAGGATTATCTGCAAAAAGCTTGGAGACAGGGTTACAGTGAGATGATGTATTCAAAGTACTGAAATAACAAACTGCCAATCAGGAAAACTTTACCTGGCAAATCTTACTTCCAGAAAGGAGGAAGAGATAAAGACTTTTCCAGACTAACAAAAGCCAAGGAAGTTCACCATCACCAGAACTGCCTTACAAAAAATATCAAAGGAAATTTTTAATGCTGAAAGAGAAAGAGGCTAATTAATAACATAAAAAGCATATCAAACTGTAAAACTCGCTGGTAAAAGTAAGTATGAGGTAATATTCAGAATAATCTAATACTGTGATGGTGGTGTGTAAATCACTTATGTCTTCAATATGAATATTAAAATCAAAACCACTAAAAATAACAATAGCCACAATAATTTGTTTAAGAATACACAATATAAAAATATGTAAATTCTGATATCAAAAACATAAAATGCGTGTCAGCAGTAGAGTTAAAATGCAGAGTTATTTCATGCAATTAAAGTTAAGTTGTTATCAGCTTAAAATAGAAAAAGAGGAAACACTTGCAAATGTATTTATTAAGGCTAATATTGTCTTGATACCAAAATCAGACTAAGACAGTAACAAAAATAAATAAATAAATAATTAAATAAAAGAAAATTACATACCAATATTTCCCATGAACTTAGACAAAATTTCCTCAACAAAATATTAGCAAATTGAATCCCACAATAAATAAAGTGAATTCTACATATTTCAGATATGAAAGACTGATTGAATATTTGAAAATTCATCAATGCAATCCACCATATCAGCAAGATAAAGAGGAAAAATCATATGATCTCATCAATATATGCAGAAAACACATATTGATAAGATCCAATACTTGGTCATTTAACAACTCTCAGGATGTTAAGAACAGAGGGAAACTATCTCAACTTAGTGAAGAGCCGTAACAAGAAAACCTACGGCATACTAAAATAATGTTATACTTTGTGGTGAAAGACTAAATGTTTACCCTAAGATCAAAAATAAGGCAAGGATGTCCACTTTCACCACACTTATTTAATACAGCACTGGATGTTCTAGATGCTGAAATAAGGCAAGCAAAAGTAATACAACTAATCAAGTTTAAAGAGAAATAAATAAAACTGTTCTTATTTGAAGAGAATAAGATTGCTGGGTAGAAAGACTATTTTTTTAAAAAACCAATATATAGTCCTAAAAGATCACAATATACAAACTCAACACACACACAATTACATTCTATATACTAACAATGACTACGTAAAAGCTAAAATTAAAACACAATATCATTTACAATCATTCCAAAGAAATAAAAAATACAGATACATACTGAGCAAAATCTGTACATAAAATGTATAGTGAAAAATTACAAAATACTGATTTAAAAATCCAAGATAACCTAAATAAATTGAGAGACATACTATATTCATGGATTGGAAAACTCAACATAGTAAAGATATTAATTATCCTTAAATTGATATATCAGTTTAATATAATTCCTATCAAAATCCCAGATCAACTTTTAATGCATAAAAAATCTTATGTTAAAACTTATGTGGAAAGGCACAGTCCTTAGAATTACTAAAATCATCTTGAAAAAGAAAGATAAAATAAAAGGAGTCTTTCTACTCCATATTAAGGCTTACCATATAGCTATAAAAATCAAGCTATTATGCTATTACCAGAAGGATAGACACATAGATCAGTGGAACATAATACAGAACCCAGAAATATACATGCAAATGACTTTTTTAAAAAGATGCAAAAGCAATTCCAAGGCTAAAAGATATCCTTTGCAACAAATCATGCTACAGCAATTGAGCATCTACAAGCAATAACAAAAAGAAGGAAAGGGAGAGAGAGACAGAGAGAGAGGGAGAGAGAGAGAAGAAAGACCTAACAATCATGACTTATGTTTTAAAAAGGTAACTAAAAATGGGTCATAGAATTAAATGTAAAATTATAAAACTTATGTAAAAAACATAGGAAAACTTTTTAGAAATAAGGGATAGACAAAGAATTTTTAGATTTGACACAAAGCATCATCCATAAAGCAAAATTGATCAATTGGATCTCATTAAGAGTAAAAACATTTTCTCTGCAAGATATTTTATTAAGCTGGTAAGAGATAGCTAAAGAATGAAAGAAAATAGTTTCAAACCACATATCTGACAAAGAACTGTTATCTAAAATATATAAAGAATGGACAAAACTCAAGAGTGAAAAAGAAAGAACCAATTCAGTTAGAAGAAGGGTAAGGCTTGAACAGATGTTTCACTGCCAAAGATATACAGAAGGCAAGTAAGCACATGAAAAAATGTTCAACTTAATTAGCCATTGGAAAAATTCAGAATAAAAACACAGACAAGTAGACATTACTACACACTTACAAGAATGATGAAAATAAAACATACTGAAAATATCAATTGCTACTTCCATCTGAGACCTCATCACCCTGGCCTTCACTGTCCACATTTCTATCAGCACTTTGGCAACAACCACTTACCAGCCACTAAGAAGCTGCAGACTTTCCCTCATCCTCCTGTCTTCTGAGCCCTCCAAACTCTTCTGAAAGAATCAACCCATTATTTTGGAAGAGTTTGAGGACAGAGAAGTTCCAAAACTGCTTCCACATTTTCAAGTGTCTTTATAGCAATGCCCCACTCCTCAGTACCAATTTTCTATTTTGGTCCATTTTGCATTGCTATAAAGGAATACCAGATACTGGGTAATTTATAAGAAAAGAGCCTTATATGGCTCACAGTTCTGCAGACTGTACAAGAAGAGTGGCGCTGGCACCTGCTCCTGGTGAGGGCCTCAGGAAGCGTACAATCATGACAGAAGGTAAAGGGGGGGCAGGTGTATCACATGGCAAGGGAGAGCAAGAGAAAGTGGAAGAAGTGCCAAGCTCCTTTAAACAACCCACTGTTGCATGAACAGAGCAAGAATGCACTCATAACCATGGGGAGGGCACCAAGCCAATCATAACAGATCTACCTCCATGATGCAAACACCACCCACTAGGCCCACCTCTAACATAGGTAGTCACATTTCAAGATGAGACTTAAAGGGGACACATATTCAAATCATATCAACACTGCTAGACATTTATTCAAAAGAATTTGAAATTTATACTTACACCGAAACCTGTATGCAAATGTTTACAGCAGTTTTATTCATAATAGCCTTAAAACTGGAAACAAAGCAGATGTTATTCAACAAAAGAATGGTTAAACAAACAGTGGTAGCTCCATACTATTTAGCAATAAGAAGGAATGAATGATTAATACACGCAAAAACTTAAATGAATCTCCAGGGCTTTATGCTGAGTGAGAAGACCAGTCCCACAACCTTACATACAGTATGATTCCATTCATATAGAATTCTTTAAAGGACAAGATTATAGAAATGTGGAACAGATTCATGGATGGCAGAAGTTGGGAATACTGGAGTGAGAAGGGTACTGGGTGTCGTTATAAAGAAAAATCCCAGAAATCCTTGATCCTTGTAGTGATGTAACTACTCTGCTTTTTACGGTGGTTGTGGTGGTGGTGGTGGTGGTGATAGTGTGCCAAAGATTCTTTAGCCATTCTTCTGTTGAAGGACACCTGGGGAGTTTTCAGTTTTTGGCTATCAAGAATAAAGTTGTATGAGCAATTATATGTATATTGAATCTTCTTTGCCTATCTTCTATATATTTTTCTGTCTAATTCCTTTTCTGCTTTATCATATACTTGTTCTCTTGGCTATTTATGTGCCTTTCTCATTCCCTCTTGCTAAATTTTCAGCTGAATCTATTCTCCCTTGTGTTCCTTGTCACATAGTCTTCATTTTAAAGAAAATTTTTGTGTTTTTCTTCAATTTATTTCATATGTTTGGTAAACTCTTCTTTTACATCTTCCTATTTTCTGGGGCTTCGGTCTTCTTTTTGACCACTTCTATTCTGGCACTTGAAATTTCTAATTCAAGAATGTGTTTTATATCTACAAATACTTTTTAAAAATGTTTAATGAATTGCAAGTATTGGGTTACAGTTTTCCTCTGTTTTTGGTTATTTGGGGAGAGAAATTTTCATCAGCTAAATGTTTTGTTCTCATTCTTCTCAGATTTTTTGCTTTTATCATTCTTTTTCATTGACATATTGTACAATTTTTAGAAATACAGTATGATTTTTAAAGCATGCATACAATGCAGAATAATTAAGGATAATTAGCATATTTATCACCTCAAATATTTATTTCTTTGTGTAGGGAACATTCAAAATATGCTTTTCTAGCTGTTTGAAAACACACAATAAATGGTTATTAATTATAGTCACCCTTCAGTTTTATAGAATACTATAATTTATTCCTCCTATTGAGTTATAATTTTGTATCCACTAACTTACCTCTGGCTATTTTGCTCCCCACTCTTCCCAGCCTCCAGTAACCACTATTGTGCTCTCTACTTCTATGAGATCAACTTTTTTTCTTTCACATATGAATGAGAATATGCAGTATTTGTCTTTCTATGTCTGGCTTATTTTACTTTATATAATGTCCTCCAAGGTCATTCATATTGCCAAGATTATAGGATTTTATTCTTTTCTAGGCTAAGTTGTGTATATTACCTGATTTTATCTATTTACTTGTTAATGGACAATTAAATTGATTCCATATCTTGGCTATAGTGAATAGTGCTGCAATAACATGAAAGTACCTATATCTCTTCAACATATTGATTTCCTTTCCTTTGAATATATATCCAGTAGTGTGATTTCTGGATTATATACTATGTCTATCTTTCATTTTCAGGAATTTTTATATTGTTTTCCATAACAGTTGTACTATCTTACATTCATACCAACAATGTATAAGAATTCTCCTAGCTCTGCATCCTTACCAGAATTTCATTTTTTTTTTTAGAATAACCATTTTAACTACTGTGAGATGATGTCTCACTGTAGTTTTTTAAGTTAGTGGAAAAGTAATTTCAGTTTCGAACTGTGAACTTTAAATCATTATAACTAGGCTGAAACACATATTTATAAATCAAAATAGGAAACATTACAATCAACACATTTTTGCCAATGAGAAATAAATTGTTTATTCCTGTAGTGTAAAAATACATGCTTTGGGATTTGACAAACTTTTGGAAGGCATATTCTGCATCTTGCTGGTGTGGAAGCATTTTCCCTGCAAAAAGCTGTCGAGATGCTTGAAGAACCGGTAGTCAGTTGGTGAGAAGTCAGATGAATATGGTGGATGAGGCAAAACTTCAAAACCTGGTTCATTAAACTTTTGAAGCGTTGGTTTTGTGACATGTGATCAGGCATTGCCATGGAGAAAAATTGGGTCTTTTCTGTTAACCAATGCCTGCTGCAGTCATTGCAGTTTTCAGTGCATCTCATTGATTTGCTGAGCATAATTCTCAGATGTAATGGTTTTGCTGGAATTCAGAAAGCTGTAGTGGATCAAATTGGCAGCAGACGGCCAAACAGTGACCATGACTTTTTTTGGTGCAAGTTTGGTTTTGGGAAGTGCTTTGGAGCTTGTTCTCAGTCCAACCCCTGAACTAGTCATTGCTGGTTGTCATAAAAAATCCACTGTTTGTCATGCATCACAATTTGATCTAGAAATGGTTCGCTGTTGTTGCATAGAATAAAAGAAGATGACACTTCGAAATGACGATTTTTTTAAAATTTTCGGTCAGCTCATGAGGCACCCACTTACCAAGCTTTTTCACTTTTCCAATTTGCTTCAAATGCCGAACAACCATAGAATGGTCAATGCTGAGTTCTTCTCAACTTCTCGTGTAGTTGTAAGAGGGTCAGCTTCAATGATTGCTCTCAATTGGCCGTTGTCAACTTCTGATGGCCAGCCACCAAGCTCCTCATCTTCAAGGGTCTCATCTCCGCAAAACTTCTTGAACACCACTGCACTGTACATTCATTAGCAGTTCCTGGGCCAAATGCGTTGTTGATGTTGTCAGTTGTCTCCACTGCTTTATGATCCATTTTGAATTTGAATAAGAAAATCAGTGGAATTTGCTTTTTGGCTGACATCATTTCCACAGTCTAAAATAAACATAAAATGAATAGCAAGTAATAAGTCATTAGCAAAATAAAGCAAGAAATGCTCATTAAAATGATGTATAACATAACCACATTTATTTAAGGATATATTCCAATATCAAACAGCAAATTCCAACAATGCAAAAACTGCAATTACTTTTGCACCAACCTATAATTTGCATTTCACTGATCATTAGTGAAATTGAGCATTTTCCATATCCCCGTTCACCATTTGCATGTCTTCTTTGGAGAGATGGCTACTCGGCACATTTGCCTATTTTTAAATAGGATTATTTATTGTCTTTTTTCTGCCATTGAGTTGTTTGAGTTTCTTATATATTCTGGATATGAATCCCTTGTCAGATGAATAGTTTGCAAATATTTTATCCAGTTCTTTAGGTTGTCTCTTTATTCTGATAACTTTCCTTTGTTGTGCAGAAGCTTTTTAGTTTAATACAATTCCATGTGTTAATTTTTGCTTTTGTTTCCTGTGTTTTTGAGGTCTTACACACACACAAAAATCTTTTCCCAGACAAATGTCCTGAAGCATTTTGCCTATTTTATTCTACTGGTTTTACAGTATTGGATATTACATTTAGGTATTTGATCCACTTTTAGT
This sequence comes from Homo sapiens, assembly GCF_000001405.40. Taxonomy (NCBI): domain Eukaryota; kingdom Metazoa; phylum Chordata; class Mammalia; order Primates; family Hominidae; genus Homo; species Homo sapiens. Next base: position 143,013,706 of record NC_000004.12, read on the forward strand.
TGATTTTTATAGAGTGACAGATGGAGGTCTAGTTTTATTCTTCTGCATATGAATATCCAGTTTTCTCAGCACTGCTTATTGAAGAGATTGTCTTTTCCCTAACATATATTTTCTATGCCTTAATCAAAAATTGGTTCGCTGTAGATACATGGATTAATTTCTGGGTCTTCTATTCTGTTTTATTGTTCCGTTTCTGGTTTTATGCCACTATCATGCTGCTTTGTTTACTAAAGCTTTGTAGTATATTTTGAAATCTGGTAGTGTGATGTCTCCAGCTTTGCTCTTTTTGCTAAGGATTGCTTTAGCTATTCAGGGTATTTTGTGGCTGCATACACGTTTTAGAATTGTTTTCTGTATCTGGGAAATATATTATTGGTATTTTGATACAGATTGCATGAATTTGAATTTGTAGATTGTTTTGGGTAGTATGGTCATTTTTAACCATATTAATTCTTCTCATCCATGAGCATGAGGTTTTTTTATTTGTTTGTATCTTCAATTTCTTTCATTCATTTTTTGTAATTTTTATTAGTAGTGATCTTTCACCTTCTTGGTTAATTTTATTCTTAAGTATTTTAAATTTTTTTGCAGCTACTACAAATAAGATTCTCCTCTTGCTTTCTTTTTGGCTATTTCATTCATTGTGTATAGAAATGTTACTAATTTTTTGTATATTGATTTTGTATCCTGTAACTTTACTGAATTTGTTTATCAGCTTTAGGAGTATTTTGGTAGAGTCTACATTGTTCTTTATATAAGATCATCTGGATCTGCAAACAGGAACAATTTGACTTTCTCCTTTCCAATTTGGGTGCCCTTTATTTCTCTCTTTTGCCTAATTGCTCTGCCTAGTACTTGCAGTACTAAGTTAAATAAGAGTGACTAGAGTGGACATCATTGTTTTGTTCCAGTTCTTAGAGAAAAAGCTTTCTGCTTTTCTCCATTTACTATGACATTAGCTGTGGGTTTGTCACATATGGCCTTTATTGTGTTGAGGTGCATTCCTTCTATACTTAATTTATTGACAGTTATTATGAAAAAGATATGTTGAAGCTTAGCAAATGCTTTTTCTGCATCTATTGAGATAATCATATATTTTTTGTTCTTCATTCTGTTGATGTGGTGTATCATGTTTATTGATTTGCATATGATGAACCATCCTTACATTCTTGAGATAAATCCTACTTGATTGTTTGTATTATGTTTTTGATGTGTTGTTGGATTCAGTTTGCTAGTATTTTGTTGAAATTTTTTGTATCTAAGTTCATCAGATATATTGGCTGGTAGTTTCCTTTTTTCTTGTGTCCTTGTTGTTGTTGTTGTTGTTTTTTATTTTGGTTTTTTGCTTGTTTGTTTGTTGGTTTGTGTTGGTATAAGTGTTACCCAGGCTTTGTAAAGTGAGTTTGAAGAATTCTCTCTGCCTCAATTTTTTGGAATAGTGTGAGAATAATTGGTATTAATTATTCTTCAAAGGTTTAGTAGAATTCAGCAGTGAAGCCATCTAGTTCTGGACTTTTCTTTGTTGGGAGACTTTTTGTTAGTTATTCCCTCTCATTACTCATCTGGTCTGTTCATGTCTTCTCTTTCTTCTCAGTTCCATCTAGGTAGATTGTATGTGTCTAGGAATTTAACTATTTCTGTATTAGTCCATTCTCATGTTGCTAATAAAGATATACCTGAGACTGAGTAATTTATAAAGAAAAAGGGTTCAATTGATGCACAGTTCAACATGGCTGGGGAGGGCTTAGGTAATTTACAATCATGGCAGAAGGCAAAGGGGAAGCAAGACACCTTCACGAGGTGGCATGAAGAATGAGTGCCCAGCGAAGGGGGATGCCCTTTATAAAACCATCAGATCTAATGAGAGCTAACTCACTCTCTTGAGAAGAGGATGGGGAAACCACCCCCATGATTCAATTATCTCCATCTGGTCCCTTCCACAACATGTGGAGACTATGAGAACTACAATTCAGGATGAGATTTGGGTGGGGACACAGCCAAACCATATCAATTTTTACTACATTCTTAAACTTTTTGACCTGTAAGTGCTTGTAATACTCTCTAATAATCCTTCGGGGTTTTTCGTGGCATGAGTTGTAATTTCTTCTTTTTCATCTCTGATTTTATTTATTTGGGTCTTTTCTTGTTTAGTCTAGCAAATGATTTGTTGAATTTGCTTATCTTATTTAAAAAACAACTTTTTGTTTTATTGGCATTTTGTATTTTTTGTCTCTATTTTATTCGTGCTTTCATTTTTATTATTTATTTCCTTATACCAATTTGGGATTTGGTTTGTTCTTGATTTTCTAGTTCTTTGTTATTTATCTTTTGGTTGTTTACTTGAGATCTTTCTGCTTTTTTGATGTCAGTGTTTATTCCTATAAACTTCCCTCTTACTACTGGTTTTATTGCATCCTATAGGTTTCAGTATGTTGTGTTTCTATTTTCATTTGTTCCAAAAATTTTCTTCTTAATTTATTTATTGTTCCAATGGTCATTTGGGAACATGTTGTTCCATTTCCCATGTGTTTATATAGTTTCAAAAGTTTCTCGTTATTAATAGATAATGTTATGCCATTGTGGTCAAAAAGGATACTTGATATGATGTCAGTTCTTTTAAATTTGTTGAGACTTGTTTTATGGCCTAACATGTAGCTTATCCTCGAGAATGTTGTATGTGTTGATGGACAGAATGTGTAGCCAAGCACGTGGGCTCATGCCTGTAATCTCAGCACTTTGGGAGGCTGAGGTGGGAAGATTGCTTGAGCCCAGGAATTTCAGACAAGCCTGGCAACATGATAAAGCCCTGTCTCTACGAAAAATACAAAATATTACTCAGGCAAGGCTGGGCGCAGTGGCTCACACCTGTAATCCCAGCACTTTGGGAGGCTGAGGAGGGTGGATCATGAGGTCAGGAGTTCGAGACCAGCCTGGCCAAGATGGTGAAATTCTATCTCTACTAAAAATACAAAAATTAGCCAGGCATGGTTGCAGGTGTCTATGATCCCAGCTACTCGGGAGGCTGAGTCAGAGAATTGCTTGAACCCGGGAGGCAGAGGTTGCAGTGAGCAGAGATCGCACCACTATACTCCAGCCTTCACGACAGAGTGAGCCTCCATCTCAAAAAAAAACCAAAAAACTTCTCAGGCATGGTGGCATGTTCCTGTAGTCTCAGCTACTCAAGAGGCTGAGATAGGAGGATTGCTTGAGCCCAGGAGTTCAAGGCTGCAGTTAGCTGTGATTGCTCCACTGCACTCTAGCCTGGGTGACAGAGTGAGACCCTGTTTCAAAAAAAAAAAAAAAAAAAAAAATGTATTCTGTAGCTTTGGGATGAAAAGTCCTGTAAATGTCTATTACTTATATTTGTTCTAAAGTACAGTTTAACTCCAATGATTCTTTGTTGAATTTCTGTCTAGATTATCTTTTTAGTTGTGAAAGTCAGGTATTAAAGTCTCCAACTACGATTTTATTAGAGTTTACCTCTCCCTTTAGATCTAGTAATATTTGCTTTATATGTCTGGCTGCTTTAGTGTTGGATGCATATATATTATATGTATTATATTCTCTTGCTGAATTGATCCTTTTATCCTACATAGCGACCTTCTTTCTCTCTCTTTACTACACTTGAGTTAAGCTCTGTTTATCTAAAACAAGTATAATTACTCCTCACTTTTGGTTTCCATTTGCATGGAATACCTTTTCCATCCTTTCACTTTCAGTCTACGTGTATCTCTACAAATGAAGTGAGTTTCTTACAGGCAGCAAATAGTTGGGTCATGTTTGGTTATCTATTCAGCCAGTCTATATCTTTTAAGTAAGAAATTCAGTCCATTTCTATTCAAGACTATTCTTGACAGCTGAGGACTTAATCCTGTCGTTTTGTTCATTGTTTTCTGGTGGCTTATTTATTATTTATTGGTATGCCATGCATTTCTTTCTTCTCTTATTGATTATTATTGTAGGTTTGTCATTCTCTGTAGTAATGAAGTTTGATTCTTTTCTCTCTCACTTGTGTGTATGCTTTGCCAGTGAGTTTTACACTTTTGTGTTTTTTATAATGATAATTATTATATTTAACTTCTATATACAGGGCTCCCTTGACTGTTTCTTGTGACGCTAATCCAATAGTGATCAATTCTTAGTTTTTGCTTCTCTGGGAAAGACTTTATTTCTCCCTCAGTTCTGAAAGATAGCTTTGTTGGATAAAGTATCCTTAACTGATAATTGTTTTTCTATCAGCACTTTAAATATATCATCCCATTCTCTCCTGGCCTATAAGGTTTCTGCTGAAAAATATGCAGTTAATCTACAGGGAGTTCTTTTATATGGGACTTGATGGTTTTCTTTTGCTGTTTTAGAATTCTTTGTCTTTGACTTTTGAAGATTTGACTGTAATGTGCTTCAGATGAGACATTTGTGGGTTGGATCTATTTAGGAATCTTTGAGGTTCTTGAATTTGTACAATATCTCTCCAAAGACTTGTGAGGTTTTCAACTATTGTTTAATTAAATTGATTTTCTATGTTTTTTTCCCATCCTTTCCCTTTCTGGGACTCCCATAATATGAAGGCTTTCTTTAATCTTTTTTATTCTTATTTTTTTTCCTCTGATGAGGCAACTTCAAATGACTTATCTTTAAGTTCAAAGATTCTTCCTTCTGCTTAATAAAGTCTGCTGTTGAAGCTCTCTATTGTATATTTTAATTTTATTAATTGAATTCTTCAACCATATAATTTTTGTTTGGTTACTTTTTGTGATATCTATCTGTTTGTTAAGTTTCTTTTTCATAGGACTTGGACATTAGAGGACTAAAAATATTTCTTATTCATATTGTATGTTTTTTTGTTTGTATTAAATTATGTATCTGCATTTTCTTGTATGTCATTGAATTTCCTTAAGATTATTATTTTAAACTCCTTTTCTGACAATTTGTAGATTTCCTTTTCATTGGGGTTTATTATTAGAGATTTATTCTGCTCCCCTGGTTGCATTATATTCTTTTGCTTTTTCATGTTTCTTTTATCCCTGCACTAATGTCTATGCATCTGGTGGAACAACTTCCTCTTTTAAGTTTTCTAGAGTGGCTTTCATAGAAAGACTTCCACCTACCATTATATCTTAGTGTACCAGTTGGAAAGGGTATAGTGACTCCATTTCTGGTAGACACAGTGGTATAGTTTTTGTGCTGCTTCTTCAGTTGTGTTCAGTAATAACAACTGAGGGTGTCTCCATGGCATAGGTTGTAAAAGTTTGTGGCAGTGGCAGCAGCATAATAGGTTGTTAAGGTCTTCAGTGACAAAGGCTTTGGGGTCCTCCTATTCTCATTTTACCCAAAATGAAGAGACTTAGCTGAAGGGATCCCTGTATCAGGTCTAACGTGGCCTACAAGCGGCTGCAGCTGTGCTGGGTTCCATGTGCAGGTACTTGGAGCAGCTGTGGGGCCCAGGTCCTAGGCTCAAGGTCTCATGAACCTATTGTGGCACCTGCATATTGAGTTGCAGGTTTGTTCTCTATGGCAGGGTCAGATACTGGTTGCCCACAGAGCCAGGGTCTGTTACTCTGAGGCACCCATAGAAGTTTGGATCCAGGGACTGGGATGTAACTCTGATTTTACTCTCAGGGAGTAAACAACCCTTGTCTGACTCCAGAGAAAAAGGAGTGCTCTGAAGTTTTGAGTCCAGGGAGTTATGGTTGTAATTTGAGAATCTGAGCCAATAGGGCTCAGTAGCAACTCAGGTCCCAGAGGACAAGGCACTGTAGAGTGGTGACACTAGACTCTGGGATGGTGAGGTGTGGCTATATCATAAACTCACTGAGACCAGGTGCAGTGGCGGCATGGTGGAGCACAGCTGTCATTTGGGCTCTGGTGGGCAGGGAGCAGCACACTAATGACTCCACTCCCCAGGGAGAGGAGCATGTCAGAAGTTCAGGCTTTAGAGAGCTAGTTCAGCTTCAAGTAAGCGGGATACTAGAGTTGTTTTGCCTGTAGAGCAAGGCGTCTCAGCTCAGTCACTGCTCTATTTCCCTAGGATGCGGGAATTATGTCAACTTAACCCTGGGATGTGTAGCTACTCAGCGTGGCCAAGGCACCACTTCCCTGGGAGGCAATATGCTTCTTCAACTCAGGCGCAGGGTGTGTGACTATTCTGGCCCAGGCACCATTTCCCTAAGATCCAGTGTCTTGCTTCAGCTTAGTTATTGTGATGTGTGACTGCTCTAGGAAGCCAAGGCACCATCTTCTGGAAGGGCAGCATAGCTGCTCTGGTAGGTCAAGGTACTGTTTTCCCAGAGGACAGGGTACTACTTCAGCTCAGGCACAGAGGGGTGTGACTGCTCTGGGTGGCTAAGGCACCATTTCCTTGGGATGCCTGGCATTGCTTCAACTTTGACACAGGGTTCAGGGTGCTTTAGCAACCTGGAGAGATATGTTGAGGAGCTCTGCTGAGGTACCATTTCCTTTGGAGGCAGTGTGCAGCTTTAGCATAGGGTTCTAGGGGTGGGGTACAACAGTGACTCAGAAGGGCATATGGAACCATTCCACCAAGCCACTGTTTCTCTGAGGAGGTAGTGTACTGGTTCAGCGCCATTCCCCCAATACAGGGCACAGCAACAGTGACTGCGAGGAGTAGCTGGAGCAGCTCTGCCAAGACACCATTTCCTTCAGTGGTAGTATACAGCTTCAACTCTCTCAAGGGGGTAAGGCACAGCAGTGATGGGAGAAGTCTATGGAATGGCTTTGCCAAGGCACTGTTTTCTCAGGAGGAAGTCCATAGCTTCAGCTCAGAGCCCTTAGGAGCACAGTGCACCAGTGACTGGGAGGAGCAGATGGAGTTCTACCAATTCACCATTTTTCTAGGGGGTGGTGCACAGCTTCAGCTCAGGCCCCTAGGGGTGAGGTGCAGCCATGACTAAGAGAGGTAGATGGAGAGGTTCTGCCAAAGTACTATTTCCCTAGGAGGGGTGTGCAGCTTCAGCTCTGGCCTGAGGGGGCAGGGAGTTATGCACAGGACAATACTAGTTATATATCTGGCAGTAGCATCTGTTGGTAGCTCAGCTGGATCTTCTGGGCTAAGATTATTAGGGACAATTGGAAATTAAGAGACTCTGAGGCTAATTTAAATAAAACAAACAGAGTGCTGTGCTGAGAGTCTCAGAAAGAAACTAAATAATGCATCATGTCCAAGATCAAGCACAAGAAAAGAAACAGGATGTGAAGCCAAGAGTTCAGGGGTCAGGTAAGCACAGAACATAGCAGGATGCAGTAAAGAAGCAAAGTTCCAGGACAATTATTGTGCATTGGACACATGATGTGTGGATGGATCAGCTCGATCTAAAGGCACAGTATTGGAACGGGTTTAGTTCTCCAGACGCTGGCTGTAGAAGCTTTCTATGAACACTAAACAAACAATACTCTGAGTCTCAGAGAACCAAGCTACAGGAAAAAGGAATCAAGAACATACATACCAGGCCAGACATGGTGGTTCACTCCTTAATCCCAGTGTTTTGGGAGGTTGACGTGGGAGGATCATTTGAGGCCAAGCTAGGCAAAATAGTGAAACTTCCGTCTCCACAAAAATATTAAAAAATTAGCTGGGTGTCATCAGCTTGTTGTCCTAGCTACTGGGGAGGCTGCGGCAAGAGAACTGCTTGAGCTAAGGAGTTCAAGTTTACAGTGAGCTATAATCATGCCATGGCACTCCAGCCTGGGAGACAGAGCAAGATCATGTCTCTAAAATTTAAAAGAAAATATATGAAAAATATAAGGTCTAATTTTCTATTATTATAAGCCATCTTTAATTTCTAAGTTACACACATACACTTCAGTCAAACACATGCTTTCATAAAAAGGAAGCTGCAAAAAAATGATCACTCCTTCCAGTTTCATTATTAGTGTAAGCCTCTTCTTTGACCACTGGTATAAACATTTAGCTTATTTTGTGTTAGTTCATATTTTTGGTATTTCCACCACTGAACATGACAGAGGCTATACTCCTGAAAGCTACTGGATAATTGTAATTGACAATTTCCAAATTAAACTGATAAAGAAACAGTGAGCATTTGTTTTAATTTTTTACATATTTTTGTAGATATCCAGGAAAACTTGTCTGAAGTTTTTAACACCATCTGTTGCTTATCATATACTTTTAATGGAATACTGGAATGCTCTATCTTTTATATTAATTTTCCTAAAGTAAATGAACTTTTTATGTAATAGAATAAAATTAATACCTTTGATACATCATCTAATAAGTATAATTTGGAGGAAATGGAGTATTAATGACTCAAGGTGCAAATTACCATTTAAGTAAGGGTAGAAAGATGATAAAACGCAGACTCATTATGTACCTCTAGCAATTTTTCAAGTTTTATTCTTTTTACCATTTAAGTAATTATGTCCTCCCTTTGGACATCACTTTTTTCTGTTCTCCAACTAAATAATTTTTAACTTACAAACATTCAGCCCCCTACTTTTGTGGCTGCTTTTGCAATTCCAAATGAAAACGTCTTCTACAAATTTAATCAATATATTTACAAAAATAACACAAAATTTCGCTAACATCCTCTTTCTACTGATTTCAAATTAATCCAAATTTAGTGTTCATTTAGTTCAGAATCAGGAGATTCCAGTAACCACTGTGCAGTTCCCAGAATTAAACAGTTGAATTCTATTCAGTTGACCGGGTAAATGTAAGACATGCTGGCTGTCCCATTAACTTCCTAACATAATTAGGAATGAAATAATCTAACTGCTCCAAGTCAGCTCAGGATATGTTTTACAGTCTTATATCTCATAAGAGGAATCCCCAGTGTATGGGCTGGACCAAATCTAAATCCACTTTATTCAGTCCTCAAGGTCATAATACTGCACTAGGTGCTGCCAATATATTCCAAGACATGATCCTATATGTCTGTCAGAATGTACATCTAATATCAGGGTAACAAATAGGTTTAATTTTGCATGTCAACTCGATTAACTGGTGGAGTCTGCCTTGAGCAGCCTGTTAAGGACATTTTAAGGCTACGTACAGACTTGGAAGAATAGATGTATTAGCAATGTCGGCCATGTGTTCAGAAAGGGGGAAATTGCAACTTAAATGTCTCATATTTACTGATCCTAATCAAAGAATTTCAAGAGAAAAAATGGAAATGCCTAACCCAGAAGTTCAAGTAAAATCTGAAGTGTAATAAAAATAGTTTATACCTACTAATCTGCATTCCCTTTCTTCTTAACGGAAGAATTTCCATCTCTGCCAGTTTTCCTTTTACATGTTTCTCTCTCTTCTGCTGTATGTCCTAATTCCTCCCTTTCTCTACCACAAAATAGAAGTCAGAATTCATTTAATAAAGTATTTTTTCATTTCCTCTAATATTTTTATACAGTGAACTTTTAAATAGCACCCTCTCCCTACCACAATGAAAGTTTTGAATCAAAACAAAAGTTGTTCTTTGACTTGTATGTGGAAAACATTATTACTTTTAGTAGATCAATTTCCTCTTAGCGAAATAAAAGTCATCCTATTTCCTTTCAGAAGGTCATTAGTGAAGGCTGCTTGATTCATGTAGACATGTGTGTTCAGGCCAGACCTTGCCTTGGAATCTGTCTGCCCAGCAACCACTGCTCTGCATCCTGTACTCCAGCTCACCTCCAATCTTGCTAATTGCTTCTTGACTCTACTCTGTGCACCACAGTCCACAATCTTCAGTCCCTATGGTTTGGGTGGAAAAGCAGGAATGGCTCCACCCTTCCAATATCCAGGAATGTGCATGTCACAGATCTGGCCAATCCACACAGTCATGATTGGTTCAAGGATGGACATATGACTCAACTTTGTCCAGTTGAGAATTGAATCTGAGACTTTTGTGAATATTATTGAATATTCACAGAGAAAAAACTTTCTGAAGTCACTGAACTTAAAGGATGTCAGCCTGGCACTGTAGGAGATGCACTACAAAAACAGAGCCTGCACACAGAAAGGAAGTAAAATAGAGGCTACCAAGGGCTGGGGGGATGAAGGGAAGGTTATTGTTTAATGAGTATAGAGTTTCTGTTTGGGATGATGAAACATTCTGGAAATGAATAATGGTGATGGTTACACAACATGGTGAATATACTTACTGCCACAGAATTGTACAATTAAAAATAGTTAATATGGTAAATTTTGTGTTATATATTTTAACACAAATAAATAATAAAATAGCAGTTAAAAACATCTGAGGAGGAGGTGGAGCAAGATTGCCAAATAGAACCCTCCACTGATCTCCCCCACAGGAATACCAAATTGAGCAGCTTACTGGAAGGCACCTTACTGAGGACTAAAAATCAGGTAAATGATCACAGTACCTAGTTTTAACATCATATTAAAGAAGGAGGCACTGAAAAGGATAGAAAACCCAGTCTCGAATTGACAACACCACCCTGCTCCTATCTCCCAGCAGTGCTGCATGGCACGAAGAGAGAGAGTCTGTGCAATTGGAAAAGGAAGAGTGTAGTGATTGTGGGACTTTGCATTGGAACTCAGTGCTGCCCTGTCACTGTGGAAAGCAACACAGTGTCCATGAAGACAGCATTTATACCAGCCCTACTCAGAGAGGAATCATCCATCCCAGCAGTTGGAACCTGAGCTCTGGCTAGCCCCATGACTACCACTGCTCTGAGGTCCTAAATAAAACTGAAAGGCAGTCTAGGCCACAAGGACTGCAATTTCTGGGCAAGTCCTGGTGCTGTGTGGGCTCAGAACCAGTGGACTCAGGGTGCAATGACTTGTGAGACACCTGCTGGGATGGCCAAAGGAGTGCTTGTGTCACCTCCACCCCAATCCCAGGCAGCATTGCTCATAGCTCCAGGAGAGACTCTTTCCACTTGAGGAAAGGAGAGGGAAGAGTAAAGAGGACCTTGTCTTGCAATTTGAATATCATTTCAGCCACAGTAAAATAAAGCACCAAGCAGAGTCCTGAAGACCCCATTTCAGACCCTAGCTCTCAGATGACAATTCTAGACATACCCCAGGAAAGAAGATAATCCAATACCTTGAAGGGAGGGACCCATACTTGGCAAGATTCATCACCTGCTAACTAAAGAGCCCGTGGGCCTTGAATAAACATCAGCAGTACATACCCAGGCAGTACTCACCAGGGGCCTTGGGTAAGACCCAGTGCAGTACTCACTTCAGGTGTGACCCAGCACTTTGCCAGCTGTGGTGGCCACAGGGAGAGACTCCCGCTTAAGGAAAGGAGAAGGAAGAGTAAAAAGAACTTAGTCTTGCAACTTGGGTATCATCTTAGTCACAGTAACACCAAGTAGAGTCCTAATGTTCACAACTTCAGGCCCTAGCTCCTGGACAGCACTTCTAGACCCACCCTGGGCCAGAAGGAAACTTATTACTCTAAAGCGAAGGAGACAAGCCTGGCTTGATTCACCACTTTCTAACTAAAGAACTCTTGGGCCTTGAATAAATATCAGCAGTAGCCAGGCAATAGTCACGATAAGCCTTCAGCAAGGCCCAGTACTGTGCTGGCTTCAGGTCTGACTTAGCAGAGACCCAGTGGTGGTGGCCACAGGGGTGCTGAGTCATCCCTCCCCCAGCTGCAGGCAGCAGGGCACGAAGAGAGAGAGAGACTCTGTTTGTTTGGAGAAAGGTAAGATTGGTACAAAAGTAATAATTGTGCCATTGAAAGTAATGGCAAAATCTGCAATTATTTTTGCACCAGCCTAATAATTCAAAGAATTCTTTGAGATCTTACCCAAAACCTCAAGGCAGTACCTCTACTAGTCTGCAAGAGTCACAGCATTACTGGGCTTGGAGTGCCCCCTAATGTAGATATGGCTGCAGTGATCAAAGACATAGATCACAGCACAATTCCTTTTGAATACTTGGAAAATCTCCCCAAGAAGGATGGGTACAAACAAGCCAAGACTGCAAAGACTACAATAAATACTTAACTATCCAATGCCCAGAAATCAACAAATATTCACAAGCATCAAGTCCATTCCACAAGGGAGATGGGTCAACATGGCTGACTAGAAACAGCTCATGTGTGCCTGTCTCATAGGGAGTGGACAGAGTGGCTAGTGAACATTGACCTTGCAAATCGGTTGTCTAAGAAACCACATTAGGATCCAGCAACACAGTGAGGGGACAGACAGAGCAGAGAGGAGCAAAGCTGGCCAGCAGCCCATCTGGGATCAGCACAGAACCAAGAGAAGCTTCTTAACATGGGGAAGAGCGTCTGGAAAATTCACACTTCCCACAGGAACCTGTGCAAGTCTGGGAACAGGAGAATCCCTCCAACCCCCGACCCTGGTCCTCTAAACTGAAGCAAAGAGCCACCCGGAATTTTTGCAAAGGCAACACTCAAGCCCACAGGGACCTCTACAAGCCCTGGACCCTGGAACAAACCAGCACCAATGAGATAGCTCCAACAGAGGCTGCAATCATTGTGCCCAGGTGCAGTAAGATTGCTTCACATCCCTCACCAGGCAAGGCTCAAAGCCAGTTTCCACACAGAAGCCCTGCTTCTTCCTGAATTCTGTAAGAAGGTTCAGCCTTCTGTTCCCCTGGGAAATATCTGGATGCCAGATCAGGCAACTCCACCCACCCTGGATGCTCAAAACCAGGTAAGCCATGCCTGCTAGAGCTTCCAGAAAGCAATCCTGCTTCTGCCTGAACTTTGTGGCCAGGCACAGCCCTATGTTCCCTCAGTAAACATCCAGACTGCAAGGCAGGCAACTCAACCCACCTCTACCATGTGTAGCCAGGCAAGTTACCTGCTAGAGCTTCCAGCCCAGTAGTCCCACTTCTGCCTGAACCCTGCCAGTAGGCTTAGTCCCCTATTCCCCCAGCAAACATCCAGATGGCAAGGTGGGTGACTTCACCCACACCCACCACTTATAGCCAAGCAGGCCATGCATGCTAGAGCCCACAAGTGGTAGGTCAGGTGACTTCACACATTAACACTGCTCCTAGGTGAGACTTGCTAGCTTGGGCAGTGTCCAAGCAGTGCTGAGCTCTCACTCTTAGACCACAAAGAGGGGGGAGATTCCTAGGTTTGCAGGCCAGCAGAAAAGCAGGGTGTGTCTCCCTCCACATGGCTGGCCCAGGAAGGGTACAGTCTGTCTGCCAACTGCAGGCCCTGCCTAAGGGAGCCCCGGCTTCCAGAACACCTAACAAAAGAAATGTGGGGATGGAGTCAGTGATTGGAAAGGGCTCCTCCAAGGCCCAAGAGTGGATCAGCTGAAGGTGTCATCTTGCTCCTCCCACACCACAGAGCATTGCTGCCAACTGAGCCAAAACAAAACAGCCATGCAGCTGAGTAAGAGCCTATCTGTCAGCCAACACTCTTAAGCACCAAAGCAAAGATCCAGCCACAAATAAAGAGTCTATACAAAGTTCTAGCACTCTGGAAACACCCAGAAATTAAGCCTACTGACTATACTCAATTTACTTCACAGTTAAAGGAAGACCAGCCCTCACACATGAGAAAGTATCAACACAAGAACTCCAGCAACTCAAAAAGCTGGTGTGCCCCTTTACCATCAAACAAACACACTAGTCCCCCAGAAATGATTCTTGGCAAGATTGAGATGACTGAAATGACAGACATAGATTTCAAAACGGAATGGCATAGAAGCTCACTGGGATAAAGAAGAAAGTTGAAACCCAATCCAAGGAGCTTAGTAAAACAACCTAGAAGCTGGACGATGAAATAGTCATTTTAACAAAGAATCAAACTATGAACTTCTGGAACTGAAAAGAAAATCACTTCAAGAATTTCACAGTACAATCAGAAGTGTCAACAGCAGAATAGTTCAAGCTGAAAAAAGAATCTCAGAGCTTGAAGACCAGTTCTTCAAATTCAAATTAACTCAGACAAAAGTAATGAAAAAAAGAATTTTAAAAATAAACAAAATGTCCAAGAAATGAGATTATGTAAAGAGACCAAATCTATGACTCATTGGCATTCTTTTCTTTTTTTTTTTTTTTTTTTAGATGGTGTCTCGCTCTGTCACCCGACTGGAGTGCCGTGGTGCGATCTCGGCTCACTGCAACTTCCGACTTCTTGGTTCAAGCGATTCTCCTGCCTCAGCCTCCCAAGTAGCTGGAGTTACAGGCACATGCCACCATGACCAGCTAAATTTTTTTTTATTTTTAGTAGAGATGGGGTTTTACCATGTTGGCCAGGATGGTCTCAATCTCCTGACCTCGTGATTATATACACAATGGAATATTACTCAGCCATAAAAAGGAAAAAATTAATGGCATTCACAGCAACCTGGATGGGATTGGAGACTATTATTCTAAGTGAAGTAACTCATGAAGAGAAAACCAAACATCGTATGTTCTCACTCATAAGTGGGAGCTAGGCTATGAGGATGTAAAGGCCTAAGAATGACACAATGGACTTTGGGGACTGATATGGTTTGGCTCTGTGTCCCCACCCAAATCTCATCTTGTAGCTCCTATAATTCCCACATGTTGTGGGAGGGACCAGTGGGAGATGATTGAATCATGGCAGCAGGTCTTTTCCATGATGTTCTCATGATAGTGAATGGGTCTCATGAGATCTAATGGTTTTAAAAATGGGAGTTTCTCTGCACAAGCTCTCTTTTTGCCTGCTGCCATACCCATAAGATGTGACTTGTTCCTCCTTGCCTTCCACCATGATTGTGAGGTCTCCTGAGCCATGTGGAACTGTAAGTCCAATAAACTTCTTTCTTTTGTAAATTGCCCAGTCTTGGGTATGTCTTTATCAGCAGCATGAAAATGGACAAATACAAGGATTCAGGGGAAAAGGGTGGGAAAGTGGGGAGGAATACAAGACCACAAATTAGGTTCAGTATATACTGCTCAGGGGATGAGTGCACCAAAATCTCATAAATCACCACTAAAGAACTTATTCATGTAACCGAATACCACCTGTTCCCCAAAAACCTATGGAAATAAAAAAAAATTTAATAAAATAAATAAAAATTAAAAAGAAGACATAGAAACAAAGAACTGACACCTGCTACCTCAAAAATACACTCAAGCACATAGCCCATGAAATATACAAAGCAATTATACAATCAAGTCTACAAAACAAACAGCAACAACACAATGACAGGATAGAGATCTCCTATATCAATACTAACCCTGAGTGTAAATGGTCTAAATACCCCCACTTAAAAGGCACAGAGTGGCAGGCTGGATAAAAAGACAAGACTCAATTGTCTTCTGTCTTCAAGAGATGGATGTCACATGTAATGATACTCACAGGATCAAAGTAAAGGAATGGAGAAAGATCTACCAAGCAAACACAAAACAACAAAGAGCAAGAGGTGCTATTCCTATATCAGATAAAACAAATTTTAAGCCAACAACAATTGCAAAGGACAAAGAATGGCATTACATATTGATAAAGGGTTTAATTTTTTTAAAGACTTAACTATCCTAAATATATACGCACCCAACATAAGACAAGAAGTTTTTCTCAACCTATGAAAACACTTAAACAGCCACACAATAATTGTGGGAGACTTTAACATTCCATTGACACCATTAGACAGATTATTGGGGCAGAAAGCTAATGAAGAAATTCTGGACTTAAACTCAACAACTGACCAGTTGGGCATAATAGACATCTGCAGATCCAGAAATCACAGAATATATATTCCACTCCATCCAAAAACCACAGAACATATACTCTTCTCATCTGCAAATAGAATATATTGTAAAATCAGTCACCTGCTCGGCCATAAAGCAAGTCTCAAAAAATTCAAAAAATGCAAAATCATAACAAGGATATACTCAGATCATAGTGCAGTAAAAATGGAAATCAATACCAAGAAGATCTCTCAAAACTACACAAAAACATGGAACTTAAACAACTTGCTCCTGAATAACTCTTGCATGAACAACAAAATTAAGGTAGAATAAAAATATATATATACATAATTAATGAAAATAGAGATACAACTTGCCAAAACCTTTGGGAGGCAGCTAAAGCAGTGCTAAGAGGAAAATTTATAGTACTAAACTGCCTTCACATCAAGATATGATGATGACCTAACATCACAAGTAGGGGAACTAGAAAAAAATGAACAATTCAACCCCAAAGCTAGTAGAGGAAAAGAAATAGCTGAAATCAGAGATGAACTGAATGAAATTGAGACCCAAAAATCCATACAAAAGATTGATGAAACTAAGAGTTGGTTTTTCAAAAGAATAAGCAACATTGATAGCTGATTAGCTAGATTAACAAACAAAAAGAAGATCCAAATAAGCACAATCAGAAACAACTAAGATTATATTACAACTGATCTCACAGAAATTAAAAGATCCCCCAGAGACTATTATGACCTCCTCTATACAAACATTTTAGAAAATCTAGAGGAAACGGCTAAATTCCTCAACATGAACAGAAAAATCCTCAACAAAGTGCTAAGGAACTGAATCCAGCAAAACATCAAAAAGTCAATCCACCACAATCAAGTAGGCTTTAATTCTGGGAGGCAAAGTTGGTTCCACATAAACCAATATGACTCACCACATTAAAATAATTAAAAACAAAAACCCTATGATCATCTCAATAGATACATAAAAAGCCTTTGATAAAAATCCAACTTCTCATTCATGTTTGAAGAATAATTTTACTGGATATATTGTTCTAGGATAAAACTTCTTTTTTTATTCAGCACTTTAAATATGTCATGTCACTCTGTCTTGGCTTGTAAGATTTCCACTGAGAAGTCTGCTGCCAGATATATTAGAGCTCCTTTATATGTTATTTGTTTCTTTTCTCCTATTGCTCTTAGTATCCTTTCTTTATCCTTGATCTTTGGGAGTTTGCTTATTAAATGTCTTGAGGTAGTCTTACTTGGGATGATTCTGCTTAGTGATATATAACCTTCTTATACTTGAATATTGAGCCAGCTATAACAAACCCACAGCCAACGTCATACTGAATGAACAAAAGCTGGAATCATTCCCCTTGAGAACTGGAAAACCTAGAAGAAATAGATAAATCCCTAGACGCATACCACCTACAAAGATTGAATCATGAGGAAGTTTAAAACCTGAATAGACCAATAACAAGTAATGAAATCAAAGTCATAATGAAAAGTCTGCCAACAAAGAAAAGCCCAGAACCCAATAGCTTCACTGCTGAATTTTAATAAACATTTAAATAAGAACTAATACCACTCCTACTCAAATTATTTCAAAAAATAGAGGAAAAGGGAATACTTCAAAACTCATTCTATGAGGCCAGTATTACCCTGACACCAAAACATGATACTGACACATCAGAAAAAGAAACTACAGGCCAATGTCCCTGATGAGCATTTATGTAAAAATCCTCAACAAAATTCTAGCAAACTGAATTCAAGAACTCATTAAAAAGATCATCCATCATGGCCAAGTGGGATTTATCCCAGGGATGCAAGGATGGTTCAACATACACAAATCAATTAGTGTGATATGTCATATCAACAGAATGAAGAACAAAAACCACATGATCATTTCGATTAACGTTGAAAGGGCATTTGATAAAATTTAACATTCCTTCATAATAAAAATCCCTCAAAAAGTGGGTACAGAAGGAACATACCTCAACATAATAAAAGCCATATACAATATGCCTACAGCTAGTATCATACTGAATGAAGAAAAACTGAAAGCCTATCCTCTAACATTTGGAACAAGAGAAGGATGCCCACTTTCACCACTAACATTGAACATAGTACTGGAAGTCCTGGCTAGGGCAATCAGACAAGAGAAAGAAATAAAGAGCACCCAGATTGGAAAGGAAGACATCAAATTATCTTTGTTTGCAGATGAGATGATCTCAGATTTGGAAAATCCTAAAGACTCCACCAAAAAAAAAAGAAAAACTGTTAGAACTGTTAAACAAATTCAGTAAAGTTGAAGGATACAAAATCAACACACAAAAATCAGAAGCATTTTTATGTGCCAACAGTGAATCATCTGAATATGAAATGAAGAAAGTAATTTAATTCACAATAGCTAAAAATAAGATAAAATACCTAGGAATAAACTTAATCAAAGAAGTGAAAAATTTGTATAATGAAAACTATAAAACACTGATGAAAGAAATTGAAGAGGACACAAAAAATGGAAACATATCCCATATTTATCAGTTGGAAAATATTGTTCAAATGTCCATACTACCCAAAACAATAAACATATTTGATGCAATTCCTATCAAAATACTAACGGCATTCTTCACAGACATAGAAAAAATAATCTTAAAATTTGTATGGAACCACGAAAGACCCAGTATAGCCAAAGCCATTCTCACCAAAAAGAACAAAATTGGAGGAATCACATTCCCTGACTTCAAATTATGCTACAGAACATAATCAAAACCACATGATACTTGCATAAAAACAGGCACACAGACCAATGGAACAGAATAGAGAAACCAGAAATAAATCCATATGGCTACAGTGAACTTATTTTTAACAAAGATGCCAAGAACCTTAGGGAAATGATGGTCTCTTCAATAAATGCTGCTGGGAAAACTGGATAGCCATACACAGAAGAATGAAACTAGACCCTTATTTCTCACCATACACAAAAATAAAATCAAAATACATTAAAGACTTAAATCTAAGACTTTAAACTATGAAACTACTAAAAGAAATATTAGGGAAACTCTCCAGGACATTGGTCAAGGCAAAGATTTCTTGAGTTATACCCCATAAGCACAGGCAATCAAAGCAAAAATGGACAAATGGGATCACATCAAGTTAAAAAGCTTCTGTAAAGCAAAGGAAGCAATCAACAGCAACCCACAGAATGGAAAAAAGTATTTGCAAATTGTTCATCTGACAAGGGATTAATTACCAGAATATATAAGGAGCTCAAAAAACTCCATAGGAAAAAATATCTAATAGTCTGATTTTAAAATTTGATTTCTCAAAAGAAGGCATACAAATGGCAACACATATTTTGAAAAAGTGCTCAACATCATTGAGCATCTGAGAAATGCAAATCAAAATTACAATGAGATATCAGCTCCCTCTGGTTAAAATGGCTTTGATCCAAAAGACAGGCAATAACAAATATTAGTGAGGATATGGAGAAAAGGAAACCCTCACACACTGTTGGTGGGAATGTAAACTAGTAGTACGGTCACTGGAGAACAGTATAGAGGTTCCTCAAAAATCTAAAATAAGAACTACCATATGATCTAGCAATCCTGCTGCTAGGTATATACCCAAAAGAAAGGAAATAAATATAACAAAGACATCTGCATCCCCAAGCAACCTAAGTATCCATCAACAAACAAATGGATAAAGAAATGTGGTACATATACATAATAGAGTACTATTCAGTCATTAAAAAGAATGAGATCTTGTTATTTGCAACAACAGGGATGGAACTGAAAGTCTTCATGTTAAGTGAAATAAGCCAGGCACAGAACGACAAACTTTGCGTGTTCTCATTTATACATGAGAGCTAAAAATTAAAACAATTGAACTCATGGAGATAGACAGTAGAATGGTAGCTACCAGAGATTGGGAAGGATAGTGGATGGGGAGGGAAGTGGGGATGGTTAATGGGTACAAACAATATAGTTAGATAGAATGAACAAGGTCTAATATTTAATAGCACAACAGGGTGACCACAGTCAACAGTAATATATTCTACATTTTAAAATAACTAATAGAGTATAATTGGGATGTTTATAACATGAAGAAATGATAAATGCTTGAGGTGATGTGATTTACCTTGATGTGATTATTACACATTGTATGCCTATATCAAAATATCTCATGTACCCCATAAATATATATATATATATATATATACCTACTGTGTACCAATAAAAAAATTAAAATTAAAATCTTTAAAAAAACTAAGACATAAATCAATTCATTTAATCTTCTAAAAATCCTCTGAGACCAGTAATACTATTCCCATTTAACAGATATGGTTAAGTGACTTGATCCAGACCACACAGTTGGTCAACAGCAGATCCTGGGGCTAAATGATCTGTGATAGAAAACTTGTAAGATTCCCAACTATCATATATTGATGCTTTCAAAGATCCAATAAATATAAACAATTTCAAGAAATATAATTTTAAAATAAAACCATATGAAACAAACAAAAATATAGCCTGTCTGTGAGTGAAGCAATACTAGGAAAAGGAACTCTCATGGCTGTATCAAGAATATATTTTTTTCTGATTTGTCTCCACAAATATATTCCTGATACAGCCATGAGAGTTCCTGGCTCAAACTCTGACTAAGGCAATGTTATATCTAGATATTTCAGTGTTATGAGTTAATAAATTCCCAATTTTCCCTAATTACTTTGAGTTTCGCTTCTGTCAAAATCAACAAAAATATCTCTGGCTAATAGATTTATCAATTTACAGAATGATTTATTTTCAAAAATGTGTGGAAATCTGGGGAAAGGGCTTGCCTGGTGAGACTGTTCCCCCACAAGAGCAGCTGAGGTAGGAGCCTGAATTAATTTCCCAGTTTGATTGAGGACCTGTAGAGGACCATGCAGTATCAAGCATGAGGCCAGATGACATAAGGCTAAATCATAGATATTAAAGTCCCTAAGACCTATAGTGAAGATAATAGTCTTAGTCTGTTTTTGTGTTGCTCTAAAGAAATATCTGAGGCTGATATTTCGTAATTTATAAGGAAAAGAAATTTATTTGGCTCATAGTTCTGCAGGGCTGTACAAGAAGCATGACACCAGCATTTGCTTCTTATGAGGACCTCAGGAAGCTTCAAATTATGATGGAAGGGGTGTAGGAGCCAGTATGTCACATGACGATAGCAGGAGCAAGAAGGAGGGGAGGGGTGTCATGCTCTTTTAAAGAATCAGCTCTTGAGTCAGCTAATAGAGCAAGAACTCACTTATTGCCACTGGGATGGCACCAACCCATTCATGAGGGATCCACCCCCATGACCCAAACACATCCCACCAGACCCCACCTCCAACACCGAGGATCAATTTCAGCATAAGATTTGGAGGGGACAAATATCCAAACTATATCAACATTGAGCTCATGAAACATTGAATTGGAATTTTCTGAAAAACTGTGGAGAATTTGGCTTCATCTTTAAATTTGAGGTTTAAAAGAAAAAGTGCAGAAGTATAAACTCAAGTGCAAAAAAGCAAAGAGAGGAAACAAGAAGTAAGATTAAGAATTCACAGGAATTCACAGAAATTAGGAGAAGATTCTCACAAGTTGTAAACTGGTGGTTCCAGACATGTTGAACCAGATCTTTAAATGGTAGAGGGCTCTAGATAACATCAATATTACAGGATTTTGTGAGACACATTTATTATTCATTATTACCTAGTCTGGACCGAAAAGGTCCCCATTTAATGATTGATTAAGATCCAACCTTGCTGTTTCCAACTTTTCAGTAGACATCAATATTCCAGAGATTGGCTTCCTGTTTCTGATAGGGAGCTGGGTACTAAAGGTCAGGCTTGGATTGAAACAAAAAGTTGAAAGATGGATGGAGAAAAGAAGAAAGTTCTCACCAATCTCTACACCCTCTCAAACACCTTTTCAAAACACCCCCTCTGAAATCTATCCCCCACTTTACTGAATGTTCATTGCTTCCTTAAAGGAGAAACAAACCCCAAGTCGAAAAACTTCACTCAGTTTTAGATAGAATTTATTCAGAAATTATTCTGTAACCATGAGGAAAAAGCAACCAATAAATGCTGGTCAAGTGAAAATATAGGAAAAGCCATAGCATTTGATGACATGCTTGAGTAACTTAACTTATACACATTGGATTTCTTGTATGTAACAACAACAACAACAACAAAACATATTTTAAGCAACTCTTGACAGGATTTTTGTCTCTTCCAATCAAACAAAATCCTGAATAGTACATATATAAAAGATGTAAAAATGGATAGTGAAACAAACTTTTTAAATTTAGAAAATCTTCGTGAAGGAAAAAAAACTGCATGTGAATGCTGTGATTTAGGTCCCTCTAAGAAAATAACTATGTCATATATCATAATAAAGCTGTCAAGAGAAATTAAAGTTGAAACAAATACTAAATAAAGTTAACAAAGATCTCATTCAGTGAAATGCTATTTGTACAAAGAATACTTGACCTTCAAAAGCCAGAATCTGCAAAGTTTTTAAGAGTTTGTAAACCACTGAGATAAATCCCCATTCAAAAGAAACAGTCCTTATATTGGAAGATCTCATTCACAAAAGAAAACAGAAATAGCACTTCAGTGCAACCTCTAAGAATGAAAAAGACACAAAACATGTCTTTGCATGGGCTAGAGATTAGAGCAGAAATGTTTTTAAATGGCAAGAAGAAAATGATACAAAATATTCATCGTAAATCTCTGACAGTCAAATCCCCATACAATTAGAAAAAAAAAAGAAAATGCTTTAAATGGCCTACAGATTTCAAACTCATATAAGAATTGTTCAGATTTCTCCTTTATTTAAAAAAAAATCTGAAGAAGCTCTCAGATAAGGGTGCAAAAAATGTATTATGTAATAAATAAATTTGTAGAGAGTGTGTCAGCCAAAACCTTTAGCAAAGCACTACTAAGCAGTAGCACTACTAATTCCATGTGAGACAGATACTTGCTCTCAATAGACCTCAGGCTACTCTACTGTAAAGGAGGAAAAGGAGTTTGAACTAGATAATAGCTAAGACTCACTACAATCCTAAAATTCTTAAATAATACATTTCCTTATTACATAAATGATATGTATTCATTAGAGAAAAAAAAGAATAAACACAGATTAGCAGAAACAACATGTGATTCTTGCCAAAACCAAGGTTATCTTCTTTGACAATTTCTTTTCAAAACAATGAAACAGAGGTTTCAGAATACTGAGAGAGCTCAGTCAGATTTGTTTGTCTATTTTGTACCCATGGTCATGACTTGGGTCATGACCTAAGGACGGGTCAGATGTTTGGGTCAGATATTACCTAAACTGCTTCTCAATCATCTGCTAGTGAGACTTTCTCTTTCAAATATGCAAGTCGTCTGGACCTTTTCCAGGATAAATATTTGGACAAAAAGGGGGGTTTTATACTCAAACTTTGTGAGTACAATCTGGAAATTTCTTCAATGCAGAATAATATTCCCATCTAAATGTACCTTCTTGGCTTCATTGAAGCACTGAAGCGCAATTTTTTTGTTCCCTAATAAAATCATTAAAAGAACTATAAACCAAAACTCTAGAAGACAGGGCTGTAATACAGATCTTTTAAACCCTCTATGTTCTCTTAAACTGTTGTGGTACTGAGCTTAGGAAAGCTAATGTTAATTCATTGGTCCATTTTTTTTCCCAGGAGAAGAAAGATTGCCATACGTTCAATGTTAAAAACCTCCCCAGTCTATAACCAGGATGGTATGAGGGTCTTCTGAGATAGTGAGATAGTTGTATTTCAACTGGCTTTTTGTCACGTAACATATCAGAAGCATCTTTCCATTCATTAAATGTATCCCTGTATCGTTATTATTATTATTTTTATTTTATTTTAATTTTTTTTTTTGAGACAGAGTCTCACTCTGTCGCCCAAGCTGGAGTGCAGTGGCACAATCTCGGCTGACTGCAAGCTCCGCCTCTCAGGTTCATGCCATTCTCCTGCCCCAGCCTCCTGAGTAGCTGGGGCTACAGGGGCACGCCGCCAAGCCAGACCAATTTTTTGTATTTTTTAGTAGAGACGGGGTTTCACCGTGTTAGCCACGATGGTCTTGATCTCCTGACATTGTGATCCACCCGCCTCAGCCTCCCAAAGTGCTGGGATTACAGGTGTAAGCCACTGTGCTCCGCCTCATTATTTTTTTTAAGAATTAACTTTCTTGCTATTTTTAATTACAAATGTAATACCTCCTCCATTGTTTCATCTTGAACACTTTACTTAAAATAAAAGCTTCAATTTCCTCATCAGTAAATTGAGAAGAATATAATCCTATCTTTTGTCATGAAAATTAAAGAGAAAATTAGTATGTGTCATTTATCACAGTGCTGGAAATATAGCATCATATTATAAGTATAAGGTTTTTAAAAAAATTCAAACAGTATAGTAAATTATTAGTAAATTTTACTTTTACTAATTAATTTTAAAAGTAAATTTTACTTTTACTAATTAATTTTAAAAGTAAATTTTACTTTTACTAATTAATTTTAAAAGTAAATTTTACTTTTACTAATTAATTTTAAAAGTAAATTTTACTTTTACTTTTAAAAAAGTAAAAATAACCAGCAATCCTATCACCCGTAGTAACTTCTTTTGGCATTTCCTTTCAATCTTTATAGAACTTTCTCTAGACATATATATATATATGTAAGTGCTCACAGACAAAAACTCATGCTTTATATTTTTATTTTTTGCCATTGTTTAGCAGAGTGTTACATAAATATTTGTGTAATGTTGAGCATTGAGGATTTAATTAGCGTAAATGTTACTTTATGAAAAATTTCTATTGTATTCAGCCCCAACCAATGGAGCATTTATTTCATATAATGTTTGAAACATTAAAAACTCAGTATAAAAAAGAATCTGAATATTTTTTCACAGTTCATTAGAATATGATTTAACTTATAATTTGAAAAATGTATGTGCGGGCTTATATCAATTAAAATGATTTGCCTACAAGTAACAGAAAATGTAATTCAAATTGAATTTAACAATGGAAACATTTATATTTCCCTATAACTAGAAATTCAGAAATAGGGTGTTCAGTTCAGAAATAGGGTGGCTTGATCTAGTATTTTGGGCTCAATTTCTTTTGGTCTTGATCTCTTTCAGATTTTAGATTCATCTCCATGCTATTAACATCATACAGAACTTCCTTGTATCACATTTACACATGAGAATGGCACAAGGTAAATATGATTTACTTCTAGAAGTTATCTGGAAATTCAGCCATAATAGGTTAATAGGTATCAGGTTTGCCCTCCTGCAGTAAATAGCAACAAAGCAGAGCAAATATATGAGGCAGATGTTTTCAAGCATTAGACAAAAGAAAGCATGAGACAGTGATCTTTGGGAGAAGAAAAACACATAACACAAGTTCTACTGCTCCTGTTTTGGTTCTATGCATACTTTCAAACTGCCTTAGATAGAGGTATAACCTGAATCAGTCTTGCTGAATGTATAATATTAATATTAGAGTTAAGGATTGCTGAAACAGTAAGAATTGGCTAAACAGGGTGCCAGAGAGGAAGAGGTTATGCAGAGCAGGAAACACATAAATATACTAAAAGTTATCTTGAGTCTTGGCCAGAGCCTTAGTTGTGTATGCACAGGGTGGAATTCTGCAAGCCCTGACGGGGATCAACTACTAGAAGTCTTTAAGCTGAATAAAGATTCCAGAGATCATACAATGCTGGGATTCTGACCACTCATAGACTTCATACAACTTTCTAAGCATTCAATATCTTTTAAAGCAATTTTTTATGTGACATCAGAAAAGCCATAACTTAGGAATAGGGCATATCTTAGTCATAATGTAGGGCCTCTGTAGACCCACACAAACAAAGCTGAAAACAATGCCTCAGAAGTATCACCAAATCTATAAATCAATTTTCTGCCAAAATAAAAATCGACCCTTTGTAAAGAAAGACAACATAATTTTGACTCTCAACATGACTTTTATAATGTCAAGCATACAATAAAAAATTACTAGATGTAATTTGACTCATAACCAGGAGAAAAAAGAAATCCATAGAAATAGTGCTAGATATAATAAATATGTTAAAATTAACAGGAGAAAAATTAAATTGATGATAATTTCACAACATCATGAAAATTTTTGAGTGCTAGTCACTTTGTCTATTCTCAAGTAAACAAATATAAAATATCCCAATTACCCTCCCAATTTCCCAAATATAAAAGAAAATGTTATATAATTTGATGTCTTCACTGTCAATCACCCCAGGTACAAAGCGGGAGACAGTTACCCTTGGAAAGGAAGAAACAGGAACTAGATCATATTCATAAAGCTTGACTGTGGGTGAACTTCATTTTGTCTGCCTTATGCTGATATGGTGATATTGGAAGATAGAAGATGGATAGTTGTTTGTGGGCATTGTAATTTGAAACAGAGCCTGAGGGAATGTAGGGCATTATAATTTGAAACAGAGCCTGAGGGATTCAATGGCTTTTTATTGGATAAATTATTTGAAACATACAACCTCCGGAGATTGAACCAGGAAGAAATGAAACTCCTAAACAGACCAATAATGAGTAGAAAGACTGAATCAGTTATAAAAAATCTCCCATCAAAAGAAAAGCCCAGGACCAGATGAATTCACAGCCAAATTCTACCAAACATATAAAAAAGAACTTATGCCAATCCTTCTGAACGTATTTCAAAAAATCCAGGAGAAAGGAATTCTCCCTAATTAATTTTTCAAGGCTGATATCACCCTGATACCAAAATCAGACAAGGTCACAACAAAAAAAGAAAACTACGGACCAATATCACTGATGAACATAGATGCAAAAATCGTCAAAAAATACTAACAAATCCATCCAACAAGACATCACAAGGATAATAAATCATGATCAGGTGAGATTTATCCCAGGGACACAAGGACTGTTCAACATTTGCAAATCAATGTGATACATCACATAAACAGAGTTAAGGACAATAATCATATGATCATCTTAATAGATGCAGGAAAAGCTTTCAGTAAAATTTAGCATCCCTTTATGATAAAAATCCTCAACAAACTAGGCATAGAAGGAACATACCTCAACATAATAAAGGCAACATGCAACAAACCCACAGCTAACATATTTAACAGGAAAAAGTTGAAAGCATTCCCTCTAAGGACTAGAATGAGGAAAGGATGCCCAATTTCACCACTGTTATTCAACATAGTACTTGAAGTCCTCCCCAGAGTAATCAGGCAAGAGAAAAAAAAAAAGACATTCAAAATGAAAAGAGGAGGTCAGACTAGTCCTGTTTGCTGATGATATAATCTTATATCTAAAAAACCCTAAAGACTCCACCAAAAAACTTTTAGATTGACATATGAATTCAGTAAAACTTCAGGATAAAAAATCAGCATGCAAAAATCAGTAGCATTCTATACACCAATAATGATGTAGCTGAGGACCAAGTCAAAAATGCAATCTTACAGTAGCTACAAAAAATAAAATAAAATAAAATACCTAGGAGTATATTTAACCAGAAAGGTGAAAAATCTCTACAAGAACTACAAAACACTGATGAAAGAAATCACAGGTTACACAAACAAATGGAAAAACATCTCATGCTCATGGATTAGAAGAATCATTATTGTTAAAATGACTAAACTGCCCAAAGCAATCTACAGATGTAATGCAATCCCTATCAAATTACCAATGTCATTTCTCACAGAATTAGAAAAAACAATTCTAAAATTTATATGGAACCAAAAAAGAGCCTGAATAGCCAAAGCAATCATAAGCAAAAAGAACAAATCTGGAGGCATCACACTACCTGACTTCAAATTATACAGCAAGGCTATAGTAACCAAAACAGTATGGTTACTATAGCCATGCTGGTAAAAATAAAATAAAATAAACATTCAGATCTCAATGGAACAGAATAAAGGACCCAGAAATAAAGCCAAATACATACAATCAACTGATCTTCAACAAAGCCAACAAAACTATGCATAGGGGAAGGACACCCTGTTCAATAAATGGTATTGGGAAAATTGGGTAACCATATGCAGAAGAATGAAACTGGACCTATACCTTTCACCATACACAAAAATTAACTTACCATAAAATTAAAGACTTAAACATAATATCTGAAACTATATTTCAGGTATTTTCAAAGAAAAACTAGGAAAAACTCTTCTGAACAGTGGCCATGCAAAGTAGTTATGACTAAGTCCTCAAAAGCAAATGCAACAAAAACAAAAATAGACAAATGGGACTTAAACTAAAAAGCTTCTGCACAGCAAAAGAAACAATCAATAGAGTAAACAGAAAACCTACAGAATAGGAAAAAATATTCGCAAACTATGTATCCAACAAAGGGCTAATATCCAGGATCTACAAGTAACTCAAACAAATCAACAATAAAACAAATAGCCCCATTAAAAAATGGGCAAAGGAAATGAACAGACATTTTTCAAAGAAGATATACAAATGGTGAACAAGCATATGAAAAAATCAACATCACTAATCATCAGAGAAATGCAAATTAAAACCACAATGAGATATTATCTTACACCAATCAGAATGGCTATTATTAAAAAGTCAAAAATAAACCAGGTGTTGGTGAGGATGTGGAGAAAAGGAAATGCTTATACACTGTCAGTGGGTCAGTGGGATGTAGATTAGTACAATATTTATGGAAAACAGTATGAAGAGTTCTCAAAGAGCTAAAATGAGAACTACTATTCAGTCCAGCAATTCCACTATTGAGTATATGCCCAAAGGAAAATAAATCATTATATCAAAAAGATACTTGCGGCCAGGCACGGTGGTTCATGCCTATAATCCCAATATTTTGGGAGGCTGAGGCAGGCAGATCACCTGAGGTCAGGAGTTCGAGACCAGCCTGACCAACATGGAGAAACCCTGTCTCTACTAAAAATACAAAATTAGCCAGGCGTGGTGGCACATGCCTGTAATCCCAACTACTAGGGAGGCTGAGGCAGGAGAATCTCTTGAACCTGGGAGGCGGAGGTTGCAGTGAGCCAAAATTCCACCATTGCACTCCAGCCTGGGCAACAAGAGTGAAACTCTGTCTCAAAAAAAAAAAAAAAAAAAAAAAACCTGCACCAATATGTTTATTGTAGCACTATTTACAATATCAAAGATATGTTATCAACCAAAGTGTCCATTAACAGAGGATTGAATAAAGAAAATATTTTAATATTTTAGATAAATAAAATATTTTATGTATACACACACACTATGAAATACTACTCAACCATAAAAAGAATGAAATTATGTCTTTTGCGGCAACACAGATGGAACTGAAGGCCATTGTCTTAAGGGAAATAACTTATATTGCATGTTCTTACTTACAAGTAGGAGCTAAACAATGGGTACACATGGACATACAAAGTGGAATTATAGACACTGGAGACTACAAAATGTGGAAGGATGGGAGGGAGGTGAGGGCTTAAGAATTACCTATTGGGTACGATGTTCATTATTTAGTTGATGGGTACACTAAAACCCCAGACTTCACCACTATGCAATATATGCATGTAAGAAATCTGCACTCGTACGCCTTAAATATATTATAAATAATACACAAATAAAAAGAAAATAGTCACATATTTGATTGTAAAACTTATTTCCCAAATCAGCCAGGATTCATTCAGAAAAGCAAAATTCATTTTACCTGTTTCAAGCAATAGGATGTTACATCCAGTAACTTCGATGATTACAAAATCAGTGGAAAGACTGGTGGAATGAAGGTCAGAAAAAGCCAGCACTAACTCTCAGGGTCACCAGTGTCTTTCAGAAACTTCAAAGGTTACAAGCATTGCAGGATATAGCTGGCAATGAACATAGGTCTTCTTGCTCCATGGTGGGTGATATTCAAGTAAATGCCCAGAGACCTCTACAAAAAGGCCTCTCTCAGTTTGCTCCTCATGAATCCATCCACCGCTGCTGAAGCAGTCTTTAGTCTTTCAAATAACATACAGATGCCTCTCATTGATAGAATCTAACCCAGAATTCTGCTGGCCAGGATTCTGAAAATTTTGTTTCCAGGCATCCAATTTCCACTAAACAGGGAAGATTCTAGAAGAAAGAAAATGCCTCTGAGTTGCCTATAGGCCGTCAGAAATATCTTCCATCACCCCTGTTCATCAAGGCTTATATGCCTTGTGTTTGCAAAGTATTTTCACGCACTTTTTTTTTTTTTTTGAGTCAGAGTCTCACTCCATCACCCAGGCTGGAGTGCAGTGGCGAGATCTCGGCTCACTGCAACCTCTCCACCTCCTAGGTTCAAGCCATTCTCATGCCTCGGCCTCCCAAGTAGCTGGAATTTCAGGCACACACCACCACGCCCAGCTAATTTTTGTAGTTTTTGTAGAGACAAGGTTTTGTCATATTGGCCAAGCTGGTCTCGAACTCCTGAACTCAAGTGGTCCTCCCGCCTCAGCCTCCCACAGTGCTAGGATTATAGGCATGAGCCACCATGCCTGGCCTATTTTCTTACTTGAGTTTCACCATAACATTTTGTGCTCATATGGCTGATATCGTGACCCTTAATTTACATTTGCCTTTTCTTTATTCATTCTACAATATGCTAGTTGGCCCAAAGACACTGAGTTGTATTCCAGCAGATGCATTCTAATCAAGGAAATTTTTTGGACTCTAAGATAGCAATTTAACTTCCACACCAAATGGTGTGATAGTGAAGGTCACTAATAGTAGTTCTCAAGTGAACTTACAAGTTTACTTCTTTAAATTGTACTTTATGTTATCTTCAAATAGAGAATTCTTAATATTTCTAACTTTATATTAATGAGGAATAATTGCGTAGACTTCTCTTACATATGTGAAAAGGACTTAAAAGTTATACAGTCAGACTTTCACTACCTACCAGTAATCACTTGCAAGATCAAGTTGGGCAGCACACAGAAATTTTTTGAACATTTAATTAACAAACCTAAACACATAAAGTAGCAGTGGTAAATGGCACAGTTAATATTAAGATACAAACACACCTAAAATAGTTCTTGTGTGGTATGGGGAATTGAGAAAACAAGAGAAATAGTCAATGCAACCAACAAATCACAAACCATGGCGTCTCAACGAGCTCTATTAAAAGTAATGGCAAAAACTGCAATTACTTTTGCACCAACCTATATAAGACCTGTATATTCTGTCACTAACAATTCCAACAATATAAATTTAAATTTGGCTGAGGTACCTGGCCTGGAGGAGAGGTCCACAGTCCTGGCTAGGGGGTCTGTGTGGGCTCAGCCTCCCAGTCTGTCTCGATCCTTGGTTTGGGGCCAAGCCACCATTCCCCAGGCTCCTGGGTGACCCTTCTGCAGCTGGACGGGCAGTGACCCTGAGTGTCCAAGGCTGACCCCACGTGACTGAGGTTCTGCCTTTGTGGAATGTTGGGGCCCCGCCCTTACAAGCCTTGGGGTTGGCTGCTCCTCGTGCGTTTTTGTGTGAGCTTTCATTTAGGAACCCCCTCCTTTCACAGAAGGGGCCAGCCTGACCAACATGGTGAAACCCTGTCTCTACTAAAAATACAAAAATTAGCCGAGCGTGGTGGCACATGCCTGTAATCCCAGCTACTGGGGAGGCTAAGGCAGGAGAATAGCTTGAACTCAGAAGGCAGAGGTTGCAGTGAGCCGAGATCACGCCACTGCATTCCAGCCTGGGCAACAGAGCGAGACTCCATCTCAAAAAACAAAACGAAAAAAGAATGCCAATGGGGACTCCTCTGAGGAACTCACCCTCACACCCTGTGGTTCTGCGGCCTGGGACAAGGAGTCCTGAAGAGCAGTGCCTACCAGCCCCACCAGCCAGGAGCAGGCGCCAGTGCCACTGCAGCAGGGGCTGGCCCAGGAGGACAGCCTCAACCAGCTGGCAGCTGCAAAGTCACAGATATCAAGATCAACAACTTCATGAGAGTTGTTGACCTTTCAGACTTATATGCCTTGGAATACATTACGATTCCAGTGAAAAACAATGGGATCCTAACAAAGACCCACAAAGAACTAAAACCCCTTCTGAGCTCATTTTCAGAGACCGAAGTGACCATAGACCTGCCAAATCCAGACAGCAGCCGCAGACACTGATGCCCAGGCCAGTCAACTGATGGATTTCTTTAAGGAGATTGACCAGAATATTGAGTGTGCATTGCAGTCAGAAATCTTTTTATGGGAAAGTTACTGCATAGAGACCCTCCTATCAGCAACTGCTCCCAGCTCCTCGAAAGATGCCAACAAATGGTGCAGACTGTGGAATTCAGTGATGGAATGTCTTCTTTTATCATGCTTCTAGTTGGGATTGTTTTGCCCATCTTTCATTTGGTCTATTTTAACATACAGGCTACTGGCGAGACCCTAATAGCATGAACACAACTCCTGTCCCCAGTGGTTCCATGGCAGTGAGTACAATGCCAGAGCAAATCCCCAGGTGAGCGATTCCAGTGCCAACCACAACCTCTTCAGACAGCCAGTTCAGTCAGACCACCCAGCCAGGGAACTAAGCTTTGTTTTTAAAGAACCTGCCCAGCTTTTGCAGTTGGCTCTTGAAGTGCATCAGCTGTCACTGGTCACATCCTAGGGGTGCTGCATTTTGTGTCCTGGGAAGGATGGACACGTTTCAGAAGTCACCACAGTGTTCTCAATTGCAGTGACCCTGAGGAATGGCCTCACCCAATCCAAGCCTCCAGGATCAAAAACACCAGCACCCTTAGCTTCTTCTATCCAGAGAGGATCAGCAGCAAGGTGTTTACATGTGACAGATGGTTATTTCTTGTAGACATTTAGTGGACTGGCCATGTCTTCACAGCAGCACTGCGTGGGTCCCCAAGTTGGATATGCTTGGAGAGAAAGGAATGGCCTTGGCCAAGGGACCTGTAGTGTGGGAGCCCCTGTGATTGGTGTGGGTCGCCTGGTTGTTGCAGTTGCCCTGCTTGCTGGGGAGCAGGGACTGGCTCTGAGAAGGGTTGTTCTCTGTCTCTCTGGCAAAGGTGCTATGGAATAGTCTTGGCATGTCACCCTGTTTTAGAGAGTGACAAATTACAATTGTAACAAGTCCTACTTCATATTTGCTTCATCGGTTAGTCTTTTTGAGGCAATGCCATTTCTAGAATTGAAAAAGCCCCAAGTCCAAACTGCTGTACTGTTGAACAAAGGGCAGTTCTGCACTGTTGAATAAACAGCAGTTCTGCTCCTATCCTCATTTAGAGCTGCTTAGTCTGACACACAGGCATGTCTCAAGCCAAGCATATGCACACAGAGCCGTTGCCCAGTTCCTCAGAGGCTCCCTAGATTCTCCCAGCAGGCTTCCTTGGAAGGAGCACTTGCTGGCCAGCATCTGGAGAGGAGGATGGGTGCCTGTTGCTGAGACACCAG
Organism: Homo sapiens; assembly: GCF_000001405.40. NCBI lineage: Eukaryota > Metazoa > Chordata > Mammalia > Primates > Hominidae > Homo > Homo sapiens. Next base: position 143,046,750 of record NC_000004.12, read on the forward strand.
CATGGATATCTATATGAAGCTGCGCAGTTGCCAGGCCAGCGCTGCTGAGAGCAGCAGCTCCTGTACTATTTGGCACGGGGTGTTCCCTGCTGCTTCCCTAACTCAGTTCTTAGGAACTCTAGTGTCACAGCATGAGAATGTGGCTCAGTCCTTTTCTTTCAGGTGATGCCCCTAAAATAACACTCTATATACACTGTAGCTCGTAATGTTAAAGGACCAAATGCTTCATGGAGGGGCTAGAGGTGACCTTTGCCAAAGAAAGGCCATCAAAACATGGGGCCTGATACCTGAGGGAAGAGGCCTGCGGTTTACCTGGTCCTCCTCCCTGACAAGGCAACAGCAGTGCTGTGGATGGGCTGGAGGTGAGAGCCTGCTTCTGCCTTAGAGTCAGTGGCCTGTAGCACAGAGGGGCAGGGAAGGGTGGAGGTGGCTGGCGGCCCAGCCTCCAAGGCGTATGGACAGGAGGAAAAAACACTGCACAAATGCTGGGCTTAGGGATGGTTATGGCCTTTGATACATCAGGCCTGGAGAGAATTTTAAAAGATCTCACCATGTACAAGGATGGGAGTGTGGCCAAGGAGTACTTGAGATTGACTTCAAATTTCTGTGATCTCAGTTGTGTGAAAAAACAGTTGGCCTAGGGCTCAATTAGCAAATTCAAATTATCTTCAATGATAAATGTTTTCTTAGACACCAGAAAGATCTTCAGGATAAAAAGAACTTCTGAACTTTTGCTACAGGAAATGTGTTAATCATGTAAGTGCTTTTCCAGCCAAATATCTGTGCTCTCTGTGCCATTGAGGGCCACAGTTTCCTCTAACATCTGCCCCCAGAACTTCACCAGGCAGGGCCTGGAGTCCCATGGGAAAATCACTTTTTCCAGGCAAAGAATGAATGTATCCTTTACTTTCCAATGAAATAATTTCTTCTGTGAAAAAAATAAAATAAAACAAAATAAATAAATGTAGGCCAGGCGCGGTGGCTCACGCCTGTAATGCCAGCACTTTGGGAGGCCGAGGCGGGCAGATAATGAGGTCAGGAGATCAAGACCATCTTGGCTAACACAGTGAAACCCTGTCTCTACTAAAAATACAAAAAATTAGCCGGGCATGGTGGGGGGCACCTGCAATCCCAGCTACTCAAGAGGCTGAGGCAGGAGAATGGCGTGAACCAGGGAGGCGGAGCTTGCAGTGAGTTGAGATTGTGCCACTGCACTCCAGCCTCGGCGACAGAGCGAGACTCCGTCTCAAAAAAAAAAAAAATTAAATGTAATCTTTTAATAATTTATTTTCTTTTTATCAATATATCAGTACATTTGAACCATACCTTTTCTAAACTTTCTAGCAGAAAATATTGATACATAGATATTTTTATGTGATTAGCAAATTAATGCCAGGACAATCAAAGAAAATTTAAATTTTAATAAAATAGGTAGCATTATAAATAATAATACCACTGATAGATTACTTCTGGGAATAAGTTGCGAACTAATTAGACAATGTAAAAGTAAAAGTTGTCATAAAAAAATTAAGAGAAATAATTTTATCATATTATCTCATTAAAAAACATTTTTGTGATCTAGACACACAAATAAAAGTGACTTTAATCACATTTATTTCTCCTCCTTCTCCTTCACTTTATTCTGTCCCCTTTCTCTCCCATTCTTCCTCCTATTACCCTTCTCCATTTTATCCTCTTCTTTCCTTCAACTCCTCCTCATTGTTTCATTGTTCTTCTCAATCTCCCTTCCTCCTTCTCCTCCTCTCAGGTCCTAAGATTTCCTACTAACGAAAATTGCTGAGGCCGGGTGCGGTGGCTCACACCTGTAATCCCACCAATTTGCGACGTGGAGGCAGGCAGATGTCTTCAGCTTAGGAGTTTAAGACCTGCCTGGGCAACATGGCAAAACCCTGTCTCTACCCAAAAAAAAATTAGCTGGCTGTGGTGGCACATCCCTGTAGTCCTAGATACTTGGGAGGCTGAGGTGAGGGGATCTCCTGAGTCTGGGAATTTGAGGGTGCTGTAAGCTGTGATAGTGCCACTGCACTCCAGCCTGGGCAACAGAGCAAGACCCTGTCTCAAAATAATAAAATAAAACATAAAACAAAATAAAATTGGCTAAACAAGAGAATGACCCTCACAAACAGAAAGTTGTTTAGCAGAATAGTGACATAAACAATAATTTTTTAAGTGTAATACTCATTAAAAATCAGTTCTTAAAAGCCCATTTTTAAAAACACTGATGGAGTGCCTCATGGGTATCAAACACAGTCTTAAGTATTTGAAAAACATTTTATCCTGCCAAATTGCATATGATGTAGTTAACTAAATCAAGATTCAAACCCAGGCCAGTTCTGATGCATGTCCATGCTGCTTCCTCTAGTTTCTTCTTATTGGGGACTTTCATTTACACCTATGCTCTGGTCTACTTACCAATTGCCTCTGAATTAATTGCTATTTAAACTAATTAGAGGAACAACTTCCATTTGCCTTCAAGTCTCCCAATCAACTAGAATTATCTGCTGCTCCTTCTGACAGTATTACATCCTCATTATTTACCACCTCTCTTTCCAAAGCAGACAACTGAAAACTCCTGTCACCTCTTAACCCCATTTATGAATCTTTTTATTTAATTGGGAAAAAGTTTATATGCCACTCTCAGAGGAAAGAGAACTCTTTCCCTCCCCCTAATAATATTTGCTCTCTAGAAGAACTGAGTGGGAGAGGAAAACAAGTGAGGCAAACAGCATGAGAGGACAGGAGGCATCTCAAATTGTAACCACAGTGATTCTTTACTAATCAGCTGAGATAGCCTAGCAACCTGAAACTTTGAAAAATGTTCCTATGGTACAAAAAATTATAGCTTCGTTAGAAATCTAAGTAGACATCTTAGCAAGAGATATCTGAAAAGGTTTGTCAAAATAAAAACATCTGGTATATATTTAGCACTTCTCCTAATAATTTTTATAATTATTATATTATTGAGCCTTACAAGCCTGTAAAAATGTCTAAACAACTTTTTGGCTTTTATATTTAAAAAATAATACATACATTTTTATCGTTAAAAATTCCAATAATACAGTAGTTAGAGCAAAATGTGAAGGTCCCCTTTGTTCAAGTCCAGTATTCTTTTAACTATTTTTCTATGTATGCGTTCTCATACACATACACGCAAACAGTTTGAGATGGCAGGTGTTTATAAGTGGGATACTATACATACTATTTTGTGAAATGCTTTTCATGCTTAGCAACATATCTTGGAGATGTTTCTATGACAGGATCAAAAATCTGCCCAATGCTTGCAACCTGCCACATAGCTGTCCATAATATGGAAGTAAGCGTAAGTTATTAAGTCATTCCTCTAGATGTATATTGGCTTTTATTAATTATGATAGGCTAACACCTAAAACAAACAATGCTGAAACTTTGAGTAGTAAAGTTTATGGCTGAACTCACATCACAATCCAGTGTGTCACAGGGGGTGTTCTTCTTACCATGGCCCTTCAGGTCTCAGGCTCCTACCTTATCCAGCAGACAAGAAGAAAGAGAAAAGGTGAAGCCACATCCACTCTTCCATGCCTTGCTTGGACTGGAAGTGATTTATCTCTCCTACTCAAGTTCTGTTGGCAAGATCTGGTCATATAGACCACCAAAAGGTCTGGGAAATGTGGTTGAGTTCATGCCAGGAAGTGGAAACAAGCTTTATATGCATCTAGCCAGTCTCTGCCACATAGGTCAATTCCGCTCTTTTCACTATTGTAAGCAATGGCTATAATAAACCCCTTATATGTGCACTATGCCAGTATTTCTGCAGGATAGATATCTAGACCAGTAATTGATAGACAAAAAGATGTGTAGAATGTATTTTCTAAACTCCTATTTGAAATAGGAATATTTTAGCAGATACGTTACCTGTGTAAAGTAGCACAGTATTTCACTAGAATAGAACCGTCTTCTAGTGCACACTAAGTATACACTAAGAAGTTGGCATTCCAAGCATTGTACAATCCAGTTTTTATCATTGAAACTTTTCTCTCTCCTATACCCCATAAGGATCCTCTTCCTCTCTCAGACTCCCAAACATGTCATGACTATTTCTTCCAGATCCTGGATCTTCAGGTTACTAGCTCTGTGTTCTTGGGAAAGTCACTTTGATCCATCTGAGTCTTAGATTCATCATTTTGAAAAATATTAGAACTACACCAGTTTTTTGAAAAAGTTAAGTAATGAAAAATGGCCAGCATGGCCACCATGGCAACACCCCATCTGTGCTAAAAATAAAAAAATTAGCCGGGCATGGTGGCAGGCACCTGGTAATCCCAGCTACCTGGGAGGGTGAGGCAGGAGAATTCCTTGAACTTGGGAGGTGGAGGTTGCAATGAGCAGAAACCATGCCATTGCATTCCAGCCTGGGCAGCAAGGGTGAAACTCTGTCACAAAACAAACAAACAAACAAACATAAAAAAAGAAAAACACGCACACACACACACAGAAAAGAAAAATGGCACATGGGAAATGCCTATCACACAGTAAACGCTCAGTGAGTGTTTGCTTCTACCCTTCCTGCTCTGATTATCCCAGGCAAACTAATAATCATTCAGCAACTGAATTCTTTCAGTATTCACCTACTTTTCTGCCACCTGGCATATATGAGTTTCTATCATCATTTATCTTTTCATGTGTATCTTGCCTCCCCATCTTGATCAATCCCAAATTGATTACAGGCAACTTGAAAACAAGAACAATATCACAGTGTTCCCTAGATCACCATCACCTTGCACAGTGCATTGTGGTGTGAGCCCTAGATACATATTCGTGATGATGCCACCTAAATTGAGCAAACTAGTGAAAGAGAGAAAGCAAAATGAAAAAAACATCCATCCTAGTTATATAATTATAGAAGAACATGAAAGATCTTTAAAGATTAGTCAGGGGAAAAATTGCATAATAGCATTTAAAAATTCAATAACCCACAGGAAGTTGAAAAACATTTGTGAAGAGTTCATTGTAAACCCAAGATAAATGTATGTCAAATTTTAAATGCCAAGCCTGTGTATCTGTGTATGCAGCAAGGCTAAGGGAATGTGAAAACAGATATTTCCATTTAAGAGAGCTATTTGAGAAAGAATTTTTTTAAAGTAGAAAAGGGAAGAAGGGAGAAAGGAGAGAAGAAAGGGAAAGGAAGGGAAGGGAAAGAAAGCGGGGAAGGAGGGAGAAAGGAAAGGAAGAAAGGAGGAAAGGAGTGAGGGGGAAAATGGGGAAAATAAAGAGAGAGATAAATAAGAGGAAATAACCTTTCAAAGACTAGAAAGCTAGCTCAACTAGAAAGAACTGGAAAGCCCAGAAAGAATACCAGGTCATATACCAACCAAATTTTATTAGGCCAGTTAAAAAAGAATTTTGAGGGACATTTAAAAAAATTTTTTAGACAGGTTCTCACTCTGTCACCCAGGCTAGAGTGCAGTGGCACAATCAAGGCTCACTGCAGCCTTCAACCTCTGGGCTCAAGGGATCCTCCTGTCTCAGCCTCCTTAGTAGCTGGGTCTATAGTCCCCCGCTACCAGGCCTGGCTAATGTATGGAGCTTTTGAAAGAATGTCCAAAACCATCAGCAGAACTTGTGGATGTTACCTGTGGAACTGGTGGGACCACTTAAAGGTCATGGTGTACATTTTCACCCAAGAACTTGGTGAGGAAGAGGAAAATGATGCTGCCTCAAATGAGCAGATGCTTGAGCTGATTTAAGGAGCTGAGGCTTTGGAAAGGGTGTTTCCTGTCTAGATGAGCAGGTGTGTGGAGATGGAGACTAGGTAGGGTGAGCAAGAGATAAAGGCCTTTATAGTTATATTTCACTTTTTCATTTATATTTTTATATTTATATTTCACTTACTCTCTCTCTTTCTCATTTCTGCTTTTCCTTGCCTAGCTGTCTTCCACTTTCCTCTCTTACCTCAAAATTCCTATGCCTTTTTCCATCATTCTCTCTTTGCCTTAAAGAATCCAACCCTCAAATATATACTTTTGTATGGAGTGCTCCCTGTTTCTCAAAATCTAAAATTGATGTCAACATTTAAATAAAGTATGAATGTTAAAAACATTCCATATTTCAGATGCCTCTTAAAAACAAACAAGATCTGGCAACATAAGGTCCTAGTCCCATAGAAGCAAAGAGCTAGCACTGAGTCACTTCCGTACTTCCAGACAGAACAAGTCTCCATCCCCTCAGTCTCTATCCAGCCAGTTAGCACCGATACCATCTGCCAGGCCCATTCAGGATGAAAGTTTGCTCCCCTACAAGCATTCCTATCCCTTTTCTTTTTTCTCTCATGGAGTTTATTCCTTTCTTTCCCCAAGGTATTTATTTTCTTCTTAAATTTCCATAACCTATAACTGTGGTACATATGTTATTTACTTTGTCTGTTCCCAATTTTTAACTGAACAAATAGAAACTTTTAGTATTCTTTTTATTTCATGCCACCTCCATACCAAATAATATGCTTTTAAATTAGTTCTTGACTATGGATAAAAATATCCTTAGCACCCATCCAAAAATGAATAAATAAAACCATTTTGCTCTTGCTTCACTGCTATTTCAAAGTTGGTACAAGTGGTGAGGTTTGTCAGTATGATAGCAGTGAAAATAACACAAGTATTTTAATATATATAGGTTTCTCTTTGACAACCATCAATCCAGAGGTGGTGTTTGTTTGCTTTTGTAAATAGCGATTGTTTCTGTTCCTAGAAAAACAAAAATCACTTTCATGTTCTTATAATCAGTATGAACATAAATTTAGTTCTCCTAAAACTTGTTTATGAAGAGCTTTCCAATGACTTGTCTGCCTAGACATTTTCTTTCTTTTAATTTTTATTAGGTTCAGGGGTACATGTACAGGTTGTTATATTGGTAAACTCGTGTCACAAGGGTTTAGTGTACAGACTATTTCATTATTCAGGCAATAAGCATAGTACCCAATAGGTATTTTTTTCTGACCCTCTCCCTCCTCACACCCTCCACCATCCAGCAGACCCCAGTGTGTGTTGTTCCTCTCTATGTGTACATGTGTTCTCGTTATTTAACTCCTACTTGTAAGTGAGAACATGCGGTATTCGGTTTTCTGTTCCTGCATTAGTTTTCTAAGGATAATGGCCTCTAGTTCCATTCATGTTGCTGCAAAGGACATAATCTTGTTCTTTTTATGGCTGCATAGTATTCCATGGTATATATGTACCATATTTTCTTTATGCAATCTGTCACTGATGGGCATTTAGGTTGATTCCATGTCTTTGCTATTGTGAATAGTGCTGCAATAAACATACATGTGTATATGTCTTTATAGTAGAATGATTTGTATTCCTTTGGATATGTACCCAGTAATGGGATTGCTAGGTTTAATGGTATTTTTGTCTTTAGGTCTTTGAGTAATAGCCACACTGCTTTCCATAATGCTTGAACTAATTTATACTCCCACCAGCAGTGTATAAGCATTCTCTTTTCTCTGCAACCTTGCTAGCATGTGTTATTTTTTTATTTTTTTAGTAATAGCCATTCTGACTAGTGTGAGACGGCATCTCATTGTCGTTTTGATTTGCATTTCTCCAATGATTACTGAAGGTGACCATTTTTTACACAGTCAGTTCCTGATCTGCCCAGTCTCACCCTGCATTGACAACTTCCCTTCCCATTGAGCTGTGGCTTCGTCTCTAACAGAGCTCCTCATTTACCTGTTGTTTACAGATTTGAAATTCCTTCACACAATTTTGAAGATTGTACATCATTCTGACCATATGTAACATGATGATCCTGACATCCTCCTGAAGATGTCAGGTGAGACTCACTGCTAGTTTTATTCATTTAGTTAAAAAATATTCCTGGATGGCCTGTTTGAGGCTACATGTTGTTCTAGGTGCTGAGGATACTGCATGAAGCATGACATAATCTCCATTCCAAGAGTATATTTTTCCCATTTTTATAGGCAAGGAACCAAAGATAACTTGACATTTCTCTCAAAATCACTAATATGTAAAAGATACAATGTAATAGCAGATCCAAATTTGTTGATGTTTACATAATTTCTCTTTCCCAAGATTATGGTGCCTATTTGGATTTTTTTTTCCTTTAAAGCGTTGCTTTTCCTCCCTCCTTTTTCATCCAAACAGTTTGTCTAAATGTCTGTCTTTCATTAAATTCAATGACTATTTTATTCTCAGACCAAAAAAATCAAACGGATTGTATTATTTATCTGCTCAGACATTACTTTCTTATGGCACAGAGCTGTTATATATGTTAATGATCTCAGGTGTTTGTACAACTCAGATCTCTTATTCTTATATTTTTAATTCTTTTCTTTTTTCATGCCTGCTTATTTCCTTTGTTTCATCATCTCCTCACAAACTGGGGTAAAAGACTTCCAAACACAGTATTGCCAAATAGTCTCCACAGGAAATTCAGAAATAGTAATTACAGACATTCTGACATCCCCACTTGTTTAAGTAGGCATTTTAAACAAACTTGGCACAGATTCATTCACAAGTCTCTATTTTTGTAAAAAAAAAAAAAAAAAAAAGAAAAGAAAAGAAAAAGAAGAAAAGAAAAAAGAAAAAAATGGGTTTTGTCATTTTTTTCAGTTATACCACTTTTTAAAATTCATCACATTTCTAATATTCAAGTAGCTTCTTGTAATGTTTTACTTCTATTCACAATTACTTCCTTGAGTATTTTTTTGTATTTTAAATCTGAGGCCCAGGCAAGATTTTTTAAGTCTATTTCTAGCTGATAATTATTTTGTTTGGGGCTCTTGGAAAATCCTTGGATGTATTGATTTTAATCACTAATAAGATGGTCATGTCATGATTTTTCTTGCAATAGTAAGCTCCCTCTCCAACCCCTTTTTATCTGCTTCCTAATTCCAATTTTCTCTTGGGCACTAATTATCTTAATCAACTGCAATCAGTAAAACAACTTTTGGTAAAGAAATAGGCTAGTGAGATTTCATTTTTATTTCCTAAAGCTTAGATAAAATATTTTCCCCAAATATTCACTCTATACTTTTGTTCTGACGCCTGGTATACAAGCTATCCACCAAGTTAATAGTTCAGTTTTTCAGATTCCCAGATAACAAGAAAGGAGGGTGTCTTGGAGAGAGAATTATGAGTATTCTTGTTACTACATAAACAGGTGTGCTCCAGTATAAATTAATTAGCGTTCTTGTATATCTATTAAAATCATGGGAATTTTGTCAATATGAGTCTTCAATGGAGCAGCAAATTATTTCTGAGTATACTGAGAAAACCTCATTTCTAGAATAGCAAGATTGAGGAATAGTAGTTCCTGGCAGTGGTGATATTGATAAGAAGCCCTGTCTGCCACCAGTCCTGCCACACGCACCCACCACTAGCAAAATGTGATGCCATTGCTAAGTGTGCGTCAAGCACCATACCCAATACTATGAGGCATACAATATGCAGCACTGCGGGGTTTTTAGTCAGCCCTCATGACTTTCCTTCAGGAGCCTGGTCTGTGATTAAGGGGTTGCAGAAGGGGACATTTTCTTTGTTTCTTTCCTTCTTTCTTTCTTTTTTTTTTTTTTTTTTTTTTTTTTTTTTGATGGAGTCTCGCTCTGTTGCCAGGCTGGAGTGCAGTGGTGCTATCTCGGCTCACTGCAATCTCTGCCTTCTGGGGTTCAAGTGATTCTCCTGCCTCAGCCTCCCGAGTAGCTGGGACTACAGGCATGCACCATCACGCCCAGCTAATTTTTGTATTTTTAGTAGAGACGGGGTTTCGCCATGTTGGCCAGGATGGTCTCCATTTCTTGACCTCATGATCCGCCTGCCTCGGCCTCCCCAAGTGCTGGGATTACAGGCGTGCACCACCGCCCCCAGCTGGAAGGAGGCCTTTCACAATATAATTCAGATAGAAAAAAGAGAGAGACATCTTTTAACAGAATAATAACCCAGAGTACTACTAAGAACCAATCACCTTGGCAGGGTAAAACTTGATTTTTTTCTGTAGCTTTTTTTTGGAGGTGGGGGGTGAGGGGATGCTGGGGGGAAGGTCTTGTTTTGTTTTGTTTTTACCACAAGGCTGAACTAATGAAGGCAATTTCCCTTCCTCCACACTCATGGATTAAAAACACACTCAGGTAGCCTCGCCCAAAGAAAGAGAGAATAGAGTTATTAACTACTGCAAACCCAAGACAGGGATGGGCGGAATCTCCATCATGAGAAGAGGCTCCCAAGCAACCAGGAATCACCAGTTTGGGAAGAAGGGATACCATCTGGAGCACAGCGCGGCAGCCACTCCTGTTTCTCCACCCAAGAAGGAAAAAAATTCCTCCCTTCCCCTTTCTCACTCCAATCAACGAACAGTGAGAGCTTCTCACAGAATGGAGACTAGACTATATTATCTTACCCTCCTGAGAGTTGAGGCACAAGAAAGAGATTAAATAATGAAAAAACCCAAAAAACAGCCTACTTTCAGGAAGCTAACAATGAAAAACAACATGGGCCAGTTTGTATAATGCTATATGTACTTTTTAAGTTTATTTAAGACCTAACATCAATACAACAATGGCTCTATTGGGTATGGTGGGGGAGGGTGGCTGTGGGTGTATGCATGGGAGCGTATTATATTCAGTTGTAAGACATATACTGATTTTAGAAATGTTAACTAGAAAATGGCTTAATGGCCTACTAACAATGTGGATAAAAATATTGCTGCCAATTGTAATGGTGCAAATTAAATCTACGTCTAATTTCCACCACTTGTGAAAGATGTAAAAAGTGGCTAAGCAACGAACTCCATAATACACTTAGGATAGAATGCAATAAGACAAATTTTTTTTTGATCAAGATGTTTCTTCAAAAAAGAATTACTCTATCAAAAAATCAAAAAGGAGAGAGAGAAAGAGAGAGAGAATTGCCCATACCTGAGCTGAGGTAGAACTCTGAGTTATGTAATTAGCAGCACCTTATGGAAAATATCTATTATTCATAATAAAATGCTGAAGCAATTTTCTAATAAACTCTCACAAGATTCAAACTTCTTTTGAGTCCAGGCACAGGGGTTCATGCCTGTAATTTCAGCACTTTGGGAGGTCGAGGCAGGAGGATCACTTGAGCTCAGGAGTTTGAGGCCAGCCTGAGGAACATAGAAAGACCTTGTCTCTTCTGGAAGTTTTTTATAAACAAAACAAAATCAGCTGGGCATGGTGGTACATGCCTGTAGTCCCAGCTACTAGAGAGGCTGAGGCGGGGGGATCACTTGAGCCCCTGAGATCAAGGCTGCAGTGAGCTATGATTACACCACTGCACTCCAGCTTGGGCAACAGAGTGAGACCTTGTCATAAAAAAAAAAAAAAGAAAAAAAAAACTCCTTTTGAGAAATTAGAGTAACACCACCAGCTTGTAGTCATCTTGTAATAGGCCTAATGATCTTAAACTATACATGCTTTTTAAAAATATATAATATAATAATGATTACATAACCATGCATTTCCACATAAGATACCTCTACCAAGAGGAAATCTTTGAACTGGCTTTCTTAGAAGCCTCTTCCCTATTGTAAGTTTGAAATAAAACTTTGGCACACGCTCACAACTTGAGAAGCTGTAACACAAGGATGAAATCACAACTCACAACCTGAGAAGCTGTAACAGAAGGATGAAATCACAAGTAGGATTGATAAACTTGATACTCCTCTGCTTCTCCCAAGGAAGACAATAAGGCTTGGGTTTGAGAGTTCACGGTGTAATGTGTAATTAGAGGAAAATCCAGGCCAAAAAAAAAAAAAAAAAAAGAGGAAAAAATTTGATTCAGTAAAAGCTAGAAGCCATGGAGGACAGATTCTCCTTTAACTGGAAAAGGGAAGCTCAGATTGAGATGAGATGAAGAAAAGCAGTTTGCAACTCAGGACACAGACTTCACTAGCAAAACTTCAGCTTTTCCACTTCTAAGAGAAGACACAATGGGGAGCAGTTTAAAAAATGTAAATTTGGAAGGACATAGGCAAAAGTATTCACACAGATAGAAAAACAAATGAAATTTTTAACTTTTAAGTTCACATGTACATGTGCAAGTTTGTTACATAGTTAAACTTGTGTCACGGAGATTTGTCGTACAGATTATTTCATCACCCAGATATTAAGCCTAGTACCCATTAGTTTTTTTCCTGATTCTCTCCCTCCTCCCAATCTCTATCCTCTTGTAGGCCTGTGTGTGTTGTTCCCTTGCCTGTGTCCACATGTTCTCTTCACTTAGCTCCCACGTATAAGTGAGAACATGCAGTATTTGGTTTTCTATTCCTGTGTTAGTTTGGTAAGGATAATGGCCTCCAGCTCCATCTATGTCCCTGCAAAGGACATGATCTCATTCTTTTTTATGGCTGTATAGTATTCCATGGTGTATATGTACCACATTTTCTTTATCCTATCTGTCATTGATGGGCATTTAGGTTGATTCCATGTTTTTGCTATTGTGAATAGTCCTGCAATGAACATACACGTGTATGTGTCTTTATAATACAATGATTTATATTCTTTTGGGTATATACCCAGTCATGGGATTGCTGGGTTGAATGGGATTTCTGTCTTTAGGTCTTTGAGGAATCTCTGTCTTCCACACTTTCTTCCACAATGGTTGAACTAATTTACACTCCCACCAACAGTGTATAACCGTTCCTTTCTCTCCACAACCTTGCCAGCATCTGTTATCTGTTGGCTTTTTAATATTTGCCATTCTGACTGGTGTAAGATGGTATCTCATTGCGGTTTTGATTTGCATTTCTCTAATGGTCAGTGATGCTGAGCTTGTTTTCATATGATCGTTGGTCACATTTTTGTTTCTCAGAGACTGCTTTCAGATAGTCATGCTGGGAATATTCTGCAGTCTCCTTTTGAGAAGTGTCTATTCATGTCCTTTGCCCACTTTTCTATAGAGTTGGTTTTTTTTCTTGTAAATTTGTTTAAATTCCTTATAGATATTAAACCATTGTCAGATGCATAGTTTGCAAATATTTTCTCCCATTCTGTAGGTTGTCTGTTTACTCTGTTAATAGTTTCTTTTGCTGTTCAGAAGCTCTTTAGTTTAAACTGAACCCCTTCCTCACGCCTTACACAAAAATTAACTCAAGATGGATTAAAGATTTAAATGTAAAATCCAAAACTATAAAAACCCTGTAAGAAAACCTAGGCAATACCATTCAGGACATAGGCATGGGCAAAGATTTCATGACGAAGACGTCAACAGTAATTGCAACAAAAGCAAAAGTTGACAAATGGAAAAAATGAAATTTTTAAAAAGGCATATTAGAGGTTCTCTGACTCTATTCTGAATGTATGCTTTCCCTCCTTTTGTGTCTTCACCATCTGTGGCAAGGTCTCTTTGGTGGAGTTTCTGAAAGACTGCTTTCAGATAGTCATGCTGGGAATATTCTGCCGTAAAGGAACCATACAGGGGATAAAAGCAGGGCTGACCTTTTATAGCTAGTGACCCATGAAGTATCCAAATCCCATAGTGGTAGTATCCAAGGGAGAAGTCTACTGCAAAATTTGGCCCAAGTTTACCAGATTTACTAAATAATATGTGCCTGCTGAGAAAGAATGTAAGGGTAGAGACTCAAACTCTCAGTCACAAAGTAGCTTTAGATGTTCCTGTGGTGGCAGAAATGGTAGAGTCTCCTTTTCCCAAAAAGATGGTGACACATTGTCAGTTTTTATATTTGCCAAGTAGCAAATATAGATTGAACAGGGTCTTCTGAAAATAGTACCCTAGCATAGGGGACAGAATTTCAGGCGCATGGCAAGCTTTTTAAGGCTTTTCTAATCAATCAGTAGGCCTCTCTCTAATTTATCAGATACTTCATCCCTAAACCAAGCAAGGAACAAATGAAGAAACAATACCATGAATGTAAAAGAATTTAATGCTATTGGCATTATTTAGGAAAATATAAAGTCACACTTAATTTCAACACACACAGACATACACACATCAGATAAATTTAAGAACTATAAACAAATTTATACAAATATTAGAATAAATTCTACTAGAATATTTTTATAACCTTTGGTTCTAGGAAAGGCCTTTCTATGCATAAAGAGAAAGATACTCAAATTTGATATTTAAAAAATAAAACCCTCTTGGGAGGCCAAGGTGGGCGGATCACGAGGACAGAAGATCAAGACCATCCTGGCTAATACGATGAAACCCTGTCTCTACTAAAAATACAAAAAATTAGCTGGGCATGGTGGCTGGGGCCTGTAGTCCCAGCTACTTGGGAGGCTGAGGCAGGAGAACGGCATGAACCCAGGAGGAGGAGCCTGCAGTGAGCCAAGATTGTGCCATTGCACTCCAGCCTGGGCAACAGAGCAAGACTCTGTCTCAAAAATAATAATAATAATAAATAATAAAAAAATAATAAAACCCTCTTAATAAAAATGTTCCATAAAGTTAAATCAATCAATAGAGTAGAAAAAAATATTTGCAGCATATATAACAGACAATGTTCACCATCAAGAATATATAAGTTTCTTATGAAGCATGAGAAAAAGACATAGCTCAAAATAAAAATGGGAAAAAATATGAGCTGATAAATTACCAAAAAAAATACAAATGACCAATATATTTATTCTTCAATTCATTCAACAATTATTTATTGAGTGTTATTATATGTCAGGCACTGCCTCAGCAGGTGCATGCATGTAGCATTAAACAGAAGATACAAAAAGGAAATTAAGAAATAAAGTAGCAAATCTAATTTGCTCATTAGATTGGCAAAAATTTACAGAGATTGATAATATCAAGTGCTGGTGAGATGTGGGAAAATGAACCTGCTGATGGCAGGGAGTGTAAATTCACACAGCCTTTTGAAGTCCAGATTGGCAGTATCTATTGGAATTTTAATTATTCATATGATTTTTTTATGAGCCATTCTGTTTGATTGAGTCTGTCCTACAGACATATTCACACCTTGCACAAGGATGGTCATTAGAGCATCATTTATAATTGGGAAAAATTGGAAAGGGTCTGTCTATTCCCACGACAACCATTTAAAAAGGTTTGCTACATACGTACTGTGGAGTATTTAGCCACTTTTTAAAAATGTAGTAGATTATATGTAATGAAATTTAAAACTCTAAGAGTTATTTTGCAGAAAATCAAATCATGAAACAATCTGTGGTATAAATCCCACTTAAGTTTAATAAAAGACACACATGCATAGGTATAGCTATACACACAAATGCATACAAGGGGAATGAGAAAGGCACACAGAAAAGTTGCTGAGACTGCTAATCTCTGTGTCAGGGAGAGAAGGTGGGGATGAAGGGAGTTTTTGAAGTTTCTTTCCATGTATGGTTGATGATCAGATTAGAAAGTCCATAATGTGGACTCTGGAGTCAAATTATGTGGGTTCAAAATCTAGTTCTACTATTTTCCAGATGCAGAAACCTGGAATTCCCCTTTTGTAAAATAATTATGGGGCATAGTTCACAAAATTCTGAGAATTCTGAGAATTAAATTAGGTAATCCATGACAAAATACTCCAAGTAGGCACACAGAACTCATCTGTAAGTCATTATTAATGTTTTGAATTGTTTTAATCAATTACAATGAGAATCTATCCATACATTATTTGTGTAATTGAAAAAATACCATCAAAGCACTCTTTAACTAAAAGTACAAATTGAGGGCTGTAAGAATTCAGAAGAGACAGAAACCTTTATAATTATTCTGCCACATCCTAAACCTGCTTCTCTCTTGAATGTAACAAATGCAAACACATGAATCACAAATCTTGTTGGATAAAACCACAAACTAATATTTGTACTATGTCTCCCTCTTTTATAAAAATATATAGAAAAGAAAAGCATTTCTACACCAATTAACAAAATTAAATATTTATAACTCTTATAAATAAATTTGTTTCCTTTTTAATTTGGCAAGTTAGACACGTTTATAAAGAATTTTACTGAAGAGTCCCTTGGTAACTGAAGCAGACTCCAAATTCTGTAGAAATAATTCCCATCCATGGAAAATACATATTTTCTCAATGATCATTTTTATTTTAAAGTTATATTTAAACTTTCACAAGACATGTTTTATCAACCATTTATTTCTAACAACAATTATTCTTTTTACACCATTGGTGGGAGTGTAAATTAGTTCAACCATTATGGAAGACACTGTGGTGATTCCTCAAGGATATAGAACCAGAAATACCATTTGACCCAGCAATCCCATCACTGGGCATATACCCAAAGGATTATAAATCATTCTATTATAAAGACACATGCACATGTATATTTATTGCAACACTGTTTACAATAGCAAGGACTTGGAACCAACTCAAATGCTCATGAATGATAGATTGGATAAAGAAAATGTGGCACATATAGACCATGGAATGCTATGCAGCCATAAAAAAGAATGAGTTCATGTCCTTTGCAGGGACATGGATAAAGCTGGAAACCATCATCCTCAGCAAACTAACACAGGAACAGAAAGCAAAACATTGCATGTTCACACTTATAATTGGGAGCTGAACAATGAGAACACATGGACACAGGGAGGGGAACATCACACACCGGGGCCTGTCAGGGGGTTGGGGGAAAGGGTAGGGAGAGCACTGGGACAAATACCTAATGCATGCAGAGCTTAAAACCTAGATGACGGGTTGATAGGTGCAACAAACCACCATGGCACATTTATGCCTATGTAACAAACCTGCACATTCAGCACATGTATCCCAGGACGTAAAGTTAAAAAAGTCGGGGGGAGGAGGGGTCAGTGCTACATGACTTTGTCAGAACATAAGAATCATCTGGCAGCTTATTGGAAATAAAGATCCCCAGGCCCCCACCCTTGGATAATCTGATGCAATTGGTCTAGGATGTGACAAAAGAATCTGCTGTGACAGGTACCCTGGGCAATTCTTAGGAAGTTGGGAAAACCTGAGCTAGATTATCTGTTTCATGAGCTACATTATCTGTGTCCTGAGCTATGTCTCAGTTTCACAGGAAGCAGCTGATCTATAAGGTGAAATGTTTCTGTGTATCAGAAAAAAAAATTACAAATTGTGTTCTTGCTCCTCTGCACAGCCAAACTTCTTGAAAGAGTTGCCTACAAATGTGACGTCTATTTCTTCATTTCCCAAAATCTTTTTTTTTTTTAAGGAAATGAAATGTCTTGATACGTGTTGGATGACCTTTTCTTCTTTATTCTTGTACCTCAAATTTATCTTGGATAAATTGGACCCTTTACCTTTCAATAGAATGTATGGTCAGCTTATCAAGATCTATAAAAAAAATTACACTAAATTATATGGACAATTTGAGGAGAATTGTCACTTTTCCAATATTGAGTTCACTCACCCATATTGAGTTCCAGGGCCATGGTTGTACATAATTTTCTCACTCCATGCCCTTCAAGAAACTTTCAGAATTTTCTTCATAAAAGTTATATGTGGTTTTTATAGATTTATTCTTAAGTAACTTTTAGCTTTTATTGCTAACCTGAATGGAATTTCATGAGTGTGGGTGTGAGTGTGAATGAAACAGAGGAAGAAATACATTATACAAAGAGAAGAAATATGAAACATCATGATTTTAAAAACAGCAATATAAAACACCCGTCTGCTTCCTTCTCCACAAGAAATAGGACTTAACAGAAGCTTATGTGTTCCTCTCTGATCTTATTAGCCTCCCTCCTCCACACTTATAATCTCTATCTTAAATTTTGTGTTAAACATTCCAGTACTTCTCCTTACAGTGTTTTTACCTATGTATGTTCCCATGAACAATGCATTGATTAGGTTTTGATGGTTTTCAACTCTATAAATAAAATCGTGTTTTTGCAATTCAGCCACATTAATGCATGTGATGGTTATTCAGTCATTTTCACTGTGTGGTACATTTCATAGTATGAATATGCCAAATTTTATCTGTTCTCCTGTAGATAACTATTTGGGTTATTTTCATTTCAGGACTAAAACAAATAATGCTCCTATGAACAAAGCTAGGCAGTATCTTCTGGCGAATATACCGGTTTTTCAAAGGTCTATGGCTGCGAGTGAAAATGGTGAATCATAGTGTCTGCTTATGTTCAAATTTAAAGCTATTTTTCAAAGTGATACACCAAATTACACTCCAACATTGTCTGAGAGTTTCTGTTGCTCCACATTATTAAAAACAGCTGGTATAAGGCTAATTGTGTTTTATATCCACAAACTTTTTTTTCCATGTGTACATTTCACCTAGCTCCCATTTATAAGTGAAAGCATACAGTATTTGACTTTCTGTTTCTGAGTCATTTCACTTAAGATAATGGTCTCAAGTTTCTCCCACGTTGCTGCAAAAGACATAATTTCATTATTTTTTATGGTTGAATATTATTCCATTGTATACATATACCACAACTTCTGTATCCACTAACCCACTGATGGACACTTCCGGTGATTCCATGTCTTTGCTACTGTGAATAGGGCTATCATAAGCATACAACTGCAAGTATCTTTTTGGTATAATGATTTATTTTCCTTTGGGTAGATACCCAGTAGTGGGATTGCTGGATCAAATGGTAGTTCTACTTTTAGTCCTTTGAGAAATCTCCACACTCTTTTCCATAGAGGTTGTACTAATTTATATTCCCTCCAGCAGTGTGTAAGCCTTCCCTTCTCTCTGCACCCTCACCGGCATTTGCTATCTTTTGTATTTTTAATAATACCATTCTGATAGGGTAAGAGTATATCTTATTGTAGTTTTCATTTCCATTTATCTGATGATTAGTGATGTTGAGCATTTTTTTCATGTGCTTATTGGCCATTTGTATGTCTTCTTTTGAAAAATGTCTATTCATGTCCTTTGCCCACTTTTTGATGTGGTTGTTTTGTTTTGCTTTTTTATTTTTATTTTAAATTCCAGAATATATGTGCAGGATGTGCAGGTTTGTTACATAGAAAAATGTGTGCCATGGTGGTTTGCTGCACCTATCAACCCATCACCTAGGTATTAAGCCCAGCATGCATTGGCTATTTTTCCTGATGCTCTCTCTCCTGCCGTACCTGCCAACAGGCCCCAAGGTGTGTTGTTCCCCTCCCTGTGTCCATGTGTTCTCATTTTTCAGCTCCCAATTATAAGTGAGAACATCCAGTGTTTGGTTTTCTGTTCCTGCGTTAGTTTGCTGAGGATAATGGCTTCCAGCTCCATCCATATCCCTGCAAAGGACATGATCTCATTCCTTTTTATGGCTGCATAGTATCCTATGGTGTATATGTACAACATTTTCCTTATCCAGTCCATCATTGATGGGCATTTGGGTTGATTCCATGTTTTTGCTATTGTGAATAGTGCTGCAATGAAGTATGAGTGCATGTATCTTTATAATAGAATGATTTATATTCCTTTGGGTATATACCTAGTATTGAGATTGCTGGGTCAAATGGTACTTCTGTCTTTAGGTCTTTGAGGAATCTCCACACTGTCTTCCACAGTGGTTGAACTAATTTGTATTCCCACCAACAGTGTAAAAGTGTTCCTATTTCTCCACAGCCTCACCAGCATCTGTTGTTTCCTGACTTTTTAATAATAGCCATTCTGACTGGCGTGAGATGGCATCTCATTGTGGTTTTGATTTGCATTTTTCTGGTGATTGGTGATGTTTAGCCTTTTTATATATGTTTGTTGGCTGCATAAATGTCTTCTTTTGAGAAGTGTCTGTTCATGTCCTTTTCTCACTTTTTAATGGGTATTTTTCTTGTAAATTTGTTAAAAGTTCCTTGTAAATTCTGGATATTAGTCAGATGGATCGATTGCAAAAATTTTCTCCCATTCTGTAGGCTGTCTGTTCACTCTGATGATCATTTCTTTTGCTGTGCAGAAGCTCTTCAGTTTAATTAGATTCCATTTGTCAATTTTTGCTTTTGTTGCAATTGCTTTTGATGTGTTTGTCATGAAATCTTTGCTCATGCCTATGTTCTCAATGGTATTGCCTAGATTTTCTTCTAGGGTTTTTATAATTTTGAGTTTTACATTCAATTCTTTAATCCATCTTGAGTTAATTTTTGTATAAAGTGTAAGGAAGGGGTCCAGTTTCAATTACCTGCAAATGGCTACCCAGTTCTTTCAGCACCATTTATTAAATAGGGAATCCTTTCCCCATTGCTTGTTTTTGCCAGGTTTGTCAAAGATCAGATGGTTGTAGATGTGCGGTCTAATTTCTGAGTTCTCTATTCTGTTCCATTGATGTGTGTGTCTGTTTTTGTACTAGTACCATGCTGTTTTGGTTATTGTAGCCTTGTAATATAGTTTGAAGTCAGGTAGCATAATGCCTCCAACTTTGTTCCTTTTGCTTAGGATTGTCTTGGCTATTTGGGCTCTTTGGTTTCATATGAGTTTTAAAGTCATTTGTTCTAATTCTGTGAAGAATGTCAATGGTAGTTTAATGGAAATAGCATTGAATCTATAAATTACTTTGGGCAGCATGGCCATTTTCACAATATTGATTCTTCCTATCCATGAGGATGGAATAATATTCCATTTGTTTATGTCCTCTCTGATTTCCTTGAGCAGTGGTTTGTAGTTCTCCTTGAAGAGATGCTTCACTTCCCTTGTTAGCTGTATTCCTAGGTATATTATTCTCTTTGCAGCAATTGTGAATGGGAGTTCATTCATGATTTGACTCTCTGCATGTCTATTTTTGGTGTATAGGAATCCTTGTGATTGTTGCACATTGATTTTGTATCCTGAGAATTTGCTGAAGTTGCTTAACAGCTTAAGAAGTTTTCGGGCTGAGACAATGGGGTTTTCTAGATACAGAATCATGTCCTCTACAGAGACAATTTGACTTCCTCTCTTCTTATTTGAATTCCTTTATTTCTTTCTCTTGCCTGATTGCCCTGGCAAGAACTTCCAATAATGTGTTGAATAGGAGTGGTGAGAGAGGGCATCCTTTTCTTGTGCTGATTTTCAAGGGGAATGCTTCCAGCTTTTGCCCATTCAGTGTGATATTGGTTGTGGTTTATCATAAATGGCTCCTATTATTTTGAGATATGTTCCATCGATAGCTAGTTTATTGAGAGTTTTTAACATGAAGAGATGTTAAATTTTATCGAAGGCCTTTTCTGCGTCTATTGAGATAATCATGTGGTGCTTGTTTTAGTTCTGTTTATGTGATTAATTATGTTTATTAATTTGTGTATGTTGAACCAGCCTTGCATCCCAGGGATGAAGCTGACTTGATCATGGTGGATGAGCTTTTTGATGTGCTGCTGGATTCAGTTTGCCAGCATTTTATTGAGGATTTTTGCATCGATGTTCATCAGGGATATTGGCCTGAAGTTTTTTGTTGTTGTTGTATCTCTGCCAGGTTCTGGTATCAGGATGATGCTGGTCTCATAAAATGAATTAGGGAGAAGTCCCTTCTTTTTAATTGTTTGCAATAGTTTCAGAAGAAATGGTACCAGCTCCTCTTTATACCTCTGGTGGAGTTCAGCTGTAAATCCGTCTGGTCCTGGGCTTTTTCTTGGTTGGTAGGCTATTTATTACTGCCTCAATTTTAGAACTTGTTATTGGTCTATTTAGGGATTCAACTTCTTTCTGGTTCAGTCTTGGAAGGGTGTATTGCTCCGGAATTTATCCTTTTCTTCAAGATTTTCTAGTTTACTTGCATAGAGATGTTTATAATATTCTCTTATGGTTGTTTGTATTTCTGTGGGGTCAGTGGTAATATCCTCTTCATCATTTTTTATTGTGTCTATTTGATTCTTATTTCTTTTCTTCTTTATTAGTCTAACTAGAGGTCTATTTTATTAGTTTTTTCCAAAAACCAGCTCCTGAATTTGTTCATTTGTTAAAGGGTTTTTCACGTCTCTATCTTCTTCATTTCTGCTCTGATCTTTGTTATTTCTTGTCTTCTTTGGGGTTTGTTTTCTCCTGGTTCTATAGTTCTTTTAGTTGTGATGTTGGTTAGGGTGTTGATTTGAGATCTTTCTAGCTTTTTGATATAGACATTTAGTGCTATAAGCTTCTCTCTTAACACTGCATTAACTGCATCCCAGAGATTCTGGTACGTTGTCTCTTTGTTCTCATTGGCTTCAAAGAACTTCTTGATTTCTGTCTTAATTTCATTAATTACCCAGGAGTCATTCAGGAGCAGGTTGTTCAATTTCCATGTAGTTGTGTGGTTTTTAGTGAGTTTTTAATCTTGAGTTCTAATTTGATTGCACTGTGATGTGAGAGACAGTTTGTTATGATTTCAGTTCTTTTGCATTTGTTGAGGAGTGCTTTACTTCCTGTTATGTCATCGATTTCAGAGTAAGTGCCATGAGACACTGAGAAAAATGTATATTCTGTTGTTTTGGGGTGGAGAGTTCTGTAGATATGTATCAGGTCCACATGATCCAGAGCTGGGTTCAAGTCCTGAATACTTTTGTTAATTTTCTGTCTCGACAATCTGTCTAATATTGACAGTGGGGTGTTAAGGTCTCCTACTACTATTGTGCAAGAGTCTAAGTCTCTTTGTAGTTCTCTAAGAACTTGTTTTATAAATCTGGGTGCTCCTGTATTGGGTGAATATATATTTAGGAGAGTTAGCTCGTCTTGTTGAATTGAACCCTTTACTATTGTGTAAAGCCCTTCTTTGTCTTTTTTGATCTTTGCTGATTTAAAGACTGTTTTGTCAGAAACTATGATTGCAATCCCTACTTTTCTTCTGTTTTCCATTTGCTTGGTAAATTTTTCTCCATTTCTTTATTTTGAGCCTATTTGTGTCTTTGCACATGAGACAGGTCTCTTGAATACACCACATGGATTGACTCTTTATCCAGCTTGCCATTTTGTGTCTTTTAATTGGAGTGTTTAGCCCATTTTCATTTAAGGTTAATATTGTTATGTGTGAATTTGATCCTGTCATCTTGATGCTAGCTGGTTATTTTTTAGACTTGTTGAGGTAGTTGCTTCATAATATCATTGGTCTTTGTACTTCAGTGTGTTTTTGTAGTGACTGGCAACGGTTTTTCCTTTCCATATTTAGTGCTTCCTTCAGGAGCTCTTGCAAGGCAGGCCTGTTGGTGATGAATTCTCTCAGCATTTGCTTGTCTGAAAAGGTTATATTTCTCCTTTGCTTATGAAGCTTAGTTTGGCCACATAGGAAATTCTGGGTTGGAAATTCTTTTCTTTACAAATATTGAATATTGGCCCCCAATCTCTTCCTGCTTGTAGGGTTTCTGCTGAGAGATCCACTGTTAGTCTGATGGGCTTCCCTTTGTAGGTGACCTGGCCTTTCTCTCTGGCTTCCCTTAACATTTTTTCCGCCATTTCGACCTTGGAGAATCTGATCATTACATGTCTTGGGGTTGATCTTCTCATGGAATATCTTAATGGGGTTTTACAGATTTCCTGAATTTGAATGTTTGCCTGTCTAGCTAGGTTGGGGAAGTTCTCCTGGATAATATTCTGAAATATGTTTTCAAACTGGGTTCTGTTCTTCCCATCTCTTTCAAGTACCCCAATCAGTCATAGGTTCAGTCTTTTTACATATTCCCATAGTTCTTGGAGATTTTGTTCATTCCTTTTTATTCTTTTTTCTCTAATCTGGTCTGCCTGTCTTATTCAGCAAGATAGTCTTCAAACACTGATATTCTTTCCTCCACTTGGTCTATTCAGCTATTAATACTTGAGGTTGCATTGTGAAGTTCTCGTGTTGTGTTTTTCAGCTCCATCAGGTCATTTATGTTCCCCTCTAAACTGTTTATTCTGGTTAACAGCTCCTGTAATGTTTTATCATCATTCTTAGACTCTTTGATTTGGGTTAGAAGATGCTCCTTTAGCTCGGTGATGTTCGTTATTACCCACCTGCTGAAGCCTACTTCTGTTAGTTCATTCATCTCAGCCTCAGCCTAGTTCTGTGCCCTTGCTGGACAGATGGTGCAATCATTTGGAGGAGAGGATGTGGTCTGGCTTTCTTGAGTTTTCAGCATTTTTTTATTGATTTTTTTCCTCATCTTCATTAGTTTATCTAGCTTTGATCTTTGAGGCTGCTGACCTTTGGATGGAGTTTTCGTGAGGAAATTTTTGTTGATGCTCTTGTTGCTGTTGCTTTCTGTTTCTTTGTTTTTCTTTTAACAGTCAGGCCTCTCTTCTGCAGGGCTGCTGTGGTTTGCTGGGGGTCCACTCCAGACCCTATTTGTCTGGGTCCCTCCCACACCTGGAAGTGTCATGAGTAGAGGGTGCAGAACAGCAAAGATGGCTGCCTTCTTCTTCTGGGAGCTCTGTCTCAGAGGGGCACCGACCTGATGCCAGCAAGCTCCTGTATAAGGTCTCTAGCAACCCCTGTTAGGGGTGTCTTACCCAGTCAGGAGGCATGGGATCAGGGACCCTTGTAACAAAGTACTCTTGCTGCCTCTTGGTGGAGGGATTGTGGTGTGCTGAGGGGAATCTCACTCCTCCAGACTGCCTGGATTCCTCAGAGCCCGGAGGGAAAAAGACTAAGTCCACTGATCTATGGAGGCTGCAGCCACCCCTCCCCACTGGGGCTCCACCACAAGGAGATCAGAGCTCTGTTTGTAAACCTCTGGCTGAAGTTGCTGAAATTACCACAGGGATGCCTCACCTGGTGAGGAGGGATGGGCCCGGGTCTGGCCTAAAGAGGCAATCTGACCATGATCTGCCACAGCTGCTGTGCTGTGCTGTGGGGAATTCCTCCTGGGTCCAAACTGCCCAGTCTCCCCAGCACCGGCAGGGGAAAATGGATGACTGAAGCTGCAGTAATAGCTGCTGCCCCTCCCCTCAGAAACTCAGTCATCTTAGGCAGCAGGCAGCTGCAGTGATGATAGCCGGCCCACCCTCCAGGAACTCGGTAGCCTTAGGCAGTCTCCAGCTGAGCAGCTGAGAATCTGCACAGCTCTGTGCTGGAGACCTAAGGCCCTGGTGGCACAGGCTCACAAGGGAATCTCCTGATCCACAGGGTTGCACAGATCCATGGAAAAAGCATGGTTTCCTGGGCAGGGTAGCACAATCACTGCATCCCATGGCTGGGGTTGGGGGATCCCCTTGCCCTGTGTAGTTCCCAGTAGGCCATTGCTCCACCCGGCTTTTCCTCATTCTCCGTGGGTTGTGTCAACTGCCTAGTCAGTCCCAATGAGAGAACCTGGATATCTCAGTTGCTAGTGCAGGATTCACTTGCTGTTTTTTTTCTTCTCAGTGGGAGCCTACCACAGCTGTTTCTGGTCTGGTCGGCCATCTTGGCCCCTCCCTTTTTAGTCAATCCAGAGAAAAAGTAAAGATGATCACAAGATGAAGTCCCACAATAGGCCATCTGCAAGCTGAGGAGCAAGAAAGCCTGTCCAAGTCCCAAAATCTCAAAAGTAGGCAAGCTGACAGTGTAGTCTTCAGTCTGTGGCTGAAGGCCTGAGAGCCTTGGCAAACCACTGGTGTAAGTCCGAGAGTCCAAAAGCTGAAGAACATGGAGTCCAATGTTCAAGGGCAGTAAGAATCCTGAACAGGAGAAAGATGAAGGCCAGAAGACTCAGCAAATCTGCTCTTTCCATCTTCTTCTGCCTGCTTTTGGTTATTTGTTTTGTTGTTGTTGTTGTTGAGTTGTTTGAGTTGATGGTGAATTCTGTATATCCACAAAGTTTTATTTATTTTTTAAGTTACAAGTAAAAATTGTACATATTTATAGTGTACAATATGATTTTTTGATATATGTATACATTGTGGAATGGCTAAATCAAGTTCTTTAACACATGCATGACATCACATACTTATGTAACCCAGAGTCCCTGGGTTTGGGGGTATGTACTGTGAAAAAGTACCCACTTGTAACTTGTACCTTGAGTTATTATTGTTTCAAAACAGTTCCAGGAAGAAGTTCAGCCCCCAAAAAACAAAAACCAGTTAGATTCAGAAAGGCCTGAATTGGAGATGAACTTTGGCAAACTCTCCTCATTACTATTCTAAGATCTTGCCTATGGAGGAGTTTTTCACCATTTTCTATACATACAATGTATGTAGAAGCATGATCAGTGACTGTGCTTGCACTGCCTTTACTGCACCTCTACATCCATAAAGTTAGCTAGTCTAATACAAGATGTTTTCACCTTTATTTGGAGAGGCACTGCTTTGGGAAATATCCCAGGTGTCCTCTTTACTTATTGCATGTAATAAAATCCCTGTGTTAAATCCTCCTTGGTTGTGGTCATTGGACTGTCACCCACCAAGTGATCGAACCCACCCATTGTGTGGTTAACACCTATTTTGTGCACGTGGTGAGAACATCTAAAATCTCTCTTAGCCATTTTCAAATATGATATATAATGATTAATTGTAGTCACCATAATAGACATAGGAAATAGACATCTTGAAATTATTCCTTCTGCCGAGATAAAATTTTGTGTCTTTGACTGGCATCTCCCCAGTCTCCTCAATCCCCAGCCTCTGGAAACCAACATTGTATTCTCTGCTTCTATGAGTTCTATATTTTTAGATTTCACATGTAACTAATATGATGCAGTATTTGTCTTTCTGTGCCTGATTTATTTCACTTAGCATAATATCCTACAGGTCATCCTTTTTGTGACAAATGCCAGGATTTTCTTCTTTTTTTAGGATGAATAGTATTCCATCGTGTATATATACACTACATTTTCTTTATCCATTCATCTGTTGACAAACACCTTGCTTATATTATATCTTAGCTATTGTGAGTAATGCTGCAGTAAACACAAGACTGCAAATCTCTTTGACATACTGATTTTACATTGTTTGGATATGCACCCAGTATTAGGATTATCAGATCATATTATAGTTCTGTTTTTAATTTTTTGAGGTGCCTCCATACAGATTTCTGTAATGGCTATAATAACTTATATTCCCACCAACCTCTAGCAGAGTTCCCTTTTCTCCACATCCTAGACAACATTTCTTATGTTTCATCTTTTTATAATACCCATCTGAATGAGTGTGACATTGTATCTCTGTATTAGTCTGTTTCCACACTGCTGATAAAGACACATCCAAGACTGGGTAATTTACAAAAGAAAGAAGTTTATTGAACTTACAGTTCCACATGGCTGGGGAGGCCTCACAATCATGGTGGAAGGGAAAGAGGAGCAAGTCACATCTTACATGGATGGTGGCAGGCAAAAAGAGAGTTTGTGCAGGGCAACTCCCATTTTTAAAACCATCAGATCTTGTGAAACTCATTCACTATCATGAGAACAGCATGGAAAGATCAACCCCCCGTGATTCAATCATCTCCCACTTGTCCCTCCCACAATACATGGGAATTATGGGAGCTACAAGATGAGATTTGGGTGGGGACACAGAGCCAAACCATATCAATCTTATAGTGGTTTTGATTTGCATCTCCCTGATGATTACCATTTGTATGTCTTCTATTGAAAAATGTCTATTCAGGTCATTTGCCCATTTAAAAAATCTGTTTTCTTAATACTCAGTTGTTTGAGTTTCTTATACATTTCAGATATTAATCACTTATTAGATGTGTGGTTTGCAAATATTTTCTTCCATTCTGTAGGCTGTCTCTTCACTAGGTTGAGTGTTTCCTTTGCTGTGAAGAAGCTTTTTAGTTTGATGTAATCTTATTTGTCTATTTTGCTTTCGTTGCCTGTGCCTTTGGGGTCACATCCAAAAAACTCATTGCCAAGACCACTGTCATAGAGCTTTTCCTCTATGTTTTCTTGTAGTAGAATTATAGTTTCAGGCCTTATATTTAAGTATTTAATCCATTTTGAATGGATTTTTTATATGATAAGAGATGAGGGTCTAATTTTATTGTTCTTCATATGGATATCTAGTTTTCCCAGCACCAATGCTTGAAGAAACTGTGTTTTACCCACTGTGTGTTACTGACATCTTGGTCAAAATCCGTTGACCATAAATGTGTAGATTTATTTCTGGGCTCTCTATTCTGCTCCATTGATTATGTGTCTGTTTTTATGCCAGTTCCATACTGTTTTGATTACTATAGCTTTATATATATTTTCAAATCAAGTAGTGTGATGTTTCCAGCTTTGTTCTTTTTGCTTAAGATTGCTTTGGCTATCCAGTCTGGTCCCATACAAATATTAAAATTGTTTTTTCTAGTTCTGTGGAAAATGTCATTGGAATTTTGATAGGAATTGCATTGAATCTGTAGATCACTTTGAGTTTTATTCAACAATATTAATTATTCCAATCTACAAACATGGGATATTTTTCTATTTGTTTGTGTCTTGTTCAATTTCTTTCATTAGCATTTTATAATTTTCAGTATACAGATATTTCACCTCCTTGGTTAAATTCATTCCAATTTTTTTGGTAGCCATTATAAAGGGGATTTTTTTCTTAAATTTTTTCAAATAGTTTGTTGTTAGTATACATAAATGCTACTAAGTTTCAGATGTTGATTTTTTATCTTGCAGCTTTACTGAATTCATTTATTCACTCTAACAGTTTTTTGCAGAGTCTATGTATATGATTATGTGTCTGCAGAGACAATTTTATTTCTTCCTTTCCAATTTGGATGCCTTTTATTTGTTTCAATTGCTTTGCCTAGTATGTCCAGTATTATGTTGGTTAAAGTTGCAAAAGTGAGTGTTCTTGTATTACACCTAATCTTAGAGAAAAAGCTTCTCCCCCATTGAACTTTTCATCATTTAATATGGTGTTAGCTATGGGCCTGTCATATATGACCTTTATTGTGTTGAGATACATTTCTTCTTCACCTAATTTGTTGAGAGTTTTTATCATGAAAGTATGTTGAATTTTGTCAAATGTTTTTTCTGCATCTATTGAGATAATCATATAGCTTTTGTCCTTCATTCTGTTTATGTGGTGTATCACATTTATGGATTTATTTATGTTGAAACATCTTTGCATCCCAAAGATAAAATGCTTTTTCATTTTGTCCCATATGTTGGGTATACAGTGGTATCTCGTTGTGGTTTTAATTTGTATTTTTCTAATTCTAATGATGTGAGTACCTTTTTACATCTCCACTAGTCACTTGAATCTCTACTTTTATAAAGTGCATATTAAAACTTTTTCTCTATTTTCTATTGAGTCTCTCTTTTGTTGATTTGCAGATCATTATGTATCTTGAATATTAATCCTATTTCAATTACATTTGTTGTAAAATATCTTCCCACTTGTGATGTCTTTTCACTCTCTTTATGTGTCTCTTGAGAGAGACATTCATCATTTTAAAGTGGCCAAACTTAGTCTTTTCTTTATGGGTCTCGTTTTTAAAATAATATTTAGGAATTTCTTTCCTACTTTATGTTATAAAGTTAATTTCTCACATTGCCTTCAAGGTATAAAAATTCTAAAATTTTCATAGTTTTGGTTTAAACATTTAAGTACTTAATCTACATGGAATTGATGTTTGTGTATGACATAAGGTAGGGATTGAATAAAAGTTAAAATTACATTTTGCCTTTTGTATTTGTTTACAGCTGGTATATGGGAACTACATCAATGTCAATAAATTTATTTTCTATTCAGCAGCCTTGCTGATCTTTCACATTGGTTCTAATATTTGTTTGTAGATTTTCTTTGATCTTCTATGTGAAAATCACTGTCTAAAATTTTTTTTCTTCTTGCCTGGTGCTTTATCATTTCTTTCTCTATTTATCTATTACATTGGATAAGAGCTCCAGCACAATGTTGCATGGAAGCAGTGACAATAAGAATTCTTGTGTAGCTCCTGATTTTAAAATAAAATGTTCCTAAAGATACCATTCACTGGACTACAGAAATGTCTTTCTATTCCTAATGCTAAGTTTTCTTGTTGCTGTTTATTTTAAAATTTTGAATGCATGTTGTATTTTATCGATTTCTTTTTCTAAGATGTAGTAGGCAAAATAACAGCTCTCATAGATGTCTATGTCCTAAGCCCAATAGCCTGTGAATATGTTGCCTTATATGGCAAAAGATCTTTGCAAATGTATTTAATAATTTTGTGATGGGAGGAATATCCTGGATTCTCTAGGTAAGTTAAATGTAACCATGGATCCTTGTAAGAGAAAGTCAGGAGAGTCAGAGTCAGAGAGAACAAGATTGGACCATACCACGCTGCTGGTTTTGAAGGTACAGGATGGGTCCACAGCCAAGGAATGTAGACTGCTTTTAGAAGCTGGAAAAATCAAGGAAACAAGTTTCCCCCTTAAGCCTCCAGAAGGAATGCAGCTCTGCCAACACCTTGATTTTAGCACACTGAGACTGACTTTGGACTTCTGACCTCCAGACTCTAAGATAATAAATTTGTGTTGTTTTCAGCTCGTAACTGTGTAGTGATTTCTTTACAGCAGCAATACAGGATAAACGGGCTATTGTATTATGTTTTAACCGTCTTTAGTCTGTGATTATAATAAATTACTTTATAGAATTTTAGTTCTACGTGATGGAAGTTGCACATCACATCTTCCCACTCTTTCAGTAGCACAAATAAACCATCCTTATATTCTTGATGTGACCCTTGCTTGGTTAAGATGTCTTATTTTTATTATTCAGTAGTAAATATAGTTTGAAAATATTTTCTTCAGTATTATTATAACTATCTTCATAAATGAGACTGACCTTTAATTTTTCTTCCTCATAGTATCTTATCTGTTTTGGGTATCAAGGTTCTTGGACTTATTAAAGGAAATTAAGAATATATCCTCTTTTACTATTGTATAGACATGTTTTATAAGATTGGGGTTTTTTTTTCCTTAAAACCTTCATAAAACTCATCCTTAAAAGGTTCAGAGATCAGTACCACTGTTGTGTGTAGATATTTAAATGCTTGTTCAAATTTTCAGTGCTTATAAGTCTTTTGGGTTTTGTAATTAATTTTTAATAAATTTTAGTGATTTACATTTTTCCAGAAAGGTGTTTGTCCCAGCTCTTTTTTAACCCAGTAACATAAATCTGTTTACAGTAGTCTCCTATTTTTTTCACCATTTTACTTTTACTTCACATGTAATTATGCCTACTATTTAATTACTGCTATTGTTTATTTATGACTTCTCTTAGCTTATCTTGTTCAATGTTGGACCAAGTTAATCTATTTTGTAATCATTTCCAATAATTCACTTTTGGTTTATTTAATTTTATATTGTTTGTTTGATTTCCATTTTCTTAATTTATGTTCCTATCATTATTATTTTCTTTCTTTTATACTGTTTGTGTTTACTCTATTATTGTTATTTTTAACATTTAGTTGAATACTTAGCTTATTATTTTTCAATCTTTTTGTTTTCAAATTTGTATGGAACTATTATGTTTAAGGAAGAAACCGAATGAAGTACAAACAAAGTAATTGTACCTGCCCCCTGTTGCCTGTTGAAATTTTATTAGGTTGGTTCTTTCTTGTCCTCTGAGGAAATTCTACCACAGGACTGATAACTTTTCCACCATTTCAAATAATAAGCATCTTCTGATTTCTGTAGTCCCAAGACTAATCTGATTTCAGTAATTAAAATGGTGGGTCTCGTGTAATAGTCAAAACTCTGAAATTCATTAAAAGTTAAAGGTTATCCTCATTCAGGTTCTTCAGAAGAGAAATCTGCTGTGCAAAAGAGAGGTATGGGAGCCAGGCATAGGGTACACATGTCTGTAGTCCCAGCTACTCTGGAGACTGAGGTGAGAGAATCTCTTGAGCTCAGGAGTTAGAGGTTGCAGTGAGCTATGATCATGCCATTGCACTCCCACCTGGGTGACAGAGTGAGACCTCATCTAAAAAAAAAAAAGAAAAAGAAAAGAAAAGAAAAAAATAAAAGACAAAAGTGGCATGTGGTGAGTTTCCTCTTTATTCCTAACCCTGTCACTTCTGCCCCTCCCCACTAGCTTCGTAGCCAGAAATAATGGTAAGATGCAGGAAGGCCTTCCTCTGCTAGTAATGGTACTCAAAGGTTACTCTTTTATTTATTATATTAGTTAAGGTGCAGTCTATGGTGCTATGAAAAAGAAGACTTAAAATACGGTGAGAAGACAAAAGCTTATTGTCCCTCATAGAGATAGACAAGTGATCTAGGCTCATGAGACAGCTTGGTTCCATGAGGTTTTCCCAAGATCCAGGTTTCTTCTAATTGCTCCATACCTCAAGAGTTTTGTCCTCATTTTTATGCTCCAAGTGGTCATCACCTTGCCTGCATTCCAACTCACAGGGAAGAGGAGGAGGAAATGGAGTACATCCAAGGAAAGCAGTTTTCTTTTAAGCAAGTGATGGAAGTTGAACGTCGCATCTTCCCACTCTTTCAGTAGCACAAGCAGTTCACTCTTCTCTTTGCTTCTGAAACATTTTGCTTATCAAAAATGTATGCTTTGAACTTAGGCATCTAGATTCATTTAGACAAGCCCAAACTGAGGGACATTTGCAATATTTCTGGCCAATACTCTTCAAAAATGTCATGGTGATGAAAGACAAAGGAATTATTCCAAATCAAAGCAGACTAAGGAGACATTACAACTGAATGCAATGTGTGATCCTACATTAGATTCTAGATGACAAAAAGAACATAAGAACATCCTAAATTTAGATTCTAGATGACAAAAAGAATAATTGGTAAAATTTGAATAAAGTTTGTAGGTTAGATAGGGCTGTGTTGATGGTAATGTCCTGGTTTTATCATTATACCGTTATTATGTAAGATGTTTACATTTGGGGAATCTGGATATATACAGGATTTTTATACTATTTTTCAATTTTTTGTGTGTCCAAAATTATTTCAAGATAAAAGGTAAAAAACAGAATTTATGTTCTTTTGATCTCAAATATCTAGCCCAAAACTCACTTCTGAACTAGTATACACAGCTGCCTAATTGAGGTCTCCACTGAGACGTACCACAAGCATTTTCAAGCTTAACATTTCTAAAATTGAACTCTTGTCCTAGCTTCAAAATCTCTTCTTTCAAAAGTCTTTTCCAGATCACTAAATTCCGCCACTACCCATCCAGCCACTCAAAGCAGATTTCTTGACATCATTCCCCATATCCAACTTATGATTAAAATCTGTTGATGCTCTCTTCAAATACATATCTCAAATACATTTGATTGTTCCCATCTTCATTGGCCTTACTCTAGTCCAAGTCACTTTATCTCCTGTGTAGTATATTGTAATCATCTCCTAAGAAGTCTCCCTGCTTTGACTAAGATTTCCCTCCAGTCCATTCTCCAAACAGGAGCAGAAGTGATTCTTTTGAAATGTAAATGAGATAATGACTGTCTTATTTTCAAAATATTTCAATAACTTCACATACCTGGAATAAAATTTAGAACTCTTAACCTGATTTAAGATGAACTAAGCATTATATAATTGTCTGCCTTCCCTACACTTCCTTCAAACACAGAATGTACATTCTGTATACTCTTAGTACTCTCTCACTCACCAGCTCCAGATCACAGTGCACATAAGGTTCTTTAAGAACTGCAATTTATTTGCTGAACCATAACCCTCTAACATTGCTATTTCTTCTCCATTGGATGCTCCTTCCACACCTAGGACCCTCTTCCTTATAGTCCTCTCTTGACTAGTTCTTTTTCATCCTTCAAATTCAGATCTCAGATGAAATATCATCTTCTTCTAGCGGTCTTCCTGGCTACCCAACTTAAAGTGTGCCCCTACCATTATTCTCTCTCACAGAATTCTGCCACAAGAAAATTTTTAATTATACTTTTACTTGTTATTTGTTTGGTGTCTGCATTTCCAATTAGGCTAAGAGCTCAATGAGAGCAGAAATCAGGTCTGTTTTATCCACCTTATATATCAAGTACCTAACTTACGTTCAGCAAATACATGGTGAGCAACTACATAAATAAATTAATTAAAGTACCTGTGCTGAGATGAACTATTCCCATTTACCAAGAGGATTAGGTAGTTCTGGTTCTGATTCACTGCATGAAATGTGTCTCTTGTCCTAGGGAACTGAGACAAACGCTCAATTCAGTAGCTAGTAGAAGTACGACTACATCATTTTGAGCACTAAGCTAAATTTGTTTTGTGATGGTGATCACCCCAGGTTAGAGATGAGGAATTATTTCCATACTTCAAAAGAATATAGAAGAGATGTTCTATTCAGTAAATGTAGTTGAGCACCTCCACTTAGAGGTCATTCTGTGATTTAATGTGAAGTGAGTAGCTTGACTTCATATGGTTGTTGGGCCATTCTTCTAACCACCAATTCATTCTGGAATTGTATTTTGCAATGCATTAAAAAGTACATGCTGGACCTCTGCTTGTATGTTGAAAACATACACCAAGGGACAACCATTTTTGAGTCTCAGAACTATACTCTTGGGAAAAATCAAAATTATATAGGGAAATTGGCACTTCCTATATTCGGGTCAGAATGTTCTAGATATGGGGTTGCAATAAAAATGTTCTTTTATAACTTACTGAACTTTGGAAAATTGGATGCATGAGAGATCTGAGTTCAGAATAATTTGCCTTTGAAGGTCTTCTTGGGAATATATTAGTTCCAGAAGCAAAATAAAAAGAAATGAGAGGGGAGATTTTATTTTAAGGATTTTAATTTCACTGTAGAAACTTGATAATTGAAACAGAATGGAAACAGAAAGTGTTTGGATTTCAAGCTTTCATATTACTGCATTGTATTAATAGGATTACTGGCATCTGTACATAATTCTCTCTAATTAGCTGAGTTACATAGTCTAAAATGGATTATAAAATAGGGGGTGAAGTTTTCCAGAATGTAACCTAAGAATTAGCATAAGCAATATAATCTGGACTCATTTCAGAATCTCCTCTGATTATTTCTTAATCTTTTTCCCATAAGAGACATCCTCAACTTTAGATTTGCCTTTGAAACCCAATGAATTAACAGGATAAGTAGCAAAGTCAAAGAAAATAGGCATTAGGAGAGGGAAAACCACCTCTACTGATTGGGACTTTTTTACCTGCAAGAAACAACTCTCAACACAAAAAAGGTTAAACAAAAGGGAGATTAATTAGTAACACACTTCCATAATCATAGACTCAAAGAGGAAGCAAAGAAGCTTTGAAGACCTCAAGGAGTAACTCCCCAGGATCATCTCTCATCAGTCTTAGTTTCCCCAAGTAGTGAGAGACATAGAACCAGCAGCTCTAAATCATACTCCTTCAGCTTTTTGCAGTAAAGAAAGAAAGAGAAAATTTCCCCCAGAGAGCTACTTAGGAAACAAATCTCAGGGAAGTATTCTGGTTGGCTACTGAGCCAATCACAGTGTCCAGGGGAACATGATAATCTAATTGGATAGAACTGGATCATGTGCACAGCCCTGAGACAAGTAGCTAGAGGAGTACTATGATTGGAAACTCTACCAGAATATCACAATATGAATTAAAAAATAGAACCCACACTTCCCCCACCAAAGGCTAAGAGGACATTTTTGTTACAAGAAGACAAGAGAAGCTGAGTAGCCAAAACCACAGATATTCCTCTCACTTTCCTTCCATCTACATTCAGGAGGGAAAGGAAGAGAAAGGGAGGGGAGGGGAGGGGGAGGGGAGTGGAACGGAGGGGAGGGGAGGGGAGGGGAAGGGATGGGAGTTTTAATGTCAAAATGACTTAATCAAAACTTTTCCTCACTTTATTTGTGATAGAAAGTGAATACCTTTTTCTCCCTTTATTTAGAGAGACATACATATATATCAACATTTGAAATGGGGATTTCTATACAGGGGATTTGTAAGAGTTATGTGCATCCAGTTTTCAATGCATCTTATTATTTTTTTTTTTTTTTTAGAGAAAGGTATGGTGGGCAAAATAATGGCCCCAAAGATGTCTACATTCTCATCCTCAGAACACATGAATATGTTGCCTTACATGGCAAAGCAAAGGGGACTTTTAAAATGTGATTAAGCTTACAGACACTGAGAGGAAAAGACTGCCTGTATTATCCAAGTAAGCCCAATCTAATCACATGAATAATTAAAAATGGAAAACCTCTCCTGGCTTTGGTTAAAGAGAGACTTGGTGAGGGTTAAAAAGTCATGGAGATGCAAAGTTGCTGACTTTGAAGATGGAAGAAGGACACCAGGAGTCAGATGGTACAGATGACCTCTAGAAGCAGGAAAGGCAAGGAAGCAGATTCCTCCCTAGAGCCTTCAGAAAGTAACTGAGCCTGTTGATACCTTAACTTTAGCCCAGTGAGACTGGTTGTCAGACTTCTGGCCTACAGAGCTTTAAGATAATAAACGTGTGTTGCTTCATAACACTACATGTGTGGTAATTTGCTATTGCAGCAACAGACAACTAACAAAAGGCAATAGGAAACTATTTACAAAACTTTGATTAAGAACAATAGACCATACACAGAGTCTGTTAATATTTGCTTCCAATGACAAGAAAAAATTGTAAAATAGCTCTTCTATGGGGGTTGCAAGTTCTATTGGGAGGATTTTCCAATGAATTAGTAAGATGTGAGGACATAAATTATACCATATTCACACAGGTGATGTCATCCCTTGTATCAAAAGGTTAGTGTACAGTGTAGTTTGGTTTTTTCTCCCCTGACTTTTTCTTCTAGCTAGCCTAAATTATGGAAAGATTTCAATTGGCTTTAGGAGATTTGGGCCATTGAGTGATATGTTTCTGCTTCTCATATAACAAACTATGGGGCCAGAAACCATGTAGAAATGACCCTGACCTGAGAGACAGAAGCTAAGCAGGGGTGAGAAAGCACTGGGTGAGTCTGAATCTACATTATAGAACAGAACTGTAGAAATAAGACATTCTGTCTGGCAGATATCAATGATGCCAGTGGTAATGCTCAAGATCTTTATAGGCAAGAATAATTGAAATGGCATGTATCTTCAAGAGAAGAATTCCCACTATAAAAAGAACTCAGCTGGTATTGTGGTGGGAAAATTGAAATCCTGAAAATTGGTGTCACTTCCCTCTTTGTTCAAATGCCCAATAAATACAAGAGTTCTAAATGTAGTCAAATAATGGATAAACTAAAGAGAACCTAAGCAAACCATGTGTAAATTACATAAGCCATTCTGCAACAACTGGCCTTAATGTCATCAGATACAAACTCCTTGAAGGCAGAGACTTTGTTTCCTACTTTATACTCAGTGTCTGGCAGTAGATAGTTAATATGAGCATGGTGAATACATGAAAAGCATTACAGTTGCATCATGACTTCAGATGCCAGGATGTCCTGTTTGGCTTGGAGCCATCCTAAGAGGACATAATCCTAAATTTCCTCAGCTAAAGAACAGCCAATTCCAGAGCAGTTCTTTCTTTTGCTTGATAGTGCATGCCAGTCACTTAAAATGAGCAGCAACTCCTGCAGCTGTTATAAAGACACACACCAATGACTGCTTATCTCCAGGGGAAGCCTGGACATTAGATGTCTAATGTCAGCTGCTTAAATAACAAGCTGATGATATTGGATGAATCTTTTAGTGCCACACAGCTCTGTCTCCTTCTTCCCAAACTGAGAGAGCAATAACCTCTTTCCCCCTCAGGCCTTTGTACCGACTGTTCTCTCTGTTTGGAATGCCCTCCCCTAGAATTTGCCAACCTGGCTCCTCCTTACCATTCTTGGCTTAGCTGGAATGCCACCTACTGAAAGAGGCAATCCCATCTGGAGTAGCTCCTCAGTCACTGTTTATCATCTCATCTCGTTTTATCACCAGCTTACATTCTCTTGCTTCTTTGCTTTTGCTTTTGCTTTTGCTTTTATTTTTGTTTATTATGTCTTCCCACTAAAATTTAGCTCTTTTCCTCCTTCTTCACCTCTATATACCCAGCTGCTAGAACACAGTATATGTTCACAGTATATGTTTAATAAATATTAATGAATAAAATATGTCAAAGGTAAGTTCATGGGACCCATTCAATAGACAATGTTACAATACCTGAGAAAGGCTTAGGACTGCAGTTCCAGTAGACAAACAGAGGACAGGAGACTAACTAGTTAGTCCTTTCCCCCTTCCTCCCCACATCCCCTACCTGCACTCTGTAATCCCTTACAGGAGCACCATACATACCATCTGACATTCTCTGGAATGCTGAAGAGTTTCACCACAGACCTAGAGGCTCTCCAGGAAAGAAACAATGCGTTATTCAGTTCCATGTCTCAAACCCCTGGCATGTGACAGTCACCAGCAGGGCACTCATTAAATGTTTGGTTGAAGGAATGAAATTGTTGAGACCTATAGTCAACAAAACTGAGCTTAAGTACCATCTTTGCTATATAATAGATGACTTGGGCAAATCTTACACTCTCTGAGCCTCAGTTTCCTCATTTGGTTAATAAATATCAAATGAGATAACAATTTAGAATCTCCTAATATAGGGTCAGTTTTCAAAACACATTGGTTTAGGAAAAAGGGCTATTCACTTTGGTGAAGCTTACTCTTTTGAATGAAAAAAAAAAGTGACAAACAACATTTTGAAGACTAAGAACAAGAAATATAATTTATTATCCCATAAATAGCAAGACACATATTTCAGTTTCCTACTAAGGAAAATATGGTAAGAGCAATAAAGATAAAACCTTGTTGTTTTTCAAAGCTGGAGGAGGAAATGATAATTAAATAACACTGTGATTTTTCTTTTAATGCAATTTTTAAATGCATAAGGAAATGGCTAAAGGTTGCTAGGATCTGTCACCAAAAGTATTTTAATTCCTCCTTAAGGTTCAGAAACGTATATGAAGTCTCCCCCATTTTTTTCCTAAAAACGGTTAATGTCATGATTCAGGAATATTTCACAAACTTTCACAGAGTAATGAGCCCATCTTGTGGCCTTTTATAATATTGCCACTTTCAAAGTGAAATATTACTTGTTAACCATAGGTTTAAATGGTGTCTTTTATTCAACAAATATAACTTTTGAGCACTTACTGCATGCCAGGTATTATGCTGCTGAATGCTGGAGATACAATGATGGGAAATGAAAAAAAAAAAAAAAAAAAGACAAGGTCCCTGCTCTAAAATCATATAAATTTAAAGGTGACAGACTTTTGGGCAGAGACATTATAGTAAAAGAATAGTTAAGTGCAATTGTACAAGGGTATAAACTTCAGTTACTACACAAGAGTTAAGTGTTCCCAGAACTCAGAATGAAACTGCTATATCCCCACTTCCAGGAATAACTCTGATCACTAAAGAAATCCTCTCTCCTTAGAGCCTGGGTTAAATATTAATTTCTAGTCTTCCACTTTATGAGAAAGTGTTACATATTTTCTTAACCTACTGAACCCACAGAAACCTGAGTACACCTAGTTCTCATCTAAATCTCTAATTCTCAGAGCACATCAAGGATAAAAATATTTTCAATAGCTTCTTATGTGTGTTCCCTATTGGTAAACAGGTTTTCTATTTCCTTAGGCCCACTCAAATCATAGCTTTAAGAAAATGGAAAGGCAAAAGTCTTTTAAGGAAGTGAAGGATATAAAATAGAAATTTTCATCATGCAGGAAAAGAAAGAGAAAGCCCATTCTTTCCAACCTCATGGTTTGGGGGGGAAATAGGGATAGAAGTCAGGAATATTAGCAATCAGATCTGTGCCCCAACCTCCTGGCTTCAAGGTTTTGTGGGATAAGTAGGTTGTAACAAGTGGGGAAGAGCATTCCCTATCTGAAGGTATTAGAGGACATCATTCTGCAGAGTGGCCTCTGACAAACAAGTGGCCACATCTAGTATAAGGAAGACAGTGGAGAGGTATGGTCAGCCACAGAGATAGAGGGCTGCCCCTCTATTCCTGTGTGACAGAGATACTGGGATGAGAACCCATGGGCCAATTGTGGGATCTGCCATAGCAGGGGCAAAGCTATTGCTGCTGTTGCAGGGTGAACATTCTTGGCCAATGGCAAATGGAGGGTGTGAAAAAGACTCAAAAGTGTCTCAGAACTATCAAGAGCTAAAGAGAGGCCAAGTTATCAGGAAGGGAAAATCTGAATCACATCTTGTCCAAGCTGAGAAAGAGGAATGCATAAGTTTACCCGGCAGAGAGGTCAGCAGTGGACCATAGTAGAAAGCAAGAATTAGAACAGATCAAACATCCTTCAGTAGACAGCAGATAATCTACACCTAAGGATGCCATGTAGGTTACAACCATATACCCCGATGCCTACATTTCTCTATCTCTTATGTATAGACTACCACCTTCACTTGCTTTTACAACTCATGCCTCACATACCTTATTCAGCAAAAGAAAGGTTCTTCCTAAGAATCCATTCTTCTTAAAAGGCATAAAAGAAGGAAAAAAGCTAATTATTTTTAAAATATATCCTCTAACAATGTTTATATGATCATGAGATTGAAAGTGTGAAAGTAGGGTTTCATGGCAAAAGCAAATTTTAAAATAATATTGAAGGCAATGAAGAGAGAACAGATTTTAAGCTTGACATAAGTTCTTTGGAAAGATCTCTGTGGTAGAAGTATGCAAGGTGAGCCAAAATTTTCTTCCCCTTCTTTCCCTCTTTATTCATTTAATTTCTTCAACAGATATTTTGGAGAACCTACTTTATACCAGATGCTTAGCAGATAATTAGCACAAATATGACTTAAGAGAGAAGGGAATCTTTTCTTCCTCCAAAGTTTTCAGATCTGGAGATTAGATGATTTTTTGTTTTTGTTTTTGTTTTTTGTTTTTTTGACACACGGTCTCATTCTGTTTCCCAGGCTGGAGTGAAGTGGCAAGATCACCGCTCACTGTAGCCTCAACCTCTCAAGGTTCAGGTGATCTTCCTGCCTCAACCCACTGAGTAACTGGGACTACAGGCACATGCCATCACACCTGGGTAGTTTTTGTACTTTTAATACAGACAGGGTTTTGCCGTGTTGCCCAGGCTGGTCTCGAACTTCTGTACTCAAGAAATCCACCTCTCTTGGCCTCCCAAAGTGTTGAGATTACTGGCGTTAGCCTCCCTGCCCAGCCTAAATGAATTCTTTAGCAATCCATTCAACAAATATGTGTTGAGTGTTGACTACGTACCACACACTGTGCTAGGCACTAGACAGGAACAGTTGTACCAGAAATTAATATAAGAAATGAAATATGTTGCAGAAAGTTTAGATCAAGTAATCTGTCATATTCTGGAGCCATGTAGATGAACCAAGAACATAAGAAGAACATAAGGATTTTGTTAGTTCCTTCAGATCACTCAATCATAAGGTTGCTCTCCTGAAATTAAAGAATGACTATCAATTCCTCAGTTAAGAGACTGTATGTTGGGGGTCAACCTGACAATTTTCTTTATAAATTGCTTTTAAATAAATAAAAATTCAGTTTCTTTCCTGTTCTTCTATTCCTCATTCGTTCAATTTATTCACTAAATATGTATTAATTGCTACTATGTGCCAGTAAACTCTAGTTGATGCTTGAGATACAATTATAAACAAGACCTTTTGTCAGTTCCTACAGCATGTTTTTTCCATCAATCTTCCCTCTCTAAAAGACTCTGGAATTCTAGACTTCTATCCCTGTATCAAGCCCATTCACCTGATCACCTGCCTCAGCCATTGCTGTCAACCTCCAAGGTATCATGTTTCTCCAGCATCATGACAAACTCAGGGCTTCTCTAAGAGGCTTCCCTGAGTTATGGAAAGGAAAGCAAGGATGGAAAACTCTTTTGCTGTTCTCTCCCTCATGTTTCAGGATCCTCTACCTGATCCAAGGAGGGCTTTTGTCTTCTCCCTGTATAACTTTCCTTCACCCTCCCTGCCCTAGAGGTTAGAGTAAAATTTTATCTTAGTCCCCCAAGCTTTGAGTATTGATTATTAACCCATTTCCCATTTGCCCTGAGAGTACTTATCTCCAATCCTAATGTAACATCATATACTTTTCTGTTACATTAGGATTAGAGACAAGTGCTGTTTAGAAATAACTCCATGAACAGTTTTCGTATTTTATTTTCACATTAAAAATCAGTCAGATTTGCTTCGGCCTCAAAAAGCATGTTTATGTATAATTAAATGAGCCCTGGAAGTGAGCTGCACCTTTTATTGCTAAATGGGAAATGGGTTAAAGGGAAGCTTTTGGAATTCAGGAACCCCTTTTCTCCTTGGGGTGACTACCTCTTGCAACTGAAAGCTTGGCCTTCAAGATTACTGTCATACTAT
Organism: Homo sapiens; assembly: GCF_000001405.40. Classification (NCBI taxonomy): domain Eukaryota; kingdom Metazoa; phylum Chordata; class Mammalia; order Primates; family Hominidae; genus Homo; species Homo sapiens. The sequence goes on from NC_000004.12 coordinate 143,088,798, forward strand.
GAACTATTAAATTCAAAACTTATCAGTGATCTCATTATTCTAGTCTGTCTTTGCCTTCTTCCTAAATCAATGAATGGGAGAAGAACACTAAGATGACAAGAATGATTTCAGTAAAGAGGAATAGAGAACCCCAGTTTAAAAATCTCCAAAAAGGATTGTTCTGCTTATATTTGAGTAATTACTTAGAAAATGTCAATTTCTCTCACCATGCTGCAAATGTCTTTACAACAGGGACTATATCTGTTTCCCTCCCAGTGTGTTCCCAGTTAATGAAGACATGGTCCTTGCCCTGGCAGTGTTAGACTGCTCAGACAGACAATTAAACAAACAATTACAATGCAATGTGTTTTGTTCTAAAACAAGAAACTGTAAAGCACCTTAGAAGAACATTTGAGGGTGACAACCCAGACTTGAGCACCAGAGAAGGATCCCTGGAGGAATTAATAGATAAACTGGGACCTGAAGCGTAAAGAGAAGTTAGTCAAATAAAGGCCATTTGTGAAGAACTCTCTATAAATTATGCTCCAGAGTTTGGATTTTTTTTTCTAAAGGCAATAAAAAGCCATTGAAGGATATAAATAGGGGATTGGGACCTTTTAAAAGGTCACACTGTAGGATAGAAATTGAATATAGAAGAATGTGTGGAGGTGGGAAAGGCTGTTAGGAAATGTTGGTTGAATTCCAAGCAAGTCTGGAATTCCAGGGGGCCTGGCCCAGGATGATGACAGTAAGAACAGAGAGAGGTACATGAGTTGCTGATAAAGTAAGGAAGGAGCAAGAGGAATTTAGGACATTAGCTAGATTTCTGGCTTAGGCAATTGGGTGATGACACTGACCAGTATGAAAAAGAGGTATAGAAACAGTTTTGTGAGCAATTTCCAAATGCATTTAGAACAGTTATACATAGTGGCTCCAGGTTCATTTATTCATCAATAAATACTTTGATTGTGAAAAAGGTCATTTTCACAAATTCCTCCTTACTAGCAATAATCACTTTACCTTTCCAAGATTTGGAGAGCATTAGGGACTATTGTTTCAGCACCTACCCTTTAATCTCACTTCAACAGAGGCAAAAAACTTTTTCTGTAAAGGGCCAGATAATAAATATTTTTGACTTTGAATATCATACAGTTTTGTCACCACTATGCAATTCTGCCACTGTAGCAAAAAGCAGCTGTAAAAAAAATTTTAAATAAATGGGTGTGGCTCTGTTCCAATAAAACTTTATTTATAAAAATAGACAATGGGCAGGATTTGGCCCACAGGTCCAACTTTGCCAAACTCTGACCTAGAGTTATGTTTCCCAGCACATCCCAGCATTGTGTAATGTTTCCATACCCCTGGATACACTTTGTGAAAGGAAAATATCTTGGACCCCCAAAATCACTAAGGAAAACTCAAGCTGGAAACTGCTTAGGGCAAACTTGCCTCCCATTCTATTCAAAGTCACTCTTCTGTTCATTGAGATAGAGGCATATCTTATTTGCCTCCTTTGGAAAGGCTAACCAGAAACTCAAAATAATGTAACCATTTCTGTATCACCTACCTGTGACCTGGAAGCTCCCTCCCCACTTCCAGTGTTCCTGCCTTTGCTTCAAGTTGTCCTGCCTTTCTAGACTGAACCAATGTACTTCTTACATATATTGATTGATGTCTCATGTTAAGGGAGGAGACCACCCCTCATATTGTCTTATGCCCAATTTCGGCCTCCAAAGAAAGAAGAAATAAAATCTAAAAGGCAGAAATGAAATCCACAGGCAGACAGCCCGGCACCACACCCTGGGACTGGTTGTTAAAGATCGACCACTGACCTAACCGGTTATGTTATCTATAGATTCCAGACATTGTATGGAAAAGCATTGTGAAAATCCCTGTTCTGTTCTGTTCCGTTCTGATTACCAGTGCATGCAGCCCCCAGTCATGTACCCGCTGCTTGCTCAATTGATCATGACCCTCTCACGCGAACCCCCTTAGAGTTGTAAGCCCTTAAAAGGGACAGGAATTGCTCACATGGGGAGCTCGGCTTTTGAGACACAAGTCTGCCAAAGCTCCCAGCCAAATAAAGCTCCTTCCTTCTTTAACCCAGTGTCTGAGGAATTCTGTCTGTGGCTGGTCGTGCTACAATGTCTCCCTGAATGTATAAAACCAAGCTGTGTCCTGACCACCTTGGGCACGTGTGGTCAGGACTTTCTGAGGTTGTATCACAGGCACGTCCTCAACCTTGGCAAAATAAACTTTCTAAATTAACTGAGACTTGTCTCAGATTTTCTGGGTTCACATTTTGGTAATCACGAAGGGATTCTGAGTGGAGATACCCCTGACCTTTGACAAATCTCCTATCAGTGCTTGGTACCAACATGAACTAACTTTATGGCTCAAACCAATGGGACAATTTGCTGAGGTCTGAGAGCACCCCCTCCAGAGAATCCCTGAGCTCCAAAAATTTGGGCTAGATTTAAAGTTTATTTTGCTGTACAACTTCCCTTTTTTTGGAGTTTTACTTGCTTCCAACAGGAAGGCAAGTTTTCCTGCTTCCATGACAATGGAAGGCAGATAACTCCTTTATGGAGTTTGAGCTTGCTTACAAGAAGGAAGATGAGGTTTTTTTCCTACCTCTAGGATGGTAGAGAGCAATCTACAGCCTGAGGCCCATCACGAGGTAAAAAACTGGTTTGGGATTCTGTCTTCCAAATTCTTTTTAAATAACTAAAGTTAGCATTAACAACAAGCTGGTGTTAATTTCTGCTTAAACTTAGAGCTCTCAGAAATTGTATAATTTGTGTGATCATTGTTAGTTTAGCAGCATTTTGTCTTAGCTGAAATATGGTAATGAAATTTAAAAAGATTTTTTGTTGTTGTTAAAGGAGCTCAATAGTTAAAAGTCAGCTTAATTAAAAGGCTAACATCCAAGATGTGTGCATGTATGTATGCATTTGTGCATGTATTTAAAAGGCCTTCATGTTTTGGGGTTTTTTTGTTTGTTTTTCTCTCCTAAGACCTTGCCTTTTTTTTTGAGCAAAAGTTTTATTTTTTTCTCTTCAGTTGACTGAATTCTGTTTTCACCCGATTTTTTGACTAAAATAGTATTGCAACAGAGGCTACTCTTGGGTTTTTAAGGAAGAATGTAGTTTAGACACTCAGAAATGTCTTCACTTTAAAAAAATTTTGAGTGCACTTTAAAAGCATCTCCCTCTAGCATCACCAGACTTTTGCTCTGTACCTTATGATGTAAATTTTGCTATTTGATTTTCACCTCAGTTGTTTCCTTTAATATGCAAATTTAAGGCTATTTAGCTGACAACTGCTTAGGGTTGTGAAACAGATTATCAAGAATCTGAAAGTCTAAGATAGAAAAAAACAGGGGGGGAGGGTCTTTATAAATCTATAAAATGTACTTCCACAGCAAGCCTAATACATTTTTATATGTATTTACGTGTTATGTACAGAATGTTTTACTACTAAAAACACATAAAAGAGCTCTAATTAACTGGCTTAAAAAAATTAAAAGCGCCTAAATTAGATACTAAAAAAGAAAAGACTAGTCAAATGCTTTTTCAAGTTTATATTTTGTAAATTTTACAATAAAATTTTTAATAAAATTAAGTAAAATTTTTAATAAACAAGTTAGCTTTAAAAATATTGGTAAAGTGGCCGGGCACGGTGGCTCACACCTGTAATCCCAGCACTGTGGGAGGCCAAGGTGGGTGGATCACGAGGTCAGGCTAACCATCCCGGCTAACATGGTAAAACCCCATGTCTACTAAAAATACAAAAAAATTAGCTGGGTGTGGTGGTGGGCGCCTATAATCCCAGCTACTCGGGAGGCTGAGGCAGGAGAATGGCGTAACCCGGAGGTGGCTTGCAGTGAGCTGAGATCACACCACTGCACTCCAGCCTGGGTGACAGAGCAAGACTCTGTCTCAAAAAAAAAAAAAAAAGTATTGGTAAAGTAATATTAGAAATGTCTTAAGAATTGCCCAGCATACGTTTTTGTTTGAATGTTAATTGAGCAATTTCATACTTATCCCTGCCAAATACTACAAGGTGTCAAAATTTGCCATAGGGGTTACAAAACTGTAAACCCATCCCAAATCAGAATGATTTTTGTGCAAGTAATTTTTAATAAATAAGACACTGATATGGGTTTAATGAAAATAGCTGCATCTTGAATTTAGTAAGACTACCATAACTTCTAATCCTGCAGCTTTAGGCAGTCTAGTCCACAGACAATAAGGAGGTTTGTTTGGGGAAAGGACTGTTATCACCTTTCTTTCAAAGCTAAACTATACACTAAGTTTCTCCCAAAATTAGTTCAGTCTATGCCCAGGAATGAAAAAGGATGGCTTGGAGGTTATGAGCAAGATGGAGTCAGTTAGGTCAACTCTTTTATGCACTGTCTCAGCTATAATTTTGCAATGGTGGTTTCAGAACTTTAAATCATGACTATCACAGCTTTCATAAATAATCTAGGTAAACAATTAAAATAAAATAATTAGGTAAATGTAATGGGATAAATACTTGTAGGCAAACTGGTCATAATTTAGAATGTAAAGTTAAATTAAATAATAGATATTTCATTATTTGGGTATTTCCCAATAAATATATATTGTAGGAAAACATTCTTGCTAAAAAAAAAAGAAAGAATGAAAAGAAAAACATTGAAGTGTATCTTTTTTTAAAAAAAAAGGTGAAAATTTTTGTCTAATTCAAAGCTTATTTAAAGGTTATGTATAAAACAAGGCAAAAGGAACCAGGAAATAAAAAAATATGTAAAGGAAGTTATAAAATTAAGGAAGTTTTTTTGAGGTAAAAAAGCTTAAAGAAAAATAATTTTATATAAGAAAAAAATCTTGTATGGTAAATTTAGTCCTAAAATGAAATAGCTGGTTATTTAAAAAGGAGGGATGTTCACGACAAACCAGAAAGTCATGAATGGTCCATGTAAGTCACAATAAGAGGATTTATATATATTAAAAAAGAAAACCAAAAACTTTAATATAATCAGGTTGTCATATTATTGTTAAGTTTTAGTTGGTTAGGAAAAAAAAACTAAGAAAATTTTAAATTAAGGTTATTACATCCATGTATTTCCCCGTATGTGCTTTTGAAGTCCTTGTACATTGAGTTACAGGGCTTTAACTCCTGGGTCCAAAAAGGACACCAAGTTCTGCTAAATCTTAAACACCGACAGCAATTAAAGCCTCATCTTCAGGCCCCATAGAAGATGCCAATCAAGATAAACTGCTTTCCTGAGACACAGGGCAAGAAATTAAAGCTATTCAACTCCTCAAGGCCCAGGAACTATTGCAGAAGAAATGGGAGTGTAAGATTGTAAGGGCCAATTTTGAAAGATAAAATAAGTTCAGTTTATCTATAAATTAATTATTAATGTTAAAGGCACACTGATGCAAAACCAGTATATGGACCCTTGAGTCAGATTAACAAGGTTTTCTTGAAGCATTAACCAACTCCTTAATAAAGGTTATAAAAGGCTTATGGAAGTTATATTTTATAATCAAGATTTAATTTTATAGATTGTTTACAAAATTTTGAAAAACAAATGTAATTGGTTTCATGCTGTTTTTATTAGGGCTTCTTGTTTAGAAAATTAAGTCTCCTCTCTCAAATAATGAAGATTATTGCTTTTTTTGAAATCCTTGAATTATCATTTTGTTAAACAAATTACTTTACAATGACTTGTAATCCTATTTTGTAATATCAAGGGTCTTAAACCTTTTATATTTGACAGACTTTGCAAAATCAAATTATGAATTATGTCTTTCTCCAACCTAATTTATCCTTTAAGACATTAGGTTCTCTAAAGTCCAAAAATGATGAAATTTGGCTTATTTGGTATAAAAAGTTATACAGGAAGCATTGTCAAATATGAAATGGTGTTTGGGTTTCTTTGGGCTGTATTTGTGTAAATACATTATTGGTATGTGTTCCAAATACACATACCAATAAATTGGTATGTGTACCAAATAAATATATTATTGGTATGTGTTCCAAAGTTATGGGAAACTCCTGTAATTCTGGTATAACTTCGTGTACATTATCAGTAATAATCATAATTGCTATGTTAAAATTATTGTGTAGCACAGATGTAACAAATTTCCTTGTCAATTGTGCCTTTTAACTATGGCTGCCTTAAAACTTATTTTCATCCATGGATAATTGTTGTCTTGTTTCAGTCCTCTTTAAAAGATGGTTTTATAATCAGCTATAAATCTCCAACAGGTGTTCTTGAATGCAGGTTTCCAATAACTTTGGAAGCTGCGACATGAGAATAGAGGAAAAACTTTCAGGACTCATGGAGAGCTAAAACGATCATGAGTATCAGGCAGAACAGGAATTAACTGCATGGACTGAACCAATCTTTTTGACTTTTTGCTTAATATGTTTGCTGATCCTTTTTGTTTATTTGTTTTTCAGAGTCTTAAAACTTTTCTTTGAGCTATTGACAGCTTTTAACAATTTAGTATACTCCTATAAACAAAATTTGGAGCATATTTTTTTCTCTCTACCTGATTTCTCCAGAATTGGAAACTACTTGTGAGTGTTCTTAACTTACAATACAGTTATTTGCATAAGTGCAATAATGTGTTTTCATTTGTAACAGGACACAATTGGAGAAACTGGTTATTCTACCAACGCTTTGACTGGAATGGTGTGCTTTCCTTTAAGGAATTAAACTTGACTTATGGAGCCAATAAAGCCCTTGGAAAAACTGGCCTCATATTTTGTGTACACAGTCCCTGTACAGGGTTTCTGACCTGTGGTAAATAAAGAATATCACTTCCTCACAAGCTCAGAAGCCCCAGGCTTATCTTGGAACCTCAAGAGGAGAGGAAATTTCACCCAACTCATGGGTATTTGATGGCACAGATCTGTGGCTGGGCTAGGCTTTAAAAAGTCTTATCTGAGATTCCTCTTATGGAATCCCCCTTCTCCTTTGTTTTTCTTCCTTTCTTTACAGATTCAAGAGATAATCAGCTAAGAGCCAGGCACTCTTTTAGTCCCATAAGAAACATTTTACAACCTGCTCTCTCTCTGAAGTCTGCATCTGAGAGATGCCTCTGCACAATAAAACTTGGTCTCCACAATTCTTTATCTTAACCTGAACATTCCTTTCCATTGATCCCAGGTCTTCAGATAAACAACCAATTGTCAATCAGAAAATGTTTAAATCTACCCATAGCCTGGAAGCCCTCCTTTGAGCTGTCCCACCTTTCTGAACCAAAACAATATATTTCTTAATTGTATTTGATGGATGTCTCATGCCTCCCTAAAACACATAAAATCAAGCTGTACCCCGTCCACCTTGGGTGCATGTTCTCAGGACCTCCTGAGGGCTGTGTCATGTGGCCATAGTCACTCATATTTGGCTCAGAATAAATCTCTTCAAATATTTTACAGAGTTTGAGTCTTTTGGTGAACAACCTGTTGTTAGATTCCAGTCGTGACTAATTTTTTTTTTCCAATTTTTATTATTTTCTACAGTCTGGACCAAATTTTTACTTTTCTTGGCTACAAGTCTTCAAAATAATGTTTTCAATTTTTTTCCTTCTCTTTTTTATTTTTCCTACTTTGGAGTCACTGAAAACTAATGGTGCTTTCTTAAAACCCTGCGAACTGAAGTCAGACAACCTAAAGTTCACCTATTTATGTACATAAGCCACTTTCATACCTACCTACTAATGTATGGACTTCAGAGTAATGAGGCCTGTGTCAATTTTTCCAGGGTTGTTATTTTGTTGTTGTTTTTTCTCCCTTCCTCTCCCCTGTTTTCTCTTCACAGGACTGAGACTTCATGACCTGCTAAAAATGAGCTTTTCGGACCTACCCATCTAGGAATAAACTGTCCTAGCCATGAGAGATCAGATGAAACCTGAGGCCAGAGACTCATTTTCTTGTAAAATGCTTTCTCCAAAAGATTTTAAAAAAGAAAAGGGGAGAAATGTGAAAGGAAAATATTTTGGGCCCCTAAAATCACTAAAGAAAACTCAAGCTGGAAACTGCTTAGGGCAAACCTGCCTCCCATTCTATTCAAAGTCACTCCTCTGCTCATTGAGATAGAGGCATATCTCATTTGCCTCCTTTGGAAGGGCTAACCAGAAACTCAAAATAACGTAACCATTTCTGTATCACCTATCTGTGACCTGGAAGCTCCCTCCCCACTTCCAGTGTTCCTGCCTTTGCTTCAACTTGTCCCGCCTTTCCAGACTGAACCAATGTACTTCTTACATATATTGATTGATGTCTCATATCTCCCTAAATGTATAAAACCAAGATGTGCCCTGACCACCTTGGGCACATGTCATCAGGACTTCCTGAGGCTGTGACACAGGTGCACCTTCAACCTTGGCAAAATAAACTTTCTAAATTAACTGAGACTGTCTCAGATTTTCTGGGTTCACAACTTTCACTTTGGAATTTTAAAAATCATTTCTTCATTTGGGGGTAGTATATGGTAAAGAAGTAATTTTAGATCATTGTGTTATTAAAAACGGTTGCATTGACTTTATAACCATGGCATGTTCATAACATATAAAACTAAATTTTTACTCTCTCCCCTTTAACAAGTGACATATTTTAGCTCTTATCATTCATGCTGAGAATATTTTCTACATGACAGGATAATACAGAGAGCTTCAGTTTCCCCTGTGCAGATGTGGATTATCCTTATCATTCCTAAATAAAATGCCATTTGAAAAAAATCATCACTAAATGTTTTTTTTCTTTTCATATAGGTATTTGAAATACTGGAGATACTTTGACATGCAATATGAGAAAGCTAAAGAATGGAACTTTTGTATCTGTTGAAAATCAAGTTGAAATAAAATTCAAGAATTATCATCTCCAGGATGTCCTTTCAAATCCCAACATATACACTAGATTACATCCCCCTGCTACATATTCTCATAATCATGTAAACCTTTTATTTTGGGAATGACACAGGAGCCGAAAACAGAAGTCACATGGGAGCTGAGATCCTGCATATGTCCAATCATACCAGTCCCTCTCCTCACAACCCTCCATGGGTGTCATTTCACTCAGAGCAAAAATCAAAGTCTTAACACTTGCTTAGAAGGCCCGGACCTCAATTCCTGCCCTCTTCCCCTTTGCGTGTTCCACTCGAGCTTCCTTGCAGTTCTCAAACATGCCAAACCCTTTTTCTTATCAAGGCCTTTGCTCTTGACCTTCCCTCTTCCTGGAGCACATTGCCTGATATGTGTATGACCCATTCTTTTATTTCTTTCAGATCTCTGCAGAAATGTTAACTTCTTGGTGATACTGACTTAAGGAGCATTCCATGTAAAATATCACCAGCAGTGTCACTCCCTGTCTCCTTTCTCTTTCTTGATTTTTCTCTATAATACTTATGAAAGTCTAACTTAGTATCTATATATTGGTTTATCTGTTCTCTGATATTGCACAAGGATTAAAACCATTTAATTCACTCCTCTATGCCCACTACTTAGAGCAATGCTTAGCAGGCAATTTGTGCTTAGTAACTGTTTGCTAAATATGAATGCATAGCATGTATTTAGTTTGTACTTGTATTATTGTGTGATAATTTGATTGAAGTTTGTTTTAGTCAAAACTGTAAACTCTAACTCAGAGTCTTTATCTGTTTTTATCCTTTTATCTATTTATGTAGAAAGAGTGCATATATATTTTTTTCCATAGGTTTGGGGGGACTAGGTGGCATTTGGTTACATGATCAGTGGTCATTTGTGAGGTTTTGGTGCACCCATCATCCAAGCAGTATACACTGAATGCAATTTGTAGCACTTTATCACTTACTCACTTCCCACCCTTTCCCCTCAAGTCACCGAAGTCCATTGTGTCATTCTTATGCCTTTGCATCCTCATAGCTTAGCTCCCACTTATGAGTGAGAACATAAGGTGTTTGGTTTTTCATTCTTGAGTTACTTCACTTAGAATAATAGTTTCCAGTTCCATCCAAGTTGCTGTGAATGCCATTAATTCATTCCTTTTTATGGCTGAGTTGTATTCCATTATATTTATATATTATGTGTGTATGTGTGTGTGTGTATATACATATATATATGTGTGTGTATATATATATTATATATATATCGGTTTCTTTACTCATTGATTGGTGGGCATTTGGACTGGTTCCTTATTTTTGCAATTGCAAATTGTGCTGCTACAAACGTGCATGTGCAGGAATCTTTTTGTATAATGACTTGTTTTCAAGAGTGTGCCTATACTATATTAGCAGCGTTCTACAGACTACACAAAAACTTTTGTTTTCATAGAGCCTACATTCTAAAGGTCACTAATTAATTACTTACATATAACATAGTGACTGCTACTTAGTACAATGTGGCTGGTTGTATTTCCCAAATAAGACGTAACATTTCCCATATGTTAGGAGTTGAATTGTGACCCAGCAAAAGACATAATGAATTCCTAACTCCCAGTACCTCAGAATGTAACCAAACTTGGAAATAAGGTCATTACAAATGTAATTAGTTCAGATGAGGCCATACTAGAGAGTAGGATGAGCCTTTAATGCAATGTGACTGGTGTCCTCAGAAGAAAAGCAGAAAGAGACAGACAGCAAGAGGATGTCATGTGACAATGGAAGCAGAGATTGAAGTTATGCAGCTACAAGCCAAAGATCGCTGTCAACAGCAGAAGCTAAGAGAAAGGTGTCGAACAGTTTCTTTCTTGAGCTATTGAAAGGATATGGCCCTGCAACACCTTGATTTCAGACTTCCAGCCTCTAGAACCGTGAGAATAAAACTTTCTGTTGTTTTAAGTTACCCATTGTGTGGTACTTTGTTGCAACAGTCCTAGGAAACTAATATAGCATCCCACATGTTCTTCTTCAAATGTGACCTTGGCACTCATTCCATCAAGTAGGAGGGACTTCTCCCCTTGAACTTGAGTGAATGTTTATCACTGTCTCAACCACTACAAAGGAAGTGATGTCATGTGACTTCTGAAGCTAGGTCATAAACATGTCGTCCACTTTTGCATTGTTCTGTTGGGATCCCGGCTCTTGAAATCTATTCACATGCTGTGTGGAAGCCCAAGCAGTCAATGTCGCAGCCTGTGTGGAAAGGTACCAAAGTACCTGGCCCAGAGCCTTGACTGAACTCCCAGCCAACACCAACTTGCCAGCCATGTGGGTGAATTATCTTTAAGGTGGATTCTCCAGCTCCCAGTGAAGCCACCCCAGCTAAAATTATGTGGAGCAAAGATGAACTATCCCCATTGAGCCCTTCCAAAATATAGATTCATGAGCAAAATAAATGATTGTTTTTATGTTAAGCCAAATTTAGGGATAGTTTATTACACAGCAATAGAAAACCAATGCATACATGTTAATTATTTAGTGAATGAACAAATAAACAAATCCCCACTTCATACTGCCAACATGGCTTAGTGACATTAAGTACATCCCTCAAAACTGATCTAATTTAGAGGGAGGAGCCAAGATGGCCGAATAGGAACAGCTCCGGTCTACAGCTCCCAGCGTGAGCGACGCAGAAGACGGGTGATTTCTGCATTTCCATCTGAGGTACCGGGTTCATCTCACTAGGGAGTGCCAGACAGTGGGCTCAGGCCAGTGTGTGCACGCACCGTGCGCGAGCCGAAGCAGGGCGAGGCATTGCCTCACCTGGGAAGCGCAAGGGGTCAGGGAGTTCCCTTTCCGAGTCAAAGAAAGGGGTGACGGACGCACCTGGAAAATCGGGTCACTCCCACCCGAATATTGCGCTTTTCAGACCGGCTTAAAAAACGGCGCACCACGAGACTATATCCCACACCTGGCTCAGAGGGTCCTACGCCCACGGAATCTCGCTGATTGCTAGGACAGCAGTCTGAGATCAAACTGCAAGGCGGCAACGAGACTGGGGGAGGGGCGCCCGCCATTGCCCAGGCTTGCTTAGGTAAACAAAGCAGCCGGGAAGCTCGAACTGGGTGGAGCCCACCACAGCTCAAGGAGGCCTGCCTGCCTCTGTAGGCTCCACCTCTGGGGGCAGGGCACAGACAAACAAAAAGACAGCAGTAACCTCTGCAGACTTAAGTGTCCCTGTCTGACAGCTTTGAAGAGAGCAGTGGTTCTCCCAGCACGCAGCTGGAGATCTGAGAACGGGCAGACTGCCTCCTCAAGTGGGTCCCTGACCCCTGACCCCCGAGCAGCCTAACTGGGAGGCACCCCCCAGCAGGGGCACACTGACACCTCACACGGCAGGGTATTCCAACAGACCTGCAGCTGAGGGTCCTGTCTGTTAGAAGGAAAACTAACAAACAGAAAGGACATCTACGCCGAAAACCTATCTGTACATCACCATCATCAAAGACCAAAAGTAGATAAAACCACAAAGATGGGGAAAAAACAGAACAGAAAAACTGGAAACTCTAAAACGCAGAGCACCTCTCCTCCTCCAAAGGAACGCAGTTCCTCACCAGCAACAGAACAAAGCTGGATGGAGAATGATTTTGACGAGCTGAGAGAAGAAGGCTTCAGACGATCAAATTACTCTGAGCTACGGGAGGACATTCAAACCAAAGGCAAAGAAGTTGAAAACTTTGAAAAAAATTTAGAAGAATGTATAACTAGAATAACCAATACAGAGAAGTGCTTAAAGGAGCTGATGGAGCTGAAAACCAAGGCTCGAGAACTACGTGAAGAATGCAGAAGCCTCAGGAGCCGATGCGATCAACTGGAAGAAAGGGTATCAGCAATGGAAGATGAAATGAATGAAATGAAGCGAGAAGGGAAGTTTAGAGAAAAAATAATAAAAAGAAATGAGCAAAGCCTCCAAGAAATATGGGACTATGTGAAAAGACCAAATCTACATCTGATTGGTGTACCTGAAAGTGATGTGGAGAATGGAACCAAGTTGGAAAACACTCTGCAGGATATTATCCAGGAGAACTTCCCCAATCTAGCAAGGCAGGCCAACGTTCAGATTCAGGAAATACAGAGAACGCCACAAAGATACTCCTCGAGAAGAGCAACTCCAAGACACATAATTGTCAGATTCACCAAAGTTGAAATGAAGGAAAAAATGTTAAGGGCAGCCAGAGATAAAGGTCGGGTTACCCTCAAAGGAAAGCCCATCAGACTAACAGCGGATCTCTCGGCAGAAACCCTACAAGCCAGAAGAGAGTGGGGGCCAATATTCAACATTCTTAAAGAAAAGAATTTTCAACCCAGAATTTCATATCCAGCCAAACTAAGCTTCATAAGTGAAGGAGAAATAAAATACTTTATAGACAAGCAAATGCTGAGAGATTTTGTCACCACCAGGCCTGCCCTAAAAGAGCTCCTGAAGGAAGCGCTAAACATGGAAAGGGACAACCGGTACCAGTCGCTGCAAAATCATGCCAAAATGTAAAGACCATTGAGACTAGGAAGAAACTGCATCAACTAATGAGCAAAATCACCAGCTAACATCATAATGACAGGATCAAATTCACACATAAGAATATTAACTTTAAATATAAATGGACTAAATTCTGCAATTAAAAGACACAGACTGGCAAGTTGGGTAAAGAGTCAAGACCCATCAGTGTGCTGTATTCAGGAAACCCATCTCACGTGCAGAGACACATATAGGCTCAAAATAAAAGGATGGAGGAAGATCTACCAAGCAAATGGAAAACAAAAAAAGGCAGGGGTTGCAATCCTAGTCTCTGATAAAACAGACTTTAAACCAACAAAGATCAAAAGAGACAAAGAAGGCCATTACATAATGGTAAAGGGATCAATTCAACAAGAGGAGCTAACTATCCTAAATATTTATGCACCCAATACAGGAGCACCCAGATTCATAAAGCAAGTCCTGAGTGACCTACAAAGAGACTTAGACTCCCACACATTAATAATGGGAGACTTTAACACCCCACTGTCAACATTAGACAGATCAACGAGACAGAAAGTCAACAAGGATATCCAGGAATTGAACTCAGCTCTGCACCAAGCGGACCTAATAGACATCTACAGAACTCTCCACCCCAAATCAACAGAATATACATTTTTTTCAGCACCACACCACACCTATTCCAAAATTGACCACATAGTTGGAAGTAAAACTCTCCTCAGCAAATGTAGAAGAACAAAAATTATAACAAACTATCTCTCAGACCACAGTGCAATCAAACTAGAACTCAGGATTAAGAATCTCACTCAAAGCCGCTCAACTACATGGAAACTGAACAACCTGCTCCTGAATGACTACTGGGTACATAACGAAATGAAGGCAGAAATAAAGATGTTCTTTGAAACCAACGAGAACAAAGACACCACATACCAGAATCTCTGGGACGCATTCAAAGCAGTGTGTAGAGGGAAATTTATAGCACTAAATGCCTACAAGAGAAAGCAGGAAAGATCCAAAATTGACACCCTAACATCTCAATTAAAAGAACTAGAAAAGCAAGAGCAAACACATTCAAAAGCTAGCAGAAGGCAAGAAATAACTAAAATCAGAGCAGAACTGAAGGAAATAGAGACACAAAAAACCCTTCAAAAAATCAATGAATCCAGGAGCTGGTTTTTTGAAAGGATCAACAAAATTGATAGACCGCTAGAAAGACTAATAAAGAAAAAAAGAGAGAAGAATCAAATAGACACAATAAAAAATGATAAAGGGGATATCACCACCAATCCCACAGAAATACAAACTACCATCAGAGAATACTACAAACATCTCTATGCAAATAAACTAGAAAATCTAGAAGAAATGGATACATTCCTCGACACATACACTCTCCCAAGCCTAAACCAGGAAGAAGTTGAATCTCTGAATAGACCAATAACAGGCTCTGAAATTGTGGCAATAATCAATAGTTTACCAACCAAAAAGAGTCCAGGACCAGATGGATTCACAGCCGAATTCTACCAGAGGTACAAGGAGGAACTGGTACCATTCCTTCTGAAACTATTCCAATCAATAGAAAAAGAGGGAATCCTCCCTAACTCATTTTATGAGGCCAGCATCATTCTGATACCAAAGCCGGGCAGAGACACAACCAAAAAAGAGAATTTTAGACCAATATCCTTGATGAACATTGATGCAAAAATCCTCAATAAAATACTGGCAAACCGAATCCAGCAGCACATCAAAAAGCTTATCCACCATGATCAAGTGGGCTTCATCCCTGGGATGCAAGGCTGGTTCAATATACGCAAATCAATAAATGTAATCCAGCATATAAACAGAGCCAAAGACAAAAACCACATGATTATCTCCATAGATGCAGAAAAAGCCTTTGACAAAATTCAAAAACCCTTCATGCTAAAAACTCTCAATAATTTAGGTATTGATGGGACGTATTTCAAAATAATAAGAGCTATCTATGACAAACCCACAGCCAATATCATACTGAATGGGCAAAAACTGGAAGCATTCCCTTTGAAAACTGGCACAAGACAGGGATGCCCTCTCTCACCGCTCCTATTCAACATAGTGTTGGAAGTTCTGGCCAGGGCAATCAGGCAGGAGAAGGAAATAAAGGGTATTCAGTTAGGAAAAGAGGAAGTCAAATTGTCCCTGTTTGCAGACGACATGATTGTTTATCTAGAAAACCCCATTGTCTCAGCCCAAAATCTTCTTAAGCTGATAAGCAACTTCAGCAAAGTCTCAGGATACAAAATCAATGTACAAAAATCACAAGCATTCTTATACACCAACAACACACAAACAGAGAGCCAAATCATGAGTGAACTCCCATTCACAATTGCTTCAAAGAGAATAAAATACCTAGGAATCCAACTTACAAGGGATGTGAAGGACCTCTTCAAGGAGAACTACAAACCACTGCTCAAGGAAATAAAAGAGGACACAAACAAATGGAAGAACATTCCATGCTCATGGGTAGGAAGAATCAATATCGTGAAAATGGCCATACTGCCCAAGGTAATTTACAGATTCAATGCCATCCCCATCAAGCTACCAATGACTTTCTTCACAGAATTCGAAAAAACTACTTTAAAGTTCATATGGAACCAAAAAAGAGCCCGCATCGCCAAGTCAATCCTAAGCCAAAAGAACAAAGCTGGAGGCATCACACTACCTGACTTCAAACTATACTACAAGGCTACAGTAACCAAAACAGCATGGTACTGGTACCAAAACAGAGATATAGATCAATGGAACGAACAGAGCCCTCAGAAATAATGCCGCATATCTACAACTATCTGATCTTTGACAAACCTGAGAAAAACAAGCAATGGGGAAAGGATTCCCTATTTAATAAATGGTGCTGGGAAAACTGGCTAGCCATATGTAGAAAGCTGAAACTGGATCCCTTCCTTACACCTTATACAAAAATCAATTCAAGATGGATTAAAGATTTAAACGTTAGACCTAAAACCATAAAAACCCTAGAAGAAAACCTAGGCATTACCATTCAGGACATAGGCGTGGGCAAGGACTTCATGTCCAAAACACCAAAAGCAATGGCAACAAAAGCCAAAATTGACAAATGGGATCTAATTAAACTAAAGAGCTTCTGCACAGCAAAAGAAACTACCATCAGAGTGAACAGGCAACCTACAACATGGGAGAAAATTTTCGCAACCTACTCATCTGACAAAGGGCTAATATCCAGAATCTACAATGAACTCAAACAAATTTACAAGAAAAAAACAAACAACCCCATCAAAAAGTGGGCGAAGGACATGAACAGACACTTCTCAAAAGAAGACATTTATGCAGCCAAAAAACACATGAAAAAATGCTCATCATCACTGGCCATCAGAGAAATGCAAATCAAAACCACTATGAGATATCATCTCACACCAGTTAGAATGGCAATCATTAAAAAGTCAGGAAACAACAGGTGCTGGAGAGGATGTGGAGAAATAGGAACACTTTTACACTGTTGGTGGGACTGTCAACTAGTTCAACCATTGTGGAAGTCAGTGTGGCGATTCCTCAGGGATCTAGAACTAGAAATACCATTTGACCCAGCCATCCCATTACTGGGTATATACCCAAAGGACTATAAATCATGCTGCTATAAAGACACATGCACACGTATGTTTATTGCGGCATTATTCACAATAGCAAAGACTTGGAACCAACCCAAATGTCCAACAATGATAGACTGGATTAAGAAAATGTAGCACATATACACCATGGAATACTATGCAGCCATAAAAAATGATGAGTTCATGTCCTTTGTAGGGACATGGATGAAATTGGAAACCATCATTCTCAGTAAACTATCGCAAGAACAAAAAACCAAACACCGCATATTCTCACGCATAGGTGGGAATTGAACAATGAGATCACATGGACACAGGAAGGTGAATATCACACTCTGGGGACTGTGGTGGGGTCGGGGGAGGGGGGAGGGATAGCATTGGGAGATATACCTAATGCTAGATGACACGTTAGTGGGTGCAGCGCACCAGCATGGCACATGTATACATATGTAACTAACCTGCACTATGTGCACATGTACCCTAAAACTTAAAGTATAATAAAAAAAAAAAACATTAAAAAAAAAAAAAAAAGGAAAATAAAATAATTGCTTCTGAAAAAAAAAAAAAAAAAAAAAAAAACTGATCTAATTTAAACCTGAAAGGTTGTTTATTCTGTAAGTTCTAAATAGACATTATAAATTGCACGCACTGATATCAACAACAGACTAAGAATCTGGAGAGGCTTGAGAGAATGGATGCAGTGGTGATGTAGAGACCACTCTGAAGGGAATGAGACACAATTCCTCTACAATGGAGCGATGGAGGTAAGGACTTGTGCAACTGTAGGACTCTCTTATAATGATATTTGACAAAGTTGAGCATGTGACTATTCTAAATAGTATGAACTTCTATCCAAAGGTATAACAAGGTTTTGCAGAGGCCTGAAGCTTATACAATTTGAGGTGCTCACTTCTAGAAAAAGAATCCAAAAACGTATATTAAAAACAAGTCTTATTGATGGATATTATTTTGAATGAGAAAAATCACAAGTCATAAGTCTTAAAACGTTGACAAAGACCAGAATAATAATATGTTTATTAACTGCCTAGCATTCATTTATGTTTTTCTGTATTTTTTGGCTGCATTCTCTTTGATCATCTTTTCATAGGGCAAAAATTTTATAATATTTTCTATAGATGGAATAAAAAATAATTATTATTTCCTCTAGCACGATTAAAAGGAATTTGGTTTTTTAACTATTGTTAGTTTGGGAAAGTGTCTTTTATCTCTACAATTCATTATAAGAAATGCCTTGTACGTTTTTACAATTTTTGTCAAATTTTTAAAATCTCTATCATCAAGTTTCTTTCATTGTAAAGGAAAGATTTGGGAAATTTTCCCACAGACTAGCTTCTGATTCCAGACATTTTAATCCTTGCTTCTCATCCACTAATCACTTACTTCTATTCCTGGTCCCATGAGACAATTTATATGCCAAAATAACCTCTGGTCCTGTATACCTTCATATCATAACAATGGGTTAACTGACACAGCAGGTGACAGACATATTCCTAGAACCCGTTGCTACACTAGGATAGCTAATAGCTGATAATAACCATGCAGAAATGACTACAAGCCACATAAATATTATGCACGAAAGATAAACTAATTATATTTCCTATTCTACTCTCAATTAGCTTCACCTCATATCTGTCTCTGCTTCCATCTATTCCACCTCCTTCCTCTTTCTTGCCCTACCAAACATCAATACACACACACACACACACACACACACACACACACGTACATCTTTATTATCAGAGTTTAAGTCTTTGATCTTTATTAAAGTTGTTAAATGCATGAAGTGTTAGAGTCAATTTTATGGTCAGGCTTCTTTAAGATAAAAGCCAAGAGAATTACTGTCTCCTAATATAGGAAGGCTTAATCAGAACCTAATTAGGGAAGAAATATAATTGAGAAATTAAGATTAATTTTGGCCAATTTCAGTGTTACTTGGTTTCCTGGTAGTTTCCACAGAGATAGATTAAATCAATGCCTAATATACTAGGTTTTAGAAATTTGTCATTACGAAATATCTAGAGATTTGCACAAAGATTGATTTAAAGGATGATTGGGGAAATGAAGGACTAAAAGTGGAGGATGAACAGGGAGTATTAAAATATTGTCAATTATTCACTTCTCAAAAGAAGACATTTATGCAGCCAACAGACACATGAAAAAATGCTTATTATCACTGGCCATCAGAGAAATGCAAATCAAAACCATAATGAGATACCATCTCACACCAGTTAGAATGGCAATCATTAAAAAGTCAGGAAACAACAGGTGCTGGAGAGGATGTGGGGAAATAGGAACACTTTTACACTGTTGGTGGGACTGTAAACTAGTTCAACCATTGTGGAAGACAGTGTGGCGATTCCTCAAGGATCTAGAACTAGAAATACCGTTTGACCCAGCAATCCCATTACTGGGTATATACCCAAAGGATTATAAATCATGCTGCTATGAAGACACATGCACACATATGTTTATTGCGGCACTATTCACAATAGCAAAGACTTGGAACCTATAATAAAAAAAAAAAAAGTCTGGAAAAAATAACAATGAAAAAAAAAAAAAGACTTGGAACCAACCCAAATGTCCATCAATGATACACTGGATTAAGAAAATGTGGCACATATATACCATGGAATACTATGCAGCCATAAAAAGGATGAGTTCATGTCCTTTGTAGGGACATGGATGAAGCTGGAAACCATCATTCTCAGCAAACTATCGCAAGGACAAAAAACCAAACACCACATGTTCTCACTCATAGGTGGGAACTGAACAATGTGAGAACACTTGGACGCAGGAAGGGGAACATCACACACTGGGGCCTGTCATGGGGTGGGGGTAGGGGGGAGGGATAGCATTAGGAGATATACCTAATGTAAATGACCAGTTAATGGGTGCAGCACACCAACATGGCACATGTATACATAAGTAACAAACCCGCATGCTGTGCACATGTGCCCTAGAAGTATAATAATAATAAAATAAAATAAAATTTTGTCAATTATTACATTTCATTGAATGTAATAATTTAGAAATTTAGAACTCTAATAATGTGGATATTGGATGTGATGGGCGTGTGTGTGTGGGTGACTGTATATGTGTGTGTGTGTGAGAGAGAGAGAGACATTGTTTTGTTTGGGTTTTGGTTTTTATTGCCTTTTTATTTGGGATATTCTAGGAAAAACAAGTTGAAATATTTATAGGATAACCTTATAAAATAATATATAATTCCAAGCTGATAGAAGTCTGAGTAACTTTTTTTTTCCTTTTTTTTTTTTTTTTTTTGAGACAGAGTCTTGCTCTGTTGCCCAGGCTGGAGTACAGTGGCATGATCTCAGCTCACTGCATCTCCCTGGTTTAAGCAATTCCCCTGCCTCAGCCTCCCAAGTAGCTGGGATTTCAGGCACACCACACCACACTCGGCTAATTTTTTTGTATTTTTAGTAGAGGCAGGGTTTCACTGTGTTGGCCAGACTGGTCTCAAACTCCTGACCTCAGGCAATCTGCCTGCCTCAGCCTCCCAAAGTGCTGGGATTACAGGCATGAGCCACCACGCCCAGCCCTGAGTAACATATTTTAAGAACATTCTTATTTGTCTGGCAAATAGTTTTCCAAATTCCCAAATGTCTACCCTTCACATTCAACTCTGGTCCTTGTAATTGCATGTATAATATGTGTGTGGTTTGAGAACACAAATACATAAATGCTTTCTAAGCTTCTA
The DNA here is from genome assembly GCF_000001405.40 of Homo sapiens. Lineage (NCBI taxonomy): Eukaryota > Metazoa > Chordata > Mammalia > Primates > Hominidae > Homo > Homo sapiens. The sequence continues at coordinate 143,109,518 of NC_000004.12, forward strand.
CTTCCAGTTCTGAGTAAATAAGATATAGAATAAAGAGCATAACAGACTGTTGTCCTGTTGTTGTATTATTCTGTTTTTCCTCCTGGCTCCCCTGCTAATGAGCTATGTTGTCTTGGACAAGAAACTTGGCCTCTTGGTGATTTCAAAAGTTTCTTCCAGACTTTTGTGGTGCCATAACCTTGTTTTAGCCTCCACTTATAATTTCTGGAAATCAGTTCTACTTTCTAATTCAAGTTCTCTGGGTGACTTTGTTGGCTGTGTACCTCTCAGTCACCAGATGTTTTCTTTACCATACTTGGCTCTGTTAGTATGATATAAAATAACCTCTGCTTTTTTGTGTTAAATAATTCTGAAGCATTCCATTGTTCCCCTCAACGACAGTTTTTTTCTTAATGTTATTCCATGGAAATCTTAACTCACATGCTTATATTTACATATTTATTTGTTTAAATTAAACCATGTTGTTTTAAAGTTTTCTGTGTTCAGCATTTCATTTAAATTTTATTTAAATTCTTTTTGAGTTATTTTCAAGATTTTCTTACAAAAATGTGATGATTATGGTTCTAGGGAAGTACATCAGAATATAAAGAATACAGACTCTGGAATCTCTCAAGACAGTTCACGCCAGCTTCAGTAATCTCCAGCTGTAGGTCTTCAGCAAGTGATTGTCACTTAACCTGTAGCCTGAAGCTCAATTTTCTCACCAATAAATGAGAGAAATTCTGGTATGTATCCCCGGGTTGTTATGAAACTTAAATACGGTTATGTGAGTAAAGGGAGTTTAACACAGCATCGAGCCCAAAATAAATATTTCATAAGTGTTAGCTATTATTTAAATTGAAGTTATTATTATTTATTTTCCTCATTCTAACTCAGTTAATACCATGAAACAAAAATGATAGGTTTGAACAGATAATCTCTACTTTCTTTACAAAAGACCAAGTAGTTTTTAAAGACTCATATATCAGATTAAATTCTAATTTTCTAGTAAGAAATAAGACTCAGTTTCATCAAAAAAAAGTTTTAAATTCAGTAAAAGCTGAGATGTACTTTGAGGATCATAGCTTAACTAAAAGAGGTATAAAGCTTTCAGAAGGTAATAGACAGTGAATACAAGCTAAAAGAAAACCTGGGAAATAATACAGATTTCTCAGGGATCTGAGCAAATAGGAGCTTGGAGAGTAAAAGACAGGAAGAGGTGTGCAGAGTTGTAATGCTACAAAACAAGCTTCCTGAGAAGACTTTCACTATCTCACCTGTTCATTCACTCTTAAATACACTCATCTATTTATTCACCTTACATTTATTAACAGAGCCTACTATGTGCCATATTCCCAGCACCGGGAATACACAAATGAACAAGATAATAATAATATTACTATAATAGCTAACTGAATGGGTTGCAATCATGGCATATTTTAAATGTTTTCCAGAGCTCACAATATTTACTCTAGCTAGCCATCTGATTTCCTGGGGTAGATAAGAATTTATTGCAGAAAGAATGGAAAGAGAAAGACTGAGTTAATGTTCAGTACTGACCTTCAAAAATATGATTTTGGCAGGTCATGGCGGCATGCATCTACAGTCCCAGCTACTCAGGAGGCTGAGGTGGGAGGACCACTTGAGCCCAGGAGTTAGAGTCCAGCCTGGGAAACATAGTAAGACCCTAAAAAATAAAAAATTAAAATTAAAATTAAAAATGTAATTATGCGCTTGAACCTTTGATTTAAAAAAGAGACTATTGGATTACAGCTCTCTGAGAGCCTAACAAAAGAAGCCACCTAAGCCCTGCCCAGATTCTTGTCCCAAGAAATTGTGAGATAAACAGGTATTGTTTTAAACTGCTAAGTTTGAGGTAATTTGTTATACAACAATAGATAACTGATACAGAGAATTATTCCTATTTTTCAGTAAATGCGTACTAATACCTAAATGTCATTGATGTTATTGGTAATTTTTTTCAGTAGGTATTTTAAGATTTATGCATGTGTGATTAGTCACACTTAATACCTGCTAGCCAAACATATATTATGAACCTATGACTGCCTATCTATATATAGCTCGCATACTCAACATCTGTAAGAAAGCATTTTGTATTACACCGAAGACTTGCCTGAGAGGGTGATTGAGTTTTGCTACTTACTACGAAGGAAGAAAACATGCGAAAAAGTGAATGTTACATATATAAAATTTTAAATCCCAAGATAAATTCTTAGAGAGTGGTGACCTAGAAGGCAGGAAGATTACTTTAAAGCCTGGTTCAAGTTTAGCTTTACTGAACACAGAATTTCAAGTTTGAATAAATTAGGTGTATCAGATTATGACCAGAATAAAATTATGGGGTGTAGGTAAAATAAACAAAATATTTTGTTGCCATAGCAAGCCAGGTGTATTTCTATAGAAAGGTATTGGAGTAAAAACACTAGCTGGCAAATGCACAGTAATTTCATGCTTGTTCAACAGCTTGCAGTAACATTAATTCCTGGTAATCACTAGTAATTAAGATAACTGTTTTTCCAGTCCTATCCACTTGCAATATGAAAAACAAACTACTTCAACATCACTTTATATTTTTACTTAAGAACTGGCTAGAACAATCTTTAGATTACAAAGTATTTACTGAGAACCATTTGTTTCGTTCAACTAATGCTTAATGAGTGTAATGCCAGGTACTAGAAGTGGGGAATAAAATGATAAAAGATGCAGTCCCTGCCCCAAAGAAGTTTTGATTCTAATGGGGCTCCTTTAATATCCTTTTATGTCCTCAGCTCTATACTAAGCCCTGCTGGTAATTTGTACTAATGATATGCCAGGTTCTTTACCTAAAGAAATTTGACTGTTGTTGGGGAAATGGAAATTAATATTCTTAAACTACTGATAACTCTGTTGAAACAGATTGTTCATGACATAAGATTTCAGAGAGAGAGACAGAGAGGTTCCTGATGGATGGAATAATCCAAAAAGTCTTATACAAGGACTCAAGCTTAGCCTGAAAGGATAGCTAGAGTTTAGAAAATCTAAAGAGGAACTAGAGGAAATTCTGGGCAAGGAAAATGTTCCTGAGAAAATGAGTGGAGATAGAAATGGAATTCGAATAGATTTTTTATGTTAGAGAAACACAAATAAAATGGGTCAATGCAGAGAAGCAGGGTTTTTTCTGATTAGGGTGGAGAATGTGGAAAATAAGAATGTCTGATGAAGGTACAGATTTCAGCTATAGATAATGTGTTTTTATTCTGAGTTTTCTCATTTAAAAATTGTGTTTGGAATGGGTATCATTTTCAGCAGAATCACTTGGTAATTTCAGTAATAAGTAGAAGCAATAAAATTCTTCTCTATGTAACGAAATACGTAAAATTATATTCTCTTCATAGCTGGTTCAACAAGTCTTATATAGATATTCTGAAAAGCAGATTGGAGAGATGAGACCCATAAAGGATGTGTTCATTTAAGAATAAATGGTTGTAATCAGTTTGTTGTTGTTGTTGTTGTTGTTTGGTTGGTTGGTCAGTCGGTCAGTCGGTCAGTTGGTAGGGTTGGTTTGGTTTGGTTTTGGTGTTTGCTTTCGTTTTTTGTAAGCACTAAGATGTTAGATTATGCTAAGTTGAGATATCATTGGATGACTACAGAGTCATCTCAGCCAGTATGTGAGGTAATCACACTCAAAGTATCATCATTTAATATATTAAAATACATTTAACATATTAAAATAATTTAATACATTAAAATCATGTATGATCATTCAAGAAATGCAGAATCCCATCAAGATATAAAAGAAGTTACCTGTGCCCTTGGTAGGTGTGCTGACTTCTCCCTTTTCAAATAAAAAAAAAAAGAATTGAATAAGGGTATAACTTTAGCCCAGGAATAATAGTTTGTGAAATCTAAAATGCGTGGACTCGAAGGGCCCTGTTTTCATACAGGATAATGTAGCTGTTGCTGAGGAAGACACACGCACATCTGCAAAAGCAGATTTCATGTCTCACTGTCAAATGTCTGGCCTAAAATAGTCACAATAGAATGAACATGAATTGGTGATGTAACCTCAACCTGTTTGAGATGACAAAATTGTTCTCTTAGTGGGAAGTGCCTTTTATACCTCAAAATGGTTTTAGATGAAAGAAATAATGAAGTAAATGAAATCACAGTATTAATACTTTGGAGATAATGAATAAAGTTCTGAAATTGATGCTTAAATGAATTAGTGCATTGGAGAATGTAACATTGGCTTCGTGATTCTAATAAAAAATGTATAATTGATTTTAGATTTGTGATTGTGAAGTTGAAAGGCATGAGACTTTAACTTAGGTCACAGGATTTTACTCCTCATTGAGTGATTGTATCTCTGGAGAGTATAAAGAAATCAGATTTTAAGGTCTCTTAAAGGATCTCTGTTTTGACTAGCTTATAGAGATAAATCAAATATTTTGATTTATCTAATGTTTTGATTAGCTTATAGAGATAAATCAAATATTTCTAATATCCTGAGAAAATATGGAAATTGAACTTTTAATATTTTAAATGTGCTAGACTTCTACCAGAATAATTTTCTGTGCCTTATTTTGTGCTTTATTTTTCTGTGCTTTATTTTGGCTTTATTGTGTCTCTGATTATTTAAGAGGAAAGGAAACAACAACAACAAAACACTACAGGTCTTCTTTGACAAAAAAGAAGAGTCTCAGAGGCTTATGGAAAGACTCTAACAGGTACTTTAAACTATTGACACTTCAAAGAATTAACTCTTAAGTACAAGTTTCTGGGCTGATGTTGCTTAGACAGCTACAAGTGAACTCAGTCAGGATTTCCAGGACTTTTCATGATTACCAATTATTAAAAATGAAATCAAAGAGACACATGCACATTTAGGTTTATTGCAGCACTATTTAGGTTTATTAGGTTTATTTAGGTTTATTGCAGCACTATTTACAATAGCAAAGACTTGAAACAAACCCAAATGCCCATCAATGATAGACTAGATAAAGAAAATGTGGAACAAATACACCACGGAATACTATGCAGCCATAAAAAAGAATGAATTCATGTCCTTTGCAGGGACATGGATGAAGCTGGAAATCATAATTCTCAGCAAACTAACACAGGAGGAGAAAACCAAACACCACATGCTCTCACTCATAAGTGGAAGCTGAACAGTGAGAACACATGGACACAGGGACGGGAACATCACACACCAGGGCCTGTTGCGGGGTGGGGGACAAGGGGAGGGAGAGCATTAGGACAAATACCTAATGCACGCAGGGCTTAAAACCTAGATACGGGTTGATAGGTGCAGCAAACCACCACAGCACATGTATACCTATGTAACAAACCTGCAGTTTATGCACATGTATCCTGGAACTTAAAGTAAAAAAAAAAACAAAAAACTTATCCACACACATTTGGTTGCACATTTGGTGTAATCAGAAAGTACCTGTTCCCCAAAAACTATTAAAATAAAACTCTAAAAAGAGGACTTATATAAAATAAATGAAGTCCACCAGTGAGTACTTTTGTACATATGAGCTTCCTTGTGATTTTTCTGAAGAACTAAAACATAAGGCAAAGGATGTTATATCTTATTATCTAACACTGTGAATTAGCACATTTGCAATTATAGCCCATATCATATAGGATTACTTTTCATTTCACTTCTCAGGAAAATGCTCTATAAATGTCCCCTTCTCCCACACAAATACATATTCTTTACCATAAAAATTTACCCCTCACATTTAACAGACTCATCATACATGGTGTTTACCGGTTTAATGGGTTGAATAGTGCCCCCTAAAATTAATGTCCACCCAAAACCTCAGAATGTGTGTGACCTTATTTGTAAATAGGATATTTGCTGATGTAATTGAAAGGATGGAGATGAGATCGTACTGGATTAGGGTGGGCCCTAAATCCAATAAAAGTGTCCTTATAAAAGACAGAAAAGGACATCCAGAGGTACAGGAAAGAAAGCCATATTAAGACAGAGACAGAGATCGAAGTGATGCAGCCACAAACCAAGGAATGCCAGGAGCTGCCAGAAAGTGGAAAAGGTAAGGAAGGATTCTCCCCTAGAGATTCTAGCGGGGAGAATGGCCCTGCTAACAGCTGCCCTTCAGAACAGTGAGAGAACACATTTCTGTTGTTTTAAGCCACCAAGTTTGTGGTAATCTGTCAGAGTAGCCCTAGGAATCTAACGCACCTGTTATTAATCATTACTAGTCCTTAGATGATGAGGCCCTGTTACATATACTTCAGCCTTCTGAAGCTCTGCTTGAGTGCATTTACCCATATTTAGAAACAAAATCATCTCAGAGATCAAATGACAAAATGCCCAAGACCTAATAGGATGTTTAATTTTATTACCCAACAAGTCTGAAGAGAAACAAAAATCATTATGTAGATTATATCCAATATCTCTAAGAAAATATGTCAAAACTTTAATTGGAAATGGGGCTTTAATATGTGTTTTAGCATTAATTTTCCTTTTGAAAAATTAAATTATGTATTTCTAGAATTCAGTTGGATTGTTATTAAATTTGTTATATATTTGCTTCTAAATTGTTCTTTATATTTTGAACTTCTTTGAATTGAATCCTTTCACTTTTGCCACTTCAATTATTTTTAGCTTGTTAGCCTTTAATTACTTTCAACCTTTCTTGCAAATTAGAAAAACCAGGGGAGCTTTCGAAAAATATCTATGCCTAGTCCCTATGCCTAGAGATTCTGCTTTAATTATTTTAAATGGAGCCTAGGCAGCAATATATTTTTCAAATCCATTTTTTTTCAGACTCCCTATGATTCCCACGTACACATAAAATTGAATGCTATTTGCTAAAACTACTAGCCTGCCAGATTAGCAGTGATTTTGTAGTAGATTGAATGAATTTGTATGCCAAGAGCTAATCTGGCAGGCTAGCAGTTTGTTTTTATTAACACTACATACTATTTAGAGATTTTATAAGACTTTTCATTAATGATAGACAATGATTTCACACAGTGAGATATTTTTTAAATGCAGGTAAAATAAGTTATTGAAAATGCCACACAATTATAGTTTTAAAATTAGAGCAGAAAGGAACCTAATGGGCCATGGACCCCAACTCTTCCAATTTATAAATAAGATCTTCTAGAAATGTATGAGATCTGTCCAAATTTAAACAGCTAGAAACTCACAGCATTAGATATTAAACCTGGTTTTCTGATTGCCTATCAACTATAAAGAGTTGTAATGATTTTTAAAAGCCCTACATTTGTCCTCATAAAAGCTAAGAAACAGAGAGGATTTAGTGTTTCACAGGTGGGTGAAAAAAATTTTTTTTCTAAACCTTAAACTTCACTGGATTTTTGTGTCTCATAGATAACTATTTCCTAGGTCAAAGACAGAAGCATTATAAAAGCTCACTTAAAAAAAAAGAATGATTATTCAATATTTGTATAAGAGTAAATGGGTTTTGACCCCATTAAATTTAAATTACACTTTTCAATATGGCAAATTAGCATGGGCTGCTGGCTGTCTCACCTCAAATCAACCCTGGAGAAACTGTAAAAGCAAGGGACAAACATGGGTTTTAGGTATTAACAGCAATTACAAAAGCCACAGGAGACATCCGTGGAGAAACTGAACACCATGTCTTGAACAGGTGTAACGGTTATGGAAACCTCTGATTTGTAGTCAAGTTGAACAGAAGTGTGGGAAGCTGGGGATCCACTACTTGCAATTGGCATCTTAAGTGGAAGGCAGTCTTGTAGGACTGATCCTTTAACCAATGGGGTCTGCACTAACTCTGGGAAGTTAGTGTCAGAATTAATTAAAGTTGAATTGTAGAACACTCAGTTGGTGTCCACAGAGAACTGGAAAATTGCAGTGTGTGAAAAACCCACACATTTGGTGTCACAAGTACTGTTAGTACAGAAACATGTATTTGGCCTTTAGTGACAAATATAATTTAGGCAAAATATATGTATATATGAATATATTTATATATATACATATATAATACATGTGTGTATTATACATATGCCTATATATACCCAGTATGAATATACATCTACATAATAAGGAAAGAAGGATATAATATACTGAAAAAAGAATGATAAAAAAGAAGAAATATTTATCGTAAATGTCAATGTACCTAACATCCTCAGATATAGGTGGTTGCCAAGCGGTTAGGAACAAAGAAGAAGCACTTGAATTTGGGATATATTTTGAAGGTAGAGCTGACAGGACTTGCTGATGGACTAGACTTGGGAGATGAGGAAAAGAAAAGAATCAAGAATTCGCTGAGATGGGGAAGAGGATGAGAAAAGCCAGTTGGCAAGGGGTGGCAGATGCTGGAAATTAAGTATTCAGTTCTGGACTTGCTAAATTTGAGATGCTTATTGACATCCAATTTGAGGCAACAAGCAGGCAGTTGGATACACAAGTCTAGTTCATGGAGAGGGCAGGAATGTAGGTAAAAATTTGGAAGTCGTTACCATATAGATAACATTGAAAGTGATGGGACTGGATTAGATTACCTAAGCAGAGCATAAATAGAGAAGAAACCCAGGCTGGGGACTGAAACCCGAACACCCCCAAATACACAGATCAAGCAGAGAATGCATGCAAGTGAAAGAGCCTGAAGAAAAGCCAGGGAGCTCTGAAGAAAACCAGGGCAATGTAGTGCCCTGAAAACCAAGTACGGTAAGTTTCAATAAGTGGGCAATCAGCTGAGTCAGATATTGCTGAGAATGTGAATAACATAAGGACAGAAAATTAACATTAGATTTGGCAAAAGGGAGGTAGTGGTTGACATCAATAAAAGCAGTTTCAATGAAGTAGTGGAGAAATAAATCTCTTGTAAGCTGGGTCAGTGTGAGACTTATCACCTCCAGGTAAATAAATCAAAGTCAGTTTTTGGACCAGCAAAACTGAACGTGATATGAACTACTGAGAGATGATTCCAGCTGGTGACATGCCACTGAGAGAATCAGTTGCCAACTCTTATGTATTCTATGTCACCTTTTGAAAACTCAGAGTAAAAACAGAAGTTTTAATATTATATTTTAAGTGCTCTGTGACACTTTATGCTTACAGTAGACTTTACGGTTATTGTAATCTAATGGTAAAGTCCTTTGCCAAGTGAAGAATCTGCTTAAAACCAGTAATTCCTATTTTTTGAATAAGTGAAAAATCTTAAATATATCTTTTATATGTTATTTTCATGAATGATGCACTTGGGAAGCAAAAAAGGTGGCCCAAATCACCGGGCAGTTGAAGGGCAGTTCCAGGCTTATAATAGAGGATAGAAAAAAGGGAAGATGTGAAAGCACAGAAAGTCATGCTTTCCTTTCATACTCTCCAGGGAATAATTTATTCAAGATTGAAAACCTATGCACAGACATGTGATCACAAAGAAACACACATTCTATTTCCTGGAGTGCTGAATCAAATGGGTCAGGAAGCAGGGATGCTCACTATAATTCATTAAAAGCCCTTCCTCTCTCTAGGACTCCTGACCCCTAATAAGGAAAAAATAAAAGAAAAAAGGGAATAAGAAAAAGTATCTAACTCACATATTCAAAATTTTTGGTCTTTCTCCATGAGCTTCTGTAGCCCCAAACCCATTCCCCATTCCTCAAACATATACATATTCTTTGCTTTTCTCATTCTTCTTTTCTGACCTGGACACAACTCTGAGAAAAGACTGAAAACTCTGAAAAAAAGGCTCCCAATATGACCAGTGTGGGTGAAAAGACAAAGTTCAGTCATAATGAAAACAAACCTATAAACTAACTGTGTCACCTTAGACAGTCCCTTAAGCCCCCGAGCCTGTTTGCTCAACTATTTAAAACAGAAAAAAAAAAAAAAAAACATTGATATTATTAACTCAATGGTGGTCTCTTCTAACTTTAAATTTCTATGACTTTAACAAGGAGGTCTGACACTTCAGCAGTTTACAAAACAATTGGAATAATTTCTAACTTTATCATAATTCATGTATGCCAAACTATCACCTCATTTATTCATGTACTTAACAAAAATATTAAATGTCTACTATATGTGAGGCACTGTGTTAGATCCAGAGAATGGAAAGACAGGCCCCTGCTCTTTAGAAGGCCATAGTTGAGTGAAGTTAAATTTTCCAAACAAATACTTCCCAATATGCTGTCCATGCCATATCAGAGTTCTATGCCAGTTGTGGTCCACAAAGAGAGAGCAACTAACTCTTGAGAAAGGGGAGGGGATGGTAAGGGAATCATTTGGAGGAAATTATGTTTGAGATGAACCTAGAACCCTTTTGACTGATAAAACATTTTTTTAAAATCTCAACCCCTGAAACAAAGCAAACAAACCAAAAGCCCTCTTTTTTTTCTTTGAGAAAAACAAATCTTTGTTTACTGTTTATTAATATATATGATCTGAAACCAAGCAATTCTAAAAATGAAGTTAGAAAAATTCATTCACAGGAAAGCATTGTTCATCTTGACATTTCATTCAGTTTTATTTGCTTGATTGAATCTTAAGTTATAAGCTTTTCACAATGATAAAACTTTTTAAACTCAAGAAAATAAAAACCCTATGGAGCGCTCAGAATTTTGTAATTTTAAATTAGCTTTATAATGTTATCAATATCCAAAGTATGGATCTTTGCATCTCCAAAGGTTGTCACAATGCCTGATGCATATTAGGTACCCCATAAATATTTGTTAAATTTAATTGAATAAGTAAAGAAATGAATGAAGGAGGCCAGGTGCAGTGGTTCATGCCTGTAATCTCAGCACTTTGGGAGGCCGAGGCGGGTGGATCACCTGAGGTCAGGAGTTCGAGACCAGTCTGGCCAACATGGTAAAACCCTATCTCCACTAAAAATTAGCCAGGCATGGTGGCATGAACCTGTAATCCCTGCTACTCAGGAGGCTGAGACAGGAGAATCTCTTGAACCTGGGAGGCAGAGGTTGCAGTGAGTTGCGATCACACCACTGCACTCCAGCCTGGGCAACAGAGCAAGACTCTGTCTCAAAAAAAAAAAGAATGGATGAATATGAGAGACATTGTCTAGAGAAGATATCAAAAGAGAGTTAACCAAAAAAGAATTTGTATTTAGTGTTTTTAAATGTAAAGATTAAATTTGGCCACAAATTATTTTAAGTCTCTCTCATCAAGAAGTGGAGTCTATTTTCCAATCACTTGAGTCAGGGCTGGATTGTGACTTGCTTTGACCAATAGAATTTGCCAAATTAATCCTAAGTGATTTATAAGTGTTGGTCTCAACCTTTAGAATTCTATTCTCATCCTTGAACCCCTGCCACCACTGCATATGATATGGTTTGTCTCTATGTCCCCACTCAAATCTCAACTCAAATTGTCATCCCCACGTGTCAAGGGAGGGAGGTGATTGGATCACGAGGGCAGTTTCCTCCATGCTATTCTCCTGATAGTGAGTGAGCTCTCACAAGATCTGATGGTTTTATAAGTGTTTAGAAATTCCTCCTTTGTTCTTCTTTCTCCTGCCACCTTGTGAAGAAAGTGCTTGCTTCCCCTTCACCTCCTGCTATGATTGTAAGTTTCCTGAGGCCTCCCTAGCCATGCAGACCTGTGAGTCAATTAAATCTCCTTTCTTTATAAATTACCCAGTCTCAGGTATTTCTTATAGCAGTGTGAAAATGGACTAATACAGCAAAAGAAACCCAAATTATCCTCGAAGAGATGACCTGTAGATAAGCAAAAGTATCCAGCCAACAGTCCCAGCTAACAACCAGACATACTCTCAGTGGAGCAGCCAGATTACTGCAGCCACAAAAGTGACCCCAGGAAAAATCAGTAGAAGAACACAGATGAATCCAACCAAACTGCATAATCATAAGTAAGTAAATGGGTTGTTGTTTTAAGCCACATCTGGGGGTGCTTTGTTATGCAGCAAAATAATTGATACAGAAATTTATACACAGAATTGGGATGCTGACTTAACAAAACACAAAATAGGCATCATTGGATTTTGTGCCAAGTCATGAGCAGTGGCCAAAAATGCAGCAAGAATGACAGAAGAAATGGTGAACAAACTGTTAGTGGTTCTGTGAGGCTGTGACTTTTTTTTATTGGAGTCTAGAAAAATGAAACTCATGGTATGTAGTGGGGGTATAATTGGTGAAACTGTTATCTGAAATAACTTGAAAGTTAGATCATGTACCTAAAGAATTTTGGGATCCAGCTAATGGGTTGTTATACAGAATATTGAAACTGTCAATTATCTTCTTCGGGCTAAGGTATGAGACATAAGAGATTACATAAAGAAGGAGTTTTTCAGTTTGAAAATAGAATATACAAAAAATCTAGAGGGCCCAGAACTTGATAACTTAGAATATAAAATTGTTCTCCATGCCAACCCTCTTCAGGAAAATTCTTAAAGCAAGAAATGACCTTCCTTAGAGTAAAGATTATCTCAAGAGTGTGGCTGTAAGACTCAAGGGTGTTAGCTAAGACCTCAGAAAGATTTAAGATTCTACCTAGTAGACTCTCTCAATTAGACAAATGGTTACTAAGAATCGTAAAGGTGTTTTTCTCCAGTATCTGTTGCTTCATTCTGATAGAGATCTGTTTCAAACCAAATCATGGATTTGAACTAAAAGTAACTAAGATTATTCAAATTGAAAAAAGGACTTCAATTTTCTACAGTGATGGACACTGTATTGCATCATCCAGATCCTACTTCAGGAATAAAGGATTTATCATTTAATATTTGGAAATGTTGCTCTGGCAGACATTCCTATGCTGCAGCCCCCTTTGGGACTTGCCATAACTAAAGAGAGTACTTTGATCAAAGTCATGCCTCTCTTAAGAGTCCCATATCCAATAACTGACAATTCTGTGTGTATAAAGGCCCAGCCCTTTCTCCCCAACTCAATCCAGCTTTATAACTACCCATACAGTTAGCTGAGTCCTCCATTCAGACTTCATTATAGCAGCTCATCATTTCCTTCTGCCCAATCAGGCTTTTTTTTTTTTATCCCTACCTCTCCACAGGCATTGATCCAACAAGCATTCCTAATAAGCCTCCCACACACTAATTTCCACCTAAGATTCTACTTTCTGGAGAACCCAATCTGCAAAATTTGGTACAAAGAGTGGGGAAAAGGAAAGTAGAGGTATGTGAATGTACGTATATAAAAGTAGTCATGAAATGTGAAAGTCTTTGTTTTGCATGTTAATTAATGCCTACTACAAAGCAAGCATCACAGAAGAGTCATTAAGCAATCAGGTAAACAAAATAATTCAGTAAGGTGATGGCAACTATTCTGTCATCAGCCATCTAGTGCTGGAACAATGGGCACCTGAACAGAGTAGCTTTGGTGTCAGGGATGAAGGAAATACATGAGTGCAGTAGCATAAACTCCCATTTACCAAGGCTTATCTAGCTACTACCACTTCTGAATGTCCAACCTGCCAATAATAAAGAACAATGCTGAGTCTTCCATATAGTACCATCTCTTGAAGAGGCCAGCCCACCATAAGCTGGCAAGTTGACAGCACTGGACCACTTTTACCCAGTGGACCACTGTTACCCTTTAGATGAAAATGAAAAAAAATTCTGGGTATTGGTTTTTCTTTTCTGCCTTCAGCACCTTAACCTGCACCTCTCCCAATGGGTTGACTGAATGATCTACCAGCATGTGATTACATATAATATTGCATCAGATTAAAGGATACACTTTTCAGCAAAGAAGGTGTGAGTACAAGTATATGACAATGAGATCCACTGGTCATATCACATATTACACCATCCTGAAGCAACTAGTTTAATAAAGCAATGGGATAGCCTGTTAAAGGCATACATGAAGCATGTTTGAATGAGATTCTTTTTGAATGTAGAGTTCCATCCTCCAAGACAGTGTACACTTCAAATCAGAAAGTTTTATATGGTGCCAGGTCCCTAGTAGAAAGAATATTTTTCTCTGGGAACCAAGGTGCTCTTGCTTCCTATTCTTCCCAGTGATCCATCTCAGGAATGTATACTTCTCATACCTTCAAGGCTAGGCTTTGTGGATTTAGAGGTACTGTTTCCCAAGGGAGAAAGCTTATACTAGAGTTTACAGCAAAAGTCCCATTGAACTATAAAGTATGACTGTCTGGGTATTTCAGTCAACTGTGTTAAAGGACCAGTAGGCAACAAGTCATAATTTTGGCAAGGATAATTGTCCCTGATCAACAGGGAGAGGTAGGAGTGCTGTTATGCTATAGGGACAGGAATAACATATGTGATAACAGGTGATACACTTGGGTATATTGTGATACTCCTTTGCCCAATTTTGATGGTAAACAGATAAGTGCAGTGACTCTGACCCAAGAAGGGCATGGTGGTCAGGGGCTCAAACCCCTCAGGAATGAGGGTCTGGCTGGACCATGCTACCAAATAAGCCACTGAGACTGAGACCACAGGTTCTAATTGAGGGTGAAGGCAATATAAAATGAATAATAAAGGAGGTAGAGAATGAGAATCATTGCAATACCAGTTGTAGTAATAGGGGTTGTAGTTCATTCCAATAATCTTTCTCTTCTAAGTTTGACCCACCAGAATGTTGGTGAAGTTATTTCCAAAACTTTTAGGAAGAAGTAGATATGAGCAATATAAAGAGTGGACTATGGTGGATTCTGTGATTCACCACCTAGATTCCCCTTCAAGAATGAATAGTTTATTATTTCAGCCTCTGAAAGTGCTGCTGATAAACAGCCTTCCACTCTCAACCTCCTTAGATTGCTACCTCTGAAGAGAACCACCTCATCCAAAGGCATACCCCTTCCTAGAGTAGCCTACACATGATGATTGATCAACACTATGGTTTAAAGGTTAAGGCCTCTTGCCCCATCTTAAACAGCTTTGAGGAGTCATCTCATCTTTAGAATACTCTGTAGGGACAGTGGAGTCTTCTATTAAGACTGCATCACAGCTCAATTTCTCCCCTACCCAGTCCCACTCTCTTCCCTTCCCTTCAACAAGTGTTGGTCCCATGAGCACTCCCTAATAAACATCCTACACAATAATCTCCATCAAGGAGTTCATTGCCCATGAAAGCCAACATAGAGGCAGACAGGAATCAGCCTCTAGGTTGAGAAAGCTGTGTAGTTGCAAGCACAAGTTATGTATTAGGGACAGTATTCCATTTCTTTTTTCTTTTTTCCTTTTTCTTTTTTTTTTTTTTTTTTTTTTTTGAGACAGTGTCTCATTCTGTCACTCAGGCTAGAGTGCAGCTGCATTATCATGGCTCACTGTAGCCTCAACCTCCTGGGCTCAAGAGCTCTTCCCACTTCTGCCTCCTGAGTAGCTGGAACTACTGGCATGTACCACCACACCTGGCTAATTTTTAAAAAACTTTTTGAAGTCAGGTAGCGTGATGCCTCCAGCTTTGTTCTTTTGGCTTAGGATTGACTTGGCGATGCGGGCTCTTTTTTGGTTCCATATGAACTTTAAAGTAGTTTTTTCCAATTCTGTGAAGAAAGTCATTGGTAGCTTGATGGGGATGGCATTGAATCTATAAATTACCTCAGGCAGTATGGCCATTTTCACGATATTGATTCTTCCTACCCATGAGCATGAAATGTTCTTCCATTTGTTTGTATCCTTTTATTTCATTGAGCAGTGGTTTGTAGTTCTCCTTGAAGAGGTCCTTCACGTCCCTTGTAAGTTGGATTCCTAAGTATTTTATTCTCTTTGAAGCAATTGTGAATGGGAGTTCACTCATGATTTGGCTCTCTATTATTGGTGTATAAGAATGCTTGTGATTTTTGTACATTGATTTTGTATCCTGAGACTTTGCTGAAGTTGCTTATCAGCTTAAGGAGATTTTGGGCTAAGACAATGGGGTTTTCTAGATATACAATCATGTCATCTGCAAACAGGGACAATTTGACTTCCTCTTTTCCTAATTGAATACCCTTTATTTCCTTCTCCTGCCTAATTTCCCTGGCCAGAACTTCCAACACTATGTTGAATAGGAGTGGTGAGAGAGGGCATCCCTGTCTTGTGCCAGTTTTCAAAGGGAATGCTTCCAGTTTTTGCCCATTCAGTATGATATTGGCTGTGGGTTTGTCATAGACAGCTCTTATTATTTTGAGATACGTCCCATCAATACCTAATTTATTGAGAGTTTTAATTAAAAAATAAATAAATAAATAAAATAAAATAACTTTTTGGAGAGATGGGGTCTGCATTAAGACATTGATTGAGTCATCACCATATGAGTAAACTCAATCTCCAGCCCACTCCCCTCCCTATAGATTAGGCTGCCTCAAAGTCCTAACCCTCTGATCACGTAATTGGTCTTTCTCCCTCTGTTGCCCAGGCTGGTCTCAAACTCCTGGGCTTGAGGGATCCTTCCTCCTCCACCTTCCAGAGTGTTGGGATTACAGGCATGAGCCACTGCACCTAGCCCACTATTCCATTTCAACTCAAACTAGATACACTACAACTCAAATCTAGCTTTAACCACCCAGAGTTAGTGCAGACCCCACAGTTGAGGATTCAGTCCACCACAAGATTGTCCTCACTTTAAATGCCAACCACAAGTCCAGGGAGTACCCAGGTAACACATCTCTCTCACTTACTGGCTACAAATTTAGGGGTTTCCACATCCCCCTCAGGTTCAATAATCCACTGAAACAATTCACACAACTCAGGAAAGCATTACACTTAAAATTATATTTCATGATAAAGAATACAACTCAGAAACAGCCAATGGAGACACGGATAGGCCAAGGTCTGGAATGGTTCTGGACACACAGAGTTCATGCCCTCTCCTTGTGAAATCAGATTGTGTCACATTCTTAGCACATCTATATATCACCAACCAGGAAACTCCACTGAGCTTCAGTGTCTAGAGTTTTTATATAGGGTTTCATTACACAGACATGATTAATAGGGTCATTGGCCATGTAGGTAAACTCAATCTCCAGCCCACTCCACTCCGTGGAGTTTAGGCTGCCTCAAAGTCCTAACCCTCTGATCATGTAATTGGTCTTTCTGGTGAGTAATCCACATCTTGAAGCTATCTAGGGCCCCCATGAGCCACTTCATTAGCATAAATTCAGGTATTATCCAAGGGACTCATGAACAACAAAGACATTTCTATCCTTTGGGAAATTCCAAGAGTTTAGATTCTCCTTCCAAGGCACTAGGGACAAAGGCCAATCAAATAGTTTATTATATAACAGACAAGGAAGAACCCTTTAGAGTACAGCAAGAGCCCAGGGGGTAGAGGCAAAAATCACAGAAAACAATGGCTTGGGGAACCACTGCCATGGACAAAACTAGGCCCTAATCAAGCAACATTTCCTACATTGGAGTACAGACCCTGACAACATGTGCTCAGCTTGATTTCACAATCTCATGTACTGGTAACAATGGCAACTTCTAATTCACAGTTCTCTGAAACCAGAAAAATTACTTCAAGAAGCCACATCTGTTTACAGGCTTGATGAAGATCATAAACTCATATGTCAAACTTGATACCAAAATTGAATAAGACTTTGGGGGTTTTGAGAAGTGATGAGCATAATTTACATGTAGGAGAAATGTACTTACAGTTGATCTGTGGGTAACACAGAGGTTAGGGATGCAAAATCCCCCTCCCTACAGAGCCAAAAAAAAATGTATAATTTTTACTTCCCCAAAATTTAACAATTAATAGCCTACTGTTGACTGGAAGCCTTGCCAATAACATAAACTGCTGATTAACATATATTTCGTGTGCATTATATAATTATATACATGATTAAGGTAAACTAGAGAAAGAAAATGCTATTAAGAAAGTCATAAGGAGGATAAAATATATTTACTATTCATTAAGTGGAAGTGGATCATCATAAAGGTCTTCAACCTCATCATCTTCCCGTTGAGTAGAAGGAAGAGGAGGAGGAAGGGGAGGGTTGGTCTTGCTGTCTCAGGGGTGGCAGAGGTGGAAGAAAATTCTCATAGAAGTGAACCCATGCAGTTCAAACTCATGTTGTTCATGGGTCAACTGTAATTGTAGCCAGGGAGTGGACTGTGATAGATGAAGTGTGGCTACTAATTTATTTTGGCTCCTCCCATCAAGAGGTAAAGTCTATTTCCCAACCCCTTAAATCTGAGCTGGCCTTCTGACTTTCTTTGACTTACAGAATGTGCTAAAAAGGATGAGAATGAAAGTCTAAAGTACCTTCACTTAGGGAGTGGCCTATTTCCCTATTTTCTCATCCACTAAGCAAGAACTGTCAGATTAATCAGATTATCCCAAATTAATTACATTATCTTCTCCAACAAACAGAATAGGGAGAGGGATAAAAGCTTCCCTGCCAACCTGTCCCCCTAGGGAAGGGGTCTGCAAATATAGCCTTTGGGTCAAATCTTCCCAGCCTTCTGTTTTTGTATGGTTGTATGGGAAAATAACCATGTCCATTTGTTTACTTATTGTCTATGGCTGCTTTCATACTATAATGGCAGAGCTGAACATTTGTGACAAAGACCATATGGCCCACAAAATGGAATATATTTACTATGTTGTTCTTTACAGAAAAGGTTTGCCAAACCCTGCTCTAGAAATACTGGCTTGGCAAAACTTTATGACCATATCCACAATAAAAAATAGTCTTCATAATGTGGTCCTCTTTACATAATCATATATATTTTATATAATATAATCTGAAACAAATGTTTCATGAAATAATACCTCTTACTACATGTGATGCACTCTGACACTTTCTCTTCTCTTTTATATCATTTTTAAAGCTGATCACAATTCACTAAATTGACTTCATAACCCACTAATGAATTGCAACCTCCACCTTCTCTGAGGCAAGCATATAGGGAGAATGGTTTTCTCTGAGCTACAGTACATAAGAAATGCTGAAAAGATGATAGCAGCTGTTTGTTTTTTAATTAACTTTCTAGTAAAATATACTACTGCAGTAGGACAGAAAACATATATTTAGATTTTCCTGTGCTCAGTATTCATTTATTCAACAAAATTTCAACAATTATTTACATAATACCTATATTTCAAGTCTTTGCTAGGTTCTGTGGGTATAAAGGTGAAGAAAACAAACATGGAGATTAGACTTTAGTGGGGAAAACAAATTTGAAACAAATACAAAAACATGTAAGTACCAACTGTGATATGAAAAAAAGGTACTGAGTCCCATACATTTATAATGTGAGACGTGGATAGAAACTTACCTAGTTTAGGGCAGGATGAGGCTTTGTCTAGTTGGAATGGCTTCACTGGAGAAGTGAAAGTGGACCTGATAACTTCACAATTGAGAAGTTAACTAGGCAAACAAGGTGGGAAAGAGGAAGAGCAGAACCCAAAGAAAGGACTAGCCAAATCAATTTTAATAATTACACATCGAACATTATACAGCACCTACTATACTTCTCTAAGCACTTTATACATATTAATTCATGATTTGCCAGAAAGAGGCAGATATGAAACAAAAATTCATGCCCCAAAGCACGACTAAACCAAACAGTTGCAAGGCAGCCTTATAGAACAGGAAAAACATGGGCTTTAGTGTCAACTATACTTGTGTTTAAATTTCTACTTATCTGAGTGATCACAAGCAAATTGCCTAACTTTTCTGAGCCCCAGTTGCTTTACTACAAAATTAAATGTCATGAAAAATTAAATCAGTAATATATTGTACTATTGCCTGACATAAGTTAAAAATCAAATATTAGTTTTTTAATTCCAAATCTTCCCCTATAGACTCAAAACTCCTTGAAAGCATGTGGCTAAATCTAAGTTCATTATTAATTCAGAAAAAAAATTGTGGAGGGAAATTATACATATTGAACTGAAAAGACAAAAAATAATTCCTTCAAAACACTAAGGGAAAATTTTTTTCTACATTAATGCTGAAACCAATCTCTCTATTATATAAGAATGAGAGTAGAAAAGATATTTTATGACATGCAAGGTCTCAACAATTTACCTCCAATTCACCATTTTTTAGGTAGCTACTGGAGAACGTGCTCCACCAAATTAAGGGAATAAACTAAGAAAGAGGAAGACATGAAAAACAGGGCACAGAAGAATCCACACAGGGTAGAGTCACAGAGGATTCCCATATGATGGTGAAGGGAAGTCCCTGCAGGCCTAGAGACGCATCAATCCCAACTGCAGAACGGCACAGGCTCTGAGAGGGATGTCTTCATTAAAACCGACAAACTATCAATGTATTGACTACACTGAGAAGAATTCCAGGATTCTGTAGAAAACTTGGGGGGGATGAATTAGTAAAATGAATATAGAAAACAAAGCAAATTTTAAAATGAAGCAATTTTTAACTCCATGAAAAACAAAAATTGTACACAAAAGGAAATATAAACATGGCTTAGCTATGAACAATATTTACATATTTAAAACTATGTATACAATTACTATTCATTGAACCAAAAATTATGATTCAGGTGTATGGAAAGCATAGCGGGAAAGGCCATGTGTATTTCTATGGAGACAAGAGAGCTGTAGCCTCATCTTCCATATTAGGAAGTCAACAGGAAGTTTAAAATTTAAAAAGCAAGAAAGGGTAGTATATAGAAATATAGTAGAAATAACAGAAGAAACAAGCTAAAAAGAATTGAAAGTGGTTGGGAGAGGGTTGGGGATAGGGAGGATGGAGGACAGAACTGCTGCTTGTGTTTTAAGCCTTACAATAGTACATGTGCATTTGTGTGCAATAAATAAGAACTGAACTTTAAAATGATATTCAAATTGCATGTTCACAGAACCCCTGAAACACCTCTGAAGAGTCCAGGAAAAGTATTTTAAAACAATTTAAAGCTCAGTGGGAATTTCTTAGAATACTGGACACAGTACTGGATCACTCATCATAGATAACAAAGCTTAAGTGATTTTATATGAATGCTTTATTGGGGGCCACTTGAATTACACTTATGTTAACACTATAAGGTATCATTTTCCCATGTTACAGATTAGAAAACAATGTTAAATAACTCACTCAAGAGCACACTGCCAGTACAAAGATATGTGTGTGGTTTATATTCCCACACAGTACCAAAGAACACACCCAATTTTTCTTGAGTATGAAAAATACAATTCCAGGAGTCAAAATTTTTGTTCAAATGTTTTCTGAAATTTAATCCTGTCCAAAATGAAATTTTAAAAGTTATTCATTAAACTATCTCTTAGTAGCATATTTTTCTTTGCTATTCATTCCATGAACACATTTTTATTTATTACTGTGCTATAATTTATTGTCAACCATAAGATTTACTACAAACTCACGATATAAGAAAAGTTAGCAGCAACAAAAGGATACATGAGCTGTAAAACTATACAAGATCATGAAAAATTATTTATGGGAAATGTCAGACAACATATGATAATTGCATACTGATGATCTGTCTGAATAGAACATGTCCTGGGGTCAGATTCTATTTTTGATAAGCTAATCATTTAAGTCTGAAATTATGGACAATTCCTATAGTACATTGGCACTCACAAATTTACTTGGGGAAATGTCCTTAATAGTGTGAGCAATCTATGATGAACAATCTAGCTGAGAATTAAGACTTTGTTCAGCATTTAAATAACTCCAAATAAATCAAACATTAATTTTGCCTTCTGACAATCTTTAACTTAAAAATTCTTACAAGGCTTTTTTAAAAAAATAAATAAATACAATGGGCCAGGCGTGGTGGCTCATGCCTGTAATACCAGCACTTTGGGAGGCCGAGGTGGGCAGATCGCTTGAGGTCAGGAGTTGGAGACCAGCCTGGCCAACACGGTGAAACCCCATCTCTACTAAAAATACAAACATTAGCCGGGAGTAGTGGTGCACATCTGTAATCCCAGCTACTCAGGAGGCTGAGGCAGGAGAATCACTTGACCCCAGGAGGCAGATGTTGCAGTGAGCTGAGATCATGCCACTGCACTCCAGACAGAGCAAGACTCTGTCTCTAAATAAATAAATAAATAAAACACAATGAAACTTGCCTCAAAAACTATTTTTCCCACCTAACTAAAAAGCAACATGGTGGCTCATGCCTGTAATCCCAGCACTTTGGGAGGCTGAGTGGGGTGGATCTCGAGTCCAGTTCAAGACCAGCCTGGCCAACATGACGAAACTCTGTCTCTACTAAAAATACAAAAATTAGCCAGGCATGGTGGCACAGCACCTGTAGTCCCAGCTACTCGAGGGCTGAAATGGAAGAATCACTTGAGCCCAGGAGGTAGAGATTGCAATGAGTCAAGATTATGCCGCTGCACTCCAGCCTGAGCAACAGAGCCAGACTCAGTCTCAAAAAAAAAAAAAAAAATTCAAAAAAGTCTGTATAACCATTTTTGAAGAGTTGTCTCCTTACTCCCCACATTCCATGTTGTATAGTAGTTGGGAATAATAGAAACAACAGGGGGGAAAAAAGCAATTACAAATGAAGGGAATGATTTCCTGGTCAGCAGGGCCTCCATATTGGTAGGCAATCATTTTCTCTGTCTCTATTTGGGTCTTGTTTTGGTTTTTCCATCAGGCGTAACTCAAAGTTCTAAACTCTTTACTCCATGCTGCATTCCTCATGTTCCCTCAAGAGACTATATCAGATAGAACAGTTGCTACAAGCAATTTAAGGAAAAGAGATTATTGAAATGAAAAAGATTTACTAGCACTCATAGGACTAAAGGAAAATCTGGACACAATCTTAGCAAGGGTGAAAGCCCAATGAGTTGAAAACATCATTACCATCAAATGACTCAGCTCCAATCACCTCTTGCCTCTAAGAGTCTTTACACAAGTTTAAAAGACTAAGAACTGGTTGGACTCATTTTGGTCACATGGAGGACAGGGAACAAAATCTAATTATTAGAGAAACCCTCAAAATTTATATGAGAGAGAAGTACAGTGGGAATAGCTCCAACAAAAGGATTGCTGCTCAGAAAAAAAAAAAAACAAAGTCACAAGTGCAGTTTTGTACCACAAAACGACATTCCAGTCAATGACAAACTACTTATACAGTAGTAGTCCAAGGAGATTATAATGAAGCTAAAAAATTCCTATCACCTAGTATTTACTACACTAAACTTTTTACTGTTATTTTAGAGCATACTCCTTCTACTTGTAGGGAAAAAAAATTTAATCGTAAAACAGCCTCTTGCAGATCCTTTAGGAAGGTACTTCAGAAGAAGACAATGATAGCTCCATGCACTCTATTTCTCCTAAACACCTTCCAGTGGGACAAGATGTGGAGGTGAAAGACTAATAATATAGATGGTCCTGACCCTGTGTAGACCTCTGCTAATGTGGGTGTTTGCATCTCAGTTTTCAGCAAAAGTTTGAAAAATAAAACTAAAAATAATTTTAAAAATAGAACAAAGCTTATAGAATAAGGATATAAAGAAAGAAAATATTTTTGTATGACTATACACTATGTTTGTGTTTTAAGCTAAGTGTTACTGCAAAATAGTTTTAAAAAGTTAAAAATATTTAAAGGTTTATAAAGTAAAAAATGTACAGTAAGCAAAGGTTTATTATTAAAGAAAAAATTGTTTTTATAAATTTAGTGTAGCCTACGTGTAGGGTGTTTATAAAGTCTACAGTAGTATACAGTAATGTGCTAGGCCTTCATACTCACTCACGGACTCACCCAGAGAAAATTCCAATACTGCAAGCTCCATTGATGGTAAGTGTCCTATACAGGTGTACCTTTTATTTTAATCCTTTAAACCATATTTTTACTATATGTGGGTTCCTTTCTCATTTCACATAGGTGAAAAATCACGTCCAGAAAGATATTAAACAACTTAGGTTTACTGTTATGTAGTCAACAAGTGGTATAGCTGAGATTTGGCTCCAGAGTCTGGGCACTCAACCATTACACAACAGGCAAAAAAATCGAAGAGGTAGAATTTAGCACTTAACTAGAAACAGGGGTGAGAATGACGAAGAGCTCAGGCATGACTCCTAGGATTCTGGATTCTGGATTTTACATATTGTACTATACCTTTTCTATGTTTAGGTAAACACAAATATTTACCATTGTGTTACAACTGCCTACAGTAATCATGCTGTATACGTTTGTAGCCTAGGAACAATAGGCTACGCCATACAGCTTAGGTGTGTAATAGGCTATACTATCTGGGTTTGTGTAGATACATTCTATAATGTTCATGCACAATGATGAAATTGCCTAACAATGCATTTCTCAAATGTATCCCCATTGTTAAGTGACATGTGACTGTAGTCTTCATAGAGAAAACAGGAAAATTAAACATAAATTCCATCCACATAATACTCATCCAATCAAAAAAAAACTCATATGTATGTCTACCCACCCATTAGCCCTTCTCCTTTTGTAAAACAGGTGCTCACCTCTCCTGTCCAGACTGAATATCTCCTAATGCACCTTAGACCTCACATTTGCCAATCTCTTCATTTACCATGTCTTCCAGTAATTTCCACCTCTCTCTAAGGACTCCTTATATCACATATAAATATGCCAAAATCTTTCCCATGCTAGAAATCATTCCTTCCACCCTGGTATCCCTTTGGCAAACCCTTTCTTCTCTCCTTTATAAACAAGCTTCTAGGAAGAGAAGCCTACTACACTCTTGACTTCCTCATCTGACCCAGGGCTCTGCTTTAGCTTGCACTACCCCACTGAAACTGCACTCTCAGGGCCATAAACAACCTCTTCACTGCCACATGTAATAAATACATTTGGCCTTTGTTTTTGTGAGCAAGCATACCATAGTCACTTAAGAGCATGAACTTTGCAGTCACTCTCAGAGTTCACAATCCTGGCTCTGACACTTACCTTAGACAAACTATTTTAGCTCTGTTTTCTTATCCATAAAGCATGGTGATAAAAATATTTTATATCACAGATGCGTCTTGAAGAACTAACACATATAAAGTACTTAAAGCATTGCCTGAGACATGTTAGGTGCTATATAAGTGTTAGCTATATGTTATCATCATTTTATTAGATCCCTTCCTATGACATTTAATATTGTTAACAATGTCTCCCTTGAAATCCTCAATTCCCTTGGCTTCTCTGATATTATTATCTTAAGGTTCTTGTACTTCTCTATTGCCTCTTCAAGTTCCTCTTCCTTTATCTGACTATTAAGTACTAATGTGCCTAAGAATTATTCTTGGTTCTCATTCCTTTTCATTTAGCACATTGCCCCTGAAAATTGTATCTACTCCCTTAACCCCAATTACCAATTCTGTCCTTTCTTTCTTTCTTTCTTTTTCTTTCTTTTTTTCTTTCTTTTCTTTTTCTTTCTCTCCATCTATTATTTTATCTAACAAATATTCATTGAGTTATTCTGTGCCAGGCATCATGCCAAGCACTCTGGCCCAGGCTCCTGCCGGAGCTCCAGATCCACATAATCTATTTGACTTCTCTATCCATGTGCCTCAAAGGTACCTCAAATTCAAGATATCCAGAACTAAATTTGTCACTCTCTCATCCTCCAAACATGTTCCTCCTTCTGTATTCTCTGACCCAGAGACAAGCATTATCATGAACCAGGGTGGCCAATCCAGAATCCTAGGAGTCATATCTGAGCTCTTCATCATTCACATCCCTGCTTCTAGGTAAGTGCTAAATTCTACCTCTTCAATATTTTTGCCTGTTGTGTAATGGTTGAGTGCCCAGACTTTGGAGCCAAATCCAGCTATACTACTTGCTGACTACATAACATTAAACATAAGCTGTTTAACGTCTCTGGACTTCATTTTTCTCCTATGTAAAATGAGGAATGAACCCAGTTCACAGGATGTGATGAGTATTAAATGGAACAATTCACATATATTACATAGTGTTGATGGCTGTTGTGACACCTTGATTCTTCTTAGTTTAAAAGAATTTAAACAAGAGACACACAGCAAAGAAGATGCAGCATAGAGTAATTTATTGCAAAAGAAATTTTGAAAGTTAGAACAGACAGTACACCATGAGATTGTGAGAATTTCGGGTGGGCTGCTTTTAAGGGTGAGATGGCAAAGACTGGAACTAGGGAGACTCCCTTTATGAGAGTCTTACATGATTATTCAAAGGGGGTGGGAAGAGGTGTTACTAGTAAGCATATTCTGCGTGGTCTTCTGGGTGCACACGCACAGTAGCTGTACATGCTTGTTCATACATTGCATGTCTCATTAGCATCTTAAGTCTCCACCCATGGGTGTGTTTTTTTACTATTATAATGAGCAAAGTGTCAGTCTGAGAACAGGTAAAATCAAAACGTCCAAGCTTTGTAGAGGGGAAATTCCGCACTGAAGATATCTTTGTTTGACTGAGCTCAATTACAGTGCAAATGCTGAGGCTTATTATGGTGACCAAACGGTCACCATAGTTGCTACATCACAAGAACATGGTTATTTCCTTGACTACCTGTCCTTCCTCAATATCACTGTGTCTAACACATAGTAAGTACTGAATAAATACAGATTATTTCATTTACATCTTCCCTACTTACATTATATTAGTTCAAGCCTCTGTTCTCCCTTAGCTATCATTCTAACTGGTGTCCTTGTGTCCAGTCTTGATCCTCATGAGCCCATTAGTCATACTACTGCCCAAAAATCTGACCTAAAACTCATTACCATAAAATAGAAATGCAACAAACTTGAAGTGAACAGTATAGACTCAATTAATCACACATGGAGGGAAAACTATCCACAACTTGGATCCATCTGAAAATTAGTATCAGGTTAATAATAAAAACGAAGACTTAGAATCAACTTTCAGACACAAATCATATTTCCCACCTATTGGCAAACTGCCCCCACAGCAAATGCTATTCATATGCATTCAGCTTGGCTTAACCAAAGCAAGCAAGTGATTAAGATCATTTATTACAAGACGCCAGTTCTTGATTCTTTTTTGATCATGCACAACATAAAGGAGAATTAATGTTTATAGCTATCTTCAATACTGAAGGAAGTCTATTACTGAAGTCAGTATTATTCCCTTCAGTAATCAAAAATTACTGAATTTTTGATGGGAGTCTTACATGATTATTCATAAGGGGGTGGAAAGAGGTGTTACTGAAATTACTTAATTTTTGATAGGTGTATTTAAAATTCTGAATTGTCAAGAACCTGGAGAACTCTGAGTCCTGAAAGGAATGCAGCATGAAAAGAAGATTTAGTTGATAATTTATTAATTTAACATAATAATTGAAGCATAAAAAGTTTGAGTAAGGTTAAACCATATTGGTTAATAGTTATCATTTGATATATTATGGAAAACTTGTTGAAAAGTTATACCACTGAATCTTATGTTCCTATTCTAAAGTGGAAGAAAACTTGCAGCATGAGTTGAGAAAGAATACTTCTAAGCCAGATAGTCTGGAACAAACTAATTTTATTTATATACATAAATACTGATATATTAGATGTTAGCCTACCTTTTATTTTCTACTGCCAGTAACAGTTTTTCTTGTCTTGATTTAAATTTAATCAAGCTGCCTCCCTCTAAATCACTCAGACTGGAAAAATGCTACCCAAGAAAAGTATGGCTTAGTTTGACCAAGTAAAATAATTAACCTGAAAATGTACAAATAGCTGGGAAATTTTCTGTTAACCATTTAACCATGCTCCGGAAAGAAAAAAAAAAACAAAAAAACAATTTCATAAGGCAGCATTTTATCTGTCATTAACTGAATCACATTTTTAATCAAAAACACACACTTAAATTAATATTGTTCACCCCTTAAAAACAAACAAGCAATATAACTTTATTGATTATCAATGCAAAAGAGCTAGAGGAAATAGTGAGAACATCTTATTTTTCATAGTTCAATTAGCTCTGCATTGAAATGAATCTGCAGTACAACACGCATTATGGAATAACTAATATCTTCACTGCTGCTTTCTTTGGAAGTAATGTCATCTGTCATATAATCTCATCTTGGACTATGTTATTAAAAAGCTATAGAAGATAGACATTGGAAGATCAAGATTAGTTTTTTCACAGATGAAACCACAAAATCAATGAAGCATCCTTATTCATACAGAAATAGAAGGAAATATACAACTTTTACTGCTATCATACCCCCAAAAATGATGTAGGTCAAAAGGCAGTTTCCATATCATCATACAATAAATCCTAGTCACAAATTTATGTCATTGTGTGAAGGCATTTGAAGGGTTGATAATGGAACTTGTTCAGCTTTTTTTTTAATGGCTAAAGATTAGAGACAACTCTAAAAAGAAGGGTAATTTTCAAAATTCTGTCTGTCTCTAAAATAAAATCTTATTGCAAAAAAAATTGTTAGTAAATAATTGGATTGACTCTACAATATTTGGAGCCCAAATCTCAGTAGATTTTGTGGGGGGATTATTTGATGTGTATTGTAGGATAGGTCAAATAAGAAATTATGTTTATATTGTTGATCACAGAGATTTTTAGGATCTTTGAAAGGAGACAAGCAGATTCATGATCAATAAGATTAAGTAACAATTATGTCCTGAATTTGGACTGGAAATATAAGTGTGACCTCATTATGGATTTTATTTTTAAACATATATCAAGACAGAAAGAGAGAGAAGGAAAGCTCATAAATCCCTCAGAAACAATGGAAATCACTCAGAAACAACAAAAATAAGACAAATTTAGTAGCATCCAGAATGGGGTCTCTAAATACTCCTTCCCCCAAAGAGGAACAAGGATAATTTGGAGAAGAAGCTACCTCCAGAGGTGGGACAGGAAATGTTCAAGATGAGCCTATAACATCTTGTCATACCAGAGATCCACGAAGGCAATAGGGACTACTAGGGTCATGTCACGAGGATTCAGGAGTCAACCTGAATAAACTCCTCCTGTACAAATATAGTATAATTTGAGCATCAATATGATTAATATTAAACTATGTTTACACCCATTAATTCTTTATAATATGAAAAAAGCTTATTTATTTTCTTTGAAGGATACTCTACCTTTCTTAGCTCTGTCTGAAATAAACAAGTACACAGATCTAAAGATGTGTATATGCTTATTTTTTGTAGCAGCCAGGCTTTTAGCACAATATGAAAAAATATCGTATTCATCTCAAAATAAATTTAAACCATGAATATGCCTACTAATATATTTAACTTCTAACCCAACAAAAGCATTTTCCATAGGTGGCAATAGCAGAAAAAAATAGAAAGCACAATGTGATTAGAGAAATTTACATAAATTCATTCCTGTTGCTTCTATAGAAGTTAATGCAATTAATTCTCTACAAGGTCAATTAAGAACTGCTGATGAAGTTTTCTGAAGGATTGCCTGAATCCTTTTAAATCTTTTAGATTTAGTCTATATCTATTACATTCTTTAGAAAAACTTTTAGCAATAATCAACATTTCATCTTATTGAGGAAAGAAACTTTGCAAGAAGCAGTAGTTTATCTTTCATTTGATATATTAAATCCCTTTCAAGTATATGTTGAATCTTTGGAGGTAAATTCAGTGGGGTGTTCCCAAGGGCAGCCTCTCAGTCAGTCCTATTTTCAAACCAAAGATGCCTGTTGTTGCCAATATATTGCTGTTACGTTTTAGCAGATGGCTGTGGTAACATATTACTCCATCTAGTTAAGTAGGTTCTATTCACACAGGCATGTAACTATTTCCTTTTGTATCATTCACATTCATTTCTTAGCACACACTTTGCTTTTCTTCACATTCCGCGCAATATGTGCTTGAGATCAAACATCCAATTTTTAACACTATAATTATTCTCCCTACCATTTAAAATATCCTACAAGAGCAGTATGGTGCAGTAAAAATTACATGGGCTTTGAAATAAGACAAATCTTGGTTAGAAACACAAAATCACTATATATATGACCTTGGGGAAATTACATACCCTGAGCCCATTTCATTGCCTGTAAAGTAGGAAAAATAATACCTAACTTGCAAATTTGTTGTAAAGATTGATGTAGTACATACAGAAAATACCTCCTCCCCACCAAATGATAAATACAAAAGTTTACAATAAAGCAGTAAGTTCTCATTTTCTCTCTCTGAGCTCTATCTTTCTACACAGTAAGATCATGCTTTGTATTGCTATTTTAATAATACCAACATGTCCTCCATGAGCTATTTAATCTGATACTCCACTCAATATAGTGATTGCTGATATTTTTCCTGACTCTTTTGCTTTCATTCTCTTTCTGGTGATCCTATGAGAACTGGTGTCAGCAGAGAATTTCTATATAGAATCAACTTGAAGCAACAATCTGGTAAGGAAACATTCAGAAAATTGTAAAGCTGGATGCATTAGCAATGTCTTGCTTCTTAACCTTGCTAATTTTGAGCCCCTACCTTCTTGCTCATTTTGTACCTGTTCATTGGCTTTCTTTCATTCAGATCCTTGAACGCTCCTTCCTGATCTAGGACCTTTGCACAAGCTGTTTGACTGCTCCCTGGAAATCTTAAATCTCCTCACCCTGCTCAACCTTCTGTCTTTAGCTTAAATGATGCCTTCTCAGGGAAACCCTCCTTAAATTTCCAGACTAATTTAAGTTTTTTCCTACTACATCCATACTTTTTTCATAACATTTACCTCAAATTTTTAAAATTAAGTAAAAATATTTCTGTGGGTGTCTAGCAAGATGGGTGAATAAGAACAGCTCCAGTCTGCAGCTCCTAGCAAGATCAATGGAGATGCCAGGTGATTTCTGCATTTCCAACTGATGCACCTGGCTCATCTCACTGGGACTGGTTAGACAGTTGGTGCAGCCCATGGAGGGCAAGCCAAAGCAGGGTGAGGCATTGCCTCACCCAGGAAATGCAAGGGGTCAGTGAACTGCCTCCGTGGGCCAAGGGAAGCCCTGAGGGACTGTGCTGTGAAAAATGTTGCACTCCAGCCCAGATACTATGCTTTTCCCACAGTCTTCGCAAATCGCAGACCAGGAGATTACTTCGGGTGCCTACACCATCAGGGCCCTGGGTTTCAAGCACAAAACTGGGTGGCTGTTTGGGCAGACACTGAGCTAGCTGCAGGAGTTGTTTTTCATACCCCTGTGGCACCTGGAACATCAGCGAGACAGAACCATTCAGTCCCCTGGAAAAGGGGTGAAGCAAGAGAGCCAAGTCGTCTAGCTCAGTGGATCCCACCCCATGGAGCCCAGCAAGCTAAGATCCACTGGCTTAAAATTCTCACTACCAGTACAGCAGTCTGAAGTCAACCTGGGACACTGGAGCTTTGTGGGGGAGGGGCCCACCATTACAGAGGCTTGAATAGGCGGTTTTCCCCTCACAGTGTAAACAAAGCCACGGGGAAGTTTGAACTGGGCAGAGCCCACCACAGCTCACCAAAGCCACTGTAGCCAGAGTGCTTCTCTAGATTCCTCCTCTCTGGGCAAGGCATCTCTGAAAGAAAGACAGCAGCCCCAGTCAGGGGCTTAGAGATAAAATTCCCATCTCCCTGGAACACAGCACCTGGGGGAAGGGGGGTGGCTGGGAATGCAGCTTCAGCAGACTTAAACATTCCTGCCTCCTAGCTCTGAAGACAGCAGTGGATCTCCCAGCACAGCGCTCGAGCTCTGCTAAGGGACAGACTGTCTCCTCAACTGGGTCCCTGACCCCCATGCCTCCTGATGGGGAGACACTTCCCAACAGGGGTCAACAGACATCTCATACAGGAGAGCTCCGGCTGGCATCTGGAGGGTACCCCTCTGGGACTAAGCTTTCAGAGGAAGGAAGAGACAGCAATCTTTGCCGTTCTGCAGCCCCTGCTGGTGATACCCAGGCAAACAAGGTCTGGAGTGGACCTCCATCAAACTCCAGCAGACCTACATCAGAGGGGCCTGACTGTTACAAGAAAAACTAACAAACAAAGGAATGGCATCAACATCAACAGAAAGGACATCCACACAAAAACCCCATCTGAAGGTCACCTACATCAAAGACCAAAGGTAGACAAATCCACGAAGATGGGGGAAACCAGCACAAAAAGGCTGAAAATTCTAAAAACCAGAATGCCTCTTCCCCTCCAAAGGATCACAGCTCCTCACCAGCAAGGAAACAAAACTGGATGGAGAATAAGTCTGAAGAACTGGCAGAGGTAGGCTTCAGAAGGTGAGTAATAACAAACTCCTCCGAGCTAAAGGAGCATGTTCTAACCAAATGCAAGGAAGCTAAGAACCTTGAAAAAAGGTTAGACAAATTGCTAACAAGAATAACAAGTTTATAGAAGAGCATAAATGACCTGATGGAGCTGAAAAACAGCATAAGAACAATGGGAAGCATACGCAATTATCAAACAGCCAAATCGATCAAACAAAAAAAGGATATCAGAGATTGAAGATCAACTTAATGAAATAACGCGTGAAGACAAGATTAGAGAAAAAAGAATGAAAAGCAACGAACAAAGCCTCCAAGAATATGGGACTATGTGAAAAGACAAAACCTAAGTTTGATTGGCATACCTGAATGTGACAGGGAGAATGGAACCAAGTCGGAAAACACTCTTCAGGATATTATCCAGGAGAACTTCCCCAACCTAGCAAGACAGGCCAACATTCAAATTCAGGAAATACAAAGAACACCACAAAGATACTCCTCGAGAAGGGCAACCCCAAGACACATAATCATCAGATTCACCAAGGTTGAAATGAAGAAAAAAATGTTAAGGGCAGCCAGAGAGAAAGATCGGGTTACCCACAAAGGGAAACCCATCAGACTAACAGCAAATCTCTCTGCAGAACCCTACAAGCCAAAAGAGAGTGGGGACCAATTCAACATTCTTAAAGAAAAGAATTTTCTACTGAGAATTACATATCCAGCCAAACTAAGCTTCATAAGAGAAGGAGAAGTAAAATCCTTTACGGAGAAGAAAATGCTGAGAGATTTTGTTACAACCAGGCCTGCCTTACAGGAGCTCCTAAAGGAAGTACTAAACATGGAAAGAAACAACCGCTACAAACCACTGTAAAAACATACCAAATTGTAAATACCATCGACACTATGAAGAAACTGCATCAACTAACGGGGAAAATAACCAGCTCGCATCATAATGACAGGATCAAATTCACACATAACAATATTAAACTTAAATATAAATGGGCTAAATGCCCCAATTAAAAGACACAGACTGGCAAATTGGATGAAGAGTCAAGACCCATCCATGTGCTGTATTCAGAAGACTCATCTCACATGCAAAGACATACAGAGGCTCAAAATAAAGGGAGGGAGGAATATTTACCAAGCAAATGGAAAGCAAAAAAAAAAAAAGCATAGGCTGCAATCCTAGTCTCCAATATAACAGACTTTAAACCAACAAAAGATCAAAACAAGACAAAAAAGGGAATTACATAACGGTAAAGGAATCAATGCAACAAGAAGAGCTAACTATCCTAAATATATATATGCATCCAATACAGGAACACACAGATTCATAAAGCAAGTTCTTAGAGACCTACAAAAAGACTTAGATGCCACACAATAATAGTGGGAGACTTTAACATCCCACTGTCAATATAAGACAGATCAACGAGACAGAAAATTAACAAGGATATTCAGGACTTGAACTCAGCTCTGGACCAAGCAGACCTAATAGACATCTACAGAACTCTCCCCCACAAATCAACAGAATATACATTATTCTCAGCACCACAACACACTTATTCTAAAATTGACCACATAAGTGGAAGTAAAACACTCCTCGGCAAATGCAAAAGAACAGAAATCCTAACAAACAGTCTCTCAGACCAAATGCAGTCAAATTAGAACTCAGGATTAAGAAACTCACTCAAAACCTCACAACTACATGGAAACTAAACAACCTGCTCCTGAATGACTACTGGGTAAATAATGAAATTAAGGCAGAAATAAGTAAGTTCTTTGAAACCAATAAAAACATAATGTACCACAATCTCTGGGACACAGCTAAAGCCATGTTTAGAGGGAAATTTATAGCACTAAAATGCCCACAGGAGAAAGTGGGAAAGATCTAAAATCGACATCCTACCATCACAATTTAAAGAACTAGAGAAGCAAGAGCAAACAACTTCAAAAGCTAGCAGAAGACAAGAAATAACTAAGATCAGAGCAGAACTGAAGGAGACAGAGACACTAAAAACCCTTCAAAAAATCAGTGAATTCAGAGCTGGTTTTTGGAAAAGATCAACAAAATACATAGACCATTAGCCAGACTAATAAAGAAGAAAAGAGAAGAATCAAATAGACACAATAAAAAATGAGAAAGAGAATATCACCACTGATCCCACAGAAATACAAACTACCATTAGAGAATATTATAAACACCTCTATGCAAATAAACTAGAAAAATCTAGAAGAAATGAATAAATTCCTAGACACATAGAGCCTCCCACAACTAAACCAGGAATAAGCCAAATCCTTGAATAGACTATTAACAGTTCTGAAATTGAGGCAATAATTAATAGCCTACCAACAAAAAAAAAGCCCAGGACCAGATGGATTCACAGCCGAATTCTACAAGAGGTACAAAGAGGAGCTTGTACCATTCCTTCTGAAATTATTCCAAACAATAGAAAAAGAGCAACTCGTAACTAACTCATTTTATGAGGCCAGCACCATCCTGATACCAAAACCTGGCAGAGACACACCAAAAAAAGAAAATTTCAGGCCAATAACCCTGATGAACACTAATGAAAAAAATCTTCAATAAAATACTGGCAAACCGAATCCAGTAACACATCAAAAAGCTTATCCACCATGATCAACTCAGCTTCATCCCTGGGATGCAACACTGGTTCAACATATGCAAATCAATCATCCATCATATAAACAGAACCAATGACAAAAAACAAATGATGATCTCAATAGATGCAGAAAAGGCCTTCGATAAAATTCAACAGCACTTCATGCTAAAAACTCCATAAACTAGGGGTTGATGGAATGTATCTCAAAATAATAAAAACTATTTATGACAAACCCACAGCCAATATCATACTGAATGGGCAAAACCTGGAAGCATTCCTTTTGAAAACCGGCACAAGAAAAGGAGGCCCTCTCACACCACTCCTATTCAACATAGTATTGGAAGTTCTGGCCAGGGCAATCAGGCAAGAGAAAGAAATAAGGGGTATTCCAATAGGAATAGAGGAAGTCAAACTGTCTCTGTTTGCAGATGACACGATTGTATATTTACAGAACCCCATCGTCTCAGCCCAAAATCTCCTTAAGCTGATCAGCAACTTCAGCAAAGTCTCAGGATATAAAATCAATGCGCAAAAATCACAAGCATTCCTATACACCAATAATAGACAAACAGAGAGCCAAATCATTAGTGAAACCCCATTCACAATTGCTACAAAAAGAATAAAATACCGAGGAATCCAGCTTACAAGGGATGTGAAGGACCTCTTCAAAAAGAACTACAAACCACTGCTCAAGGAAATAAAAGAGGACACAAACAAATAGAAAAACATTCCATGCTCATGGATAGGAAGAATCAATATCGTGAAAATGGCCATACTGCCCAAAGTAATTTATAGATTCAATGCTATCCCCATCAAGCTACCATGGACTTCCTTCACAGAATTAGAAAAAAACTACTTTAAATTTCATAAAGAACCAAAAAGGAGCCCTTAGAGCCAAGACAATCCTAAGCAAAAAGAATAAAGCTGGAGGCATCACGCTACCTGACTTCAAACTATACTATAAGGCTACAGTAACCAAAACAGCATGGTACTGGTACCAAAACAGATATATAGACCAATGGAACAGAACAGAGGCCTCAGAAATAACGCCACACATCTACAACCACATGATCCTTGACAAACCTGACAAAAACAAGCAATGGGGAAAGGATTCCCTATTTAATAAATGGTGCTGGGAAAACTGGCTAGCCATATGCAGAAAACTGAAACTGGACCCCTTTTTATACCTTATACAAAAGTGATCTCAAGATGGATTAAAGACTTAAACATAAGACCTAAAACCATAAAAACCCCAGAAGAAAACCTAGGCAATACCATTCAGGACATAGGCATGGGCAAAGACTTCATGACTAAAACACCAAAAGCAATGGCAACAAAAGCCAAAATTAACAAATGGGATCTAATTAAACTAAAGAGCTTCTGCACAGCAAAAGAAACTATCATCAGAGTGAACAGGCAACCTATAGAATGGGAGAAAAGTTTTGCAATCTATCCATCTGACAAATGGCTAATATCCAGAATCTACAATGAACTTAAACAAATTTACAAGAAAAAAATCAAAAAGTGGGCAAAGGATATGAACAGGCACTTCTCAAAAGAAGACATTTATGTGGCCAACAAACATATGAAAAAAAGGTCATCATCACTCGTCATTAGACAAATGCAAATCAAAACCACAATGAGATACCATCTCACACCAGTTAGAAAGGTGATCATTAAAAAGTCAGGAAACAACAGATGCTGGAGAGGATGTGGAGAAATAGGAACGTTTCTACACTGTTGGTGGGAGTGTAAATTAGTTTAACCATTGTGGAATACAGTGTGGCGATTCTTCAAGGATCTAGAATCAGAAATACCATTTGACCCAGCAATCCCATTACTGGGTATATACCCAAAGGATTATCAACCATTCTATTATAAAGACACATGCACATGTATGTTTACTGCAGCACTATTCACAATAGCAAAGACTTGGAACTGACCCAAATGCCCATCAATGACAGACTGGATTAAGAAAATGTGGCACATATACCCCATGGAATACTATGCAGCCACAAAAAAGGATGAGTTCATGTCCTTTGCAGGGACATGGATGAAGCTGGAACTCGTCATTCTCAACAAACTAACACAAGAACAGAAAACCAAACACCACATGTTCTCACTCATAAGTGGGAGTTAAACAATGAGAACACATGGACACAGAGAGGGGAACATCACACTCCAGGGCCTGTCAGCGGGTGGAGGGCTAGGGGAGGGATAGCATTAGGAGAAATACCTAATGCAGATGATGGGTTGATGAGTGCAGCCAACCCCCATGGCACATGTATACCTATGTAACAAACCTGCATGTTCTGCACATGTATCCCAGAACTTAAAGTATAATTCATAAAAAAGAAAGAAAGAAAGAAAGAAAATTGTAAAGCTGAATTTGCAAAGCAAGGACACTGTTTTTAGTTCTATTGTAAATGATAGGGACAGAAGGTAGGGAAATTCTGGGCAGAGGAGAGGGGATCCCCAGCTAGGGACCCATCTTCAAGCTGAAAAGCCTGGAACTGCAGCCCAAAGTGAGAACATACATCCTGGTTTTCCCACTCAAATGCTGTCTTTTCCAAAACTACCAGTGGCCTGCCCTGCCCCCATCCTGTGCCTTTAAAATCCCCAGAACTCAGACTGGAGAGTGAAGAAGAAGCTGGAAATTAGAGACTACAGTTGGATGTCAGAGAGAAGCAGTTTGACTTTAGAGGGACAGCTTGATGGCATGGCTTCGGAGAGGAGTCTGGCCAGGGACAGCCAGACTCCAGGGGAAGATTACCTTCCCACTCCATCTCCTTTTCAGCTCCCCTTCCTTCCTGCTGAGAGCCACTTTCATCAACAATAAAAATCTCCTGCACTTACCATGTCCAATTCATTCATGTGACCTCATTACTCCTGGACACCAGACAAGAACTTGGGTGCCATGACTGCAGGTGTAAAAGGCTGTCATGCTGATCCTCCACTGAGCTGTTAACACTTAAGCCATCCATGGATGGCAAAGCTAAAAGGCCACTGTAACACTTCTTCTGGGGCTTCAGGGGTCACAGACACCCCACTAGACACTGCCGCAAGGCCCACAGGGAATTGCTCTACCGGATCCCAAAAACACTCACCCCAGCTCCTGCACTTGCTCACCTGCGCTCTGCCTCCTGCGAGGGGTGGAATGCAGTGGGACCAAGGGAGTAGAGTCCACCCCTGCTGCTGGCACCAAAGCAGCCGGCTAGTTCTAGCACCCGCGCACTGCAGTTCCCACACACGAAGGGGTCAAGGAAATATCCTGCTTCACAAATACAGGAACTTTTGTGTTGATGCTGTGCTTGCAAAGCAAATATGCTTTTTTTTAAACATATATTGTATTGTTTGGAAATAGCTCTTCAGGAGGCTGATGAAGATATAAAGGACCTTAAAAACCCCCTTCTCCCATCACCTCCAGCCATCTTTTAGGCCATCGATCATTATCCTCCATGACAATGCATTCTTAGATTATGTTAATATCTATATTGATATCCTTCTTTCCTCATAACCTATTTCCTCCTCCATAATGTTTACCATAAGAGAAATTACAAGTTACAAACTGCTCATTCCCCACCAACTAATTTTGACAAAAATGCAATTTTCTTTAATCAAGAGAGCCACATACATTGGTTAATGCTGGAGCCAGACTGCCTGTGTTCAGGCAGTTGCATGACCTTGGGCAAATTCCTTTTATCCCATTTGTGCCTCTGCTTCTTCAGTTATAAAATGAGGATAAGAATAGAAATCTACCCCCAAGTATTAGTGTAAAAATTAAATGAGTTAATAACTGCTCTAAACTAAGTGATATACAAAGGTTCACTATTATCACTAAAGTTTAAATGGTACCATCTTATACATATGCAGCATTTATATAGGCTACTTTTCTATAAGCAACTGTCTCACCATCAAGTCCTCTAGATATTTGGTAATTAAGTCCCACTTATGTGTGCCCCAAATCTACTGTTATTCAATTTTGATCTGTTGTAAAGTGTTATTTTATCATCCATTCTATAAATATTCACTGAGTACTTACAATGTGCCAGAAATTGTGCTAGGAGTTGAGAATATAATAGTGAATAAAAACAGATATTACCCATCCTTTTGCAATGCTTACATACAGTGGGAGAGAGCACCACAAATCCAATAATCATAAAACAAACAGAAAAAATTAACTATAAAAAATGCTAAATGCTACAAGGTGAGGCGTATGATGCTATAAGAAAACCAACTTACCAAAAGTCAATTTGCATAAAGCCAACTTGCCCAAAAGTCAGTTTTCCAAATGACTGATTCACTGAATTTCCTAACGGAAAATTCACTGAAAGCTAGTTTGCCAAAAGCCAATTTCTAGAAAATCAATTTGATAAAGAGTAGTCTGCCAAATCATCATTTCACCAAATGAGCAATTCACTGAATTATTGAGGATTTTTTGAAGTCTTAATTTCACAGACATTTAATGCATCCTTTCATGACAGCTCTTTAACCCTGAATTTGACTGTCTGTCTGGGCTGAATGTCAATTCCATGTTCTCACATTTCAAATGCCAATCCCTTCGCTAATGCTCAGCGATCCAGTACTCCAATGTAAGCAAATGGTGGGCTTCTCACAGTTACTGTCTTCAGAATTAGGCTTCTGCTTATCCCTGTCACTGCCAGAAAGACAGCTGCAAAGAACCATCCTAGACTAGGATGATGAATGGATTTTCTGCAAATTGTCTACTGCCAAATTTGCTTTCAGCAAATTGGTCATTTATGGAATTAACTCTCACTTAACTGTTCCTCAGTGAAATTACCTAGAGCCAATGTGTTGAGAGCCTACAACTGGGGAATTTGGCCTTGTCAGACAAATAAAAGAAGGCTTCACTGAGGAAAAAAAAATAACTGAACTAAGGTCAGAAGGATAAATAAACCAGGCAAAAGAGAAAGGAAAGAATGCCTAAGCAAAGAGAAGAGAATATGCAAAGGCCACTTGGAGAGGAAGCAGTGGAATTATTGGGGTTGCAAAAAGGCCAGTGTGGCTGAAGTACACAGAACAAGGCAGAGAATAGTGTGAATTGAGGCTAGAAATAAAGTTAGGGGCTAGACCATACTGTGCCTTATAGACCATAATAAAGACTGCTGTTCTCATTTTAAGAATTGAAATTCTTAACATATTTTAAGTAAGATATAAAATAATTAGACTTGCATATTCTCTTTTTTTTATTTTTTATGGGTACAAAATAGTTGTATATATTTATAGGGTACATGAGGTGTTTCAACATGGGCATGCAATGCATCACAGTCATCATGTAAAACAGGGTATCCCTCCCCCTCAAGCATTCATCGTTTGTGTTACAAACAATCCAGTTATACTATTTTATTTTTAAGTCTACGATTAAATTATTATTGACTATGGTCACTTTGTTGTGCTATCAAATACTAGGTCTTATTTATTTATT
Source organism: Homo sapiens (assembly GCF_000001405.40). Taxonomy (NCBI): domain Eukaryota; kingdom Metazoa; phylum Chordata; class Mammalia; order Primates; family Hominidae; genus Homo; species Homo sapiens. Next base: position 143,149,599 of record NC_000004.12, read on the forward strand.
TATTTATTATCCATTAACCATCCCCACCTTCCCCCAACCCTTCCACTATCCTTTCCAGCCTCTGGTAACCATCTTTCTACTTTCTATCTCATGAGTTCAATTCTTCTGATTTTTAGATCCCACAAACAAGGGAGAATATGTCATGTTTATCTTTCTGTACCTGGTTTATTTCACTTAGCATAATCACCTCCAGTTCCACACATGCTGCTGGAAATGACAGATTGTTATTCTTTTATATGGCTAAATAGTACTCCATTGTGTATAAGTACCACATTTTCTTTATCCACTCATCTGTTCATGGACACATAGGTTGCTTCCAATTTTTGGCTATTGCAAATAGTGCTGCAACAAACATTAGAGTGCAGATATCTCTTTGATATACTGATTTCCCTTTGATATACTGATTTCCTTTCTTTTGGGTATGTACCCAGCAGTGGGATTGCTGGATTATATCTATTTTTAGTTTTTTGAGGAACCTCCATACTGTTCTCCATAGTGGTTGCACTAATTTACATTCCCACCAACAGCATATGAGGGTTCCCTTTCCTCCACATCCTCACCAGCATTTATTATTGCCTGTCTTTGTATAAAAGCCATTTTAAACGGGGTAAGAGGATATTTCATTGTGGTTTTGATTTGCATTTCCCTGATGATCAATGATATTGAGCACTTTTTCATATGCCTGCTTGCCATTTGTATGTCTTCTTTTGAGAAATGTCCTTTCAAATCTTTTGCCCATTTTTTACATCAGATTATTAGCTTTTTTCCTGTAGAGTTGTCTGAGCTCCTTACATATCCTGGTTATTAATCCTTTGTCAAATGAGTAGTTTGCAAATATTTTCTCCCATTCTGTGGGTTGTCTCTTCACTTTGTTGATTGTTTCCTTTGCTGTGCAGAAGCTTTTTAACTTGATTCCATTTGTCCATTTTTGCTTTGGTTGCCTTTGCTAATCAGGTATTACTGAGGAGATCTTTGCCCAGATCGATGTCCTGGAGAGTTTCTTCAACGTCTTCTTGTAGCAGTTTGATAGTTTCAGGTATTACATTTAAGTCTTTAATACATTTTGATTTGTTTTTGTATGTGGTGAGAGATAGGGGTCTAGTTTCATTCTTCTACGTATGGATATCCAGTTTTCCCAGCATCATTTATTGCAAAAACTGGCTTTTCCCCAGTGTACATTCTTGGCACCTTTGTCAAAAATGAGTTCACCGTAGGTGTGCAGATTTGTTTCTGTGTTCTCTATTCCATTTTACTGATCTACGTGTCTGTTTTTATGCCAGTACCATGCTCTTTTGGTTACTATAGCTCTGTAGTATAATTTGAAGTTAAGGTAATGTAATTCCTCCAGTTTTGTTCTTTTTCCTTAGGAAGGTTTTGGTCATTCTAGGTCCTTTGTATTTCCATATAAACTTTAGAGCTGTTTTTTCTATTCCTGCAAAGAATGTCATTTGTATTTTGATAGAGATTGCATTGAATCTGTAGATTTCTTTTGGTAGTATGCACATTTTAACTATAGTGATTCTTCCAATTCATGAACTTGGATATTTTCATTTTTTGGTGTCCTCTTCAATTTCTTTCATCATAGTTTTATAATTTTCATTATAGACATCTTTCACTTCTTTGGTTAATTCCTAGGTATTTAATTCTTTATAATTTATAAATTTCTTTTTCAGATTGTTCATTGTTGTCACATAGAAATGCTATGATTTATGTATGTTGATTTTGTATCCTGCAACTTTACTGAATTTCTTTATCAGTTCTAATCGATTTTTGGTGGTTTTTAGGTTTTTCCAAATATAAGATCATATCATCTGCAAACAAGGATAATTTGACTTCTTCCTTCCCAATTTGGATGCCCTTTATTTCTTTCTCTTGTCTGACTGCTGTAGCTAGGACTTCCAGTAATACGTTTAATAACAGTGGTGAAAGTGGGCATCCTTGTCATATTCCAGATCTTAGAGGAAAGGCTTTCAGGTTTTGCCTATTCAGTATGATACTAGCTGTGGGTATGTCATATATAGCTTTTATTATGACATACTTATTATGTTGAGGTATGTTCCTTCTATACCCAGTTTTTGTGGAATTTTATCATGAAGAGATGTTAAATTTTATCAAATGCCCTCTCAGCATCAATTGAAATGATCATATGTTTTTTGTCTTTCATTATGTTGATATACTGCACTGATTGATTTACATATGTTGAACCATCCTTGCATCTCTGGGATAAATCCCACTTGGTCATGATGAATGATCTTTTTAATGTGTTGTTGAATTCAGTCTGCTAGTATTTTATTGAGAATTTATGCATCAATATACATCAGCAATATTAGCCTGCAGTTCTCTTTTTTTATGTATTTTCTTCCCTATTATTTGGAATAGTTGAGTAGGATTGGTATTAGCTCTTCTTTAAATGTTTGGTAGAATTCAGCAATGAAGCCATCTGGCCTGGGCTTTGCTTTACTGGAAGATTTTTGATTATGGCTTCAACCTCCTTACTTGTTATTGGTCTGTTCAGGTTTGGGATTTTTTTAATGGCTCTATCTTTGTAGGTAGTATGTGTCTAGGAATTTGACCATTTCTTCTAGATTTGGCAATTCATTGGCAAATAGTTATTCAAATAATTTTGGTAGTATGCACATTTTAACAACACTGACTTTAACAATATTTCACTACTGATAGTAGCCGCTAATAATCCTTTGAATTTCTGCAGTATCAGTTGTAATGTGTCCTTTTTCATCTCCAATTTTATTTATTTGGTTCTCTCATTTTTTAGTTAATCTGACTAAAGCTTTGTGAATTTGGTTAAATTTTCAAAACACAACTTTTTTATTGATCTTTTGTGTTATTTTCTTCATTTCAATTTTATTTATTTCTGCTCTGATCTTTATTATTTATTTTTTCTACTAATTTTGAGTTTGGTTTGCTCTTGTTTTTCTAGTTCTTTAAGATGTATCATTAGGGTGTTTACTTGAAGTTTTTCTTCTTTTTTATTATAGGCATTTATAGCCATAAACCTTCCCTCTTAGTATTGCTTGTGCTGTATCCCATAGGTTTTGGTATGTTGTGTTTTCATTATCATTTTTTTCCAGAAATGTTTCATTTTCCTTCTTAATTTCTTCATTGGCCCACTGGTCATTCAGAAGTATATTGTTCAATTTCCATGTATATATATAGTTTCCTAAATTCTTCCTGTTACTGATTTCTATTTTTCTTCTTTTGTGATCAGAGAAGATGCTTGATGTGATTTTGATTTTTTTTTTGAAAGTTTTAAGACTTTTTTTGGGACCTAACATAGAGTCTTCTCTTGAAAATGATCCATGTGCTGAGAATAGGAATCTATATTCTGCAGCCATTAGATTAAATGCTCTGTAAATATCTATTAGGTCAATTTGGTCTATAGTGCAGAGTAAGTCCAATGTTTCTATGTTGATTTTCTGTCTGAAAGATCTGTCCAATCCTGAAAGTAGGGTGTTGATGTCACCAGCTATTTTTGTGTTGGGGCCTATCTCTCTCTTTAACTCTAATAATATTTGACTTATATATCTAGGTGCTGGAGTATTGGGTGCATATATACTTTAAATTGTGATATCCTCTTTATCTTTATGTCATGACCTTGTATCTTCTTACAGTTTGCATCTTGAAATCTATTTTGTCTGATATAAATACAGCTACTCCTGCTCTTTTTTTTTTTTTTTTGGTTTCCATTGGCGTGGAGTATCTTTTTCCATCTCTTTATTTTCAGTCTGTGTGTCTTCAAAGGTGAAGTGTGTTCCCCTTTATTTTCAGTCTGTGTGTCTTCAAAGGTGAAGTGTATTTCTTGTAGGCAATAGATCATAGAGTCTTGGTTTCTTATTCATTTTTAGCCTCTCTATGTCTTTTGATTAAAGAGTTTAGTCCATTTACATTCAATGTTATTATCGATAAGTAAGGACTTACTCTTGCCATTTGGTTATTTGTTCTCTGGTTGTTTTGTGGTCTTCTCTTCCTTCTTTCCCTCCAGGCATGGTTTGGCTGTGTCCCCACACAAATCTTATCTTGAATTGTAATTCCCACAATTCCCACATGTCGTGGGAGGGACCCAGTGGGAGGTAGCTGAATCATGGGGGCAGATCTTTCTTATGCTGCTCTATCAATAGTGAATAAGTCTCACAAGATCTGATGGTTTTAAAAAGAGGAGTTCCCCTGCACAAACTCACTCTTTGCCTGTCGTCATCCATGACATGACTTGCTCCTCCTTGCCTTCCACCATAATTGTGAGGTCTCCCCAGCCACGTGGAACTGTAAGTCCATTAATCCTCTTTTTCTTCCCAGTCTCGGGTATGTCTTTATCAGCAGCATGAAAATGGACTAATCCACCTCCTGTCTTCTTTTTAGTGAAGGAGATTTTCTCTGGTGATATATTTAGCTTCCTGCTTTTTAGGTTTTTTGTTTTTGTATCCATTATATGTTTTTGGTTTGAGGTTACCATGAGGCTTGCAAATACTATCTTATAACCCCTTGCTTTAAGCTGACAACAACTTAACACTGATTGCATAAACAAAGAAACAAATGAGCAAAAAGAAAACTAATAAAGACTCTATGCCTTAACTTTATCTCCCTGCTTTTTAACTTTTTGTTGTTTCTACTTTATATCTTTTTGCACTAGGTCTTGAAAAGTTGTTATTATTTTTGATTGGTTCATAATTTAGTCTTGCTACTTAAAATAAAAGTAGTTTACACACCACAGTTACAGTGTTATAATATTCAGTGTTTTTCTGTGTACTTACTATTACCAGTGAGCTTTTTACCTTCAGATGATTTCTTACTGCTCATTAACATCCTTTTCTTTCTGATTGAAGTGCTCCCTTTAGCCTTTCTTGTAGAACAGGTTTGGTGTTGATGAAATTCCTCAGCTTTTGTTTGTCTGGAAAACTATTTTTTTCTCCAAGTTTGAAGGACATTTTCACTAGACATATTATTCCACAGTAAAAGTTCATTTTCTTCAGCACTTTAAATATGTCACACCACTCTCTCCTGGCCTGTAAGGTTTCCACTGAAAAGTCTGCTGTCAGACATATTGGAACTCAATTGTATGTTGTTTCTTTTCTCTTGCTCTGTTTAGGATCTTTTCTTTAGCCTTGACTTTTGGTAGTTTGATTAAATGCCTTGAGGGAGTCTTCTTTGGGTTAAATCTCCTTAGTGTTCTGTAATTTTCTTGTACTTGCATGTTGATATCTTTCTCTAGGTTTGAGAAGTCCTCTGTTATTACTCCTCTGAATAAACTTACTATCCCTTTCTCTTTTCCTACCTCCTCTTTAAAGCCAATAATTCTTATTTTTGTCCTTTTGAGGCTATTTTCTAGATCCTGTAGCCATGCTCAATTGTTTTTTATTATCTTTCTTTTGTCTCCTCTGACTGTTTTCAAATACCCTGTCTTCAAGCTCACTCATTCCTTCTTCTGCTTGAACAATTCTATTAAGACTCTAGTGCATTCTTCAGCATGCCAGTTGCATTTTTCAGCTCCAGAATTTCTGCTTGTTTTAATTATTTCAATCTCTTTGTTAAATTTATCTGATAAAATTATGAAGTCCTTTTCTGTATTACCTTGAATTTGAGTTTCCTCAAAAACTGCTATTTTGAATTCTCTGTCTGAAAGGGCACATATCTCTGTTTCTCCAGGATTGATCCCTGGTGCCTTATGTTGTTCATTTGGTGAGGCTATGTTTTCCTGGATGGTGTTGATGCAAGTAGATGTTCTTCTGTGTCTGGGCACTGAAAAGTTAGGTATTTATCGTAGTCTTCTCAGTCTGAGCTTGTTTGTACCCATTCTTCTTGGGAAGACTTTCAGATAGTTGAAAGAACTTGGATGTTGTGATCTAAACCGTATCTGCTTTAGAGGGCACCCCAAGCCCAGTAACACTGGTTCTTGCAGACTCAGAGGAGTAGCACCTTAATGATCTTGGATAAAATCCAGGGAAATTCTTTGGATTACCAGGCAAAGACTTTTGTTCTTTTCCCTTACTTTCTCCCAAATGAATGGAGTCTCTCTCTCTCTCTCTCTCTCTCTCTCTCTCTCTCTGTTCTGAGCCACCTGGAGCTGAGGGTGGAGTGATACAACCACCCACCACCACCACTAGGACTGTGCTGGGTCAGACCTAAAGCCAGCACAGCAGTGAGTTTTGCCGAAGTCCTGCTGTAACAACTCCCTGGCTATGGCTTATGTTCACTCAAGGCCCTGGGGCTCTACAATCAGCAGGTGGCAAAGCCAGCCAGGCCCGTGTCTTTCCTTTCAGGTTGGTGAGTTCCCCCAGGCCCTGGGCACGTCCAGAGGTGCCATATGGGAGCCAGGGACTAGAGTCAAAAATCTTAGAGGTCTACCTGGTGTTCTATTGTACTGCAACTGGGCTGCCACTCAAACAAGATGTAGTCCCTCCCCTTTCTAAAGGCAGATAAGCCTCACCCTGTGCCCACCACCACCACAAGCCCATGAGGTGTACTTCCACATTGCCACCAATGTTTTCTTAAGGCCCAAGGGCTACTTAGTCAGCTTGCAGTGAATGCCGCCAGGCCTGGGACTCCACCTTCAGGGTAGTGGGCTCACCTCTGGCCCAGGGCAGGTCCATGAATGCCACCCAAGGACCAAGTCCTGGAATTGGAGACCCCAAGAGCCTACTTGGTCCTCCACCCTCTTGTGACTGTGCTGGTACCTAAGGTGCAAGACAAAGTCTCCTTTACTTTTCCTCTGATTTTCTCAGGTAGGAGTCTCAACCCATAACCACCACAGCTGGGAATGTGCTGAGTCTCACCTGAAGCCAGCACATCCCAGAGTGTCACCCAAGGCCCTTGATGTAGTACTTGGGTATCACTGCTGGTTATTCAGGGCCCAAGGGCTCTTCAGTTAGCAGGTAATTAATTCTGCCAGAACTGGATTCTTCCTTTCAAGGCAATGGGTTTCCTTCTGGCCCAAGGTATGTCTAGAAATGTCATCTATGAGCTAGAACCTAGAAAGGGGACCTCAAGACTCTGACAGTGCCCTATCCTATTATGGCTTAGCTAATATCCAAGATGCAAGAGAAAGTCCTCCCCACTCTTTCCTCTCCTCTCCTCAAGTAGAGGGAAGGGGTCTCTTTCGGAGCTATGAGCTGTGCAGCCTGGAGTTAGTGGAGAGATGATGCCAGCACTCCTTTAGCCACCCAACCTGGTGTTTCAGTAGGTCACATGTCCCTCCATTCCCCCATCTCTGGGCCCAGTTCAGCATTAGGACTTGCCTAGGAGTTACAGTCCTTGTGGCCTAGACTGCTCTTCAAGTTTATTTGGAGCCCCAGAGCACTTTATCCAGTGGTGGTGAGGCTTGCAGGAACTCAAGTTCAGACTGCTGGCTTTGGAAACTCCCTTCTGGCTAGGGTTGGTTTAAATACTCCCTCCTTGAGTGGGCATAAGCTCAGTCTTGTTTTCTGCTATAATAGGGCAACACTCAGTTCAATGACCCATAATTGCCCAATCTCCCTCTTCGCAGCACACAGCAATGCTCTCCACACCACACCGCCACTGCCAGGAGATGGAAAAGGGTGGCATTGCTGATTTAAGACTTTCCCCACATCTTCTTACCCATTTCAGCCATATGAAGTTAAAACCAGGTACTGTGAGTGCTCACCTGATTTTTGGTTCCTATGAGGATGATTTTTGTGTTTAGTTAAATTGGTGTCCTCGTGGAGGGGACAATCAGTGGAGCCTTCTATTCCACCATCTTACTCAGCCCAGGACCCAAACTGGCATTTTGAAAAGATTTTGTAAGTGTTGTGGAGACTGGATTTTAAGTGTGTTCTAATTTAGGGTATTTTCTCACCTGGAAATATATTATTTCAGTAGTTAAGGAGAGATAATATAGTACTTGGATGAAGGGATAAGGGAAAAGTAAAGCAAAATAAGTCACTTACAGAGTTACTTAGGAAGTAGAAACAACAGTATTTGTTATGGGGGTCTTGGATATGCAGGTGAATAAGAGAAAAGTGTTAGGCTAACTCCCATATTTCTGGTTTGCATAACTAAACAGTGGTGCTGTTCCTGAAAAAGAGAACACAAGAAGAATTGTATAATATTCTCTCTCAATGTATTGAGGTATATATGTCTTCTTTCAAATTTTAAGTTATTGAGATATTAATATGAGTTTGAGAATATTTTACACAATTCATTGCCTTGTATATGTGGATATGCAACGATAATCTTTTTTATACAGCTCCATCATTTACTACTTAGTTTTCTTTATGCAACTAACTTAACCTTCCTGTGCTGTTAAGGAAGGTTAACCTTAAAATGGAAATTGTATTAGTACCTGCCTAGGAAGAACTACTTAGTGATATGCCTGCAATCTATCCTCTCTCTTTAGTAGAGGGAGGGCTTTAGTAAAGAAAAAAGGTGACATAGTTAAATCTTCTTATGAACATTCTGATGACAAACATCCTGGAAAGCACATTAATTTTATTTGCTAGATAGTCCTAATTTCTGGAATGCCATTAGCTGGATTTACTTGGTATATATTGATTGGTTACGGTAAGTACACCTGGAATATAGAGATTTATGTCTCATTGTCCTGGGAAGTGCCATGTAAACTAGTAATATCTGAGTATACAATGGAAAAGTGACATTCATTTTTTAAAAAAACTACCTATTGTGTAAGTAATGTAGCCACATGCATTACGTCTTTAAGGACCTCATATGTTAATCTATGCCAGAGTGAATCCTGATTCATCAAGAAATGATATGAAGAGCAGTGTTATTGGTCCTGGGACTCTTAATGCTAAGCGTATATCTTGTAATTCCTTGTAATAAATATTAGCGAAGAATGATGCAGGGTAAAGTTTTTAACTTTTGCGTGTCTGATTTGAGAATACAGTTTATTATGTTAAGATCACTGCCTCAGAAGATTGTTTGGGGATTAAATTATTTAATATTTGGGAAGAGCTTAAAACAGTGCCAAACTCATTAGCTATTGTTATTAATATATCACTGTAATCCTAAGGAACAATAAGAGCTATAGTTTATAAAGTGAATATTATGTGACAGGCATTTATGTGAAGTGCTTCCATGGATTGTCTCGTTAATAATCCAAAAATCCCTATGTTCTGTTTTTATTACCATTTTATATATGAGAAGCCTGAGGCTATATATTTATATATATTATGTGATATATTATATTAATATATATTAATATATATTATATGATATAATATATATTAATATATAATATTTAATTTTCCCAAGGTCATATAGCTAGTAAATTTTGGCATCGACTTTTAAACCCAGGTGATCTAACTCCCCAGTAGAGCTCTTTTTCCTAATTCCAAGTAACCCTGCCTTGCTATACTCTCCTGTCTCTGAAAGTCCATTGGAATGGCCATCATACTATCTTAGCACGATGAAAGTATAATTTATTGACTAGCACCACAATGACCTTAATATGTTAACGCAATTTCTAAATATATGGGACTTCCACCCAGAGAGTTACTAATGTCAGGAGAAATGAGAAATATAGAAAATTACCTATTATTTTTATTCTATTTCTCAGACTGTTATGACCCTTTGATACTCCACTGAGCATAACCCCCTATGCTGCCCCAAAAAGGGATATAAACTGTTATAAAACAATTAAACTAATGAAACTAAAGTTTCCAGAAGAATATCAATAGTTTTGGTGAGTTTCTTTTTTCTCTCTGTGCTCCCAGATTATGCAAGCTATTTCATCTCCTGTTTTCTTATAAATAACAATAAGAATAAGCAAAGAAAAAAGAAGTACAAGCCAACTCTATAACCTTTGCCAACAGCACTAATTAGATGAACATATATGACCAAAATATTATTTTTGGAATGTAAAAGAGTATTGATTTGATTTAAAATTATATTTAGGAATGACATAGGCATGCCACCCCATATTACACAAATGATCATTATAAGCTATAGGTACTCAAATTAGTCTTATTCCATTTTATTCATTAAAAATAACCATTTTAAAAAACCTATAGATTGTATATTAAATCATATTCCCATGAATTTACATAATATCAACCTACATAATATCGAGAATAAAATGATTAAACAGGCAGGGTGCAGTGACTCATGCCTGTAATCCCAGCACTTTGGGAGGCCAAGGCAGGTGGATCACCTGAGGTCAGAAGTTTGAGACCAGCCTGGCCAACATGGTGAAACCCCGTCTCTATAAAAAATACAAAAATTAGCCAGGCATGGTGGCCCATGTCTGAAATCCCGGCTACTCACGAGGCTGAGGCAGGAGAATCACTTGAGCCAGGGAAGTGGAGGTTGCAATGAGCTGAGATCGCACCACTGCACTCCAGTGTGGGCAACAGAGTGAGACTCCGTCAAAAAAAAAAAAATTATTAAACAATATCCCTGAAGGTAATGCAGGCAAATGGAAGACTATCTAATAATGTTACTCAGAAAGCACTGTAGTGGCCATGTTTCTGCCTATCATAATTGTTTTTAGTCTAGATATCAATCATGAACAAGTTTTCCTGCCAAGGGGAGTAGATAGCCTCTGCCACTGCAGAAAACGAGTGCACAGCAGCCATATTAGAAAAATACTACACTTTAGTTCTAAGGCTATAGGTGTGCAGAGGTAATGACATTTCTGGAAATAATAAGGTCTTTGATATAAAATACCACCATTCCATGGCAGATTTGGAAGTGATAAGAACCCTCCAATGGAATATTAGGAGGACATGGTAGAAAAGAAATCTAGATTGCACCAGAACAAAGATAAATACTTGCTACAGAAGAAATGGAAATTGACATCACTATCCCATTTGTGAAGAACTTATATTTAATTTTATACATCTATACATAACTCGACTGTACATGAAAATACATGTTTGTTGTTTTTAAAAATCCTGATGTGAAGAATTTCTTTCCCTAAGCACTGTTAGAAAGAGATCCCAGAACTGAAAGGACCTATTCGAAGGGGCCATCTGCCATTGGCCCTTAGCATCCTGCACATTCTTTTATGATGTGCCAAGAATGCAAGGCCCTGACCACTTCTGGTCCAGAACATTTCTCAAGGTTGAGATTGTAGTAAGCAACTTTGAGTGATAAAGTAATGCCTCCACCCCAGAAAAAAGAGCAGTCTTGCTTATTATTCACTATAAAAGCTGCGGAACCCCAAGTTCAGTGTTGCTGTCTTGTAACACGACTTACTGCATGGCTTCCAGCTGGTCCTCTGTGTCGCCCACATGAGAATGAGAAACAAGGTGAACCAATACAAACATACTGATGCTCCTGCTTCTTACTGTAATAAGTAATAATGTACTTCCTCTCTGACCCAGGAAACACATGTCTTCCATCAGCATGGATGAAACAGTAACAGGCTAACTTTTTAGCTTGTGGGCATGGTAAAATAAAATCCCAGAACAGACAAACCCTGCCTGACTCTGTAATAAACATCCCACGGCCCACAATAAACAGCATGAGGTAAATAGCATAGCTCACATGATCTGTTTCTAACATTTAATAATTTTACTGATTTGTTTCAAAAAAATGCCTCCAACAATAACACAAATTGCATTAAAAATTTTCACCGAGGCTCACTAAGGCATGACTCCTGGGCTATCAGAGGCAAGTAAACATTATTTTTCATGCTATTTAAATGGTATAAGGTACGTGTCACTATATAAATTGTTGTTAAAATACGGTGAGCTCCTAAAGGGCAAATAGATAAGATGAATTCAAGTTTGAGGAAAGGAAGATGTCTGTCTGTTGAGGGAAAGCCAGAATGGTAGAGAGAGACTGTTGATACAAGGATATGACTGATGAAGCAACATATCACAGAAGGTGGGGAGGGATGGAAGGTAAAAAAGCATCAGGATTAAGAAAAGGAAGAAAAACATTATACAAAACCTTTTTTTTCTATTGAAGAGGAGACAAATTAAGAAAGTTGTTGTTAACAATCCTCAATCTTTCCAATGCAGTAAGAATGAAGGCTGTTATAAAGAAAGAGAGGCAGGTATGGCATGCTTAGGCACTGGGGAAATAGGAAATATTTAGAGATAAATATAAAACTTTGTTAACAGCACTGAGGGCACAGCTGAGATTGGATAGCATGAATTAACAGTGTAACCACTTAGTCTGGTTTAGACTTATTCTTAACAAAATTTGAAGAGTCTGGGAACTGAAGTAGGAGAGTTGAAATGTAGGGTTGACCCGTAATCTAACTATAAAAATCTAACCAAATTAGATAATGCCTGTGGCCTTTAACTACTGATTAGTTGAAACTCTGTTCTTTTTCTAAGGTCTTTTATTAATCTTATAATAATCTATAGGAAGTTAAAGCTACTGTGAGACATATCATTGGTAAGTATCAAAAAAACTTGGAGTAGAGCAAATGAATCACTTAAATAACTAAAATATGCATCTTCAGTAAGCCAAGCTTAATAATTTATCCTTGCGATCTATCACCTCCAGATGACTTGATCAATAGCATAATATGAAACCTAATTATGAGATATATTAAGACAGAAGAATTTTTTGACTAGACAAAAAAATAGTACTGCCATTGCCTATAAGTTCCACTAAAAGAGGACACACTTTCTTTAGCTTTGCAACAATGTACTTGTAGATTATATTCGAAGTTTCTATTACAAGTCTTTAAAACAAGTCTCATTATCTTTTTATCTCAAACAAACCAATAAACAAACAGAATCCAATTTTTAGCTTTTCCACCAATCCCACCACTCTCTTCTCTTGGGCCCCTTTGTAATAGAGAAATTCTGTAATTAGCACTAATAATTTCACAATTCAGTCACAAGGCCTTCACAAGGCAGACATTTTGCCAACAGGCATTTCACTCATGACTAATCTAAAACCAAGCTTGTCCTTGAATCTGCATTGAGGTTGCACGTTTGTTTCATTATAGCTTCAATTGTGAATTTAAAGCTTTTATTAAAGACTTTCATCAAGATTAAGTTTATTATGCCCTTTATGCCTGTTGATTCTAGTTGCCACAAAAAGTCAAAATCAACTCATCCTCAGGACTCTAATTCCCAAAAGGTTCTGAACATCCCCTTATTTAACTCCATTTCTTATCTCTGCCCAACTCCTGAAATCTTTCCACTATGCTAAGACTCAGACAGTCACCAGCAAAATCACCTCAACATTCACTTAATTTTTACTTGATCAACCCTGTAGCCCTCTTGTCTGCAGCTTACTCAAAAGGTAGATGTTCTTTCCCTCAAACTCTACTGCTATTGGGTCTAGAGATTAAGAAGGTGACATTCTTATTACTTGTTACTCCTTCCAGACTATTCCGCCTCCCTCCTTCATTTAGATTTTATTAAATCAAACTATAGCGCTATCAACCTTTCCCTGATGCAGTGCTCAAACAACCTCCAAGTCACTCTCCTTCTACCTCATATCCTCAAGATTGTAGCTCCTGACTCACTGATACTGTCACAAACCTTATTCCTGTCATAATTCTCGGCTGACTTCAATGTCCACATAAATTACCTTTCCAGTATATTGTCACACAGTTCTTTGACTTGATCTCCTTTAATGGTTTTGCCCTCCCCCCTCTTCCAGCCACTTACTCTCATGGTCATAACTAAATGTCATTCCCAATAACTACAGCCCCTCTATCATTTCAATTTAAAACATTCGGTTTTCTGAGCACCAACTCCTATCTTTCCAGCTCACTCCCTCTAGTTGGAATTTGGAGAATTCCAACAACCCTCTGACCTACCAGAACCTGTAATTCATTGATCCTAACATCTTTTTATTGTCCTTCGCCCCTTATATTATTTACTCACTTCATTTTTATTCAGCTTAAATTCCGTGGTCCATCATAATCCCTCCCTTGCATACAGCCTAACTTTCCTGCCCTTAGCTTGCTTCCTTGTACTTGGCTAAGACACCACCCTGGTTCTGTCCAACTCTCTACCTATTCCATGCTTACACCTGTACACCTGTACATGTGAACGCAGCTGGAGGAAAACAAAATGAACAAATTGACTGGTATCACTAACTTCAAACAGGCCCTTAATGCTGGCTAGGAATTATACTTATTTCCAGTGTTCTAAACAACTATTACATCACTTCACCTCTCTCTTAAAATCTCCATCTCTTCCTCTGTCAGTCTCATTCTCAACTGATGATCTTGCTTTTTATTATACTGAGAAAATAGAAGCAATCACCACAGGCACATTCACTCACCTACAATGAGTGAATTTTGTTCATTCTCCTAGCAAAGGAAAACCACTTAATTTGCATGCTACATTCTTTCTTGCCTACTTAAGGGCATTGTCTCAGCAACTTTTCTTTCTTTCTCTAGCATCAATAATTTTTCTTCCTCTTCTAAGTTTTTTATCCATTAGCCCAACAAACATACTTTTTTTCTATTCTTAAAATAAAACTTTTGCTTGATCCTACTTCACTCTATAGCTACCACTCCCATTTTTTCCTTTCCTTTGGTAAGTCTCCTTGAAATGAGTGTTTACATTTGCTGTCACTACTTTCCCATTTTCTCCTGAGCTTACCATTAGGCTTTAATACTCACCACTCCATCCAACTGTTAATCTTTATGTTGTTAAACCCAGTGATCTATTCTTAATCCTCATCTTATTAGACTATTTAGCAATAGGTGACACAGCTAATTATCTTCCTTACATGGCTTCCAGGATACCACACTCTCTTGGTTTTCCTCCAACCTCACTGGTTACTCCTTCAAAGTTTCCTTTGTTCCCTCCTTGCTATGGTCTGAATGTATGTGTCTTCTTGAAAATTTACAGTTGAAACCTAACTCTAAGAGGATGGTATTAAAAGGTGGGGTCTTTGGGAGGTGACTAGGTAATGAGGACAGTGTCCTCATGAATGAGATTAGTGCTCCTATAAAAGCAGCTCAAGGGAGCCCCCAGCTCTTTCCATGTGACCATGTGAGGACTCCACAACAAGGCACTGACATTAAAGAGAGCTGTCACCAGACTTCAAATCTGCTGATGCCTTTATCTTGGATTTGCCCACCTCCAGAACAATGAGAAATAAATTTCTATTGTTTATAAATTACTCAGTCTAAGGTATTCTGTTATAGCAGCTCAGATGAACTATGACACCCCTTTTCTCTCAAATATCTTAATGCTGGAGTTCTTAACTTAGAGCTAGATCTCTTCTAATTTCTTTAGTGATCTCAATTACATTGTGCCTGAAATATCACCATGTGTGAATAACTTGAATTTTATCTCTAGCTTTAAAATTTTCCCTAAACTCAGGACTCATATATTCAACTAATTAACATCTTCACTTGGTGGTTTAGTAGACATCTCAAATATAATATACCCCAAATTAAGTTCATCTCTCCTAAACCTGCTTCTTTGGCAGTCTTCACCATCTTAGTTATTGGTCACTCCATCTTCCAAAATGCTCAGATGAAAAACCTTGGAGTCATTCTTGACTTCTTTTTTCTCTCACCCTCCTGATTCAATCTAACAAATATTAAGAGTGCTATCTTTAAACTGTATTTGGAATCTTAACACTTCTTTCCACCTCCACTGTTAATAACCCTGGTCCAAGCCACAACCAACTATCTCCTAGATTACTCCAATAGTGATTTAACTAATCTCCCTGCTTCTGCTGTAATCCCCCATGCCTTCCTTAAGTCTTCTCTCAAAAAGAGATCTAGAATATTCTTTGTGGGTTTTTTTTTAACTTTTTATCCCTATCACCTATTTTCAACAATTATCATAGGCCATTGTTTTTCAGTGAAACCCACAACCCTACTCCTACATCATTCTGGAGTAAATCTATATTTTATCTGTGACTATTTCAGTATGTATCTCCAAAAGATAAGGATTCTTTTAAAACATAATCACAATGCCATTATTAAACCTTTAAAAACTTCTTTTATATTATCAAATATCCATCCAGGGTTCACTTTTCCTCGAGTGTTTTATGTTAATTTTTGTGTGGTTTAAATTGAGATTCAAATAAGGTCTATGCATTTTGATTGGTTAAGATTTTTTATTTTTTTGAGACAGGGTCTCACTCTATCACTCTGGCTACAGTATAGTGGTGTGAACATGGCTCACTGCAGCCTCAACCTCCTGGGCTCAAGGGATCCTCTTGTGTCAGCCTCCCTTGTAGCTGAGACAACAGGTGTGCACCACCACACCTGGCTACTTTTTAAATTTTTTTTAATGGAAATGAAGCCTCACTATTGCCCTGGCTAGTCTCAAACTGCTGGGCTCAAGCAATATTCCCGCCGCACTTAAGGCCAGGAGTTCGAGACCAGCCTGGCCAACAGGGTAAAACCCCATCTCTATTAAAAATACAAAAGTTAGCCAGGCATGATGACATACACCTGGAGTCCCAGCTCCTTGGGAGGCTGAGGCAGGAGAACTGCTTGAACCCAGGAAGCAGAAATTACAGTGAGCCAAGTGATCCATAACACTGCACTCCAGCCTAGAAAACAGAGTGAGACTGTCTCAAAAAAAATAAAATCACTAGGAATATTTCCTTTTTGTGTGTTATGAACCAAAGTGCTATATTACACAAGTAAGTTTGTTTCATTGCATTTTGTAGAGATTTCTTCTTTTTCCTTTATTGTGTTCTATAATTAGGTAAAATATTTACATCGTCCTAAAATCAAACATGCAAAACAAATTTTCAAAGAAGTCAAGTCATATGTTCTTCTTCCCTTATGTGTATCCTTTCTAGGGCTTACTCATTTTAAAAAATAAGCAAATACGTGTGTGTGTGTGTGTGTGTGTGTGTGTGTGTGTGTGTGTGTGTGTGTATTTCTACCCCCATGCCTTTGGAGATAAAAGATAGCTTCTTATAAACATCAATACAGCTTCTTTTCCTACCATACTTTTTAAAATTAATAGTAGGGGGTGGAGACAAGATGGCCGAATAAGAACAGCTCCAGTCTACAGCTCCCAGCGTGAGCAACGCAGAAGATGGGTGATTTCTGCATTTCCAACTGAGGTACCAGGTTCATCTCACTGGGGAGTGTCGGAAAGTGGGTGCAGGACAGTGGGTGTAGTGCATCAAGCGTGAGCCAAAGCAGGGCGAGGCATCACCTCACCCGGGAAGCGCAAGGAAGGGGTCAGGGAATTCCCTTTCCTAGTCAAAGAAAGCGGTGACAGACAGCACCTGGAAAATCAGGTCACTCCCACCCTAATACTGTGCTTCTCCAATGGTCTTAGCAAACGGCACACCAGGAGATTATATCCCGCGCATGGCTGGGAGCGTCCTACGCCCACGGAGCCTTGCTCATTGCTAACACAGCAGTCTGAGATCAAACTGCAAGCCAGCAGCGAGGCTGGGGGAGGGGCGCCCACCATTGCCCAGGATTGAGTAGGTAAACAAAGCAGCCAGGACACTCAAACTGGGTGGAGCCTACCGCAGCTCAAGGAGGCCTGCCTGCCTCTGTAGACTCCACCTCTGGGGGTGGGGCATAGCCGAACAAAAGGCAGCAGAAACCTCTGCAGACTTAACATGTCCCTGTCTGACAGCTTTGAAGAGAGTAGTGATTCTCCCAGCACGCAGCTTGAGATCTGAAAACGGACAGACTGCCTCCTCAAATGGGTCCCTGACCCCCGAGTAGCCTAACTGCGAGGCACCCCTCCAGTAGGGGCAGACTGACACCTCACAGAGCCGGGTACTCCTCTGAGACAAAACTTCCAGAGGAACGATCAGGCAGCAACATTTGCTGTTCACCAATATCTGCTGTTCTGAAGCCTCCGCTGCTGATACCCAGGCAAACAGCATCTGGAGTGGACCTCCAGCAAACTCCAACAGACCTGCAGCTGAGGGTCCTGACTGTTAGAAGGAAAACTAACAAACAGAAAGGACATCCACACCAAAACCCCATCTGTACGTCACCATCATCAAAGACCAAAGGTAGATAAAACCACAAAGATGGGGAAAAAACAGAGCAGAAAAACTGGAAACTCTAAAAATCAGAGCACCTCTCCTCCTCCAAAGGAACGCAGCTCTTCACTAGCAACGGAACAAGGCTGGACGGAGAATGACTTTGATGAGTTGTGAGAAGGCTTCAGATGATCAAACTACTCTAAGCTAAAGGAGGAAGTTTGAACCCATGGCAAAGAAGTTAAAAACATTGAAAAACAATTAGATGAATGGCTGACTAGAATAACCAATGCAGAGAAGTCCTTAAAAGACCTGATGGAGCTGAAAACGACGGCACGAGAACTATGTGACGAATGCACAAGCCTCGGTAGCCAACTCAATCAACTGGAAGAAAGGGTATCAGTGATGGAAGATCAACTGAATGAAATGAAGCAAGAAGAGAAGTTTAGAGAAAAAAGAATAAAAAGAAATGAACAAAGCCTCCAAGACATATGGGACAATGTGAAAAGACCAAATCTACGTCTGATTGGTGTACCTGAAAGTGACGGGGAGAATGGAACCAAGTTGGAAAACACTCTGCAGGATATTATCCAGGAGAACTTCCCCAATCTAGCAAGGCAGGCCAACATTCAATTTCAGGAAATACAGAGAACGCCACAAAGATACTCCTCGAGAAGAGCAACTCCAAGACACATAATTGTCAGATTCACCAAAGTTGAAATGAAGGAAAAAATGTTAAGGGCAGCCAGAGATAAAGGTCGGGTGACCCACAAAGGGAAGCCCATCAGACTAACAGCTGATCTCTCGGCAGAAACTCTACAAGCCAGAAGAGAGTAGGGGCCAATATTCGACATTCTTAAAGAAAAGAGTTTTCAACCCAGAATTTCATATCCAGCCAAACTAAGCTTCATAAGCAAAGAGAAATAAAATCCTTTACAGACAAGCAAATGCTGAGAGATTTTGTCACCACCAGGCCTGCCCTAAAAGAGCTCCCGAAGGAAGCACTAAACACAGAAAAGAACAACCGGTACCAGCCACTGCAAAAACATGCCAAATTGTAAAGACCATCGAGGCTAGGAAGAAACTGCATCAACTAATGAGCAAAATAACCAGCTAACATCATAATGACAGGATCAAATTCACACATAACAATATTAACCTTAAATGTAAATGGGCTAAATGCTCCAATTAAAAGACACAGACTGGCAAATTGGATAAAGAGTCAAGAACCATCAGTGTGCTGTATTCAGAAAACCCATGTCATGTGCAGAGACACACATAGGCTCAAAATAAAGGGATGGAGGAAGATCTACCAAGCAAATGGAAAACAAAAAAAAGGCAGGGGTTGCAATCCTAGTCTCTGATAAAATGGAGATCAAAAGAGACAAAGAAGGCCATTACACAATGGTAAAGGGATCAATTCAACAAGAAGAGCTAACTACCCTAAGTATATATGCACCCAATACAGGAGCACCCAGATTCATAAAGCAAGTCCTTAGAGACCTTCAAAGACACTTAGACTACCACACGATAATAATGGGAGACTTTAACACCCCACTGTCAACATTAGACAGATCAACGAGACAGAAAGTTAACAAGGATATCCAGGAATTGAACTCAGCTCTGCACCAAGCGGACCTAATAGACATCTACAGAACTCTCCACCCCAAATCAACAGAATATACATTCTTTTCAGCACCACACCACACCTATTCCAAAATTGACCACATAGCTGGAAGTAAAGCACTCCTCAGCAAACGTAGAAGAACAGAAATTATAACAAACTGTCTCTCAGACAATGGTGCAATCAAACTAGAACTCAGGATTGAGAAACTCACTCAAAACCGCTCAACTACATGGAAACTGAACAACCTGCTCCTGAATGACTACTGGCTACATAATGAAATGAAGGCAGAAATAAAGATGTTCTTTGAAACCAACGAGAACAAAGACACAACATGCCAGAATCTCTGGGACACCTTCAAAGCAGTGTGTAGAGGGAAATTTTTAGCATTAAATGCCCACAAGAGAAAGCAGGAAAGATCTAAAATTGACACCCTAACATCACAATTAAAAGAACTAGAGAAGCAAGAGCAAACACATTCAAAAGCTAGCAGAAGGCAAAAAATAACTAAGATCAGAGCAGAACTGAAGGAGACAGAGACACAAAAAACCCTTCAAAAAATCAATGACTCCAGGAGCTGGTTTTTTTAAAAGATCAACAAAATTGATAGACCGCTAGCAAGACTAATAAAGAAGAAAAGAGAGAAGAATCAAATAGAGCAATAAAAAATGACAAAGGGGATATCACCACCGATCCCACAGAAATACAAACTACCATCAGAGAATACTATAAACACCTCTATGCAAATAAACTAGAAAATCTAGAAATGGATAAATTCCTCGACACATACACCCTCCCAAGACTAAACCAGGAAGAAGTTGAATCTCTGAATAGACCAATAACAGAATCTGAAATTGAGGCAATAATTAATAGCTTACCAACCAAAAAAAGTCCAGGACCAGATGGATTCACAGCCAAATTCTACCAGAGGTACAAGGAAGAGCTGGTACCATTCCTTCTGAAACTATTCCAATCAATAGAAAAACAGGGAATCCTCGCTAACTCATTTTATGAGGCCAGCATCATCCTGATACCAAAGACTGGCAGAGACACAACAAAAAAAGAGAATTTTAGACCAATATCCCTGATGAACATCGATGCAAAAATCCTCAATAAAATACTGGCAAACCGAATCCAGCAGCACATCAAAAAGCTTATCCACCATGATCAAGTGGGCTTCATCCCTGGGATGCAAGGCTGGTTCAACATACAAAAATCAATAAACGTAATCCAGCATATAAACAGAACCAAAGACAAAAACCACATGATTATCTCAACAGATGCAGAAAAGGCCTTTGACAAAATTCAACAGCCCTTCATGCTAAAAACTCTCAATAAATTAGGTATTGATGGGACGTATCTCAAAATAATAAGAGCTATCTATGATGAACCCACAGCCACTATCATACTGAATGGGCAAAAACTGGAAGCATTCCCTTTGAAAACTGGCACAAGACAGGGAAGCCCTCTCTCACCACTCCTATTCAACATAGTGTTGGAAGTTCTGGCCAGGGCAATCAGGCAGGAGAAGGAAATAAAGGGTATTCAATTAGGAAAAGAGGAAGTCCAATTGTCCCTGTTTGCTGATGATGGAATTGTATATCTAAAAAACCCCATCATCTCAGCCCAAAATCTCCTTAAGCTGATAGGCAATTTCAGCAAAGTCTCAGGATACAAAATCAATGTGCAAAAATCACAAGCATTCTTATACACCAATGACAGACAAATAGAGAGCCAAATCATGAGTGAACTCCCATTCACAATTGCTTCAAGGAGAATCAAATACCTAGGAATCCAACTTACAAAGGACTTGAAGGACCTCTTCAAGGAGAACTACAAACCACTGCTCAATGAAATAAAAGAGGATACAAACAAATGGAAGAACATTCCATGCTCATGGGTAGGAAGAATCAATATCGTGAAAATGGCCATACTGCCCAAGGTAATTTATAGATTCAATGCCATCCCCATCAAGCTACCAATGACTTTCTTCACAGAATTCGAAAAAACTACTTTAAAGTTCATATGGAACAAAAAAAGAGCCCACATTGCCAAGTCAATCCTAAGCCAAAAGAACAAAGCTGGAGGCATCACGCTACCTGACTTCAAACTATACTACAAGGTTACAGTAACCAAAACAGCATGGCACTGGTACCAAAACAGAGATATAGACCAATGGAACAGAACAGAGCCCTCAGAAATAATGCCACATATCTACAACTATCTGATCTTTGACAAACCTGACAAAAAAAAGAAATGGGGAAAGGATTCCCTATTTAATAAATAGTACTGGGAAAACTGGCTAGCCATATGTAGAAAGCTGAAACTGGATCCCTTCCTTACACCTTATACAAAAATCAATTCAAGATGGATTAAAGACTTAAATGTTAGACCTAAAACCATAAAAACCTCAGAAGAAAACCTAGGCAATACCATTCAGGACATAGGCATGGGCAAGGACTTCATGTCTAAAACACCAAAAGCAATGGCAACAAAAGCCAAAATTGACAAATGGGATCTAATTAAACTAAAGAGCTTCTGCACAGCAAAAGAAACTACCATCAGAGTAAACAGGCAACCTACAGAATGGGAGAACATTTTTGCAACCTACTCATCTGACAAAGGGCTAATATCCAGAATCTACAATGAACTCAAACAAATTCACAAGAAAAAAAATGAACAACCCCATCAAAAAGTGGGCGAAGGATATGAACAGACACTTCTCAAAAGAAGACATTTATGCAGCCAAAAGACACATGAAAAAATGCTCATCATCACTGGCCATCAGAGAAATGCAAATCAAAACCACAATGAGATACCATCTCACACCAGTTAGAATGGCAATCATTAAAAAGTCAGGAAACAACAGGTGCTGGAGAGGATGTGAAGAAATAGGAACACTTTTACACTGTTGGTGGGACTGTAAACTAGTTCAACCATTGTGGAAGTCGGTGTGGCGATTCCTCAGGGATCTAGAACTAGAAATACCATTTGACCCAGCCATCCCATTACTGGGTATATACCCTAAGGATTATAAAACATGCTGCTATAAAGACACATGCACACGTAAGTTTATTGTGGCACTGTTCACAATAGCAAAGACTTGGAACCAACCCAAATGTCCAACAGTGATAGACTGGATTAAGAAAATGTGGCACATATACAGCACAGAATACTATGCAGCCATAAAAAATGATGAGTTCATGTCTTTTGTAGGGACATGGATGAAGCTGGAAACCATCATTCAGAGCAAACTACCGCCAAGGACAAAAAACCAAACACCACACGTTCTCACTTATAGGTGGGAATTGAACAATGAGAACACATGGACACAGGAAGGGGAACACCACACAACGGGGACTGTCGTGGGGTTGGGGGAGTGGGGAGGGATAGCATTAGGAGATATACCTAATGTTAAATGACGAGTTAATGGGTGCAGCACACAAACATGGCACATGTATACGTATGTAACTAACCTGCACGTTGTGCACATGTACCCTAGAACTTAAAGTATAATAAAAAAACTCTTCAAACTATAAAAAATAAAAAATAAATAAAATTAATAGTATATTCTGAAGATCGCTCTTTTTTTTTTAATGGACTCAATTGTGCAGATTTACTTTATCAGCCATTCCCCTACTCATGGAAACTTGGTTTACTTACAGTAGTCTTTGGTTACTACAAAGACTGCTATCATAAGAAGACTTGCACACATATAGTACATGTGTTTTCATATTTTTACCAGTATGTTTTAAGGATAGATTCCCTCAGGTAAGATTGCTGGATCACATGGAAATGCAGGTAATTTTATTATTGCCAGATTCACCTCTATATATCATTTTACATTCCCATCAGCAATGTATGAGAATGCCTGTTTCTCCACAGCCTCAACAACAAAGCATGTGGTCAAACTTTGGAATTTTTGTCTGACACATGAGAAATACATTTAAGCATAATTTTAATTTACATTTATTTTATTAAGAGTGATGTTGCGTATCTCTTCCCATGGCGGATGGCCATCTCTTTGTAAACTGTTCTAGCCCACTTTTCTATGGAGTTGTTGGCCTTTTTCCAATCTATTTTCAGGAGCTCTTTATATAGTAGGTATATCAAACTCCTTTTTTGCCCATGACTAACCTGCAAATGTTTTTTCCTAACTTGTAATTTATCTTCTATTTTTCTTCTTTCCTCCCATACAAATTATTAATTTTTATGTAATAAACTTTTCCATTTTTTTCCTTATTTTATCTGGATTTTGAGTAACAGTTAGCAAGGTTTCCTCACTTCTAGATTAAAATTAATTCACCTAGGTTTTCTAGTACTTGTATGGTTTTATTTAATTTAAATTTAAATTAAACACATTTAATTTTCCCAATTAAACTGTATATTGAACATAGGTTTAACTCCATGAAAAAAATTACCTGGTGGCACTGTAGTTGTGACTATATTAAATTTCCAAAAAAAATAATAACTTTGGAAAGAATTGACTTTGATAATATTGCAGACTGATATTTTTAAAACATCAAGTCAAATCATGCCATCTCTCTGCTTAAAACCCTCCAATGTCTCTCTACCTCACCTGAAGTACAAGCCAAAGTGTTTGCAATAGCCCATGCTATTTGACTTCCGTTCCTAACAGCCTCCCTTGAAATCACTCCAGCCACACCAGCCATAGCAGTTGCTGGTCCTTCTGTGGGACTACTCTTTCCCCCAGATGTCTGCAGGGTCCTTTGGAGCTTTGCTCAAATGTCACCACTCTTAACAAGCATTTCGTGATCATACTACTTAAAACTGTAATTACTATCACCCCCTTCCCTGAATTACTTTTCCTCATAGCACTTTACACCAACTAACACACTATATGTTTTACTTACTTATCATGCATCTTTGGATCATATTGAATGTAAATTCCATATACCCCACAGAGAATTAAACTGCCAACCAGCAATCGAATTTTTTAATTTAAAAAACAATTTAGTATTCTAAGAAACTTTGTTTAGACCAACTCTATCTGAAGCAGATCTTGTAAGTATTATCACTACCTAAATTGCCCTTGCTTATAATATCAAGTCTTAGGTTACTAATCTAATTAAGATGAATTATTTAGCATCAGACGAATGGACGCTCGCAGAGGTTCACCATGCTTGAATTTTAATCCTAGTCTCCTTGCTTCTTCAGCTATGGCTTTTGCCAGCAGTCTAAGATGCCTTCAATATTTAAGTCTCTCAAAGTGAGTTTCTTTTTATACCATCCCTCCAAAGTCTTTAGTGCAATCCACTATACACTGAGAAATTCATAACCTAGTAAAGTTATAGCTGTGTCAATAAGACGCCTAA
Source organism: Homo sapiens (assembly GCF_000001405.40). Classification (NCBI taxonomy): domain Eukaryota; kingdom Metazoa; phylum Chordata; class Mammalia; order Primates; family Hominidae; genus Homo; species Homo sapiens. The sequence goes on from NC_000004.12 coordinate 143,174,403, forward strand.
CTTTTCCCCATCTAGTTTCTCAACCGCAATTTAATGTGGGGAGAGGGTTTGCTTAGATTAATGTACTCAAACGTGGTAATGCAGAAGAATCAATTGGGGTCTACTAACAACACAGATTTCTGTGCCCTACCCCAATTAAAATTTTAATTAATAGATCTGGCAACAACTCAAAAAAGTCACTCAATTTTAGGTGTCTCATTGAGAAAAACTAGCTTTATGTCTATTAGGTAATAGCAATAATGCAATCCACAGAGAAAAAATTGGTTTCTGTTATGGACTGAATTTTTTCCTCCTTCCCCCCCAAAAAAATGTATATGTAGAAGCCCTAAGCCTCAATGGGCATTTGAAGATAGAACCTTTAAGGAGGTAACTGAGGTTAAATGAGGTCATAAAGGTGGGGCCTAATCCAATAGAACCCATGTTCTTATAAAAAGAGAAACCAGAGATCCTTCTCTCTCCTGTCATGCACAGAGGAAAGGCCACGTGAAAACACAGCAAGAAGACAGCTATCTGCAATTTAGGAAGAGAGCACTCACCAGAAACTAACGCTACTGGCATCTTGATCTTGGACTTCCAGCCTCCAGAACTGTTAGAAGATAAATTTCTGCTGTTTAAGCCACCCAGTCTATGGTATTTTGTTATGGCAGCCCAAGCTGACTGAGACAATTACTCTCTAGATTATTTTTCATAAAGAATCTGTCACAGCAATTCCAACTGATAGAGGGCCCATGTTGGAATCCTTATTACACAGAATTCAAATAGATATATATATAATCCCTACATTTTAATCGTATTTAATAAATACTAGAACTAAAACCCTTATTTCTAGCAACAATGATTTATTAATAACTTGTTTCCCATTTACATCTAGTTAGATAAGAGCAAGAATTAATGTGTAGTAGGCCTCATAGGCTGCATAGGCCACTGTCTATGCATAGTCATGAATCCATTTGCCTCTTAAAACATAATCCTGGCTGGGCACAGTGGCTCACACCTGTAATCCCAACATTTTGGGAGGCTGAGGCAGGCGGATCACCTGAGGCCAGAATTTCCAAGGCCAGCCTGGCCAAGTTCAAGACCAGCCTGTTGAAACCCTGTCTCTACTAAAAATACAAAAATTAGCCAGGCATTGTGGTGCACGCCTGTAATCTCAGCTACTTGGGAGGCTGAGGCAGGAGAATTTCCTGAACCCAGGAGGCGGAGATTGCAGTGAACTGAGATCATGCCACTTCATTCCAGCCTGGGCAACAGAGCGGGTCTCTGTCTCAAAAATAAATAAATAAATAAAAAACATGATGTCGGAAGTTCCAATCTCTTAGTTTCTAAATATTATGGAGTTTGGGGTTTGTTTCGGTGGGGAAGATCAAACAGGGCAGACTAAAGTCACCTAATTGAAAGTACAGGCCACTTATGGCCAGGGTTGGTTTTTTAAGGGGTGTTGTGTTTTAAACTTTTTTTTCAATTAGAATGTTTATTTAAGATCTTTTCTCTTTTTTGCCATAAGCATTTCTTGCTGTAAATGTCCCTTTTAGGACTGCTTTTGGTGCAAAAAAGAGCCTGCATTGCCAAGTCAATCCTAAGCCAAAACAACAAAGCTGGAGGCATCATGCTACCTGACTTCAAACTATACTACAAGGCTACAGTAACCAAAACAGCATGGTACTGGTACCAAAACAGAGATATAGACCAATGAAACAGAACAGAGTCCTCAGAAATAATGCCACATATCTACAATTATCTGATCTTTGACAAACCTGACAAAAACAAGAAATGGAGAAAGGATTCCCTATTTAATAAATGGTGCTGGGAAAACTGGCTAGCCATATGGAGAAAGTTGAAACTGGATCCCTTCCTTACACCTTATACAAAAATTAATTCAAGATGGATTAAAGACTTAAATGTTTTAAACTTTTTAATTTTGAAATCATTATACAGTCACACGAAGTTGCAAAGATAATACAGAGAAATCCTCTGTACTCTTCACTCAGTTATACCTCAATGTTACCTCTTACATAACTATAGCATAATATCACAATCAGGAAATTGATATTGATACAACATATGTATAATTCCATGCCACTTTACCACACATGGAGTCATGCAACAGTCGCAATCAAGGTACAGAACTATTCTATCACCACAAGAATTACCCTCATTCTACCCCTTTATTAAAAGTTCTACTCATCCCTCTGCCTCTCCCATCTATACCTAGCCCTTGGCAACCACTAATCTGTTCTTCATCTCTAAAATTTCCTCATATTGAGAATGTCGTACAAATGGAATCACATAGTATGTGACTTTTGAGATTAGTTTTCTTCACTTGGCATAAAAATGCCCTTGAAATCCATCCAAGTTGTGTCCATCAATAGTTTCTTTCTTTTTATTGCTAAGTAATATTCCACAGTAAGAATGTACCACAGTTTGTTTAGCCATTCAGCATACTGATGACCATAGTTTGTTTAGCCATTCACCTACTGATGACAATTTTGATTGTTTTTGGTTGTTGGCTATTGCAGATAAAGCTGCTTTGGACATTTGTGTATATGTATTTGTGTGAACATAAGTTTTCATTTCTCTGGAATAAATACCTAGTAGTTCAACAGTTTGATCATATGATAGCTGCATGTTTAATTTTTAAGAAACTTCCAAACAATTCTCCAGAGTGGTTAAACCATTTTGCATTTCCACTTGCAATGTATGAGAAATCAGTTTGTCTGCATCTTTGCCAGCATTAATGTTGTCACCATTTTTTATTTTAGTGGTTCTCTAATAAATGTGTTATAATATCTCATGGTCTTAATTTGCATTTCCCTATTAGCTAGAAATGTTAAACAACTTTCCATTTGTTTGCCATATGTAAATCCTCTTCATTGAAATGTGTCTTGAAATCTTTTGCCCATTTTTAATTGGATTGATTTCTTTACTGTTGATTTTAATTTTTTATTGTGGTAAAATATAACCTAAAATTTACCATTCTTAAGTGTACAGTTCGGTGGCATTAAGTACACACTGTTGTGCAATCATCACCACTATCCATTTACAGAACTTTTCATTCTTTGAAAGAGAAACTCTGTACCTATTAAACAATAACTCCCCATTTATTTTCTCCCTAGCCCCTAGAAACCTCTAATTTGACTATTCCAAGCACCTCATATGAAGTGGATATTTATCCACATGTGAGAGCTGTCTCTGATTTTCCAAATTCTTACAAGGTAAAAACCTTGGCAGTCATCAAATCTTATAGTCTTGGGTGCCACCATCTTGTTTACATTAATTACCAACCTGAGTGGGTAGGGAGGAGTCCCCTGATAGTTTCTACTTTGACCTTCTTCTCTTTGCATAGTAGCCCATCCCAGCCATATTAATTTCCAGAAATGGGACCAGCCCATGTTTTCTTTTTAGATTCATCTCAGAGTTAATTTTAAGGGTTCCTCAGGTGACCCATGTACTTTCCACTGGTCTTTTTCCCACCCTTCCAGGGTCTCTTTTACCAGTCCCTTGACAAGTATAGTGAGTCCACCCCCATTCAGCTGTACATATGGCCATCTCAGGGGTCAGCAGCACTTGACAGGGACCTTCTCAGCTTGGGTGGAGCTTGTCTTCTTTCCAAGTCTTAATCAGCACCTAGTCGCCAGGCTGGAAGTGGCAAACTGCAAACTCAAGAGGAGGAGTTTGAGTCAGAAGTCCTTTTAACCTAAGGGATGACAGGGTGGAGGATAATGACTGTATATAATTTCTTAAGAACTGATCCTTGGTTTCCATAGTAGGAAGATCTGTAGCTCTGCCCAAATACAGGAGCCCATATAATAACTCATAGGGGGACAATCCCAAGTCTTTTCTTGGGACTTCCTAAGGAGTGCTATTGGGAGACATTTTGTCCAAGGCATTTTAGTTTATTAGTTTGGTGAAATGCTTTTTGAGAGTTTCAGTCATTCCTTCTACCTTTCCAGAGGAAGGGGGATGCCAAGGGGTGTAATAATCCCATCTAATTTGTAAACCTTCCATAATTCCCCTTAACACCCGGGAGGTAAATTGGCTGCCATTGTCTGAATCAACGTTTTTCACCAGGCCAAATCTAGGTACAGTCTGTTATAATATTATTTTGACTACATTCCTGGCAGTGGCTGTTGGAAGGGGAAAGGCTTCCACCCAGCTGGAAAGGTAACCTATAATCACCAGTAAATACTTCAGTCTTCCTACTTTGGGTATTTATGTGAAATCTACTTGAATGCTCTGAAATGGTCTTAGTCCAGGAGGTCTTCCTCCCATGAACTGTTTTCTAATCACCTCTTTGTTTATCCTTTGACAAGTTACACAACTTCCACATACTTGTTTAGCGAGGGTATAAATCCCTATCTATCCATAATTCTTAAATATTGCATCACACGGACTCTGGGGTCCCCAGTGACTCCCTTTGGGGAGTAATACAGACATCAGTTCTCTCATCAGGGGTTTACTTATCATTTCTCTCCCATCAGAAAGTACCCATTTCCCATCTTCAGTTTGAGTGACCCCTATCCTGCCTAATTCTTCCTTCTTCTCTCTGGTAAACTGAGGCCTTAATACCACCTTAGGGATGTCTGGTATCAGGCTAAATAGTCTAATTTCTTCCTCCAGGGAGGCTTGCCTAGCAGCTTCATCCACAAACCTGTTTCCTACAGCTTCTATAGTGTTCCCGTTCTGATGATCATTTACATGAACTATGGCTACCTCTGCTGGAAGCAGGAGACTTTCTAAAACCTGTTTGACCAGTTCCCCGTGTACCAATTCTTTTCCCTTGCTATTTATTAGGCCCCGCTCTGTCCAGATTTTTCCAAAAGTGTGTACCACCCCATAGGCACATTTAGAATCAGTATATATATTTCCTTCCTGGCCTTCAAGGAGCTTTAGGGCCTGGTCAAGAGCATGTAATTCACATTTTTGGGCCGACCAGCCATTAGGTAATCTACCTTTCTCACATAATGAGTGTTTATTTCCATCAAAGACAGCATAACCATTAAGTCCCTTGCCATCTATCACTCCGGATGACCCATCCACAAACAGTCTAATCCATCACGTAGTGGAGCTTCCCTAAGGTCTGGTCTAACTTTGGCTTGGTATTCTATGGTATCTAAGCAGTTATGATCTGATGTCTCTTTGTTCTGGTCTCCTTTCCATAGGACACTGGCTGGATTCAGGCAAGTATCTGGTGTTACAACCAAATAATCTTTTTCTAGTAATATGGCTTCATATTTTAGAATCTGAGAATCCACTAACCATCTCCCAGCTTTCTGATTTAATATATTCCTGACCTGGTGTGGGGTGTTTACTATTAGGGCCCCACCAAACATTAGCTTTCGACTCTCCTCTACCAGCAGGGCTGTCGCAGCTACTGCTTGCACACATTCAGATCACCCCTGAGAGACAGGATCGAGAAGCTTGGAGACAAAAGCAACAGGTTGCCTCTTCCCTCCCCAGGTTTGAGTGAGCACCCCAAGGGCCATGCCCCGGTCTACTGTTACAAACAGATAGAATGGTTTCTCTAAAGATGGGAGGGCCAGGACCAGGACTGTAATGAGGGCCTGCTTTAGCTCTTTCACTGCCTTAATTTCATCTAGGGACCATTACAAGGGATTGGGCTCCTCTTCTAGTAACTTGAGATACAGAATTTTGTCTTTTAAGCATATGAGTCAATCCATAACCTACTGTAGCCAGTTAAACCTAAAAATTTTTGGAGTTTTCTCTTTGTCTTAGGCAAAGGCAAACCCACTATTCCCAATATTCTGAGTTTATTATCCACTTCCCTTCACCAATCAGGTGTCCTAAATATTTAACTTCTTTTTCTACAAACTGCAATTTGTTCTTAGAGACTCGCAATCCCCTTTCTCAAAGAAAATAAGGCAAGATTATGGTGGTTTCTGATCACTCGGCCTTCCTTTTGCCAGATATTAAAAGTTCATCTACATATTGTAACAACTGGGTTCCCCTGGAAGGTTGGAATTCCTCCAGGACTAAGATTTGACCAAATAAGTTTGGGGCTTCTGTGAAACCCTGTAGCAGTACAGTCCAGTGGTACTGTTGTTTTCTCCCAGTTATAGAATTTTCTCATTTCTTTTTTGCCTATGAACATCCAGTTACTCCAGCACCATTTGTTGAAAACACCATCCTTCCTTCACTGAATGGCTTTTGAATCTCTGTCAAAAATCAGTTTGGTGTATTTGTGTGGGTCTAGGTTATTGTTGCCCATTTCACTGATCTATGTGTCTCTCTGCCATTACCATACTGTCTTAATTACCCTGGCATACAATGAGTATTATTTTTGGGTAGTGATATGGTTTGGCTCTGTCCCTACCCAAATCTTATCTTGAATTGCAATGCCCATAATCCCCACGTGTTGAAGGAAGAAACAGGTGGATATAATTGAATCATGGGGGCAGGTTCCCCCTTCCTGTTCTCGTGATATAAGTTCTCACGAGATCTGATGATTTTATAACAGGGTTCCCCCTTAGCTCAGCTCTCGTTCTTCTCCTTCCTGCTGCCATGTGAAAGGATATGTTTGCTTCCCCTTCCACCATGATTTTAAGTTTCCTGAGGCCTCCCCAGCCATGCTGAACTGTGTTTATAAACCTTTCCTTTATAAATTACCCAGTCTCAGATACGTCTTTATTAGCAGCATAAGAACAAACACAGGTAAAATGATCCCTCTCACTTAATTCCTCCTTTTCAGAATTGTTGAAGCTACTCTGATTTGTTTTTCCAAATACATTTTAGAATAATCTTGCCTGTATATGAAGAAGAAAAAAAAAACCTGCCTGGAGTTTTAATAGGAATTGTATTAAACCTGCATATCGATTTAGAGATCATTAACATCTACACTATGGTGAGTCCTCCAATCCATGTATATGGTCATTTATTTAGATCTTCGATTTCTTTCATCAGTGTTTTGTTGTTTTCAGCATGAGTCCTGTACATCCACTGTCAGATTTACACCTACATAGTTTTTATTTTGAGCAATTATCAATGGTATATTTTTAATTTTGGTTTCCATGTGTTCATTGCTAGTACATAAAAGTACAACTGATTTTTGTCTATTATCTTATATTCTGAAACCCTGCTGAGTTTGTTTTTTAGTTCTAGAAATTACTGTGTAGACTCCTTACGACTTTTTCTAAACCATGTTTTTCATTTCATTTTTTAAAAGTTCATTCATTCAAAAAATAGTTAGATTGAACTGGGCATGGTGGCTCACGTAATCCCAGCACCTTGGGATGCTGAGATGGGAGGATCATTTGTGTCAGGAGTTCAAGACCAGCCTGGCCAACATGGTGAAACCCCATCTCTACTAAAAATACAAAAATTAGCCAGGTGTGGTGGTGGGTGCCTATAATCCCAGCTACTCAGGAGGCTGAGGAAGAAGAATTGCTTGAACCCAGGAAGTGGAGATTGCAGTGAGCTGAGACTGCAGTGAGCTGAGATCACACCACTGCACTCCAGCCTGGGCAACAGAGTGAGAGACTTCATCTCACAGACAAAAAAAATTGATAGATTGTTTACCCTAGTGTTCTAACTGCTAGATATAGAAGTAACTAATAAAATTAAGGGGTTCTTTTTGACCTCATGAAGCTTAGATTCTAGAGAACAGAAAAAGGCTGTAAACATATAATAAATGAGAACAGTAGGAAAAGACACAAGAGCAACTTGATGGAGGGCCTTAAAGTCAACAGTAGCCATTTGAATTTTAAGAGGAGAAGCACTGGAAGATTTAAAATAGGGTAGTGAGGCTGCTCTGCCTATGAAGTAGCCAATGGTATATTTTTAATTTTTAATTGTCTTTTATTCCTTTACTTTCTTAATAAACTTGCTTTCACTTTGCACTGTGAAAAAAATTAAATGAAATAGTGTCGTAAGATTAGCTTGATGTCCATTTTAAGTCATTAAAACAAAAACCATATCAAAGTGGTTGGTGTGTTTCTTTACAGTCTTTTTTTCTTTACAACTTAAAAAACATATGAATATAAATTTCATAAAGTCAGGGATTATTTGTAATTACTTCATATGATGGTTTATTTATCACAGTCCTCTCTAATCTATACAATCAGTTTGCTTTTGATTCTATTAGGTGATATAAATTTCCTAAGAGAAAACTAACCTCACAATAATGTTATTGCAGTTGGCCAACTCTAACCACTGCTTTTGGAACTGCCTTTTCTCTTTGCTTATCACAAACATAAACACATACACACACTTTTCATCTAATAGTATGATGGAAATAATAGAGACTCTAGAGTCAGACTTGATTATTTTTTTTAACCTCCTTTGGCTTCAATACCTTATCTATAAAATGTAGCTATTAACATCTATTTCCAAAACCCCGTTTTGAGAACTAAGGATAAAGTGTAATATATTGAGTTCCAGGCACACAGAGGTTGCTAAATAAACAATCACTCCTTATCCTGTGCTTTTTCTCTTTCATCCCCATCACTCAGCTTCCATTCTCAGATCTAACATATTTGTAAAACCATGTAGTTGGCAATTGAGGCCTTAGACTAAATCTTTATATGAAATTTTAAAGCCCATTACAATAGCACCCACTAATCCAATGATTAGTGGCATGATTCACTGCAAAAAAATCTTCCACAGACTTCTGAAAATATTTTAAAATGTTAAAAAGGAACATGGTATTATTATAGAACTTTTAGTTATGCTATAAAATAAATTTAAAGTTGGCCACTTTCAATTGAAATCTTATAAAAGAGCATATTACATACATTTTTTAACCAGTGGCAAAAGAAGGAAATAAGCGTTGAATATCTTGGTATAAAAACCTAGTATTTCATTTCATGCATCTATCATTCAAGAGGTATTTTAAAAATACAGAGTCATGGTGCTTTTGGAAGTCTAATATTATGACATGTAATTTATATGGACTAATAGCACTATGTTCTCTCAGACATCTTATTTTGTAATATTCAATTTTTCAAGACCTAATATTAACAGAAAGAAGAAAATGTTATAGACAATTCAAAGTAATCTGTCAAGTTTTAAATTTACCAATATTTTTTTCTTGTCTACTTTGGAATAATCACTTCGCTGGTACTATTCAGCAATCTTCATTCGTCCTGTTAGTTTCTTAGCACAAAGATTAATTCCAAATTTCCTCCACTCCACCTCAAATCCACGATCCTTCTTAATACTTAATTCCTTCTTAATATTTTATTTTCTATATTACCTTTGTCTTCCACTGTGGCATTATTCCCAGTAAAGACAAACATCTGTGTACCTTCACCTCCTATTGGAAAAATCATTCCTGTCTCTAGCATGACTGATAGATTAATTACCTCAATTCTCTTTTATCTTCCGTATCTTCCTACGAGTCAACTTGGTCTTAAGTTCCCTTTTACTCAAGCTCCTGTCTCCTCTAAACTGCTCTTCTTAAGACTACCATAATCGACGTGTGAATATATTAGTGTAATCGTGTTTGTAACTTGGTAAAAAAACAAAACACTATTTAGCAAACTGAAGTAACAGAATTTTGTTCATTTTTCTACGGGACATTTTAAATGACCTATTTCTTTAAAGTTTTGTCTGTATTACAGGGCCTTAATGTCTAGTTTCACAACTATATTAACCAAGCCTGAAGCAGGCTACAGTTAGGCAATATTTTCCAATATAAAGACCTCTGATTAAATTCTTACTGTGAATCTTCGGAATTTGGCATGAAACAGAACAAGCATGATTGCACCTGTTCTTCCCTATTGTAAACCATCTTCGGTGTCAACATATACAATAAGTTTTGTGGTATTTCCACCTGGTTTTCTATTTTCAAAGTACCCTTGTATGACACAGGTATAAAAATATTTTGATTCTAATCTGCCATTTTCCTTACTCTCACACTTTTTTGGACGGCTTATAATTTTCGATATGGTACAAAGCTCACTAACTGGTTCTTTGCTAGAGGCCTGCTACTGATACTGATGGTCGCTAAATGCTAGGTACGCCGCCAGTATTGCTCTTACTTCAATACCGACATCGCAGGATAAAGGCAGTCACATTTAGGCGCGCAAGCGCAATTCTTGATTAATGAGCCAAGGCAGACTTCTCAATCCGAGTTTTGAGTTTTCCTTACTTTTCCCCCAAATGCTCTTTTCCTCGGATTTCACATCGATAGCACTTATTCGAGTTTTCACGAGTAACCTGACGCAGGCGGAACCGACGAAGACTAGCCGGCAAGAATCCTACAGTCGCAGCCATCTGCGCAGCGTCCGCCGGGGACGCTCCGCGCGGAAGACCGCCTGTGACTCGACACACTCTCCAGTGACGCGGCCGTCGCCGCACCTGCGCGGCGGGGCGGGAAGGAGACTCCCAGCGCCGGGGGGAAGGGAGTCTACGACTCGGGAGGGAGGTGGGGGAGCAGGGAGGGAGAGAGGGAACAAGGGAGAAGGAGAGAGGCGGACAGGCGGAGGGGCGGAGGGGCAGAGGGGCGGAGGGGCGGTCCTTCCGGAGGTTCTTAGGTCCTTCACTTCCTGTTTGCCGGCACTTCAAAATCCGGGTCAAAGGGTGTCGCTTCGGTCTCTTCTCCCCGGCTGATCCCAGCACTCTCCGTGACAGCGCCTCCTGACTCAGCCCAGGACCGGCTTCTTCTCACGACCTGCTGGAGACTGGACGCCCACACCTGACCCGGAACTCGGAGGCGTGCTTCCTCCACCCGCCGGCTAGCAGCCCCGGGCCCTGAGCTCCCGCCGACGCCGCTGGGGGGCCCGACAGGCCCCTCGGCGCTGATGCTGAGTGGGATCGAGGGCCCGGGGCGGCGGCGGAGTACGGGCCTCTGGCGCCTTAGGCCAGCCGCAGGTGTCGGTTCTTAGGCTCTCCAGGCTCGCTAGCTCCCGCCCCGGCTTGGATGGGTCTCCCTGCGCCATAAATGTGGCTGCTGAGGCGGCGGTGGCCGTGGCCCGTCGCGCTGCTGCTGCGGCGCTCCAAGTTCATCTCCGCCCCGGGGCTCTCCTGCCCCACCTCGGGGCTGCCGCCACCCGCTCCTTATCCCCTGGCCCTGGCCTTGCAGCGTGGCGACAATGGACAAGATCCTGGAGGGCCTTGTGAGTTCCTCGCATCCCCTGCCCCTCAAGCGGGTGATTGTGCGGAAGGTGGTGGAATCGGCGGAGCACTGGCTAGACGAGGCGCAGTGCGAGGCCATGTTTGACCTGACGACCCGGCTCATCCTGGAGGGCCAGGACCCTTTCCAGCGGCAGGTGGGGCACCAGGTGCTGGAGGCCTACGCACGATACCACCGGCCAGAGTTCGAGTCCTTCTTCAACAAGACCTTCGTGTTGGGCCTCCTTCATCAGGGCTACCACTCTCTGGACAGGAAGGATGTAGCCATCCTGGACTACATTCACAACGGCCTGAAGCTGATTATGAGCTGTCCGTCGGTGCTGGATCTCTTTAGCCTCCTGCAGGTAGAGGTGTTACGGATGGTGTGTGAGAGGCCGGAGCCGCAGCTCTGTGCCCGACTGAGCGACCTTCTGACCGACTTTGTGCAATGCATCCCCAAGGGGAAATTGTCCATCACGTTCTGTCAACAGCTGGTTCGAACGATAGGCCATTTCCAGTGCGTGTCCACCCAGGAAAGAGAGCTGCGGGAATATGTCTCCCAGGTGACAAAAGTGAGTAACTTGCTGCAGAACATCTGGAAGGCCGAGCCTGCCACACTACTGCCTTCCCTGCAAGAAGTTTTTGCAAGCATCTCTTCCACAGGTAAGGGTCATTATCTTTCAGAATATCTCATAAAAAATCAGTATATGTCTCTCTTGCACACACACATTCACACCATGTTTTCCTCCTGCCCTAAAAACATTCTTAAGCGAGAGCAAATCCTAATACCTCATCCCAAATTTATTCACATTCACTACCTTATTCAGGACGTCACATCGTACTTTAAAAACAGGCAGCGTTCCCATTTTAAAGGTTGAGAACGTCCAGGTCTAAGACCTTTGGCACTAAACAAGTTGCTTAATTACCCAGCCTCTGCTCAAGTTATTTGGAATGCTTTGAGGATGACAGCTACTGCAGAAAGCTTCCATTCATTAGTGACTAATGGTAGCATGATGTTTACCATAGTATTTATTGTACGTGTCTCTAATTTTGTAATGAGTTTTTCCCCCATTTTTGTATTTCCTCATTTTTGAATTAATGGATTGTGCAGTTTGTTTTATTACTGGATTATCCCAGATAACTATGAAGTTTTTAAATAGTGACATTTTTTGTCTACAGTATCTAGTAGACAAAGGAGGAATACAGATAGAATGAGGGAAGGAAGAGTACGAGGATTTAAATATTTGTTTTTGTGCCCATGAACTGCATTCTCAGAAAGCAGAGAAGGGTCACATGATACTTGCCTAGAAAATGCTTTCTCGCCGAGGAATTTTACCAGTACCTCTACCTTCGTTGTTCTGTCTTGGACCTTTCAGGTCTGAATAGATTCAAAATCATGTTCATTTCCGCTCTACTTGGTACAAGCATTCTCCTTCATTTATAACACCAGTGGGGACTGTGTGGCTGTTCAAATTGAACTTGTGAGGGATGTGTCCTCTTCTTATCTTAAGAACCAGAAGTAAAGGTGGAGTTTTAACAAACGTTCTGTGTTCTGATGAATTTAATATATTTACGAAAGAATTACAAACGATGTATTTGCAGTATCTGAGTTGGTTTGTTTTTTTTTCTTATTGTAATTTTACTTCTATTGCCTGTGTTGTCATAACTGTTAGGTTCCTCCCAAATTTTTTGAACTGTAGCAGTAAAGGTACTTGTCTTGGATTTGCTTAATTTGTATACAGTTTAAGCAAAATCTCCACAAAAGTCACCTTAATTTCTACTTTAAGAGATTTTTTAAAAATCTTCCTTAGAGCAATGTAATGATGAATAGTTTTAAGTTATTTTGGAGGGTCTGAAGTGGGAGTTGAAATGATACTTAAGTGCCCCCAAAAGTCACCTTCATTTCTACTTTAAGAGATTTTTTCAAAATCTTCCTTAGAGGGATGTAATGATCAATAAGTTTAAAGTTATTTTGGAGGGTCTGAAGTGGAAGTTGAAATGATACTTTATGTTTCTTTATATTTCCTTTCTGATTAGTGATTTACAAGTTAATATTTTAGCTCAACAATAACTCGATAAATTATGAAAAATTAAAGTAACTTATGGACTAACCATATCAATATATTTCAGTATTCTGTCTATAGTATGAGTGATCATTGCTGTTCACTCCTAATCTTTCATTCCTGTAATTTAACATTCCTTGTAAATTAAGAGTCTACCCATGAGGGTGTAGCATAATAATCCTTCCTAGTTAACACCTTTGCTGCAATGACTTTTTTTTTTTGTAAAGTGTTGTTCTTTTTAAATACTTGAACCTACTTGCCATGTTCCCTTTTCTTTTTAATTGAAAAAACAGATGCATCATTTGAACCTTCTGTAGCATTGGCAAGCCTTGTGCAGCATATTCCTCTTCAGATGATTACAGTTCTCATCAGGAGCCTTACTACGGATCCAAATGTAAAAGATGCAAGTATGACCCAAGCCCTTTGCAGGTACTTCTTCATGACACTATTAATGGTAATTGTAGATTTGGGGAAGAGGAAGTATTTTGTATTTTGTGAGTAATGAAAAACTTACGAATGTTTAAAACTAAAATCATGGAATGACATATGTAAAGATTCTCCAAATAGATTGGAATTGTTTATAGCGTTGACAGGCATCCCAATAATTCACAAATCTATTTTCAATTCAACTTTTTTTAATTACCAAAATATACACACATATACACATATTATACACTCAGATGTTGATTGGATTATCAGTATACAGTATTTCACTGCCCATTATTGTTTCCTGCAACCTATTTCTTTCTTCTGCGTTTTTTTTTCTTTCTTCCTTAGTAAGTATATACTTTACTTTCTCTTTCAACCAGGCTCAATGTGTAATACACTCTTTGCCTTTGCCTGTTTGAATTTTTTTTCTTTCTCAGTTTTAAATAGATGATTTGGCAAGATACAGAATTCTAATTTGATAGCCATTTTCTCTTAGCATTTTAAAAATAATACTGTATTACCTTTGGGCATCTGTTGTTGCTCGTGGGAAGTCAGCTGTCAATCTGACTGTCATTCCTTTGTGAGTAGTCAGCTTGTCTGGAAACTTTTATGTTCTCTTTATCCTTGATGTTCTGTAATTTTATTCTTGCATTTCTAGGTATAATCTTAATATTATTTGCCCTTCTTAGCACTTTGGCACTTTTATTCAGTCATTCATTCATTTATTCAAACCACACTTACTGAGTACTTACCATGAGTGCCAGGCAGTGTTCAAAATGTCCTCAAACAAACTGATAAAAATATCTGCCTTTATAGGCTTGCATTCTAGTTGGGGAGGCAGACAGTAATTTAATAACACACTTCACTGATTCCAACATGTCTTCTAATTTCAAAGATGTTTAAATGTAGAAATGCCTAGTCATTCATGTCCTAGTTAAATTGGCACGGCTTTTCTTGCCTTAGTGGTATATAAGCTAATTATGCATCTTAAAATTGGTTTTGTTTTAGATTTGATTAAATATGATAAGTAAAATAATTTAGTATGTTAGATAGTGATACATGTTTGAAAAAAAAGCAGACAAAAAGAGGGATAGGAGTAGACAGGAAGGGGGACAGGTTGTGAGGAAGTGGTTTGCAATTTTAAATAAGATGGATGAAGAAGGCTTCACTAAGGTAACCATGAAGTGAAGACATGAAGGATGTGAAGTAGCAAACCTGTGGATATCTGAGGGGAAGAATATCAGTACTATTTTATAGTTCACTAATTTTCTCTTCAAAGGTGCTCATCTGTAGAGCTTACTTAGTTACTGAGTTTCTTTATTTCAATGACTATTTTTTTCTAATTGAGTTTTTTGTGTCTGTCTGTTCTTATTTAATACCTGCCTGTTTTTGTTTTTTAATTCTTTTCCTGCATGTGTGTGTATATTAAGCACATTTACATACAATATAAGGATTTGGACAAAATGGTTTCTGTGCCCCTGTTATAAAATTATAAGGTAACATATAAACTGAGCTATTCATATTGAGTTCTCAGCTGCATTTGTACTAACTTCACTCTCTGTAACACAAACTCTGGGGACTTTGATTTTCTCCACCGTATCCCCCTTTTCACTTCATTGTTTAAAAAGGTCTTCCTCTTCTAGCGTTTCTTCTTTCTTTTTGTGCTCTTAAACATAATTGAATCAATTTATCTGTAACTTTTACTTCCAGTTTCATACTATTCATTCCCTCTTTGACTTTCGAGATTTGTGAAGGTGCTTTGTACGTTTGAGAAAACTCTTATGTAAATGTTTTTCCTGTTGTGTGACCTCTACCCCCATTGCTTTTAATTTTGATGATCCCCTTGCTGTGTTTGATAATCTGTATTTTTATTCTCATCTCCTTGATATCTTTCTATTCATTGTTCTTGAAATTTTTGTCTCTGACACCATACTGTTAGGAATTTCTTTCTGTATCTATTCTTTTTATTTTCTTCCTTCCCATTATTATCATCACTTTATCAGTTCTGATCTGTATGTAGTTGACTTCCAAGTCTTTATGTGAAGTTCTCATTGTTCATTTATTTTTAAGAAACTGTTATCTTGTTCATCTCCTCATAATGTAACTCCTTCTGTGCCGTATTTAGCAGCAGCACACTTTTGTCAGTGTGACTGTAACAGCACTAAAGTGTCTTTCTCTTTGGGATGAATGTATTATAACTTCTATTTCCTCCTAGTAAAACACATTCAGAGAATTACAGATTTTACAGCTGGAAGTGAAATTAGAAATTAGTTGGTCCATCACTTTCATTGCATAGGGTAATAGTAGCAGATTTTCTTTACATGACATAAACTATTTAATACTCACCACAGTCTTTTGAAATAGGTACTGTTATTGGCCCCATCTCATAGTTGAGGAAACTGAGAGGTTAGATAATTTACCCAAGCTCGTTCAGGTAATAAACAGTGAATCCAGTATTTGAACTTAAATCTGGCTCCCAGTTATGATATAGTCACCAATGAAGAAACAAACCAGGGTAGTCAAGTTTCTCACTTAGGGTCACTCTCTTAGAGGCAGAACTTATCTTCATGGCCTGATGTTGGTGTTTATTTTTTCTCTTTTTTTACTTAAATTGACAATAATTCTAGATATCTGGTCACAAACCTATAAGCAATTTTCAAATCCATCCTTTCATTCCCTTTGATTAACATAATTAATAAGTCCTTTGGATTATTTCTTTAGGACATTTCTTAAAATGATGCTTATTCTATCCCCACTACCTTGAAGAAATCAGGCTTTCCTCGTTGCACAGTTTTTTAGTTGGTCTTTTTGCTAGCAGTGACTTACTTTTCTTATGTCAACCATGTGGACTCCTGATTTTTCTCTTCTAATTAAGACATTGTAGTGACTTCCACTACCTACTAAGTCGAATTCATATTCCACTTCTTGGCATTCAGTGCTCTTAATTTTCCAGCCTCTTCAAAAACAGTTATAGTACCCAATTTAGGAATTTTTTTTCAAGATGTATTTGGGAATTAATTTTTACTTATTTTTTTCTACGGGGAGTTGTGACTCAGTTTTTGTATTACATTTCCAGTGTAGCCTGCGTGATCCTATGTACCCATAATCTACCTGAAGTAATTACTCTTATACAGAAAATGTAACTGAAAGGGATAGTGATATTTGCTTTTACCATCCACCTCCCACTTTATACCTCCCCATGCACTATACTTTCCCAAACATAGCAGTGATCATGTTTATAGTCATTTTCTATAATCCATAGAAATGCAAATGCAAATGTAGATACCGTACCAGGACCAAACAGGTAACATTAAAATATGAAATAGGCCAGGTATAAGTGAAATGATAGGGAATGGGATACATAAGTACCTTCTAAAAGAGAAAACTGATCATCAAGTCCAGTTGTCTGTTAATACAAGGAAATTGGAATCCAGTCTTGTTTTATCTGATTTTTCAAAAGAAGCCTGAAATCCAGTTTTCTGTGTGAAATTTCTCAATGTTTAAAACATTGGAACAAATAAAAGGGAAGGCTGCCTATAGCCCACAAGCTGCCATGTAAAAATGGAAATTGCTGTTATTCTCCATAAATTACGATTAAACCAATCTTGGTGTCTTTCATAATTTTTGCCAGTTTTACTGTTATGGTTTTAAAGTTGCATGTACTTTTCTTTAGCTATATAAAGAAATGCTTTATTTAACAAATTTGAGTTCCTACTCAGTGCCAGGCACTAAGTGCTGGGAATCCAAAGATATATGAGAGATTACTGCTCTCAAGCTCACAGTCTAATGGAGACAGGTCGTGGAGTACATAAATGACAAGTATATAGTTAAATGTTATTTAAATAGTAAGATATTAAATCAGTATACCAGAGTTAAAAGAAAGTGTCCTTGGAATTCAAATTGATAATCACTGATACATGGTGGATAAGATTCCTATAGTTAACCATAAAAATAGCTTATCTTGCAGTGCCTGCCTGTACTGGAGAAGAACCTCAGACATGTGCAAGTCCAATCAAATTGAAACGGAACTGAAATATAATTAAAGTGTGGCAAAAAACATTGTATTCTATGCTGGCAGAGCTTAGTTTAAATGCCAGTACTATTATTTGATAACTGTGTAATTGTTGACAAATTTCCTAACTTTTCTTTCCTTTTTAAGGACAGAAACCATATCTTACTGTTATATTCTCAGCACCAAACACAGTACCTGCTATATAATACACAAATATTTATTTCATGAATGCTTTCTTAGTCTGTTTGGGCTACTGTAACAAAATACAGATTTTAGATTGGGTTATTTATGAACAACAGAAATTTATTTCCCACAGTTCTGGAGGCTGGGAAATCCAAGGTCACCATGCCTAGCTAATTTTTGTATTTTTAGTAGAGATGGGGTTTCACCATGTTGGCCAGGCTGGTCTCGAACTTCTGACCTCAGGTGATCCAGCCGCCTTGGCCTCCCAGAGTGCTGAGATTACAGGTGTGAGCCACTGTGCCCGGCCTTCAGTTGCTTTCTGAAAGAGTTGTACCAATCTTCATTGTGGTAGAGATCTAACTTTAGGGAGTGTCTCTATCAGATCCCATATTACTTTTTTTTTTTTTTTTTTTTTCATTAAATTGGTCAAGCAGATTTGGTGTCTGGTGAGGGCCTGTTCCTTTAGATGGAGCTTTCTGTGTGTCCTCACTTGGCAGAAAGAGCAGGGGTGCCCCCTTCAGCCTCTAATCCCACTCACTAGTCACCTGACAAAGGCCCCACCTCTTAATGCCAACACACTGGGGATTAGATTTTAACATACGAATTTTGGAGGGACACAAACATTCAGACCACAGCACCTTCTGATTTGTGTAACATCTGATATGAAGTTTATTTATAGGTGGTCAGGAGATTGGCATACATGAAATAAGGTAAAGAATGGAAGCTTTTGAGATGGAAAGGCAGAAATGGAAAGGATGAGAAAAAGGCTGACTGAGTAATGAAGGATAATGAAAAGCCATGGCCAAGTGGAATTTTCTACTCTCTGCTCTCGTCCTCTCTCAGTACTCTCTTTAGACTGGCCTTGAGACCTGTATTCTGGTGAGCCCTGTCTGGTTCTGCTCTGACAGTGTGACTTCCCATGATGCAAAGAATCCACAGAGCCAAGATGTGCTCACACATACCCTGCCTTTAGATTACATCTTTTTTATGTCCATATTTACATATATATTCACATGATTTTCTTTTAAACTAAAATTGTTTTTTAAAAAAACTGCAGTGGTTTTTTTTTTCCTTGTTAATTCAACAATTTCTCAGCTCTTTCCATTTTAGATTCCTCATGGATAGATTCATGTACATCTATCTTATTATTTAAAACTCTATATACTGTTGCATAGTATCAGTACCATAGTAGCCATTTCCTTATTGACAATCATTTAGGTTGTTTGCAGTTCTTCTATACCATAAACAGTGCTACAGTGAATACCCTCTGTACACATATGCAAGTGTGTCTCTGCTTTGCTACTCTGTATAAGTAGAATGGCCACAAAATTTTATGAGAATCACCCCAACAATAGTTGGAAGACGTGGAATAGCTGTCAAGGACTATGTTAATCACTTGTAACCATCATTGTTGGAAAAGGCCAGAAAAACAAGAATGGAAATAAAGTTTGTGTAGAGAATGGAGGGAACATACACATAACTTGTAGTTAACATGCATTTGGACTTTGGGACCACTCTTAATATCCGAATGGACATTTTAATTTTAAAAGCAAAAACCTTAATAAAAAACATTCCAGTGTTAATGTAGATAGTTATATAACACAACTGTTGTGAAAATAACCATATAAATGAAGATGTCAGTCCTTTGGCCAGGCACAGTGCCTCACACCTGTAATCCTAACACTTTAGGAGGCCGAGGTGGGCAAATCACTTGAGGCCAGGATTTCAAGACCAGCTCAGGCAACCCCCTTGGTGAAACCCCATCTCAGAAAATACAGAAATTAGCCAGTTGTGGTGATGCACAGCTGTGTAGTCCTAGCTACTCAGATGGCTGAGGAGAGAGGGTCGCTTGAGCCTAGGAGGCGAACTTTGCAGTGACCTGAAGTAATGCTGCTGCACTCCGGTCTGGGTGACAGAGCGAGACTGTGTCTCAAAAAGAAAAAAGATGTCAGTCCTTTTAACATAGTAGTTGTTGTTTTAGTAATGTATTTATGTCCTTAGTGTTTATATTTACATTTTGTATAATCAAGGTATTTATTTATTGCCACATGTATTAACATTTGGTGGAAGAGAGGCATTCACAATGTTTCCAGTGTTATAGATTAATTCATTTAATCTTCACAACAGTGCTATAAAATAAGCATGTTTATCTGTAATTTACAGGTGAGGAAACAGAGAGGTTAAATAATCTATGTAGGTATTTAGGGTCCCCTAGCTAATAAATGGTGAATTGAGCTTTTTAAACCAGTCACTCTGGCTTCAAAAACTCATTTTTCCCCTTTCTATTTTCTTAGTATATAATCCCAAAAATAGGACTACTAGGTCAAATTATATGAACATTTGCTTCAGTTGCTTTCTTTTTTTTTTTGGAGACGGAGTCTCGCTCTGTTGTCCAGGCTGGAGTGCAGTGGCGTGATCTCGGCTCACTGCAACCTCCGCCTCCCAGGTTCAAGCCATTCTCCTGCCTCAGCCTCCCGAGTAGCTGGGATTACAGGCACGTGCCGCCATGCCTGGCTAATTTTTGTATTTTTAGTGGAGATGGGGTTTCACCCTGTTGGCCAGGCTGGTCTCGAACTTCTGACCTCTGGTGATCCAGCCGCCTTGGCTTCCCAGAGTGCTGAGATTACAGGCGTGAGCCACTGCATCTGACTTTCAGCTGCTTTCTGAAAGAGTTGTATCAATCTTCATTGTGGTAGAGATCTAACTTTAGGGAGTGTCTCTGTCCAATCCTATATTACTTTTTTTTTTTTTTTCACTAAATTGGGTAATTTAATGAGTTTTCTTTCAAGAAAAGCACTCATTAGTGCAAAATGAAGCCATTACAATATTTACAGACTTAGTGCTTTTTTATATATTTGAAGTTTCTTTTTGTTCTCTTTGTATAGTCGGATTTGAAAAAGATACCTCTTTCACAGTTCAAAATACAGTCTTTTTAAACAGTACATTTCATATTAGACTGTACTCACCAGGAAGGAGGAATCTTGGATCATATTCATATGTCTTAGTTCAGATTACATTTCAGCTGCTCTTTTTAGAGTAAATTTGCCTAATAAATTCTTGATACAGGTTGAGCATCCCAAATTTGAAATGTTTGAAAATCCAGTACTTTTTGAGTGCTGACATGATGCTCAAAGGAAATGCTCATTGGGACATTTCAGATTTCAAATTTTTGGATTTGAAATGCCCAGCCAGTAAATATGTAATGCAAATAATTGAAAATCCAAAGCACTTCTGGTTCCAGACATTTCAAATAAGGAATACTCAACCTGTGCCACTATATAGCATAAATTTTAAGTTTTGCGTTTATGCAAAATAATTTATCAGAAATTCTTTTTATGGAAATATGTTGGATATGAGAAACTGTCAGTTTACAAGATTGGAAATTCCATGAGAACAAGCACCTGTTACATTCACTTCTACATCTTGGTCAGTGCTTTTCACCAGCAAATTCAGTAAATGTTTATTCACAAAGTGAGTGATTATCTACTGTAACTCTTGTTATCACTAACTAAATGAAAATATTTTCAATAATGATTGTTTCATTTTCCTTCAATTTCAGAATGATTGACTGGCTATCCTGGCCATTGGCTCAGCATGTGGATACATGGGTAATTGCACTCCTGAAAGGACTGGCAGCTGTCCAGAAGTTTACTATTTTGATAGATGTTACTTTGCTGAAAATAGAACTGGTAAGTGGGAGTATGGAAATCTATTAGAATATATAGACTCATAAAATCAATATTTTTTTCTTTGGGTGGTATCCTTGAAAGCATCTAATTTTGAATATGTTATTGTTGTTTTGTTTTGAATAACAGTTTGAATAGGCTTTAGAAATTTTTTTAAATGTCATTTAAATATAAGTAATTAGGTTGGGCATGGTTGCTCACAACTGTAATCCCAGCACTTTGGGAGGCTGAGGCGGGCAGATCACTTGAGGCCAGGAGTTCAAGACCAGCCTGGCCAACATGGCAAAACTCCGTCTCTACTAAAAATACAAAAATTAGGTTGGCATAATGGTTCATGCCTGTAGTCCCAGCTGCTCAGGAGGCTGAGGCACGAGAATGACTTGAATCTGAGAGGCAGAGGTTGCAGTGAGCCAAGATAGCACCACTGCACTCCAGCCTGGATGACAGAGCAAGACTGCGTCTCAAAAAAAAGTATAAGTAATTAAAATAATTTTTTCATTTTCAAATATCCAATATGAAAACATTCTTTCCATTATCTCTTGAGTCCAGCTAATCAAGCTTTTACCACCATTACTCTACCAAAATTACCAGTGGTTTCCAGTGTTGCTAAACTCAAGAGTCATTTCTCAGGCCTCGTCTCATTTGACCTGTCAGCAGTATTTGGCACAGTCGATCACTCCCTCTTGTTTCCAGGACATTATACTCTCCTGATTTTTGTCCTCCTTCACAGGCTTATCAGTCTCCTGTACTTACTCTAACTTTTAGAATGCCTTACAGTTCAGTCTTTGGTCCATTTTCTTCTCAGTGCATACTCACAGCATAGGTGTTCCATGGCTTTAAACAACATCTCTAATTTGATGACTGCCAGATTTATATTTTTAGTCCATTTTTCTCCCTTGAACTCCATATTCATGTATCCATCTGTCTTTACATGAATCTCAGATTCACTTTATCTACAATCTTATTCCTGACTTTTCCCTCCCAGACCTAGAGGCTACTCTATCCTTTCACTTGCTCAAGCCAAAAACCTTGAAGCTATTCTTATCTTTTTTTCATTCCCTCTCAGCCCATATCCTACAAATTCTACTGATACCACCTTTAGAATATATCCAGAATCCTACCACCCTGGTCCTACATTATCATCCCTTGCTGCAAGATTGCAGCAGCCTTCCTGCTCCTGTCCTTGGTCCCCTGTACTTATCACACAAGGTCCTATGTATTCTGGCCCACTTTTTCTCTAGTCCCATTTCCCACTGTTACTGCCTCGGTCTCTTGCTTCACTTACACTGCCCTTTTTTCTTCATCTGTAGCACACCAGCCTGAAGGCCTCAAGGCCTTTGCAATGCCGTTTGCCCTGCCTATAATGCTCTTGTCCCAGGTATTTGCAAGGCTTATTCAATTCCTTCAGTTTTACAGTTGGATATCACTTCTTTCATGAGGCATTTATTGAACGCTATATAAAACAGCAGATTTTTTTGCTACACAGCATTCCCTATTCATCATACCCTGCTTTAAATTTCTTAATAACACTAACCACCATGTGTTACTTTTTATTGTTTCTACCTGCCCTCTAGATGGTAAACCCTGTAAGAGAGAGATGGTTTTTTGTTTTTTTAATCCACTGTTGTAGCACTAGTTCCTAGAACTAGGACAAGTAATAGTATGTGCTTAACAAATATTTGTTGAGTGAACTGAATGAATAGTGGACTAGGGAGCTATTGCCTTGTAAACATAGTTTGACAAATTTTTATTTAATTGGGGAGTTTTAACAGTTGGTTAGGCCAGTTACATTACCCTTGATCTCTGTCACGTTATTTCCTAACTTCATCCTTCTCCCAAAGTTTAATAATATAAGTTATGTTAGAACTTTCCAGAAGGGGGACATTCATATAAATAAATTCTAGCTCTAGGAAAATAACCACTGTTGGATTAATGATTTTCCTGCAAATTCTTAAGAAGGTGTCTTGTCTTATTTTGAAGGTTTTTAATCGACTTTGGTTTCCTCTTGTGAGACCTGGTGCTCTTGCAGTTCTTTCTCACATGCTGCTTAGCTTTCAGCATTCTCCAGAGGCGTTCCATTTGGTAAGTTATGACATAAACGTTCTACTTTGAAAAAGCCTCAATTTGAAAATTTAGTTTAATATTGAGTCACATTTTTATGTAGTGAAAATATTGCAAGTTAGTCCCAAATCTGTTTTCATATAGCTTTATGATTTCCTAGAAAATTGAGATTGTGAGATTTCCCTCCTAGGAATATATTTTCGTGTCTCATTCAAACTACTCCACTTGCAACAACTACCAGCAGTTGAGAGTTACTGTTCACATGGGAGATGTCACTGATGGATGTCTGTTGCACAAATGAACAGTATAGAAGGATTAAAATGATTGAAAACCACTGCTTTAGAATTTTGAAAGCATGAAAACACACCAGTCTTTGCAGGCTTTTCATTCACTCTCAGCCTACATCCTACAAATCCTGTTGACCCCACCTTTAAAATACATCTAGAATCCTACCACGTTAAGCCAGCTGAATCATTGGCGTTTATTTGATTTCAATTATTTGATTATCAGTTACTGCAGATGAGAAATGACAAATTGTAATTTTGGTCAGCTGTCCATTTACCACTCTAGGGCATCATAGGAAAACAGTGCCTTTGTGTGGTTACTTAATTCTTCCAAAGACTAATCCTGTTTTATAGGACTAGAAACTCATTGTCAATAAACCCACAGTGGAAAAATCTTAGGAATACTGATTCACCATAACAAACTTTAGAGGAGACTAATGAAGTTCAGAATTCCATTTGTTTTTATTTATCTAGAATATATTCACATAGGTTGCTCAGTGTCTCATTTCCACTGAAGGAAAGTCCACAGGCTTTGTAGTAAGTAAACCTTACTAGCAAGTAATTACATTACACATTACCACTTAGGATGAGTGATTTCTGCAGTTAATTGCCCTAATTTTGGTGAATTTAATCATCAAGCAGTAACCTTATATATATGTATAATACAAACAGAACTCAAACTCTAAGATAGCAGGTGTACTAGCAAAGTCTTCCAAGAAAAAAAACATCAATTACTTGTCCTTGTCTTCAGGCACAATCATGTGTAAGACATTTGAGAAAAGGCTTTGTTTTCCACATTTTTTTTTTAACTTGTTAGATTCAGGGAAACATGAAAGTTTGTTACATAGGTAAACTCATGTCACATGGGTTTGGTTTACAGATTATTGCATTACCCAGTTATTAAACCCAGTACCCAATAGTTATCTTTTCTGCTCCTCTACCTCCTCCCACTCTCCCCGCTCAAGTAGACCTCAGTGTCTATTGTCCCCTTTTTTGTGTTCATGAGTTCTCACCATTTAGCTCCCGCTTATAAGTGAAAACATGGGGTATTTGGTTTTCTGTTGCTGGGTTAGTTTGCTAAGGATAATAATAGCCTCGCCCTCCATCCGTGTTCCCGCAGAAGACATGATCTTATTATTATGGCTGCATAGTATTCCATGGTGTATATGTACCACATTTTCTTTATCCAATCTGTCACTGATGGGCATTTAGATTGATTCCATTTCTTTGCTATTGTGAATAATGCTACAGTGAACATTCATGTGCATGTATCTTTATGGTAGAATGATTTATATTCCTCTTGGTGTATACCCCATAATAGGATTGCTGGGTCAAATGCCAGTGCTGCTGTTAGCTCTTTGAAGAATCACCATACTGCTTTCCACAATGGTTGAACGAATTTATACTCCCACCAAGTGTATAAGTGTTCCCCTTTTTTTGAACCTCACCAGCATGTCTTCTTTTTTGACTTTTTAATGATAGCCATTCTGACTGGTATGAGATGGTAGTTCATTGTGGTTTTGATTTGCATTTCTCTGCTGATCAGTAATACTGAGCTTTTTTTCTTAAGCTTGTTGGCTGCATATATGTCTTCTTTTGAAAAGCGTCTGTTCATGTCCTTTGCCTGCTTTTTAATAGGGTTTTCTCTTGTAAATTTGTTTAAGTTCCTTATAGAGGCTGGATATTAGACCTTTGTCAGATGCATAGTTTATAAGTATTTTCTCCCATTCCGTAGGTTGTCTGTTTACTCTGTTGATAGTTTCTTTTGCTGTGCAGAAGCTCTTAAGTTTAATTAGATCCCGTTTGTCAATTTTTGCTTTTGTAGCAATTGCTTTTGGTGTCTTTGTCATGAAATCTTTGTGTCCAGGATGGTATTGCCTAGGTTGTCTTCCAGGGTTTTTAAAGTTTGGGGTTTTACATTTAAGTCTTATCCTTGATGTAATGAACATCGATACAAAAATCCTCAACTTGCAAAGCAAATCCAGCAGCACTTCAAAAAGCTAATCCATCATGATCAAGTAGGCTTCATCTGTGGGATGCAAGGTTAGTTTAGCATACACAAATAAATCACATAAACAGAAATAAAGACATAAACTACATGGTTATATCAATGGATGCAGAAAAAGCTTTCAATAAATTCAACATCCCTTCATGTTAAATACTCTCAATAAACTAGGTATTAGAGGAACATGTCTGAAAATAATAAGAGGCATCTGTGACAAACCCACAACCAACATTATACTCAATGGGCAAAAGCTAGAAGCATTCCCCTTGAAAACCAGCACAAGACAAGGATGTCCTCTCTCACCACTCCTAATCAATATAGTACTGGAAGTCCTAGCCAGAGCAGTCAGGCAAGAGAAGGCAATAGGTGACATCCATATAGGAAGAGAAGAAGTGAAACTATTTGTAGATTATATGTTTCTGTATCTAGAAAACCCCATAGTCTCAGCGCAAAAGCTCCTTCAGCTGATAAACAACTTCAGCAAAGTCTCAGGATAAGAAGTTAATGTAAAAAAATCACTAGCATTCCTATACACCAACAGCAGTCAAGCTAGGAGCCAAATCAGGAAGGCGATCCCATTCACAATTGCCACAAAAAGAATAAAATACCTAGGAATACAGCTAACCAGGGAGGTGAAAGATCTCTACAATGAGAAATACAAAACAGTGCTCAAAGAAATCAAGAAGACACAAACAAATGGAAAAACATCCCATGCTTATGGATAGGAAGAATCAATATCATTAAAATGGCCGTACTGCCCAAAGCAATTTACAGATGCAGTGCTACTTCAATCAAACTACCAATGACATTCTTCACAGAACTAAAAAAACACTATTTTAAAATTTGTGTGGAACCAAAGAAGAACCTGAATAGCCACAGCAATCCTAAGCAAAAAGAACAAAGCTGGAGCCATCACATTACCCAGCTTCAAATTATACTACAGGGCTACAGTAGTATATTAAAACAGCGTGGTACTGGTACAAAAACAGGCACATAGACTAATGGAACAGAATAGACAGCCCACAGACGAAGCTGCACACCTATGACCATCTGATCTTGACAAAGCTGTCAAAACAAGCAATGGGGAAAAGGCTCCCTCTTCAATAAATGGTGCTTTGACAACTGGCTAGCCATATGAAGAAGATTGAAGCTGGACCCCTTCCTTACACCATATACAAAAATCAACTCAAGATGTTTTCCAAATTTCTAGGAAGGAGATTCTCTGACATAACTTTATCATTCATTCTAATGTTTATTGCCCATATTGAGGACATTCCTTAATCTAGTAGTGGGTAATGTGGTAGTTAAATCACCTATAACTCCAAATAACTCAGTAAAGGACTTGGGCTTAGGAGTTGCTAAGTATGAGCAATAATCTGGAATCAGCATCATCATAATTCATCATAAGTTTAGAATATCTTAGGGCAAGCCAAGGTTGATGTTAGAATATGTGGTGTTATGGGTCAGGTTGCTTTTCTTATGCATTTTACCCAGTGGAATAAATTTATTTTAAACAGACACTATGGCAGATAGGAATAATGGAGAAAGAAAAAAAATCAAAGCTTCTAATTAAATAAGTTTTATACATTTCCTCAAAAACTTTAGTATTATAATAATGTCAAGAAACATTTAGTTTCACTTATTCAAAAAAATCAACTTTCACACATTTAGAAAGTAATAGCCTGCTTGGAAGTATATCTGTATAACTGTGAAAGACTAAGTCTTATTTCCATGTCGTGATAATGTTGACCATTTGAGATATAGTAATAGACAACCATATAACCTGATTACAAAGACCTAATCTAATTTGACAGATTTGGAATTATAAATTTAATAATTACTTCTAAAATTTTTGCCTCTTCTGTCTCCCTTCACCTTTGAGAAAACAAAATAATTTTGGATTTCTGACTTTTAGCAAGAGAATATCTGATAAATGTGGCTTTATGCGACAGAAGTATAATTCATATTTGCTTAGAAATGTAAAGATGATAGCAATAGAATGAACTCACTAGGAACTGGTAGTTTTATGGTCACATTAGTACCTGTGATGGAGGTAAGAAGGTAATGCAAAAGCTACAGTGTGATTTAAGCACAAATGTAAAGCTAGACAGAGCAGAATGGAAATAGCACTGTGTTGTAAGACTATGATTGTTCTTTTTGTGGGAAGGACGGGGAATTAGTGGGTTATTACTATAATTGCTGTTATTGCTGTTTGATGGTACGACCCTAATAGTTATAACTTTTTTACCATGAGTTAGCAACCCCAAAATGTTCTACAAATAGAACAGAAGATACCTTTTACCATAAGAAGTGTAAATATGTAGTATCAGATTATAATTAAAAATTAATTGAAAAAAATATAGTATCATACTAATGGAAAGAGCTATGTCTGTAAAATAGAAGTTGTTTCATTTTAATAACCTCCTAAAGATATGATTGGCTCTGGATTGATGACTTTTTAGTTTAATTTTACAATGAAAGAACATGGTTGTGCTGATGATCAATATTAACAATATTCTATATGTTTATGAGCAATGATCATTTTAGATTTCACTTTTATTTTTAGCCCCAGGTCTTTAAAACTAACAGAAGTTTCTGATGCCCTTTATTTTTAGAACCATCTCATCTTTTGCTGTGAAATGGGATTTGTTAGTAAGAATAGCCACTCTAACATAAGGCATGGTCTCTGTGCTTATCTAAAAGTAATCCCATTACCTGAGCTGCAATTTTAGTTACTCATGTAAAGATTTTCTTGAAGTAGACTTTAATGTGCAATGTACTTTTAATTCTTTCAAGTAAAAAATTTTAGATTCACACTAGATGGAGCTCTTTAGCTAATTCCAGGATTATTTTTCAAAAGTTTATTCCCATTGAATGACCTGGTAAATATAATAACCCTAACAATTTCAACCTACAGCATTTTTCAGAATGGTGGCAATGACTAAGATTCCTATTTTATACCTTAGTTTATGTTTTAGATGGTGTGTAAGGATGAGGAGAGGGGTCATATATGAGATTACAGTCATATGCGACTTCGAAAACTAGATTTACCTTGATATTTTAGAAATGTTTAACTTAATAACAAGAAAAACTCTGTGACTGCACATACAGAAAAGTATCTGCTGATCATATATCGTTTGTGTTCTGTTTGTAGGCTAGAGAATGTGTTACCAATTTGTATAAATTCAGCATTGTTTATCCTTTTTTCTTTTCAGATTGTTCCTCATGTGGTTAATTTGGTTCATTCTTTCAAAAATGATGGTCTGCCTTCAAGTACAGCCTTCTTAGTACAATTAACAGAATTGATACACTGTATGATGTATCATTATTCTGGATTTCCAGATCTCTATGAACCTATTCTGGAGGCAATAAAGGTATGATGATAGTTGTACCAATATTTGTGGAGTTGTGTTATATTAATAAGGTGAAACATTCTTATAACCAGCTACTCAATTTACTATTTTATGGTAATATGCTTTTTATTTGAAAAATGCAGTTAGAATCAGGTTTCATTTAGGGAGTAACAGCTTTCTTGCTGGAGTCACCATTCTAAATTAATAACCATATTTCTTTATTTCTGCAGTGTCATCAATTATAAGGCATATCTTTAAATTTATAATAGCTTTTTGGGAAATTTGTTTAAAAAGAAATGCTACGTTAAGTTAATGCATACATCAGATTTGCACCCCAATATTAGAAGTGTTAAAGTATATGTAGAGTACATCTTAGAATACAGGAAATGGAGTTTAATAAAATATTTGACTTTGATTTCTTCCCCTTTTTAATCTTTTTTTTTTTTTTCTTCTTGAGACCAAGTCTCGCTCTGTCACCTAGGCTGGAGTGCAGTGGTACCATTTCTGCTCACTGCAACCTTCACCTCCTGGATTCAAGCGATTCTTCCGCCTCAGCCTCCTGAATAGCTGGGACTACAGGCACCTGCCACCATGCCCGGCTAATTTGTATTTTTAGTAGAGACAGGGTTTTACCATGTTGGCCAGGCTGGTCTGAAACTCCTGACCTCAAGTAATCTGCCTGCCTTGGCCTTCCAAAGTCCTGGGATTACAGGCGTGAGCCACTGCACCTGGCCTCTTTTTTAATTCTATTTTTGCTGTGGACTGTTCATCAATGTTTCGAATCTTTACTTGAATTATTTGTGGAGTTATACTGTGTTTCAATTTTATATGGAAATGGTTCTAAAAAGCACTTTTTTTTTTTTTTGGACAGTCTTGCTCTGTTGCCCAGGCTGAAGTGCAATGGCATGATCACGGCTCACTGCAGCCTCTACATCTTGAGCTCAAGTGACCCTCCTGCCTCAGCCTCCCAAGTAGCTGGGACTCCAGGTGCACACCACCACGCCAGGCTAACTTTTTATTTTTTGTAGAGTCGGGGCCTCACTATGTTGCTCAGGCTGGTCTTGAATTCCTAGGCTCAAGTGATCCTCATCCTCCCAAAGTGCTGGGATTACAGGCATGAGCCACTGTGCCTAGCCTAAAAAGCACTTCTGTTTGTGTTGAAGACTGGATCACAATAAACATACTTTCCTCTCAGTAAACTTACTGCATAATCAGTGTATAGCAAAAGAATAGGAGAACTGAACTCAGCCAAACTCAATCAGAAATTATTAGAAATCAATTCTATTGATGGTTTTTTTGAGATCTGAATTTCAACATAAAGGTCTTATTATCTTTACTTCTGTATCTGAGGTGGATTAAAAACAGTTCTTTTTACTGTATCATTAACTAAATCAAACTTATTTTGGTTGAGCTCAGAACACAAAGACTGTTAAGCAATTAATGTATATTGCTGGGGTGACACTTTGACACTTCAGAAGTAGATTATGTTCAGGAGCATTGTGAAGTGGATTTGATGGTAATATTAATCTCTTTCTACATTGTCCCTGGATCCATAGATGATAGTTGCTGCACTTGTTAATTGATTGCCATTGTTTAGTTCATCAGAGTTTTTCATGTTGAAAATTCTGATAACTCATATAGGCTCAGAAGAAACAATGGGCTCGCTCTAAGCCCAAAGAAAGCACTTTTTCTTAGCTGTCAACAACAACAAAAATGAGAAGATTGAAACTCCTTCAGAAAATGTTTGTTTGTTAAGGTCTAAGTGCCAGATGCTAATAGCAATCCAGATAAGCCCTAATGATTTTACCAACTTCCCTTACTCTCCAGTGCTCTATTCATGCTTGAAATAATTTACACTTGAAATGTTATCTCATACTTCACAAAGTTGATAAGAAAAATCCATATGTTGTAATAATTTTCTATATGGGTAACATGAGATTAAGTTTTATTTTTCTTAAAGGTCATTGTGCATAGATGCTTTCATTTCTCATTTCTTAATTACTTTGGGATTTTATTTCTAAGGGTTAATACTGAGTAAATATTAGTATTTAATGAAAAGGAGACATTTTTATTACAAAATTTGAAAACAAATTGTTTACTTATGTTTAACTGTGTGCTAAAATTTAAGTCTTCATTCTACTGCCTTTGAATAGCACTGCAGTGTATTCTCTGACCCCAAAGTTTTATTTTATAAACATTTTGCTGGCATATAGAGAACATAAAGAGTTCAAATGTGACTTGAATTTCCAGCTTTTGAGTATTCCTTAACTTGATAAAATCTGTTATTAGACAATATTTATTTTTGCCATACAGTGAAATTTGATATTTTCATGACTAGCCAAGTACTGCCAGTTACTTCAAAACTAAGTGGGGGAAAAGAAAGTTCAAATGTCGGTGTAAGAATCTTCTTAATGGTGTTAATTAATTTAACAACAAAAATAATTTTTACTTTACTTTTAAACTGTTTTTCTTCTTTATGACCTATAGGATTTTCCTAAGCCCAGTGAAGAGAAGATTAAGTTAATTCTCAATCAAAGTGCCTGGACTTCTCAATCCAATTCTTTGGCGTCTTGCTTGTCTAGACTTTCTGGAAAATCTGAAACTGGGAAAACTGGTCTTATTAACCTAGGAAATACATGTTATATGAACAGTGTTATACAAGCCTTGTTTATGGCCACAGAGTAAGTTTAAACTTGAATCTTTTCATTTTAACTGTAGAAGTTGATGCATGCTGATGAAATATAAGATGATAGAATTGTCTACACATTATTCCTTATAAATGGCATAAATGTTAACTTTGATTGCCTTATTCAGAAATGAAACTGCTTTTAGTGCTCAGAAACTATGAAAATGTTAACATTAGGCTGGGTGTGGTGGCTCACGCCTGTAATCCCAGCACTTTGGGAGGCCAAGACGGGTGGATAGCTTGAGGTCAGGAGTTTGAGAGCAGCCTGGCCGTCATGGCAAAATCCCATCACTACTAAAAATACCAAAATTAGCCAGGCGTGGTGGTGGGCACCTGTAATCCCAGCTACTCGGGAGGCTGAGGCAGGAGAATCACTTGAACCCAGGAGGCAGAGGTTGCAGTGAGCCAAGATCGTGCTGTTGCACTCCAGCCTGGGTTACAGAGTGAGAGTCAGTCTCAAAAAAAGAAAAGTTAACATTAATTCTGCTTATTATTCATTGCATTTAAATGCCACTTTAAAGAAATTACTATTCCAAAGAGTTTAAGTGTGCTAGAGTACTTCATTGTTGTTATCCTGTGAGACTGTAATTTTTTTTAACCTATACGTGTTTTGAGGGAAGTTATATATAATTTTATCTGCCGGTCAGTATTTTGGTATTTGTCAGATCAACAACTTTGTTGCTGTTTGAGAAGTTTAAGTTCTGCTCCACCCCAGGGCAATAATTACTGAACACATGTATAAACAGACATGTTCCTTTCCCCTCTTAAGAATTTTCTTTCAAATCCATTTTCTTTTGCACCTAAGCAAATAGGAAATCAGAAGTTGTTAGTTATGTGAATGCTATCTGCAAAGGTACAAAATAACGATAAACTTTTCCTGAAGACAAAAACATGATTGAATTTTTCTCCTGATTACCAATAAGCTATTCATGGAACTTGCCCAAAGAGGTTTACAAATTAAGTTCTAAGCTTTTCCAAGTTGTTATGCCTGCCCAGAGGAATCATAAACTATGAAATGTCGAATTTGGTTGGGTGCCGTGGCTTGCGCCTGTAATCCCAGCACTTTGGGAGGGTGAGGCAGGTGGATCATGAGGTCAGGAATTTGAGACCAGCCTGACCAACATGGTGAAACCCCGTCTCTACTAAAAATACAAAAATTAGCCAGGCATGGTGATGTGTGCCTGTAATCCCAACTATTCAGGAGGCTGAGGCAGGAGAATCACTTGAACCCAGGAGGCGGAGGTTGCAGTGAGCCAAGATTGTGCCACTGCACTCCAGCCTGGGCAACACAGTGAGACTCCATCTAAAAAAGAAAGAAAGAGAGAGAGAGAAGAATTTGCTTTATTTTATTGTTGGGCTCCAGATTATAATATCAGCACTCAGGTGTTTTTGGTTTCATTTAGCATTTAATTTTTTGGTTTGTTTGTATTTGGAATTTTTTTTTTTTTTAGAGAGCAGCTATATCTTTAGACACAAGTGATACTAGGCATAAGACTGAAAGAATCCCCATCTTACCACCAGAGGTCATCTAGTCCAGACATCTCCTTTTACAGATGACAGAGAAAACAAAAAACCAAAGCAGTTATAACGGCAAGAGCAAATAAAAGGTTATCTCTTATTGAACAGTGGCCAATAATATTATCTCTGAATGGGAAGACAGCATATTTTATTTCTTAAGTAATATATGAATTCTTCTTCATAGTTTAAAAATAAATTTTATATAGAATAAAAAGCAGACATTCCCATTTCCAAAGGTAATTTGTTAACAGTTACGTTGTTCCAGACCTTTTTTGGTACAGTTGCATGTTTGTATTTAATATGAAAACAAATGCATTTTTTAAAGAAAATTTGCAGAGAATCCTATTTATATATTCTTTTCCAGCCACTTGCTTTTATCATTTAATAATTTGTATTCGAAATATTCCCATATTGGGGCAATACAGATCCGTGTCATTCCCAGTAAATGTGTATGCCATCATTTATTTATTAAATACTCATTTAATTTAATGAGATTTAATAAATAAGTTAAATTAGTATTTAATAAATACTTCTTTATTTAATAATGCTCCTATTGATGAATATTAGGTTGTTTTGCTTATAATTAACATCTCTCTGCCCTTATACAGATACAGAGGATTTTTCTTTGAATATTTTCCATATCTTTGAATATCCTTTGAATATCTTTCAAATTGCTCTCCAAAAAAGCTGTAGCATTTTGAACTCTGATACCAATATAAGATTGTACCTAGAACCTGTACCTTTAGCAACAAATCAGCCTTTTTAATTTTTTGCCAATATGAAGAAAAATGTCTCTTAATTTGCATATTGCTGCTAATTATAGAGTTTTTCCCTCTCTTATTTTTCTTTATTCATTTGTGTTTCTCTTCCAAATAACCTGTTCTTTTCTTTGTACATCTTTTTGTTGGGTCTTTTTTGTTTTCATGTTGCTTTATATATACTCTGGATAATCATCCTTTGCTACATGCTTTTTTCAAGGCACAATTCAAATTTGTGGGGTGTTTTATTTATAATTTTTTAATTTTATGTATTCCAGTCTTCCACTTTTCATTTGTAGCATCTGGACTTTTAAAAGCCTTTACCCTCTAAATTTCTTGTTTCTTTATTTTAAGTACTTCAGTAGTTTTGTATTTTATATCTAGCTCATTAGTCCTGTGGTATCTGTATTGGTGTATAATCTTATGTAACTTCATTTTTTACCGGATGGATACCCAGCTGTCCCTTTACTTTTTTTTTTTTTTTGAGTAGTTTATCCTTTTCCCACGCTCTATTCTTTAAATGACTTTAATTTTATAGTGTGTTTTAATGACAGCATATTTTTTTATTTCATGAAGATTTGAAAGAATTTAAGTTTACTTATCTTATAAATTAATGGCTTAACCTATTTGTATTTGCTAATCCAGAAAATAGAAATAATATGTGATAGCACATAGTCCATTAACAGGCTTTATAGTAAATGTTAATTTATTGTCATTCTTCCCTTCCTTCTTTACTGTTAGATAGATAACTTCCTTAGGAAAAGGACCATTAGGTAAATGAAGTTTTACTTTAAGGATAATAAATTCTTGAACTAACTTGCTTTTAGCTTTTAAGAAATGCTTTTAAATGGCCAGGCACAGTGGCTTATGCCTGTAATTCCAGCACTTTGGGAGGCCGAGGTGGGTGGATCATTTGAGGTTTCGGTGAGCTGAGATTGTGCCACTGCCCTCCAGCCTGGGCAACAAAAGGAAACTCTGTCTCAAAAAAAAAAAAAGCTTTTAATAAATGCATGTGTTTGTACGCACATATATATAAATCATTATATTCTCTTTCAGTTTCAGGAGACAAGTATTATCTTTAAATCTAAATGGGTGCAATTCATTAATGAAAAAATTACAGCATCTTTTTGCCTTTCTGGCCCATACACAGGTGAGTGTGTATGTGTATATAGTACGTTTATGTTAACTGCGTGGTAATATTCATTAAACTTTACCTTATACCTAACCTTTTTAACTGATGAAATAATATAATAGATATCTCACCCAGTATAACAAATCCACTTAGAAATGCTAAAGAGATCCTGCCTAAAATATCTAGATTTTTTTTATTTTCAGGATATGCCCTAAGTTTTTATATTTTTCTCTTGCTTCCCATTATTGTAGCTGAATATTACGCTGACCCATTGATCTAGAAATTTTTACAAAGAAAATATGATTTCCTATCCAATAAATAAGTTCCTTCATGAAGAATTATTTTTAAGTGCATCTTTGTTTCCTGATATTAAATTAGTAGATTTGTACAATAATGAGCAAATAAAATAATATTGTGGTGCCTGGGCTTTTTTCTCTTTTCTTATGTATACCTATTCATTATAACTAAAGATCTCTGCAGTTCTGTTTATCTGTTAAGTTCTAGAGCTTAAAATTTCGTGGTGATCTTTTATGTCCACACATTAATCCGGGGTCATTAATTTATGTTAATGGCACCAAGGTGGTCATATATAGTAAATATTCACTCAACAGACATTTATTAAGAGACGCTATATGCAGTCAGTGATAAGCATTAAAAGAAGAGTCTTGGCCAGGCGCAGTGGCTCACGCCTGTAATCCTAACACTTGGAGGCCAAGGCAGGCAGATTACTTGAGGTCAGGAGTTTGAGACCAGCCTGGCCAACATTGTGAAACCCCATCTCTACTAAAAATACAAAAATTAGCCAGGCATGGTGGCACACGCCTGTAATCCCAGCTACTCAGGAGGCTGAGATAGGAGAATTGCTTGAACCCAGGAGGTGGAGCTTGCGGTGAGCCGAGATCGTGCCACTGCACTCCAGCCTAGCTAACAGAGTGAGCCCCTGTCTCAAAAAAAAAAAAGAGTCTTTATGTTCAAAGAACTTTTAGTTTAGATTTTGAGCCTATACACATGAGTAATATATATGTCATTATTTATAATATATATTATTATTTTTCTGGTTTTACTTTCATTGCCTTTATCTCACAGAGGTCTAAAGGAGCAGTAGTTAGGACCAGAAGAAACAATAGGTTGAGAATTGATGGGGTTCAGTTGATGGGAATGCTTTTGTTTTCTTTCTACAAGCTGAGAAATATCTCAAATATAACTTCTTAAATGGAAAGAATCTAGACAGGATTAATATGAGATGATAGTAATGGCCTATGAGTAGTTATATACTCAGATATTTTTATTATTCTTTATCTGGGGAAAGTATGTTCACAAATTAAATTTACCATATCAAGACCAAGGGAAACGAAATGAAAACTATCTCCTTCCTCACTCCCTGTTGTTTCCTAGTAAATTGATTTTTGTGCTTTATCACTAGTATGTATTTATTATATATAAAATATATATGTAGGCAGATATATACTTTATTAACTTACTAAATCAGAGCTATTAGGAAAAAAAATCTTAGGGGAGGTTTCCCTCCTCCTCCCAAGAAAAGTAGAAATTTAAAAGAGCCTGATTAAATTTCTGTCACAGTTGAGACTGTCTCTGGTAGCAGCCTGACAGAGATTATTTTAGGCAGATAGATTTTCCCATATAATTGAAAAGTCCTTTTTTCTTATAATTAATAAAACAACACTTATTGAACAGTTACTTTTTTTTAACCCCTGGTCTAAATCTTTTATGTCTTAATCATCAAAAACAGTCTGTCAGGTAATAAGGTATATCCCCATTTTACAGATGAAGAAAACAGGCTTACATTACCTGTTCAGGGTCATGCAAGCAAGCAGCAGGGTTGAGATATGAACCAAACAGCTCTGAAGCCCATGTTTAATGTAGGCTAAACTTCCTTCCTTCAGAATGCTATAAACACCCTTAATTTGGGTAAAATTTTTCTTAACTGAGAACTTCATTGTTATGAAGTTATGCCACAAATAATCAAAATGTCAAGAGAATTCCAAAGTTTCAACTTACAATCACATCTTCGAGATGCCTTTTCAGTTCTTTTTTGTCATGGCAAAATCTAGGATTTGAACCTGGTTCACTCCAGAGTCCAAAGTTTAATCACTAAGCAGCCTCTATACTTTAAAACAAAAATTAGCAAAGGTTTCTAACCAGTGTACTCACAATCTGCACATATATGACATGTATCTGCTCAAGGAAATTTTTGCCTAAAGTAGGTATGCATGACTCTAGAGTATTTCCTTTATTACTTTGTTCAAAATATATACTAACAAAATATACATTAATCTTTTTTAGATTTGATTTTTCAAAAAATTGTGGACTCAAACATGACTGTCATAGAGGGATGATACCAGGAGCTTTATATCAAGAGTTAGACATGGGTTCTACTTTAATGCCTTGTGCTACTCATTTAGCTGTATGACCCTGGGCAAGTCACCTGTTTCTCTAGCTCTCAATTCTCCTCTGCAGAGTGAGAAGTTATGACTAAAGATTACCTAACTTTATTTCTAAATAATTTTATCTGTCCCTAAGTTGCCACGTCCGGCACTTTTGGCTGATGCAATGTTAACTGTAAATAACCTTTATTAAACACTGTATATTAAGATTTCAGTTACTTGGTTCATGCTATAAGAATCACTTCCTTATATTTTCTCAATTGCTCTCAAAAGAGGGAAGCATACGCACCTCGGATATTCTTTGAGGCTTCCAGACCTCCATGGTTTACTCCCAGATCACAGCAAGACTGTTCTGAATACCTCAGATTTCTCCTTGACAGGTAAAAAGTATTCTTAAAATTGTGATTTGAGTGTTGTCTTTCATAACAGTTTAATTCTACTTAATATTGCTTTTACCTTTAAAAACATATTTCAAATATTACTCTTTAAAATACTATTGCATTTCTTGTATGTTTTTTATATTTTCTTTTGTTTTTAATTTATTTTCCTTTTTGAATTTTCTTCCTTGAGACCAGCTGTTCTCAAAGTGTGAAACAAGGACCCCTGCGGGTTCCCAAAACACTTTCAGGAGTCTGTGAGGTCTTCTCTTTTCCAACAGCGTAACTGTGTGAGGCCAGATTTTCTTTATATGCTTCATCCAAAAAACATATAACAATAGAATGCAGAGAAGATATGAGGCTCCAGCTGTCTTCTGTTAAGCCAGATACTTAAAATATTTGCAAAATGTAAAACACTGCCATTCTTACTTTTTTTTGGTTTTAGAAAATACAACTTTTTCATTTTTAAAATGTTACTAATATTAAATAATGGGTTTATTATTGTTTGCTAAATGTTAATATTTTATTTTCTCAGTTCTGACAGTAAATATCAATAAATACAACCCATGTAAAGGAAAGCTCTTTGTTTTTTAATTATTTTTAAGAGTATAAAGGGGTCCTGGCACCAAAAAATTTAAGAACCACTCCTTTAGACCAGTTCATAATTGTATGGGTTTGGTATGTTTTATTGTCGCCTGACCACTTAATTAATAAAACCTGTTATCATCTGTATCTCCCTGTCTTTGTTCTGCTCTGTGGAATGACTAGTAAAGTTAGTTGGGCTTGGTATGTGCAGCCTTCCTTCCATTCAGCTAAGAATCTATTCAGTAGTTTATTTGTGCCTGACTTTCTATGAGATGTCAGGAAGACAGAGATATATAAGACAGTTAAGGGACGTTTATAATTAACTGCAATGTAATACATGCTATTAAGTAGCAGTATGAAGAAAGTGTAATGAGAATATAGAGTAGTAATAGCCACCCAGCTTTTTTTCTGCATTCTCAAAACTGTTCAATTTTCTTTTAATTAAAACAGGAAAAACCTGATTTGTTTACATTAAATTTGATTAGAATAGTTTATAGAAGCCACTAATATTTTTAAATAGAAATGACATTTGAAGTTAATTTAAGTAGCTATATAATGATATCCTCTGCTGCAGGCTCCATGAAGAAGAAAAGATCTTGAAAGTTCAGGCCTCACACAAGCCTTCTGAAATTCTGGAATGCAGTGAAACTTCTTTACAGGAAGTAGCTAGTAAAGCAGCAGTACTAACAGAGACCCCTCGTACAAGTGACGGTGAGAAGACTTTAATAGAAAAAATGTTTGGAGGAAAACTACGAACTCACATACGTTGTTTGAACTGCAGGAGTACCTCACAAAAAGTGGAAGCCTTTACAGATCTTTCGCTTGCCTTTTGTCCTTCCTCTTCTTTGGAAAACATGTCTGTCCAAGATCCAGCATCATCACCCAGTATACAAGATGGTGGTCTAATGCAAGCCTCTGTACCCGGTCCTTCAGAAGAACCAGTAGTTTATAATCCAACAACAGCTGCCTTCATCTGTGACTCACTTGTGAATGAAAAAACCATAGGCAGTCCTCCTAATGAGTTTTACTGTTCTGAAAACACTTCTGTCCCTAACGAATCTAACAAGATTCTTGTTAATAAAGATGTACCTCAGAAACCAGGAGGTGAAACCACACCTTCAGTAACTGACTTACTAAATTATTTTTTGGCTCCAGAGATTCTTACTGGTGATAAC
Source organism: Homo sapiens (assembly GCF_000001405.40). NCBI lineage: Eukaryota > Metazoa > Chordata > Mammalia > Primates > Hominidae > Homo > Homo sapiens. The sequence continues at coordinate 143,214,182 of NC_000004.12, forward strand.
CAATATTATTGTGAAAACTGTGCCTCTCTGCAAAATGCTGAGAAAACTATGCAAATCACGGAGGAACCTGAATACCTTATTCTTACTCTCCTGAGATTTTCATATGATCAGAAGTATCATGTGAGAAGGAAAATTTTAGACAATGTATCACTGCCACTGGTTTTGGAGTTGCCAGTTAAAAGAATTACTTCTTTCTCTTCATTGTCAGAAAGTTGGTCTGTAGATGTTGACTTCACTGATCTTAGTGAGAACCTTGCTAAAAAATTAAAGCCTTCAGGGACTGATGAAGCTTCCTGCACAAAATTGGTGCCCTATCTATTAAGTTCCGTTGTGGTTCACTCTGGTATATCCTCTGAAAGTGGGCATTACTATTCTTATGCCAGGAATATCACAAGTACAGACTCTTCATATCAGATGTACCACCAGTCTGAGGCTCTGGCATTAGCATCCTCCCAGAGTCATTTACTAGGGAGAGATAGTCCCAGTGCAGTTTTTGAACAGGATTTGGAAAATAAGGAAATGTCAAAAGAATGGTTTTTATTTAATGACAGTAGAGTGACATTTACTTCATTTCAGTCAGTCCAGAAAATTACGAGCAGGTTTCCAAAGGACACAGCTTATGTGCTTTTGTATAAAAAACAGCATAGTACTAATGGTTTAAGTGGTAATAACCCAACCAGTGGACTCTGGATAAATGGAGACCCACCTCTACAGAAAGAACTTATGGATGCTATAACAAAAGACAATAAACTATATTTACAGGTAAGTTGGAAATACAAGCTTTATTTGTTGAAAATATTAAACAATTGACACAGTTAAATGAGTACCCTCATTTTGAAATCTAACATGAGTTTTTATTAAATTCTGAAATATAGGTCTGGATTTACATGAAGTATTCTCAACCTGTATAACTAAATTGCCTTTCTAATATTGTGACAATTTAAATGAAAAGTGGCAATTAGATGTAATGCAGAAGACTTTATTTGTTCCTTACAAAAGATGGCTCATTCTGAAATCATGCCATACAAAATACAGAAAGTTTACAAAAGTGGACATATCCTCCCTCTTCCTCTCAGCCTCACCCACCAGAGGAAATAACTGCTAAATGTGGTATTTATGCCCTCAAGACTTTTGTGTAAATGTTTTAAGGGCTGTTTATTGATATTTAGGTGGATAAGATTAAAAAACACTAAAATGTAGACTATGTAAAGAAAGGATATTCATATTCTTTGAGGATGTGGTTAGTAAAACCAAGGAGATAATAGAACAATTGTAAATCGAAGCCAAGGAATGGTTTTATATGAGATAAATTTATTCATAAATATACTTTTTTCAAGGAGTTAGTGATTTTATTACTTAAATAAAGGCTAATAAAAAGTTAAAATTCTTGCTGAAAGTATTTTTTTTTTGTTTTTGAAACTTGCTAATTTGTTCTCAACATACAGGGCTAGCAGTAAATTACAGGTGAAATTCTAGGTACATTAATTGGGTAGTCTAAGTGATTTTGAGTTTGAATGAGTACATTTTGAAAATTCTGTGTTTGAAAGTCACTCCTGAAAGATACAGATAGAATAAGAAATGAGCCACTATAGTACTGATTTTTAGAGGGAAATTTTCTCAAAAGCTTTCAAATTTACTGCGTTATAAAATACACATTTTTAAAGAAGTATAGCGATGTTCTTGAGTGACAAAAACAATAAACTTTACAGAAAAAAATAGAAAATCAGAATATTTGTTTGAACTGATTAACTACTGAAGACTCTAACATCTAGTCAGATGGCTTATGATCAACATGCTAGAAATAGAATGTATTCAACTGTGTCCTTCTTACTAGATATCATATAAACACTAGTCAGAGGAGAAATATGGGTTTTGAAAGATAAAAAACTACTCTCATTTCTGTGATTAGAATCCCAAATGCTTGTATAGCCATAGCAACCACTTGTTTGTAGCTTAGCTCCAAGTGATTTTCCAGTTTATCTTGCCTTTTACCCCATTACTTTCTGATTATACAATATTTGAGCATGAGGAGCTGTTCTTTTCATTATTATTTTAAGACTCGTATGTTACTTTATTATAAAGAAAAAGCATTATGTATTTTGTTAATTCAGTTTTTCAGTTTTGTGCAGTTGTTCTAGATTCAATCTTAAGTTTCATATTGACAAGTTGTTTGATGCAAGAAAAGATACCACCAAATTTTATATTAAGGTATTTACCTGTATTAAGACTAGGTAGTAAATCAAAGTTTCATTATCAGAGTACCCTTTTAAAGCAAAAATACAATAATAAATATTCAATTTTTTTTTTTTTTGAGACTGTCTCATTCTGTCACCCAGGCTGAAGTGCAGTGCCGTGATCATGGTTTATTGTAGCTTTGAACTCCTGGGCTTAAGTGATCCTCCTGCCTCAGCCTCCTGAGTAGCTAAGGACTACAGGCATGTGTCACCATGCCTGGCTAATTTTTTAAAAAAAATTTTTTAAAGATTGTCTTGCTATTTTACCCAGGCTAGTCTCAAACTCCTGGGCTCAAGCAATCCTCCCTCCTCGGCCTCCCAAAGTGCTGGGCCACTGCATGTGGCCCAATAATCAACTCAATTAGGAACTTATATTTAGATTGTGATTATTTACATTTATTTATTTATTTATTGACACAGAGTCTCGCTCTGTCACCCAGGCTGGAGTGCAGTGGTGTGATCTCGGCTCACTGTAACCTCCACTCCTGGGTTCAAGCAAATCTCAGGTCTCGGATAACCAAGTAGCTGGGATTACAGGCATACGCCAACGTGCCTGGTAAATTTTTTTGTATTTTTAGTAGAGACAGAGTTTCACCATGTTGGCCAGGCTGGTCTCAAATTCCTGGCCTCAAGTGATCTGCCCACCTTGGCCTCCCAAAGTGCTAGGATTACAGGCATGAGCCACTGTGCCCAGCCTGTTTACTTTTAAATACAGTGATTAATAAAGGCTCAAATTGTGAAATTTTTCATACCATTTAATCAGATCATTCTGGTATTTTAAGTACATGTTAAAAGACTACGTTCTTTATTCTGTTATGTGGATGCACATGTGCTCATAATTGCCAGGCAATAGAAAACTATAGCGTTGAGATTATGTATACAGCAGTTTTCAGCTATCACTTCTTAAACACCTGGAGCATGTACATGTGTGTTTTCATTCTATCATTTTTGTTTTTATATCCATTTTTGAGATATAATTATTATAAATATATGTCATGCTTTATAATAGATTACTATGTCTGGACTATAAGAAATAGCATAATACCTTTTTATAAAACAGCTATAAAAACTTAAATCGTAAAAGTAAGGATGTGAAGTGAACATTTTGAGTTCCTCTGCTCTTGAACAATATTGCTAATGAATTTACCATTTTAGTACATATCAGGGTAGCTGCTTTCATTTTAATACTTCATAATCAGATTAGAAACTCACCTTGTGATAATTTTAAGAAGCTTTTTTTAGGATTTCATTTTTACATTTTAGGATTTCATTTTTCAATTTTAAATCTAGCCACAACCAGATTTACAAGTGTTAGAAAATGTTGCTCTTTTGAGTATTGGCAAGATCCGTGGTTTTGAAAAACCCAGGCAAAAAATCTTTTGTGACAAACCATTCTCTACTCTGTGTATCATAGCCTGACATTTGGGAAAACAATGCAAATTGTGGATCTCGAAGTAAATTTTTGAAAGGACTTTTCTCTTCATATATTTATTTCCCCTTCATATATTTCTTTCCCTTCAGTCCAGCTTCCATTAGGAGTATCTCCATTGTTTTAATGTCTGGAATATAAAAACTAAGCCTTTGGTTAGGATACAGTGAGAGATTGTGTAATGCATCATCATTGTATGGTCCAGATTACCCACCCATCTGTCGTGCATCAGCCACAGACCACTTCCCATCTTTTCTTGCTTGGTTTCTTTCCTTTGTTTCTTTGGAGGAGGCAGTAGTTCTTCTTAACTTCTTAATTATTTTCTTTTTCATACATTCAGAAGAGTATATTCAATATATATGTGCAGTTTAAAGAAAAATAAAAGGATTAATGTCAACAGTTTTACTTGAATGAGAAATATAAATATACTGAAAATTATTTGTCTCAAGGAGCAATAACTTTCCTGTGACTAGATCTATAGTCTACTACTGAAATTAGAATTAACTTTAGTACTTGATATAAATTTGTGATATAAATTACACATTCTATGATAATCATAATTTTGACATTGTACACAATGTTCTTACCTGTATTAAGTAAAATAAAAGACAGTTTTTCCTATTTTTATGCATTGTCTAAGCTTATCAGAAAACAGAATACCACACATTTTTTTCTGTCAGCCATATATTTCTATAAATAATAAAGCAGAAAAAGTATATTACTTTTTTGGGATGTTGTATATCTTGAAATATAATGTAGGTTTCATGGGTACAGATGCAATGGAGCTACTAATTTTATATTTTATGTCATTCGACATAGTTTCTATAAGGGAATCACTGTATAAAAACGTCTATGCAAGATTTGCCATATCTTTTAGTAGCAGAAGTTCAAGGAGAACTTCTTGAACTCTACCTTACATGTTTGTTCAGTTTTAATTCGTTACAGAACATTGTCTATATATCTGAAACCGTGCATTGTTTCTCAGATACAGAGTCATAGTTTCATCGCTTGTTTGGATAGTTTAATAGGTTATAGAGCTAGAACAATGAGGATCTTTGGTTGGGGGGTTTCTGTCTGTTTCTGATGTTACTTATGGCACTTAATTTCAATCTGTAAAACATTTATAATTCCTACGTTAATTTTATAGATCAAAGGATAAATTAATATATATATCACCTTAAAAATACTCTGTAGGTAGATATTATACCAAAGAGCCAGCAATTTTAAATGTTGTAAATGACACTGTAGATCACAAAAATGTTTTTAAGAAATATCCTGCAAATTAAGTTTTAAAAGTCCTAACAGACTGGTTAGTTAAGCCATTTTGTTACAAGGATTTATCAAAGGTCCCTTTCAGCCATAAAAATAGGTGATTCTTGATCATCTTGTGTACTGGGACTTGAACAGAAGATGCTGCATGCTACTGAAAAATAAAGTATCTATAATATGACAGATAGGTGTCAGGGTATGCCTGGGTCTTTTCTTCATAACGAAAAATTGAGCATTTTGTGAAGAGGGAAGAATAATAAACTAAACCATTTTAGCTAGAAATTATAAAATAGTATTACCTTGCCAGATGGAACAAAATCACTAGGCCTTAAGTTGAAAAATCGAAATAATAGTGTTTTCGTTATTAATGTTAACTGTATTTTGAAAGCTCTTCAGGACGATTATGCTAACAAGTTCAGGTATGCTGTGACCAGTAACTTTTAGACCTTATTTTTACCAACCCCATTTGAAATCTGTAGATCCTCTCCCAGAAAAATAAGCACATGCCAGAATATTTTGCATATTTTTCCAAAGAGTTTGTGGGTCCCAGTTTTAGAATCCAGTTGTATACCTTGCCAAATGAATTTGCCATTATTTATTCATATTTGCTCCCTTTGAAGCTAAGCACCTAATAGTATTCTAATCTGAGATCATTAATATTTATTGAATACCTAACATATGCTTGGCATCTAGATAAATATGACTGATTTCTGATAAAAGTTTTCCTGATAAGGAAACATTTTAGATATTACTGTGAGGAGTTAGGCTTCATTTTACTTGTCAGTGTTCTTTGAGACCTGTTTTATTATTTATTGAGAAATAGTCTATGGAAAGGCCAGAAAAAAATTCAGTCTTCTTCCTTTATTCATACATTTAACTGTAATCACCCACTTCCAAAATAGCCCCAATTGCTGGAGAATAGATAATCTATTGTGATAATCTTTGAATTCTATGTTAAATATATTAGAAAAGAATCTATTCCAGTATGTTTTAGAGAGTGTTGCAGGAACTGTAATATTTTCTTAGAGAAATTTTTTTTTCTTAGGTGCTTTAGTTTCAAAGTTATTGAGATTTGAAGAATGTTTATAAGGATTAAGGTAGTTTTAAAATATTTCTATAGGTGATATAACGATCCATTGTATTTAGCATTTTAATTTCATAAAAGTTATTTTTAATTTTAGGAACAAGAGTTGAATGCTCGAGCCCGGGCCCTCCAAGCTGCATCTGCTTCATGTTCATTTCGGCCCAATGGATTTGATGACAACGACCCACCAGGAAGCTGTGGACCAACTGGTGGAGGGGGTGGAGGAGGATTTAATACAGTTGGCAGACTCGTATTTTGATCCTGAGAGAGTCCAAAATGCACTGGTCACGAAACGTCTAATACTATGACTGTTAAAATGTCAGACTATAACAAATATCTATCTTTTATTTTTCATTAGACCCTTATACTTCAAGAGAACACACTCAGTGCTTGTTTTTATTTTCTTGACACATTTATTAACAAAATGCATCATGGAAAAAAAAATCTACCTCTTAAAATTCCATTTGCTTTTATGGTTAGACATGCTTGACCAAAAATGTTCAGAAGAAAATATGTACCTGGTCCCTAATTAAGCTGCGTTAAATTTGGTAGAAGCATTTAAATGGTCTATCTTCAGTTTTACTGAACAAAAAATGTAATTTATTTAGCATTCTTTATAAAAGAATTGATGCTAGAGGTAAAAAAAAATACTTGTTTTTAAAAAATCCTTTACGTCTTGTGTAATTACCCCATTATTAAATTCAAGTCCTTGAAAATCAACTAGAGATTATAAAGTCTCTAAAGAAGGCAATAACAAAATTTATCAAGATATAGTACTTTTCAGTTTTTGTTTAGTGTCTTCAGCATCACTGTGTCTGTATTTCAAGTACAAATGTTTTTAAAAAGGATTCTTTATACATATGTGCTGAATTGATTTTAAGAAAGTTGCATGATCCTGTAGGAGCAACATTTTTACCTAAAAAATGCTAACTTTATAGTATTTCTAATTGTTCAAGGATTTTAAAATTCTATTTCAGGGAGTATATCTTCTGTGGTTTTGAAGGAGGTGAGTTCTGTATGTGCCTTGCAGTACTGTAATTCAAAAATAGGAATCTTTGGCTGCAAAATTTTAATGAAATGTTAGGAAGTAATTTTCGTGCTAACATTAAAATTATAACTTTTTGAAAGGTAATAGATTTTCCAGAAGTAAAATCTGATGGTTCTAAATCAATCAATGTGATAGTTCATTTTTAACTCTTAGAAGAATTCAGAGGAAATTAACCCAGCTAAGTAAAAAATCTGTCTTGATTTTGTTACTTATTCCTCAGAATATTAAACATTGATCACATATTTTTAGAGTTTTACATTTGGGTTTTTTGTTTGTTTGTTTCAGTCATATGTTTGGCACTGTTGTTTCTATTTTCGTAGTTTTAGATAAAATGTTAAAATGCCAAACCCTACCTTCCTACACTTTTTCTTTTGCCAGGAAACTGGAAACATGTCAGTTCTCCTGGTTCTTGATTATACAGTACTCAAGAGTTATCCCAGTTATCCCCCTTCCTAAAGGTTTTAACTTATCCACAGTTGTGCATTGTTCTGAAGATTGGTCTCATATTTATTTTGAAAACACTTTAAGGAAACAATGTTCTTCGATGATTTGGGGTTTATCTTTTTCCCAAGCTTTTATGACAGTGGTTAAAAAACAGAAATCCTCATGTTTATTCCATTACCTCCCATTCCTAACCTGTTTCCAATCACCAGGAAGATTAGGAAGGCAGATTAGATTAAAAACTGAAAATTCTTTGCAGATTTAATGAAGGTTCTCCTCCTTATAAATGAATGAACCAGTTATCATGCTTTTCTGTGGTTTTCCTATCCCAATAGTGAATTTCTGAGCTATCCTGTGTGTTCAGTTATCCACTTACTTGATAGCAACTTACGACCAGATTATATCAGTCTTGGCATTTATTGAAATTGGTAAAGTGATTTAATACTTGATAGATTGATATTGGGCTAAGATGCTTCTAGGAACTTTCATAAAAGCAATTATACTTGTGCAGCTTTATCTATGAATATCAGGTCTCTCAAGGATTTTATGTATCAAGATAATATGTATTGACTTTTTTAAATGATAAAATGAATTCTAGTTAGAGTCTTTCCTTGGTATCTGCAGTGGATTGGTTCCAGAACACCATCCCCCAATATTAAAATCCACAGATACTCAAGTCCCTTATTTATATAAAATAGCACAGTATTTGCATATAACCTGTGCACATCCTCCCATATACTTTAATCTCCAGATGATTAGATATGATTGCATAGCACTTACGTTGTGCTATGTAGTTGTTATATTGTTTTTTCATTTGTACTATTTTTTATGATATTTATTGGTTTTTTAAATTTTCTATCCAAAGTTGTTTGAATCTAAGGATACAGAGCCTGAGGATATGGAAAGCTGACTAAATATAGTAACACTGAAGAGTATTCAAATGATAACTCATACCAGTACCAAAAACTTGAAGACTTCCTTTTAACATTAAAAATACAGTAACTTTTTACGTGATTTGTTGAATTCAACATATTTGGAACCAGAATAATCAGAAACTTCATTCAAAACCTATGCATCTGAACTTTTTTAGTAAGGTAATACTCAGGACTGTTCTGATTCTAACAGATCCCTGTTAATTACAGATTTATTTGTCATATTAGGTCTTTTCTTTCTCCCATATTCCTAACCCGTGTACTAGCTCCAACTGTTGTGAGGTTTGACTCTGAAGACTGAGTAGAGTACTATTGTTGTTTTTCTTTCCTTAGTCAGAGTAATCAGTTTAAATGAAGTTGCTCATTGCTGCTAAGAAGCATTAGGCTTCACTGCTAGCAAAAATGAAAAACTACAAATCTGAGTCTTTCTTTCAAAGATGTTTATTGACATAATTAAAGTAAAAAATTGTTTAGAGATATGCAAAGAAGGAAATATATATGATGTCACACAAGCTCCAGTAAGCTATCCACTAAGCAGGTGCCTGTGCAACTCTGATTTATGGCATTAACATATCAAATTGAAGGAAGGATTCTAGCTCATTTTCCATTCAAGCATCTTCCCACTGCCTCTCTTCCAGCTAAATAATCAGAGAAGCAGGGCAGTATATCCCTGGAGATCCCTGACTTTTATCTCCATACCTTAAATTGTTGGTAGATCCTTTGGATGTAGAGATAAAAATTCATTATGATGCTAGAGGCATTGGGGGGTCCATGCGAAAGGTTCAAACAGCCTATTACATTAATGCACATGTGGAAAGAACAAAAATTTTCAAGCTAAGTCTTAAGTTCAAATCTATAATTTTTTTCTCTTCAGTTCTGTTCTTTGTATGATAATCCTTAAAAAAGTAGTTGTCTTCTTTTCACATACACCTCTTTAAAGCTATCATCTTATAATAAGTGGAATTGGATGCTTATTGTGTGCCCAGCACAGTTTAGGAAAAAAATAATTGGCACTGTTTGTCCAGTTACTGGAGATCTTCATTTTGATGCTTTGTACTTTGTTCCAGGTCTTTAATTCTCAGTCCATCTTTTCCTATGATTGTGTACTTCACATGATACATTCCATATAAAGAGCTCTTTTAAAATGACTATTTCAAAAATACTGTACATTTATATATAGTATTTTTTCTCATAAAAATGTGATAGTTTATATATCCTTTCATCATACGTTTTTTCTAATGAGTTTAGATTTCTGAAACTAAATATTCCTGAAGTAGAGAAGAGTAAGTTATTCACATTTTACAAAAACATACTAGGAAATGCTAACTGGTTATTATTAGCAACTCAGTAACATCAGAGGAGTAAGGTTAAATCTTAGATAATGCAAACCTGTAACTAAGAAGTGCAACAGTAAGGAAATTTGAATTAAAAGTTGCTATCCCCAAAAAACAAATAATTCTAAAATATAAGCTGTTTCATATGTATATTCTTAAGTTTTATCAAACTGTTATGTATCTTCAGTGTTAGCCTAAGTTAATTTTCTTACAGTCCTTTTTTAGAAGTGAACGAACCTTAAAATGAATGGGGGATTAAAAAAAAACTGCTTTAAAAAACTAGCTTGTTTAAAAAAAAGCTTTCCCATATGAAGAAATTTGTATAGAAATAATTTCTAAAGAAATGAGAATCAAGATTTTTATAAAATCAGCAGTCTAGGTTTCACAAATTCAAAAGGATTTATTATGTAAAACCATTAGCCCCACTGTTACATAACCAGTGTGGACTTAACATTAAAAATAGAATCTAAGAAGTCAGCCAAGTGTATTGCCAGCTCTCGTCAGTGTCTGTTATGACCTGCAGTTGTTTTTCTCTTCATGGAGCTCATGTTTTCATGTTTTGCTTGTGTTGTTGACACACACACACACATCCCTTGATTTCAGAGGGTGAAAAATTTAGCCTTTCCTGGCCAGGTCATCAGTTTTTAACCTTGCATTTCATGTTGAAATCACTTGAGCTTTTTAAAAATCATACCATGCCCAACCCTCATCCCAGACCAATTACATTATGTGGAGACTGGGCATCAACGTTTTTTGAAGTTCCTCACATGATTTTAATGTGCCACCTGGGTTGAGAACTGGACTACAAAAGGAATTTTTTCCCCATAGGTCTTTCATTCAAGGGGATTATTAACATATGTCAAGAGTCTACCGTGTGCTGGACACTGGCAGATATTTATGTGTCTTTTTAACTTATACCAGCCCTGTAAGTGGGCTCATACCCATATCCTCCCTTACCCCTTAATGGACAAAGAAAATAAAGATTCTGATTAAGGAACTTGCTCAACATCGTGCAGCTAGTAAAAATCAGAACTAAGATTTTAACCCAAGTCTTCAGAGCTCCAAAGTCAATACTCTAATGGAGCAACAGGACTAAAGCAAATTACATATTAACAAAAGCTTAACAATGAATTTTGTAAAATGAAATATCAGTGTGTTTCCTTTATCCTTTTGCACTCCAAACATGATTCCTTAAGAAAAAAAAAAAAAAGATCTACTTTGTTAAAACCTATATGTGATAATCTAAAGGGTTGAGAAATGTGGTTCTTAAACTCATTTGTTTTACCCGCGTAGTTTCTGTTTGCTTTACTAGGCTTATCTCTTCCATTCTTGCCTTTATGCCCTCTGTCATGCATATTGGACCTTGCATCATTTTTTTTCACACAGCACCATATACTTGCCATCTCGAGACCTTTGCACATTCAGGTCTCAGGATAGCATACCATTCCCCTTACGCTACTTTCTCTTCCCAGCTTTCAGCGGACTAATGACCTCCTACTCTTCAGTATGTTCATATCTTCTCATACTGACTTCCCAAGCTGATTAGTCTCCGCCTTTATCCTGAGGTGTGTATTGTGCTTCTCTTTGAGAAGGCCATGGCTTAGCAATGGGGCTAAATTAACACTGGAGTAAAGGCTAATCCTTTACAGTATAAAGTTTACACCCAACAAAGATTAAAAGTAGGTCTTAAAAGGATCAAATTCTAATGCTGGTTAAATTCTTTAAGTAATTTAACTGCATACAGAACAAATGGCAACCTTTTTAAGGAAATGCAGTATACATACCCAGCATTTAAGAAAGTAAAATTCACAGTATCCAGCATCTGATCAAAAAGTCTGAGGCATTCAAAGAAGGAGAAAAATCCAGAAATTATGGAAAGAAAGGAATTTGCAAAGTAGGAGCTTAAGAGGAATGTAGAAAATCATGAGCACAGTGAAGAGAAAAATGGAAGATCTGAGAGTCAGTTATCCAAGAGAAAATTAAAAGCACCCAGAGGAAAAGAATATGAGGTCAGCAAACAATACAGAGCCCACAGACCAAGTCTATCCTGCGTCCTGCTTTTTCGTAAGTAAAGTTTTATTGGAGCACTGCTATACCTGTAACCTATTGTGTATGGCTGTTTTTACACTACAATGGTAGAGCTGAGTAGTTATGACGGAGACCATATATATTAGTCTGTTTTCATGCTGCTATAAAGAACTGCCTGAGACTGGGTAATTTATAAAGAAGAGGATTAATTGACTCACAGTTCTGCATCGCTTGGGATGCCTCAGGAAACACAGTCATGGCAGAAGGGGAAGCAGGCTTGTATTACAAGGTGGCAGGCAAGAGAGAGCAGGGAAAACTGCCTTATAAAACCATCAGATCTTGTAAGAACTCACTATCCTGAGAACAGTATGAGGGAAATCATCCCCATGATCCAATCACCTCCCATCAGGTTCCTTCCTCAACACCTGGAAATTACAATCCAAGATGAGATTGATTATGGTGTAACCATATCACCATACAGCCTGCAGAGCCTAAAATATTTACTGTGGTACATTTAAAAATTCTGATCCTTGATATAGAGAAACAAAAGACCAGTCATTTTATCAGAATATGAAAGCTAGAGGATGGTGGAATGGCATCTAAAAAGTGCAGAAGGGAAAAAAAGTCAACCTAGTGAATACTCACTATATCCAGTGAAGATTCATTCAACATGAAGGGGAAATAGATATTTTTAGACAAAAGCTGAGAGAATTTTTTTCTTGAATATTTGCACTAAAAGATAGGTTAAAATTCTTCAGGCTGAAGAGAGCATACCAGGTGGAGATTTGGATCTACAAAAAGGAAGGAAGATTTGGAAATGGATTTGGCACCATTGACTCAATTTCCAGAACAAGAAAGCAGGGACAGTTTTGGGAAGCTCAAGACACACTGCCCATGAGCAGCAATTTGGACCTCCTGCTGCATCCACTGTGCATCAAACACACACTGTACAGACAAAGACTCCCAGGAAAAGAAGTATAAACATGGACTAACACAGAGATGGGCAAACTACAGCCTGTGACCCAGCCACCTGTTTATGTAGAATCCAAAGTAAGAATCTTTAACTTACACATAAACTTCTAGAATTGAGTTTAGCAAGTCTCCTAAATACAAAGTTAATATACAAAGTTCAAGGGTATATTTATACACCAGTGACAGGTATTAGAATATGAAATTTTAAAATATTGACAATAATGTAAAAAATCAATTTTTTAGAAATCTAGAAACAGCTTTTTAGAAATAAAAGATGCATAAGACTGCCACACAATACCATAAAACATTATTTAGGAAGTTAAAGAAGACCTAGATAAATTATGGCTTGGAAGACTCAATATTATAAATACCTAATTTGTCCTCAAAATAAATAGCCAACTTTTCCCAGTCTGTAGAATCAATGCAATCCCAATCTGGGAATTCTATTTTGTATTGAGCTGATTCGGAAATGTAAAGGGAAAAAGTCCAAAAATTGTCAAGACTCTTGGAAATGAGGAACAAGGTAGAATGACTTTCTTTACAAGATAAAACTTATAAAGCTAAAATAATTAAGATAAGGGGACTTATCAGAAATACGCCCATACTTACATGCATATGTGATTTATGACAAAAATAATGTGACCATCCTAGTTGTTTGAGACTGAGGCTGTTCCCAAGACATAGAAATTTCAGCTAAAACCAAGAAAGTCCCAGGCAAACTGCAATGACTTGGCCCCTAGACAAAGGTGACACTTCAGTGTGAAAAGGATGGTCTTTTCCATAAATTTTAGTGGTACAGTGGGTAATCATGTAAGATAAAAGAAAACCCTTACCGCACACTATATATAAAAAATGTATTTCAAGTGGATTTTAACTGTAAACTGAAAGGCAAAATAACACATCAAAGAGATTACTTAGAACATCTTCAAAATCTAGGTGTATGGTTAAGATTTCTTAAACAGGACCAAAAAATCCTTAGTCATGAAGGAAAACAGTGATAAAATGGATTACATTAAGATGAAAAGCTTTTCATCAAAAACTCCATTAAGAATAAAATATGGGCCAGGTGCTGCGGCTCACACCTGTAATCCCAACAATTTGGGAGGCCAAGGTGGGAGGATCACTTGAGCCCAGGAGTTCAAGACCAGTCTGGGCAATTTAGTGAGACATCGTCTCTAATTAAAAATAATAATAATAAAATACAAAGCCACAAAATGGTACATCTGTGTAAATCATAAGCGAACGTATAAAGAACTACAAATCAACATAGAAAAGCCATAGAAAAATGAGCAAAAGAGCAGGCACTTCCAAAGAAAATAAATTTCTAATATACAAAAAGGTGCTGAACTTCATTAATCACCAAACCTCAATAATATGCCATTAAATGCTCATAGAATGAATAAACTTTAAAAAAACTGTCAATATCAAACATTGGTGAGGATATAGAAAGTTAATTCTCATATACTACTTACAGGAGCGTGAATTGATAAAAGTACTTTGGAAACTGTTTGGCACTATCTTCTAAAACTGAACATGTGCCTACTGTGTTATCTGGTAACTTCACTGCTAAAGAGAGATGCTACAAAAAATGTGTGCAGAAGGCACATTTTAAATGTTGTGTACACAGAAACAGTTTTAAATGTTCAATGCAGTATTATTCATAGTAGCCTAAAACTTGAAACAACCAAAATATTCATGAAGAAAAGAATGGATAAGTAATCTGTGGATATGCATTTTTCTTGCTGCTTTTAGCAAAATATAAATTCTGATGGACATTCATATATATTAAATTCCTTTACAGCAGCAAAAATGAATAAACTCCAGATACACGTCACAACATTTGAATTCCACAACCATAATACTGAGGGAAACACAAAAGAATGCCCATCTTGTGGCCAGGCGTGGTGGCTCAAGCCTGTAATCCCAGCACTTTGGGAGGCCGAGGTGGGTGGATCACGAAGTCAGGGGTTTGAGACCAGCCTGGCCAACATGGTGAAACCCCGTCTCTACAAAAAATACAAAAATAGCCAGGTGTGGTGGTGTGCACCTGTAATCCCAGCTACTCGGAAGTCTGAGGCAGGAGAATCACTTGAACCTGGGAGGTGGAGGTTGCAGTGAGTCTAGACTGCACCATTGCACTCCAACCTGGGAGACAGAGCAAGACTCCATCTCAAAAAAAAAAAAAACAAAAGAATGCACACTTTTATGATTCTGTTTCTATAAAACAGGCGGGAGCTAATTTGTGGTATGAGAAGTACAGACAATATTAACTTTGGAGAAAGGGAAGGAGAAGTGTTCAGAAAAGATCATGAATAGGGGACTTCTGTGGTGTGATTAATGTTACATTTTTTTACCTGGTTCTTTGTTTACCAGGTTGTGTTGATTTTGTGATTACATGTGGAACTATCTACTTATAATTTTGTGCTTCCCTGTATGTCTTTTGTACTTCAAAAAAAGTTTAAATTTTTAATTATAACTGGCAGCTCTATTGAGTCTAGCCTCCCAGAGTGTTTCATTAGAAAAGGAAAGTAGTTAAGCTGTTGGAAGAGCCTCAGTGATGGATGATGGGCCTAAAACAAGAGAGTTGCAGAAAATTGGACAGGATGAAATGAACTGTTTGTATATATCTAAATTGAGTATCCATTATTTAATTTAAATGTCACCTACTCTGGTGCACTAGCCACATTTTAGATGCTCATGAGCCATGAGGCTCATGGCCGCCATAATGAACAGCACAACTCTAGTGATAAGCCATAATGGTGATAAACTACACTTTATCATTTTATGCCTCCTTCCCATCCTGTCCATTATTTGGGTACCCTTTAAAAATTAAACACATGTGTTGTCTAATTACTGAAATAAATGAAAATGCTACGGAAAAAATCTGGGCACCTATCTTCCTGGAAACTTCAGGCTTAATTCCATTTAGAGAATGGACCGTCTGTGACTTCTGAAAGAAGAACTTACAATATTATTAATGGTTTCCCCTATTGTTAAGACAACAGACCAATAAACTTATTTTTTAATGTTGCTGCTATTGTCCACTTATTAACCAGTCTGTCTGCTTGCTAGACCCCATTAGAACATCTTGTCTTCTTTTTAAGTTTATTTTTATTTCTTGGGTCTTGGTTTATACTCAGTCCTCCACTTCCTACCACTGATCCTAGTTTTTTTGTTTTTGGTTTTTTGGGTTTTTTGGTTTTTGGTTTTGTTTTTTTTTTTTTAGACAGAGTTTTGCTGTTTCACCCAGACTGGAGTGCGGTGGCACGATCTCGGCTCCCTGCAACCTCCATCTCCCAGGCTCAAGCAATTCTCCTGCCTCTGCTTCCCGAGTAGCTGGTACTACAGGGACGTGCCACCATGCCCAGCTAATTTTGTGTATTTTCAGTAGAGACGGGGTTTCACCGTGTTAGCCATAATGTTCTCGATCTCCCGACCTCGTGATCCACCTGCCTTGGCCTCCCAAAGTGCTGGGATTACAGGCGTGAGCCACTGTGCCTGGCTGATCCTAGTTTCTTGAAACTAGGTGAATATTTTTCAGGATGCCTGTCTTTTGGTTGTTATGGTCTTGATATCAAAATCACAATATTTCAGTACAGAGCACTAGCACTGCTGCCCTTTAATTTCTCCACGATAATCTATACTTAGCTAAGTCCAAGACACATGTTTATAAATACTACTTTTCTGTATTTTTGGCAGCTTATATTTCCAGAGAACTTCATTTTTAGTGTGAATGACAGGCTTGACCTTCATTTAGTTCTGTATGGAGCAGTTTGTTCTCAAACCATAGTCTAGTGTTAATGAGAAAAATATTGAAATCGAGGCTCAGAACATGGAAAAATAATTTGCAGTTGAAATCAGTGATACACCTCTGTAGGTTTCTGCTGAATAATTTCTTGAATTGGGTAATTTCCACCCTCTCGGCTTTCAGTAATAGCAGAAGCAACTACGTAAGCAGATTAGCCAATAGACACAAGTTTATTACTTTCCTCACTCATGGCTAAGATGACTGCAAAATGAAAAGTAAAATAATAGTAATAATACAAAACTTGCTTCTCAATCTTCACTGCCTTAGAATACAGAAAACACTATAACTACCCTTAAAATCTGGCTTTGGAAAGTGATTGTCCAGAATATTCTATCTTCAACAAGGACTCAGGCTGCCAATATAAACAGGACAGCAATTGTCTGGAACAGTTATTCCATATTCCACTATCCTTTTTGGAACATCATGATTAGGCCATCATGGTTACG
This sequence comes from Homo sapiens, assembly GCF_000001405.40. Taxonomy (NCBI): domain Eukaryota; kingdom Metazoa; phylum Chordata; class Mammalia; order Primates; family Hominidae; genus Homo; species Homo sapiens. The sequence continues at coordinate 143,231,207 of NC_000004.12, forward strand.
CACTTATATAAAGAGCTAAGTTTGTGTTAAATACTAGAGGCAAAAAAATAAATTGGGTGCCATTTGGCAAATTATCTTCCCAGATCTACTGTTGACTCGGAATAAATGCCTTAAACAATTCATATCTCCATTTTCCAGGCAATCCAGCTATCAAGAGTTCACCATGGTGGAGTGGGCCAGGCTGTCCTAGTGCCTATGTCTAATTGTCTATGACAATTAGAAAAAGGCACCAGCCCTATTTGGACAATCAAAAAGAAACGAATATCTCTTGCTCTAAGCTAATGAAGTCAATACCAAGAGGCTTGATGCGAATCAAGACTGTATTTCTTGAGGGCTGAATTTCAACCCCTTTTCAAGCACCATCATCTGGGTGCCCTTTTTCAGGCAAAACTTATACAATGTATACCACTGTTGTGAACGGGCAGTTCTCAAAGATGAGATGCTCAGGAGACAACCTGAGTTTACTTGAAGTTTAAAGAAGACAAATATAATAACTGTGAGCTTTAATGGACCAAAACATAATTTTTAAGTACATAAATGATTCAGTGATTGTCTCAGGGAAACCAGCTACATTTGTAAGTCTGTTATGTAAGTTTGTTTATCATTAAGAAAATATTTCTTAGCATCTACTATGTGCTAGGTACAATGCTGGCTAGCAAGGTAATGAAGTTGAACTTGAACAAAGTGGACACAGCCCCAACCTTTATTTTGTAGCTCAGAGTCTGGCAGGGAAGGGAAATAAACCAGCAATTATAGTCATAGGGGAAATATGAGGTGCTGCACTTACACATGGCAAGTGTAAATATCTAAAGGGCATGGCAAATATCTAAAGGGGTCCTAGCAGCCTAATAATTATATATTTCAGTAGATTTCAAGAGACATCTTGTCATAGTGACTTGATAACTGTTATAGAATTTATGGTCTGTTTTCAATTTATTAATCACAGCTCCTGCTGCCCATGACATTGCAGAAAATTACTTACAACAGGATAGATCCATTCTGGCTATAGTGTGGCAAAAAGTGCATAAGTATTGCTTATCATTTCACAAGGAACCTCCTTCACTGGCGTAGAAAATGAGTATGTACTCCACAGAGGCCTATCTCCCAGGCATCCTTCATCAGTAATCCTGAGCCTGTAATTCCCTCATTAGGACCTCGGTGTTAGGAAGAAAATGACTCAGGAGAGGAGGAAGAGGAAAGGCAATAAGGAGAGCCAACATTTATGGAGTGCTAAATAAACATCCCTATACAGTTATTTATCACTGTCTGCCCCACCCAGAGTGCATTCCATAGGAAGCATCCCACCAGATGCTGCACCTCCTTTCCATTGCTTTTGAATCAGGAAATACAGGCCTCAAAGACAATCCATTCAGCACATGACCAACAAGCCAGGACTTCTTTCTTTGCTCTAAAAGATGAATTTCGACAATCAGGAATCTCTGCAAGTAAAATAAAGAGACATAGAGAATTACCTGTTAGTGGTGGGTGCTGGTTCCAAGTGACTATATAGGCTGGAGATTAGAGAGGCCATTTGAGTAACTTGTAAAATAAGGAAGCTGGTTGACAGAAGGAGGACAAAAAGCAGACCTGTAGAGAGGGGCAGAAAAAAAAAAAAAAAGACAGAGAAGGGCTAATCCTTAGAGACAAACCAGTTCCTCTCCTCCCTGGTTGTCTAATTCTTCCTTGGTTCCCCCATATTTGTATTCCTTAATAAGCCTTTATTTCCTCTGAAGTTATTTCAATGAGTTTCTAATATTTGCACTAAGATAACTTCAACTAAACCAATCAGCTAGGTGGTTTACATTTATAATCTTATCAATACAATCACTCTAACAGGTATCATTATTCCTATTTTACATACCACATAATTGAGGCTAGGAGAAATAAAGTACATTGGCCAAAGTGAAACAGCAATTCTGACAGCTGGTAATGAAAAAAAAAAAAAAACCTAAGGATCATATAAATACATGGAATTGTCTCAGAAAACCACTTTACCTCACTTTTCCCACCTATCCTTTCCTCCACCAAGTTGAGTAGGTAGAGCTACCAATATCCCTTGACACAGGTACGTGATTTAGTCCAGAGAAAACTGGTATATGTTTCTATGTCTTCTTCTCCTTTGTAAGCCAGCATTAAAGTTTGTTTTAATGAAATTTCATCTTAACCAAAATGCCAAGCATTGATTCTCTCAGATCGTATATTTGTAGTGATAACTTTCCTACTGTGTGAAATCATTGAAAACACAAATCCAAGATCGACTAACAACACATGTTGGCCCTAGAGACACCTCAGAGTCTGCTGCAGGCAATACCATTGCTTCAAAACACAATTGCACATAATGGAAAGACAACAGACTTATTATTATGACATCTTAATACACCCTTATGATAGACGGAGGGCACGGGCAGGAGAAAGATTAATTTAGCAAGATAGAGCACTTGTGCAAATAAGACAGAGTCCTAAAGCAAAATATTGGGATACTTCCCTTCAGAAAAAAAAAATGTTTTGAGCCCAGAGTATGCTCTTGACAGGAGACATTTTTAGAATCCAATGATAACCCTGTAATTTTTTAAATTACAATATATGTATTTTCTTTAATTTTGAAATAAAAACCCTGGAAAGAGATCTCTGTCAGATCAAATAGTCTATGATTCCTACAATGGTGGCAAATAATTTCAAATATATATATTGGATTTTTTAAGGCTATAGTATTTGGAAATGGCAGAATAAGATAAGGTATAAAAATGTCAATTTGTGAAGAATAGGCACTAGGCTTTTTAGAGAAAACATATGATCAACTGTGCCTTAATCTATTTAATTACAATACAGAGTTAAAATCCATAAAGGAGGGTTCCCTTTGTTTAGCAATTTTAGTTATTTATTATTATTATTATTATTATTATTATTATTATTATTATTTAAAAATGGAGGCAGGGTTTCACCATGTTGTCCAGACTGGTGTCAAACTCCTAGGCTCAGACAATCGGTCTACTTCACCCTCCCAAAGTGCTGGGATTATAGGCATGAGCCACTGTGCCTGGCCAATTTTAGTTATATTTAAATTCCTGTGGATTTCTTTTGGCATTTATTTACTTCATGGACTCTTTGGCTTTTAGCATGATGCATTTTTGTAACCTCTGTTTAGTTTGGTTGGCTGTTAAGCCTATGACTTTTCAGAGTGGGTTCATTATGTTTATTAAGTATAATCTGGTGAGAAAACCCTTCCAGGGTCTTTCTCACAAAGACAATATGAAGTAGCCAGAAAAATCACAACCATGTTTATGATTTTAATAATAACAACTTGAAAACCAGAACAAAATACAGAACTTAGTCCCAGGGATGACTAAACAAGTGTCATCAATTCATAGCTGCTATCATTTGTTGAATCACCTTTAGTCTTTGGAATTTCATGATTTTAGTTTTCTTGTGAAAGTAAAACAACAAGAGATACATAGCATTAATAATTTGAATAGTAGTAATATATTGCACATAAGAATTATAATCAAAAAGAGAATTTGTATGCCAAAATGAAAAAAAAAAAAGAACTGATTCCACTAGCGAGCCAACTAAAAACATCATGAAGAAAATTAAATCCAGGTTCTTCTTTAGAGATTTCTCATAGCCAAAAAATAATCTAGTATTCAGTCCAAATTGCAGGCAAGTAATAAAAAACTCAAAAACAATGGTCAGGGCTACAGTCTAATAACAGGTGTGCTATACTTTTCTTCTGAAACATTATTTTTCTTTCTTCAGTCCCCCTTTTCTATTAAAGAGAAATCACAGCAACACCAATTTATTCTCAATATACATTTTAGTCTTATTATACTTTGCCTGATTAGTTGCATAAAGTGTAAAAAGAATAGCCATTGCCCACATAGGATCCTTTTTAAGTTGGCTTTGCTGGAATTTTTTCATAAGGGATTTTGGATTAGACTTTTAAGAGCCTCTCAAGTCTAGCAAGCCAAATCAAGGATTCATCATGAGAATATGCGTGTAATGCCTGTACAAATGGGGTGAATTCCTTTTTTCTTAAAGTCCCCCAAGTATCTTGACATTCTTGGCCTGTCAGAAAGTGACATCTTTTTTTGTGTGTGAGACAGGGCCTTGTTCTGTTACCCAGGCTGGGGTGCAGTGGCATGATTATGGCTCACAGCAGCTTCAACCTCCCAGTCTCAAGTTATCCTCCCACCTCAGCCTCCAGAGTAGCTGGGACTTACAGGTGCATGCCACCACGCCCAGCTAATTTTTTTTTTTTTAAGACATGGTCTCACCACATTGCCCAGGCTGGTCTTGAACTCCTGGACTCAAGCCATCCTCCAGTGTCAGTCTCTCCAAGTGCTGGGATTACAGCACTTTGAGCCACTGTGGCTGGCCTTTTTATTTTTTTCTTTTGAGACAGGGTCTCGCTCTGTTGCCCATGCTGGAGTGCAGTGGTGTGATCACAGCCCACAGCAGCCTTAACCTCCCATGCTCAAGTGATCCTCCCACCTCAGCCTCCTAGGTAGCTGGGTCTACAAGTACACACCACCATACCCAGCTAATTTTTAAGCTTTTTTTGGTACAGATAGGGTTTCACTATGTTGCCCAGGTTGGTCTCAAACTCTGAGCTCAAATAATCTGCCTACCTCAGCCTCCCAAACTGCTGGGCTTACAGGCATGAGCCACTGTGCCCAGCCAGAAAGTGACATTCTTTACTTACCCCAAGGTCAGGGACCCTGTAAGAGAGCTGTGCAGACCAGGTACCAGGCCAGTCTTTCTCTTTATATTGGCTTTATAATTTCAATCCCAGTCTTTCAAAGCAGTCTTGCCATGTTTGAAAATATAATATTCCAGCCACAGCCTTGGTAAAATAACCAGTGCTTCTAATATGTCCTATAACAAAAGAAAATAGATTCTATTGAACTTATTCAAATAACTATATTGAAATAAAATAAGAATGCTTATTAATACTTTCCAAATCCTGGAGAATTCAGGTAGAGAGAGAAAGGTAAATGTTTCAATTTTGCTTGCAAAAGAATACCAATTACTGTAAGATACAAATTGCTCAAAAGAAAATAAGTTTTCTTGATTCTGAAAAACAAAATACAAAATGAATCAGCAATATTTCAATGAAAAGGTCATAAAAATCACTTTATTCCCTCATCAGTTCAGTCCCATGTACTTCTTGTTCTGCTTGGTGTCATGTTAGCAATCTTCATGAACACGTCATTTTTTTTTTATTAGAGTTCTGGAAGGTTTTATCTAGTTCAATGATATCATCTCCAAAGTTATCAGAAGCCTGTATTCAAGAGCACTTGTCAGAGTCTTTTCATGAAAGTAATTTTGGACTGTAGTTGGTTGCCAGTGCTTTTAGAGAAGAGTTCAAAACAATAACTATGGATGGCAAAAACCTAAAATAGCCATGGTTAAAATCTGATGAAAGTTCCCAATTGACAAGGAAATTTAGTTATTTCTATTACATGCAGCATTTTCAGATAATAACCAGAATCATAACTGATAACATCACATCAGGGCTATCAGATTTTAATAAGTTTCACATACTCTTGAATATTCACATTAATAACATATCCATACAAATATAACTTTAGAAAAGATTTAACAAAACCAAAATTATGACTACTAGCATTATATTGTTATGAATCTGCATACTTTTGTAACATTGACATCAATAACATACCAATAAATGTAACTGAGAAAATTTGTTATTACTTACCATTTGACAATGCCTCCCATACAATTTACCAAATAAGTCTAATCATTTGCTCTCTCTATAAGATGAGAGATATATTCTTTGAAACTCTCCAGGGGCCCAACTAGATAATCTTAAAATTAAGTTTAAGCCAATAAGACTTAACTTAGGATTTTGATCCTGGGGAAACCTGCCAAAGATGTCAAAAGATTCAAAACAGTTGACCCTAACAGAATCACAGCTTATTGTTAAATAATAATTGTTCATTTAATCAGAGTGAAAATCAAAAGACTTCAGAAGGAATACAAAAAGTTGCATGGGTGTAAAAATCAATCCTTTTAAAGCTTCATTTTCCTAAGTAATCAAAAATCTAACACAGATAATGTGGGAATTATCTTGATAAAAACAAGTTTCAGAAAGGAATAGAGTTCAGAATTAGAAATGGAAACATTGGCCGGGCCCGGTGGCTCACGCCTGTAATCCTAACGCTTTGGGAGGCCAAGGCGGGTGGATCACCTGAGGTCGGTAGTTCGAGACCAGCCTGACCAACATGGAGAAACCCCGTCTCTACTAAAAATACAAAAATTAGCAGGGCATGGTGGCAGGTGCCTGTAATCCCGGCCACTCAGGAGGCTGAGGCAGGAGAATCACTTGAACCTGGGAGGTGGAGGTTGCAGTGAGCCGAGATCACGCCACTACATTCCAACCTGGCTAACAAGAGTGAAACTCCGTCTCAAAAAAAAAAAAAAAAAAAAGGAAAGAAAAGAAATTAAAACCTCTTGCAGTTTTATTAAGATCAAATCAATAATTTAAGAAAATCTCGCTGTTCTAACATAGGAGACCAAAATTTCTAGTTTTGTATTAATGTACTTTTAACATCAAAGCTCAATCTTTAAGAACACATAAATAATTTCCTTTTAATTAAAGGCGACTGAATCACATGCAAAATTTATTTCATGAAGTTTTTTCATGAACCGGCCTGGTGCAGTGGCTCACGCCTGTAATCCCAGCACTTTGGGAGGCCGAGGCGGGTGGATCACAAGGTCAGGAGTTCAAGACCAGCCTGGCCAAGATGGTGAAACCTCGTGTCTACTAAAAATACAAAAATTAGCCAGGCATGGTGGTGGGCGCCTGTAATCCCACCTTCTGAGTTATCTGCAAAATACCCATGTATTTAAGATTCTTACTTAAGTGAACACTTAATGTTCACAGGTTATAAAAATGGCTAAAAGGAATATATTTTGAAATGGTGACTAGCTTTGATAAATATCTCAGTTCGCATAAATAATCTAGCGAAACTGTTAAAAATTAATAGATTAGGTAATTGTAAATGAGATAAATGCCTGTAAATGGAGTTTTCATGTAATTTAAAATCTTAAAGTTATGTTAAATTAAATAATAGATGCTCATTAAATATCTGGGTCATTTCCAATTAAGATTTAAAAAATTATAAGAAAACATGTTTCTGAAAATTATAAAATGGTTCTTATTTATAAAATACTGAGATGTGACAGTTTAAAATTGCTTGCTAAAATTTAAGGTTACTAAGAGTTAAAAATTTTTTTTTTTTTTTTTTTTTTTTTGGGTCACTGCAACCTCCACCTCCTGGGTTTAAGCAATTCTCCTGCCTCAGCCTCCCCAGTAGCTGGAATTATAGGCATGCACTACCACAGTGGACTAATTTTTGTAATTTTAGTGGAGACGGGGTTTCATCGTGTTGCCCAAGCTGGTCTCAAGCTTCTGGCCTCAAGGGAGCTGCCCGCCTCAGCCTCCCAAAGTGTTGAGATTACAGGCATGAGCTACTTCTCGGCCTGGAAATTCTAATTTTTATATAATTTCATATGCAAAATGTGGCCAGAAAAGTAAGGTTTTTTTTAGGAAATTAATTATAAGATGGCACTAAAATGTGGGCTTTATTGAGAAAAAGAATAATTTTATATAATTTGGAGTTTATTTAAAGGTTGATTCAAAATATGGATTTAGGAAAGAAATAGAAACAAGACAGAAAGAAACCAGTAAGTAGGAAAGAGAGATGTAAAGAAATTTATGGATATGACACTATACGTTTGGTTAAAAAAGTGAAAAAGAAAGGAAAAATTTTATATGAAAATAAATCTTGTATGATAAATTTCTGTCTTAACTAAAATGAATGGCTATTGAAGAAAGAGGAAGCACAGGACAGAGCAGAAAGTCCAAGAGTGTCACTGGTGCACTAAGTCATGATAAGGTTCATGAAAAAACTTTTTTTTTTTTTTTGAGATGGAATCTCACTCTTCTAGCCCAGGCTGGAATGCAATGGCACGATCTCAGCTCACTGCAACCTCCGCCTCCTGGGTTCAAGCGATTCTCCTGCCTCGGCCTCCCCAGTAGCTGGAATTATAGGCATGCACTACCACACCGGGCTAATTTTTATAATTTTAGTGGAGACGGGGTTTCATCGTGTTGGCCAGGCTGGTCTCAAACTCCTGGCCTCAAGTGATCTACCCACCTTGGCTTCCTAAAGTGCTGGGATTACAGGCATGAGTCACCACACCCAGCCTATTGTGGTGCATTTGTATGATTATTGTATGCTTTACAAATTTTTATTTTACAATACTTAGTATTTGCTCATTCATTTTCCAACCTGCTTATTCCAGTTCAGGGTCGCAGGTAGCTGAAGTCCGTCCCAGAAGCTCAGGATGCAAGGTATAAACCAGTCCTGGTCAGGATGCCATCCTATTACAGGGCGCACTCACACACACCCACACTCATTCAGACTGGGACAATGAAGAGACACCAATTCACCTAAAGTGCACCTATTTAGGATGTGGGTGGGAACCTGAATGTCAGAGACGTTGGAACCAGAGCAACCCCATCCTGAATAGGGTCTAGGTAAAATAAGGCTGAGACTGGGCTGAATTCCCAGGAGGTTAAGGCATTTTTTAGTCACAGCATGAGATAGGAGGTCGGCACAAGATACAGGTCATAGACTTTGCTGATAAGACAGGTTGTGGTAAAGAAGCTGGTGAAAACCCACAAAAACCAAGATGGCAATGAGAATAATCTCTGGTCATCCTCACTGCTCATTATATGCTAATTATAAGGCATTGGCATGCTAAGAGATGCTCTCACCAGCACTATGACAATTTACAAATGCCATGGCAACATCAGGAAGCTACCCTATACAGTCTAAAAAGCAGAAGGACCCTCAGCTCTGGGAAATCTTTACCCCTTTCCTCAGAAAGCTCATGAATAATCCATCCTTGTTTATCATATAATCAGGAAATACCATAAAAATGGGCAACCAGCAGCCCTCAGGGCTGCTCTGTCTATAGAGTAGCCTTTCTTTTATTACTTTCCTAATAAACTTGCTTTCACTTTACTCTGTGGATTCACCTCAAATTCTTTCTTGCGGGAGATCCAAGAACCCTCTCTTGGGGTCTGGATCAGGATCCCTTTCCGGTAACAAGAATACCTGGAGAAAGCCCATGCAGACACAAGGAGAATGTGCAAACTCGACACAAACAGCAACCCCAGCCAGGAATCAATTTTTTTCATCAATGCTATAGCTAAATGATGCTGAATGAAACATTATTCAAGGACATGCTATATAGAGAGATAGCTTTCATTTCTTTTTAGAGCTAGAATCACCCCATTGTATGGATAGACAATAGTTCATTAGACTAGTCCTCACTGATGGATGGTGGGTTGTCTGCCTGCTACCATCTCTTCAAGTGTTAACTCCTGTGGGCCCAGGCACTGCAGTAGGTTCAGGGGCTTTACTACCTTACCATGAAGACCAGGTGTTCTCGTAGCTCTTTGACTCCTGTTATTCCTGCATAGATACCTCTAATTCCCAGCTGCCTCCTGTTTCTGTTTTGGGGAGGCTTTTGCTTCCTCTCTTTTCTCCTGCTCTCTCCTGTTACTCTGCAACACCTTCACTCTACTCTGAGTGGAAGGGCCCACTGCTTTCTATATTACCCTCAAGGACCTCATTTTGTCTTCTTTCTCTTTTGGTAGAAGATCAAAGGAGCTCTTTATTTTTCTTCAATAACCTTATTATTTTGATAAAATAAGTAGGGCTTTCAGGCAGCCAGTGTCTCCAAGAAGTGACTCTCCACAAAACTCAAAAAAATAAAACTCTCATCTCCAGCACTCCCTGATTTCTGAGATTAGAAATCACTAAGCAATTTCAAACATTCTAACCAGAGCTGCCGCCAAAGTATTGAAGATATGATCATGCTTCAAAGGTCACAGGCCATACAGCTGTGGAAAGAATAGTAGATATGCACATCCTGTGGGTTCTTCTTTAAAATTCATTTACAATTGGAAGGAGTTCTACAACCATTCATGAATGTTAAATGTGGTTTTGTTTATCAGAGAGATTGGCCAGGCTGAGGCCAGAGCAGGACCTCCACATTTGAAGAAGAAGGGCAAGGTTAAGGAAAGAAATAAAGAACTAATAAGTGAAAAGAGGTTGAGATAGGAGGGAAAGCTACACAAGGCAAGTTATGACTGTTCAGATTATCTTCCTATTAACCTTGACCTCCCTGGACCCCTAAACACACTCTATGCTGATATGGACTTGCCTCCTCCTGCATTCTTCCTTTCCTCTATGTAATTATTAAATACCTACAATGCACCAGTGACTGTATCCAGGGATAGAATGGGGTTATTATCAGGCATAGTTTCTGCCTTCCTGGAACTTAGTTTATGGAAAAGGAAGGTTATTTAAATAAATGAAAAGTTATAAATGTAACAAGTGCTATGAAGATTCATGTGTTGAATGGGTGTTTTAACAACATAACTCACCAAAGGCACTCTGGGAGGAGTAATTAGTATGAGCAAGAGAAAAGCTTTTTATCTGAGGCTTTTTCCTTTTAAGAGGCTGTAGATCAAAAAGGACCCCAGTACCAGGAGATAGGGTAAGGACCATAGAAGCAGAGGAACAGAAAAGCAAAGAAGGAAACAAAGGGACAATTTCTACAGCCTCATAAATGGGGACATACACTCAGATTGAAAAGCAACACAAGAGGAACAAAAGTAGATATTTTCTATCCTTTCATCCACCTCTAAATGCTGAATGTGTTAATAATTGGCTCTGAGGAATACTTAGCTCTTTCTGGTGATAAACTAAGTCATAAGGGAAATGGCTGTGCTTTAATCAGGAGTAGGCCAAGGCTGCTTTCTGGTGCAGCATGACTCAGCGGGTTTGGAGTGCAGGCACACAACCCCCCACATTAGGTAACCATGCCATGTGAGGTGCATTAGGTGATCACCCATGTGAGCTTGTGCTTGGCTCACAGTCACTAATGTCTGTAAAATGTATAATTACCCTGCTAACACTGTACATATAGCTCACTTGTGCCCAGAGAGAGAGTAAAGCCCTGTCAAAATTGTCTACCATTCCTCAAGTGTTTTTCCAGCTACCTGCCACTCACCTACCAACTCCCCTTGGACTTCAGTTAGAACCTGACATAAGTCTGTGCATATTTCAGCCATTATGGGCCACAAAGGAGGGTTACAAATGTCAAGATAGCTTTTGTTTGTTTTGCTTTGAATAGGTAATACATTCATAAGGTTTAAACATTTTTTAAAAAATTAAATGAAATGTCTTTCCCTTACACCCCCATGGGTAATATCTTTATTTCATTTCTTCGTTATACTTCCAGAGTAATTTTGTGCACATATTAAAACCCATTTATGCCTAGTGTTCCATTATTGGAACATTAAGCATGTGGGAGTTACTTACATCCTACTACTGAAGGTCATTGCCAAGGTCTGATTCCAAAAATTCAAAAAAATTGCAACCTCAGGAATAAATGGGTTAAGATATATATACACAGATACTCTTTTACCCTCCTTCTTTACACAAGCATTACCATAGCCTTGCACATTATTCTACTCATCTTTTCTTTTTCACTCAACAAAAACTTAGATGGTTTTCATATTAAAACAAAAAGAACTTTCTCCTTTTTTTTGTAGCTGGCTAGTTTTCTATTGTAAATGTATATTATTATTTATTTAACCAGACCACTATCATAAACGTTTAAGTAATTTATAATATTTTACGATTACAAACAATGATGCTACCTTGAATAAGCATAATTTTGCCTGTCTAAAGTGTATTCGCACTTAAATTCCTAGGAATGGAACTTCTGAGTCAAAGGGCATATATATTTGTAACAATAGCGATAAGTACTATTAAACTGCCCCCTATGAAAGCAAGAAAATGTACCTTCCCAAGTAATGTATGGTAGAGTCTGTTTCCTCCAGCCTTGCTAACACCATGTGGTATGTAACCTTTGAATTTTATTCAGTCCGACAGCTTGAAAAATAATATCTCAGTGTAGTTTCCACTTTCATTTCTCTTCTTGTGAGTGAGGATAAGCATCTGTTCATGTATTTGGGGCTCTATATTTCATGGGACTGTTTGTTCATATCCCTTGCCCATTTTTCTATTGGGTTGTTGTTCCTCTGGGTTAGAACTCTATATTAGGGGCAGAACCCTTTGCCTGTGATTTGGGTTGTGAATACTTTTCTCCATTTTTGTTTACCTTTCATGCATATTTTTATTTTATTCATGGTGTTTTTGCCATGCAGAAGTTGTTGTTGTTGTTTTGGCAAAATGTAACAATCTTTTTTTCTGGATTCTAGATTTTCTGGATTCCAGTCAAAGTTAGAAATGTCTAGGGAAGATAAAAGTTAACTGTATGCTGAAAACAGTAAGTTTTGGGGAAAATAAATATTTAAAAGACCAAGAAACACTGGTAGATTATGGAGTGTTCGAAAGCCCCGCTTTCAAGGTGTTGCCAGAATAAAAGGTTAGTGGAAAGGCCTCACTTGTTCTTGTGCTGGTTTTGGGCAGAGGTAGAAACTGCCAAAAAATTAAAGGCTAGTTTTTTTTTTAATTGATGGGTAATACACATATAGTAAATTGAATAAAGGGCACTCATCTTAAGTATCCAACTCAATAAATTTTCACATATGTATAGACCTGTGTAACTACCACACAGATAAACACAACATGAATCCCAAGTTCTTGATCACCTGACAAATGGAAGAAGAAGGGATATTTAGTTCTGTGAGTCAGAGAAATTTTTCTCCAGTGCAATGGAGTAGGGAGAGTAAAGGGAATGAAGAGTCATGGGCATCAAACCAGCACTGCTGGAGTAACCTGCAGGAGTCTGGGGAGCTCGAAGTTCCTCCCCAAATTCTCTCTCTTGTTAGAACTTATTTACAGGAAAAAGGTATTGAGAATCCAAAAAACAAGTCAGGGTGGCTGAGATGTCATCTCAGGCCTAAGTCTTTGTGGGCAAAATAAAGATAACTCTATAGGAGTGGAATGAGGTGTGGCTGCTGCATTAGAGACAATGGGCATTTGAAGATAAAATTTAGGAGAACTGACTTATAGTATTGGGCTGGCATTTAATCCTTTCTTCTTTACTCTTTTCATAATCTCCCCTCCTTATTTGGTTCAAACAAAATTTCTAGGGGGAATGAAAGTGGGGTAGAATAGGAACAAAAATAAGCCAACAAAAAGGTAAGGCACCCAGTAAACCCTCATTCACCTCCCATCTTCTATTCATATTCTTCCCAAGCTTTTTAAAAATATAATTACAAGCTTCACACAGGTGTAAAGAGACAAAGGGGTATAAAATGAAAACTAAAATTATTCTCCTATCTACCCCATGTCTCATGCAAGTTGGAAGGGGAAACTCCTTAGTCTTAATGTTTCCTTCCACGTGGAGACGTGATATTTCTGGCCTCTCTCCACTCCACAATGGAATTCACTTTAAAATGTGGCTTCATCTGAGTAGCAAACTTCAGGGAAAATAAAAAGCTAAACCCGTGCATTCCTGGCTCAGCTTCTTCCTTTCTTTCACCTGGGAGCTGGCACCCCGAGGGAGAATGTGTTTACTGCTTTTCCAGGTGCAGGCTTTTCCCGAAATGTGGGAAGGGCTGCCCTGGTCCAGCACTTTTATAACTGCCTGGATAAAGTTCCTTCTACTAAAGGAACTTATTATGCCTTTTAGCTCTCACAGAAAGTTACGTTCTCCAACTTAGATTTTATTAATAATAAACATTTGAATCTTCCATCAACCTTATTCTTTGCCTTATTCCTTGATTTGTTCAGAAACTGAATATGGAAGAGGATTGGCTCTCTTCAGAGGCTTCAATAACACCTACTTACGACTGTTTCAGATTTCAATTCAAAAGAATATACTCATAACTCTATTTCTTGATGTGTCAGCTTTTGGAGTATCTGTTGGTCCTACTTTGTAAATAAGGAGGGATCTAGCTCACTAACTGGCTACTTCTTCTCCAAAAAATTGTTAGCATTTTTTAGTTTTAGCTCTACCACTGAAACTACCTTTGCAAAAATTTTAACAGTGAGAAAATTATGACAGTGAAAGAGATCTAACCTAACCAACTCCATCTTGTTTCTAACCTTCAAGGTGTCATTGTTCATTCCTGGGTGTAGGCCAAACTAACTTTGGGAGGAACTTAGTTTATAGTTTAACTTTGAAACAAAGATGATAACACCCCTTTCCTGAAACAAGCCCTCTTCTTGCCTGGGGACCAGGCTGCCTTTGTAGGACAAATAAATTAGCTGTAAGATTAGAAATTATGGTTTAGGAATCATGCAGCTACAGGCCACAAGATTCAAAACCTCCTCAATTGCTCCTAGGGATAATAACACTGTTAGAAAACCTAAGATTGGTGCTCAAGATATTTTTCAGACTCTGGCATCACCAAGATCGATGAAACTGGCTCGTCTGATTTTGTGGTCCCCACCCAGGAGCAGACTCAGTGCAAGAAGACAGCTTTGACTCCCTATGATTTCATCTCTGATCCAACCAATCAATACTCTCCACTCCCAGGCCCCCTACCTACCAAATTATCCTTAAAAAACTCTGGTCTCTGAATTTTCAGGGAGATTGATGTGAGTAATAACTTTGTCTTCTGCATGGGATGGCTGGCCTCAGGTCAATTAAACTTTCTTTACTGCAATGCTGTGGTCTTTGTGCAGCAGGCAGGAAGAACTTGTTGAGTGGTTACAACACTGGTAATCTTTGTAACTTTAAAGAACTTTATCTTCTATTTTTGTATCTACTTCAGATAGTATTCTCAATGCTCTAATTCATAAACTGAGCAATTAGTTCCCTACATTTTGCTCCAAAATTCCCCCCTCTACCACCTTCCAGTTTATCAGCTCTACCTTTAAGTCTTACACTATTAAAGCTTATAATATTTTTATTTTATGTAGACTTACACATAGGTACATACATATAATTATTACAATTAAATGTCCTAATGTTTTTCTAAAGGCCAAAGCTTTAAAACAATTATTAATATTTAAAATATGATGATTCGGGAAATACTATTCTTAGCAGAACAATTGATATGATAGGACCCACAAAGAGTGAAACATAATCGTAGGTCAATATACCATATTGCTTGAAGGAACTTTTTCCAAAGTCAAAGCCAAATGGATATTTTCTTCTTACATCCCATCAATTCCTCAATGCCATACCAGATTTTTTTGTTGCTTCATGTTTAGACAATGCATTTCGTACAGATTATTTTCCCCAATGTATTAGTCTGTTCAGGCTGCCATAAAATACCACAAATTAAGTAGTTTAAACAAAAGAAATTTATTATCTCACAATTTTGAAGGCTGGAAGTTCAATGTCAAGATGCCAACAGGGTCAGTTCCTAGTGAGGCCTCTCTTCCTGGCTTACAGACAACCACCTGCTCACTGTGTCCTCACATGGACCTTCCTCTGTGCATGCACGGAAAGAGAGAGATCCCTGATGTCTCTTCCTCTCCATTAAGGACACTAGCCCTATGGGATTAGGACCCTACCCTTATGACTTCATATTAACTTAATTACACTAGTTAAGTTCCCTCCTCCAAATATAGTCACATTAGGGGTTAGGATTCAACTTAAGAATTTAGGAAGGAGGGAAACAATTCAATCCAGAACACCTGTGTTTGTTCAAAATCTACAAATGTAGCAAATACTAAGATAACTGGGTATTTATAGAGTTATTTGCCAATTCCCTAGAATAGGTTATTCTAGAGGTAAGCTCCTATTACATATATGGAGAAAAGTATTCATTTACCAAGAGTCTGGAAACGTTAGGATGCCCTAAAACAGGGCCCCCAAACCCCAGGCCATGGACCAATATTGGTCCATGGCCTGTTAGGAACCAGGCTACACAGCAGGAGGTAAGTGGTGGGAGACCTAGCAAAGCATCATCAGTATTTACAGCCACTCCCCACTGCTTGCATTACCACCTGAGCTCTGCCCCCTGTCAGATCAGCAGCGGCATTAGATTCTCATAGGAGCATGAACCCTACTGTGCCCTGTGCATGCAAGGAATCTAGGTTGCGGGCTTCTTGTGAGAATCTAATCCCTGATGATCAGTCAGTCTCCCATTAGCCCCAGATTGGACCGTCTAGTTGCAGGAAAACAAACTCAAGCCTCCTACTAAGTCTACGTTATGGTGAGTTGTATAATTATTTCATTATATATTACAATATAATAATAATAGAAATAAAGTGCACAATAGATTTAATGCACTTGAATCATCCCAAAACCACCCCCCACCCCCAGTCCCTGGAAAAATTGTCTTCCACAAAACTGGCCCCTGCTGCCAAAAAGGTTGGGGACCACTGCCCTAAAACTAAACCATGGGCTTATCTCCTCTGGGAACTATGCATAACGTATTATAATTCCCAGGCCAAACTACTCCTGTCCTCATATTAGAGACAAGCCAAATTTTTACCTGAGACCTAGAGCTTCCCACTAGATGACCCATGGCTGGGGCAATTGTTCCTGAAGGCACTAAGGATTATGTTGTGGGTCTTTGTCTTAGATTTTCTGTGTTGCTATAACAAAACACCTTAGAATGGGTAATTTATAAACAGCAGAAACTTATTTCTCACAGTTCTAGAGGCTGGAAGTCCAAGTTGGAGGCACCAGCAGATTCTGTGTCTGGTGAGTGTCCAATCTCTCCTTCTAAGATGGCACCTTGTTGTTGCACCCTTGGGAGGGTACAAATGCTGTGTCCTCACATGGCGGAGGAACAGAAAGGCAAAAGGGGAAACCTAAATTTGTTCCCTCCAGCCCTTATATAAGTCACTAATCCATTCATGAGGACAAAGCCCTCATGACGTAATCATTTCCCAAAAAGCCCCTCCTTATAATACTATCACAATGAAGAGTAAGTTTCCACATAAATTTTGCAGAGGACACACATTCAAACCATACCAGCCTCAACCTCCCCACTCCATCACTCCCACATCCTAGTTAAGTCTGGATAGATACTCTAACCTGCACCCAGAAGTGAAGAGATGAGGACCCAGGTGAGGACCCAGGTGAGCACTCTCTTCATAAAACCAGAGTAAAAGGCATCTTAGATATCAACTCATCCAGAGTTCTTCTCTTTACAATCAAGAAAACAAAAACCGAGCAAATTTGGACAACGGGTTTATGTCCAAATTACACAAGGTTCAATTACATTGGAACCCAGGATTTCTGGTTTTGTTGTTGTTGTTCTGTATCCTGTACATGAAACAACATTGCCTTTCAAGTCTCCTCGATAGCAGGGGAACTCAGGAATTCAGAGAAGCTGCCTGATTTTTATAGATGAATATCCATTCACCCCCAATAGGAAGTGTAAATTGTGTCTCTGTTCCAAAGTTTGATATGTAATTACCGTCAGGAGCTGAGTTGGAGAGTGAGGAGCTGACAGGTGTTAATGTGGTCAATTAAGACAACGAGCCAAGCTGAAAGTAACAATTAAGCTTTTGTTCACTGACTGCAATTGTATAAGCAAGAGGCCAACAGGACAAAACACCAGCTCTCTAATGTTCCATTTTTCCCCACGGAACAGCTCCAGGGGAGTATCATCAGATGGATCAATCCAGAATGGCGGATTCGCTCACTGCCTTAGGGATGGGAGACGGGTTGGGGACAAGGAGTGGAAAAGTACTGAATACTGAGTCACAATGTCACAGTGGAGACAAGTGTCTTGATAAGGAGACCTCTGAAAGGAGGTGTTTGGACTAGGAATGTAGACATGTGTAGGAGCATGGCCAGTCTGGGAGGCACTGTGTCCTTGATTGCAACTCCCTCCAGACCATGCACCAATTGTGGTGTGGGAAGGACAGCTTCCCCCATGAGGCCTGCCAGATAAAGCCTTTGTAATCGCCTGTGGTCGGGACAGAAAGATCACTGGTAGGATTTTGACCTGGAGCCAGCCTCCTCAATCACATATGGTGACACACCTGTCCCCAGATGTGTTCACAAATAGTCTATAAGTCCTTAGACATGACTTTTCCTTAATGTATATTTTAAATACCATAGCTGACTATAGTCAGAATAAAGCTAATTTTCACCAAATTTTCTCCACAGTAAATTGTCTTCTCATCCATCATAAGGGCCACAACCAACACTCCTCTAACAAAAGACAGGTTAGCAAGAAAAAAGCATAACAAATTTATTTCA
This sequence comes from Homo sapiens, assembly GCF_000001405.40. NCBI lineage: Eukaryota > Metazoa > Chordata > Mammalia > Primates > Hominidae > Homo > Homo sapiens. The sequence continues at coordinate 143,249,396 of NC_000004.12, forward strand.
AAGTTTTATGTGACATCAGAGTCAGAAATGAAGACCCAGGGAAGACTATCTTTATGCTTAGGTACAATGAAAAATGGACAGCCATGAAGAAATATGATTGGACAAAAAGGTAGGATCTAATGGTAAGAGACCGAAGGGGAGACCCAGCAAGGCCTGTTTATTCAGATGCTTCTTGGCCTCTCTGTGTAGCATTCCTTCCTCCCAGGTATGGGGCAGGATCCCTCTGGAACAAGGGTCTTATGACCTACAGTAAGATAAAGCAGGCCAGGGAATTTCTTTATGGCCAGCTCCTACACAGAAAGACAGGGGGAGATTAGAATAATAGTCCTGGGTTTTATGGCTTGCTTTGGGGAGAATGGTTCTAGTTTCTATGATCCACCTTAAGGAAGATAAATTCTGGTTTCCATCACTTGCTTCAAGGGAGAAAGAAGGATGGAAAACAGGAGGATGGGAAAGTCAGAAAGACCTTGGTTCTAAAGTTGCTTCTAAGGCCTTCCAACCTCCTTTGGTTAAAAGTACTCAGCATGCCAAAGCGCCATAATTTGGGGATTGTGTTCTGAGCCCCAACAACACCAAAGATGCTACAATTAGATATTATTATGCATTAAATTGCATGCTTTTCTGTGCTATAACACAGAGCTGGATACAACTGTGAGAACTCAATAAATACATGTTTAGATTTCTTTGTTTGTTTTGGTTACTATAAAGATCTGAATATAATTAATGGTGTATTTTCTTTGCTTGCAGTATATGGCTTTCAATTTTACCTATTAATTTTATTATCCTATTCATTGTATACGGTTTTAATTACAATCTCCTCAAATCTTTCTTGGTAGAAATAAGTGTGGTAGAAATAAAGAAGATAATTGAATACAGATATTACAGTAAATACATGTCAACTGGAATGTGAAATGCTGTGGCTACTCCCCAAGCAGATTTCATCCTAAGACATTCCAGATAATATAGATAAATCCCTCTTCCCTATTCCTGCCTCCAAACCCCACCTGTTTCCCTGCCCTCAACACATTTCCTAAACTAGGACAGGAACATGTGGGAAAAACAAAGTGGAAAAGGGAAGCAATTCACAGCCCAAACCAAGCCAAACCATGTTTCCACCCATTTGTTGGACTTTTAAAAACTTGCTAAAGCAAATTTAACTCTGCAAATGTGTATTTTAAAAGGTCAGCTATTGAATGTGGTACGGAAATTGCACTGCCATGCAAGATTGAAGTGTTGTGTGAAATTTCAGCAATTGTGCCCATTAACAGAAAAAAAAATATTTACTGTAGGGTCTCTTTCCAGTACCAAGCTTTGGTTAGCTGACGGCGCTGGAATGTGCTAGCCAGGGGTACTCTGATGCCATGTTACCTACCACATCTTCAAAGCTGGAACATCTCCAGCTATGCCTTCCTACATTCAGTGTGTTTACGTACCTTTCTCTATTAAAATAAACACCATGCAGAATGTTAACAGACTGGATTAAAGTGGAAATAGACATGAAGTTGGGGGCAAGCATTAAGCATCATCTTTCTGCTTCTCCCCAGCTGTGCCACAGGCTTGGAACACTTTAAATAGGCTTGGGTGGAAAAGACACCAAAATTAGCTTTGAATTTTCTAGGGTTTTTTGTTTCATTTTGTTTTGTTTTTGCTGATTTCAGACACTTCAAGGCATTATTTAAAAGTAGCCTCCTGGTCTTTTCTTTCCCTGTGTTTCTTTTCTTTTCTTTTGATAATTGATTTAAAAGTTCTTTGTACTACCTTGCTCACCTTTTTTCTTACAATTCCCTTTACAATTGTTTTAACCTTTCTCCTACCTAGCTCAGTCTGCTTTTTGTATGCAGACAGCCAACAGGATACAAACTGTAAAATATGTTTGGCCTGACTTACTGTTTCCTTTCTACATGCTTGGATGTAGAGAATAAGAATCTAAAAGCATAGCTTTTTCCATCTTCTGAAAAAAAAAAATCCATGCTATGCAGGTTAGCCTAAAACTTTTGAATGAATGCAGTTGTCCTATGTTATACTTTAGTCACAGGCCCTTTGAATAGAGCCAAATCCCAGCTGCACCAATGTCTTCTTGGCTGGATATGAACAGTGCCATTGCCTGGGTTCTCATTGCTTTTCTGGCCCAGATCAGCAGATCTTCCCACACCCACACCCAGCCCTGCCCTTCTCCTTGAGTGTAAGGCAGGAAATAATAAGGCCTGAATAAGGAAATAAAGGCCAAGACACTATTTTAGTGCCCTTAGACTCTTCATCAACCAGAAACACTAATGGTCCCTGGTTTCCTTCTGGCCGTTCTTCAGGACCATCAGTAGCACAGCCACTGCTTCAGCCTCTTTTATTTGTGCACACACACAAAAAAATTATCCTAAATGATTGCTCAGTGAATTATCCTTTCCATGTGTTTCTTTTACTAAGAAGGACAAAATATATACATGAGGGAAATACATTTCCATCATTTACCCACAACTATATAAATGAATATTATGGAATATTTACAATGTATTAGGATTAACTGTAGGATTATCTTTTTCAAGGAAATGTACTAAACTTAGTCATAAGCAATGAGTCAGTCTCATTCCAGAAATCATTCAGAGGTGCCATATGAGCAAAGGTAACAAGAACTTCTTCATGGAAATATGCCAAGAACAATATATAGTATAAGAAAACACTTCAGACTATTTTATTTCTAAATGTAAATAATAAAAGCAATATTATAAACTGTAGACAAGAAGAAACTTAAATGAGAGTGCCGGTAAATGTTATCCATCCCAGCAGAACTACAACTTGCCAAGACTTCGGGAGAAACTGTGTAACTGCTACTGTTACAAATAAAGAGGAGGGATTTGGCATTTTCATGCAGGCAGACATGCTATCTATATATGTATGTGATATTAGGCGGCAAGGAAGACAGACAGTGTCATCCTTATAATAAGCATCCAGGAAAACAAGGTTCACAGACAGGGCCTTGGAATCTATGCTTCTTCCTGAAAAAGAAGAATCGGTTTTCCATTTGGATCTGCCATCAGGACACTTATTATCCCACTAAGAATAATTGCCTTAGTGACAATGAGGCACATAACACAAAGGAACAAGGGAAACAGCATCCAGTCTCAGGTTTCAAGATCAAATCAAGGCAGTGCGGTGAATAGGGCAGGGATTTCTGCCTGTTTTGTTCATTGATATGTCCTAAGTGCTTATAATGGTACCTGAACATAGTAGGTGATCAATAAATATTTACTAGATGAATGTGTGATGAATGAATAAGCAATGATTCAACATTATTCACACTGAAGGATGAACTATTTCTTGGAACATGTAAGCATCGGACATTTTGTAAAATGTTTTGAAAATGTAGTAAGTAGCCTCCTTTGTTTGCTATTCAGCTACCAAATATTTCATCTAAAATATATTTAAAGCAAGGGCATAGTATAGTTCATGTTTTTGGAAAAAATAACAAGTATTCTGGACCTACTACGTGCAAATCATTGTAACCTGTAAGGGTATGAGCTCTGATATAAGATGCAAATCACAGGTATGAGACAAAAGATAAATGACATACACAAAAGAAGATGAGCAGATTTTTGGATACCACAAAGAAAAAAAATGACCCTTGTTTTAACCATCTGGGCCTTGGTAGGTAGTAATCAGAAGCTCACATCAAAAACCTACTCTTCAAGTTTTAATATTTTTTCTACTTGGTTAGAGTGTACCAGTTAGGATTTGGTCAAGAAAACAGAAATCACTCTAGGTATTTCAAGAAGGAAAGGATTTAATACAGAGAATTAGAGCCCTTACACAAAACCACTGTCAGGACTAGGAGAAGAAAAGTCAGGGAAGCTCCTCATAGTTTTCAGGACATCAGGAAATTCAGAGATCAGAAGAAACCTCTGCTAATGATCTCAACTTCCTGCAGTACCAAAGTGGGTGATTTCCAGAAGAATACCTAAAAGCTTCGGGCAAAGCCTCATGTCTGCTCTTTGCCAAGGTTTGTTTATCTGCTTGCCCACAGCTGCTGAGTCAATGATGGCTTCTCCTTTTTGCCTTCGGTTCTACTCTAAATCTCAAGGAGTGACCTCCATACATGGAACCTGAATTAGAAATCTGGTGACAAAGCAGTTTAGAAAATATAATTTCCAGGCTTCCAGATCCTACATGATAAGGGAGAAAATAGATGGGAGTTAGGACTGTTGCTAACATTCCAACAGAAATCCAGCACAACGATTGAGGTTAAGTCTATCATCAAATGTAAATGGTTTTCATCCATCATATGGACTCAGTCACTCTCCTATGGAAGTTTTGTTGTTGTCTTCCTAAAACTCTCATATTTGGCTGGGCGTGGCAGCTCATGCCTATAATCCCAGCACTTTGGGAGGCCGAGGCGGGCAGATCACCTGATGTCAGGAGTTCAAGACTAGCCTGGCCAAGATGGTGAAACCCCATCTCTACTAAAAATACAAAAATTAGCTGGGCGTGGTGGTGCGTGCCTGTAATCCCAGCTACTCGGGAGGCTGAGGCAGTAGAATCTCTTGAACCTGGGAGGCGGAGGTTGCGGTGAGCCAAGATTACACCATTGCACTCCAGCCTGGGCAACAAGAGCGAAACTCCATCTCAAAAATAAATAAATGAGTACTCTCATATTCAAGAACCCCTCTACTATCATCATAGAAGATATATGCACTGAGTAGAACCTACTGACTACTGTTTTGTTGGCCAGAACGGACAAAACCTTGTAAGCAGTTTGCCTGCGGACTTCTTGGGAAACTGTATTTCAGTTAAGTTTATTTCCACCAGAGTGTGTTGCCTGATGCTCTGGGAGGACACGACAACCTGGGGAGGAAAGGGTGGATATTTTCAGGGAAGGTATGCAGGGGTAGATTAAAATTTAGTAGGTTCTCTGAGCAGAACAGACAGCAGTGGGCCATCAGGACAATGGAAATAGCATGTGATAAGCCTCCACTAGAATTTAACAGAACGGGGAACATGAGTCTCTCTCGACTCCTTTGCATGTTTTCTTGCATCCACTCAATAGCCCTTCACTTTAAATTCTCTTTTTGGTGAGTGAGATCTGTTGGGGGAAAATGGCATACTCTAGAAGTAGGACTAAGGAGAAGATAGAGAGTAGAACAATATACTGGGGTCATATTCCTCTCATTTAAAATAAAACAAAAGAATAGTTTCCATCAGCCCTCCCAACTTGAGGCTCCCAGTTGAGTCCCCCTGGCGGTGCAAGGAAGGGTAAGCATAAACCACCTCACCTCCTCGCACGCCCTGGCCACTCCCTTGCCCTCCGTTCCTCTCTCCACAAGGGAGCTTCCCTGGCCACCCAGGCTTTGAGCAGTGTTCTGCTCTGGAGGGAATGCCTCTAGGAACAGGATTATGGTCCTGTAACCCTGCCCTCTCTCTTCTCACTGATTTCCTTGGGCTAGGGAGTGCTGAAAACCAAGAACAAGTATCAGGTTCTTATTTTGATCTCTAAGAAAAATACTCTTTTATCTTTTTCTCTCCAGTCCTTAGGGAGTTTTTCTCCTGTAAGTGCAAGGGAAATTCAGGCTCCAAAAAGCCACCTAGGAAGATGACCCGGGGCCAGCCCAAGAATCCACACCCTCTTCTCTGCAGCACATATAACAGTAACTGTACCAGAGGGCTTAGCCAAAAGCAACATGTGGTTGTGCAAGGAGAGAAAGGGTGAGAAAATGCATTAAGATTTTTAAGATGCTGCTTCTTCACTGAGTTCCCTTGCTAAAGGTGAGTGAAAATAAGTACTTGAAGAGCAAAAATACATTGAGAACTAGCCAAAGCACTAGAATCCTGCTTTATAGGGCAAGGATGTAGAAAGGACAGAGAGAGAGAGAGAGGGAATGAGAGAGAGAGAGAATGAATGAGAGACAGAGAGAAAGGAGAAAGAGAACTTTAATTTTTTTCAAGCAAAACTAAAATCGTGGCCAGTCGCCGTGGCTCACACCTGTAATCCCAGCACTTTGGGAGACCGAGGCTGGTGGTTCACTTGAGGCCAGGAGTCTGAGACCACCTGGCCAACATGGTGAAACCCTGTCTCTACTAAAAATACAAAAAACAATTAGCCAGGCATGGTGGTGGGTGCCCGTAATCCCAGCTACTTGAAAGGCTGAAGCAGGAGAATCGCTTGAGGCCAGGAGGCAGAGGCTGCGGTGAGCTGAGATCACACCACTGCACTCCAGCTTGGGTAATAGGGCAAGACTCTGTCAAAAAAAAAAAAAAAAAAAAAAAAAAAACTAAAATATCTAGTATGAGGAATGATGAAGACTATGTTAGTTGCATACACTTTCAGATACATTAGCAGCACATAGAAAAGACTGAAAATAAGTTGATAATATTTTTCTTTTCAGTGTGTTCACATTCCCAACCTGAGGGGTGGGGTGCTTCAATGTATGTTTTTCCCCATTATATAATGTGGAATGTAATCAAGGAAGAATCATTACTGGACTAATCCTCCTCTTATATTAATTCTCTATAATAATGAATAATCAGTTATAAGGGAAAAGGGATTGAAATTAAAAGGCTAAAACTACAGGTTAAGCAAACAAACATAGCCACAATTATGTGATTGTAAGAATAACTTTCCATGAAGCTAATAGATGCTACATGGCAAAATATATTATTACAAACCCAACTGTCCCCAGATTGGGAAAAAAAATGTATGAGGCCTAAAAACTGCTGGATTATTTTGAGTAAGAATTGGACTCAAAATGAGAAATGCAAATGAAAAGTACTACTTCTATATCTCTTTAATTGACTGGTACTCTCTGCCATCAGATTTACCACCCCAGAAGACTACATGAAATTATAAAACCTAGAAAAATGGCAAAGCTAGAGAAAAATCCCAGCAGACGTATTTTTGAAACCTGATTTTTTAAAGCTCCTCTCTGAAATAAATCTCTAAATGTCACTACTTTCAGAATGCATCTAACTAGAGAATTTCAAAATTGCTTTTTTTTCTGAGAATTGCCCAGGACAATGTTACACAAGTGTCTTTGATAAAGCCTATCCTAATATACCAGAAGTATTTCTGAACTGTTGAATCATCACCATCAAAACAAAATCGTACATTCAGGAAAGTAGGTGTTTCTCCTGCAGTCGCCTTTTCCTTCCTTTTTGCAGGGGCATGCAGGAGATAGGGTCTCTGTCATCCTATCACCCTGCAGCCCACTGCAGCCTTGACCTCCTGGGCTCAAGCAATTCTCCTGCCTCACCCCACAAAGTGCTGGGATTACAGGTGTGAGTCACTGCACCAGCCTTCCTTTCATTTTTTATGACAATTTCAAGATGATTTTCAGCTTTGGTTTCTACATAGTGTTTTCCTTCAGGGAATCTATTGATGTTTTATGGGGGAGAAGTCTTCATTGTCCAGGACAGTCTCCAACATTGTGCAAATTTGGTATTCCTGGTCCTTGTTCACTAAATCAAGTAACATCTCCCAAATGCCTATGAGGAGAGTGGAATTCATGGAGTTGAGAACCACTATACCACAAATACATGTTTCTATATGGACAACTGCTGTTTATCATAGCCCTAAAGGCAATTTACACTTCTTGTGGCTGGGACACCACATTTCTTAATCATAATGCAGATTTTCTCTGAGCATGTATACATCTCTGTTCAAGGCATGGTTCCTTCTGAACATGGGCCCATTCTTACTGTTCAACATGACCATGGCTATTTAGTGTTTTTTTTTAATTGCATACATTTAAAGTGTGTAATTATTTGTGTTTTCTTATCTTATTTGAAGACATGAACAAATACGGAAGTAGAATTTATTTATTTAATTGTTTAAAGAGATGGGGTCTCTCTGGAGCTCAGTGGTACAATCACAGCTCACTGTACCTTGAACTTCTGGCCTCAAGCCATTCTCCTGCTTCAGCCTCCCCAGTAGCTAGGACACATGCCACCACACTCAGCTAATTTTTTTCCTTTTTGGAGAGACAGGTTCTTGCTATGTTGCCCAGGTTGGTCTTGATCTCCTGGCCTCAAGTGATCCTCCTGCCTCAGCCTCCCAAAGCACTGGGATTTCAGTCATAAGCCATAACATCCAGCCTAGAAGTAGAGTGTAATGTGTTTGTTTCACCTAGGAGTTCACTCCCAGGTTGTATCAACCCAGCCCTGTTCATATTCTAGCACTCTCTCATCTGAAATGCAAATGAAAGTGTTTCCCAGATGTTGCTATTGTACCAATTATATTCTCTTCAAGAAAAGAACTATCAGTCCTAGTGGGAGAAACTATTTTTATTCATTGAGATCTTTTCCCAGCAATATATATGGTGTGTCCATCCATTGGGTTGACTTCAGAAAGCCTGGAAGAGGACTTCTTAGGTTCAGATATATTTCCCAGAAGGAAAGACAGCCACCAACTAGATAACCGGGAGAAACTACAGATTAGGAAGAAAGTAAGCCACCCTGATGTCACTTAGACCTCATCTCATTGATCCTGCTAAGGCCTTCACAAGCTATGTTTTAAACATTTGTGCCTCTTATGATGATGATCCTGTCACTTCTCAGATATTACTCCTTAAGAATCTTCCATTATTCCAATTATTCAGCATAAAGACAGAAAATAAGCAAATGCTTAATTCCCTATGATGTTTGAAGAGAGAAAAAAAACTTTTCTTTCTATGCACAGGTTATGATCTTGGCATAACAATAAAACACATTTGCATAACACTCCAAAAAATGAAAAAAAATTACCCTCAATTCCACTTAGCTCCAAAAACTTTTTTATTTTTTCCTGTACTTTCCAGATCTTATCAAAATTGCAATCATAATTTACAATACCTTTTTGAAAAACACCATATCAAAAACATTTTCTATCTTCTTACTTTGCTTAAGCAAGGTATCTTGCTTACCTTGCTTATAAGTTATTATATTTGATGGTTGAATTGCAGTCCCTCTTTTTGATACATTATAATTTACTGAATTATTCTCTTATTTTTAAATATTTAATTTTTTTCTGTCAGGTTTTTTTTTTTTTGGTATTACTGATAAAAACATCTGTCCTACATCTGTCAAAATATTTCCTTAGGAAAAATTCTCTGGAGTAGTATTACTTGGTCAAAGCAATATTACAAAGTAGTATTATAAAGGTCTTCTTTGTAGTCTTTACTAAATGTTTTCCTATCCTTCAAAAGGTGGCTACGCCAACTTGAAATGCTCCTTGCTACATATCCATATCCAAACTTTACCTTCACCTCAGGTAACATAAAATAGTAACTCTGAATTGCATTTCTTTGGTTACTAACAAGCATACCCCCTTCCCTTGGTTAAGCTACACTCTAATTCCCTCATCTCTCTTTTGCAATTCTTTTGCAAAGCTGAGCACATAACAGCAACTCATGGCTTGTTGTTGCCTCCATTTAGAGTTAAGCCAAATTGAAGAAGAATGCTCAAGGAAAACAGAGAAAAGATCACTTACTCTTTATTTGGATGAACATTTTTCTGACTTCCTCCTATGTTGTAAAGAAAAGAAAAGCTCAAATATTTTGTGAAAAGCCTGAGTAATAAGTTAATATTCCTTTGGCTGCACAAAATAGAAATTTACTCTAGTTAGCCAGAAGAGGAAAAAGAATTTACAGAAAGTATATTGGTAAGTCTAATAGAACATAAGGAAAAAGGTCCGGGTCATATGGTCTGCCATTTAAGATTCATTTTACTGCCAATAACAAAAATTCTGACTAACAATGGCTTTAGGAATAAAGAGATTTATCTGGCAAAATAACATTCTAGATATTTTGAGGCTGGTTTTGCCACTAAATAAGGTCATCAAGGAGCCCGACTTTTTCCATGCTTTCATTTAACCAGACTCAATGTGTCAGTCATTCTTATGGGTGGTTGCTTCATAGCCACAAGATGGTTGCCTTAACACCAGCATGCCATTCAAAGCCAGGAAGCAGGAAGCAGGGGTGGTGGCTAGGGCAGAGAGTTCTCATTATTTCTCTTTTATTTTCAAGGAGCAATAAGCATTTCCCAGAAATCCCTCAGCAGACTTCCCATCATGCCTCTTCAGATAGAACTGGATTCATAGTTATTACTAGATACTTTATAATTATCATTAGATAGAACTGGGCTATGGCTTTATGACAATCCCTAGACTAGAAGTTGGGCCCATTTTCCATGAAATCAAGGAATCTTCAGCTGATACCAGAGGGAAATTGTGGTGTCTGGTAGTGAATAAGAATGGAACTGAGTCTCTCGGTAGGTAACCATCATGTGTGCCACAGGTGCAAACCAGGGAGTTTGTGGATGTTTCTTTCTTACGCTATGGGTTTTCATCAGCAAGAAACCCAAATCTCTTTTTCTCTTAGGTCAAAACTCCAGATTTCTAAAAGAAAGAGTCTTATGGCTCTGCTTGGCCTATCAGAGAGAATCACAAACTGGAGGCCTGGCTTCTGGTTCCTCTTCTGCACTCCAGCCTGGGCGACAGAGTGAGACACCATCTCAAAAAAAAAAAAAAAAAAGAAAAAGAAAAGAAAAATTAGCACAGTTCTTTGTGTATTTTGCTTATATTCTAGAATGGATAAGAGATACGAGTAAATAAGCAACGACAACATGCCCTTCATCCTTGATAGGAGACCATGTGTTCAGTGAGGGTTTGTGTCAGTGGCATGCCTGCACTGAGTGCCTCAAAGGCAGTATTCCACAGCTAACAAGAAATGTGATATGTTTGTAGGGTAGCATTCTCTTTGAGGGTAAATATGAATTCCTGGGAAGCTGAAGAAGTTAAGATGTCACAGCTGGGAAAGGGGACTGCATCGGCCCTCAAAAAAATTGGAATTGTCTTGAGCCAGAGATAAACACCATGGACATCCCTGACATCTAAGCTAAATGAAATATCATCAAAAGATATTTATTGACAATATAGTTTGATCTGTGTCCCCACCCAAATCTCATGTTCAATTGTAATCCCCAATGTTGGAGGTGGGGCCTGGTGAGGGGTGATCAGATCTTGAGGGCAGTTTCTCATGAATGGTTCAACACCATCCCTCTGGGTGCTGTTATTAAGTGAGCTCTTGTGAGATGTGGTTATTTAAAAGAGTGTAGCACCTCTCCCCATCTCTCTCTTTTTCTCCTGCTCCTGCCATGTAAGATGTGCCTGCTTCCCCTTCGCCTTCCACCAGTTTCCTGAGGTCTCCCCAGAAGCTAAGCAGATGCATCATGCTTCTAGTACAGTCTGCAGCCAATTAAACCTCTTTTCTTTATAAGTCACCCCTCCTCAGATATTTCTTTATAACAGTGCAAGAATGTACTAATACAATTTAACTTCCTAACTTGTATAAAGAATTGTACCAAATCCTGTGGAGGCACAATCTGTAAGCTTTGGTCCTTGCCCCAAAAGAGACTGCAATCTGTTTGAGGAGATTCTTGGTGTAACAACACCACAGGAGTAGATGAATGCTAATTGTAAGGTACAGACAATAAATGTTTTTCCCCTAGTAAGCTTTGTTGACAGTAACAGGACAGAAACTATGTCTGGTGGAGGAAAGGCCTGGAACTGTTTAGTCCACTCAACCAGCCCTCACGTATCCAGCCATGCCACAGCTCTTTCTTAGTCACCCAACACCCTAAGGTCATGGTCTCTTCTGATGCAGGCTATTTTGGTGGTGCGGGCCAACTATAAGGGCTTACATGTTGCCTCAAGAAATTCTGTTCCCGTCAAGTAGACTTCATCTTCCTCACCTTCTCTTGCCTTTTTAAAGACATTCATTTCAACTCTTTCACCCCCACCCCATGTTCTCATTTTCAGAGTGGCTAATAAAAACTTGATTATTAGGAGCAAAGATTTTTAAAACCTTTTTTATAGCCACCAAACAAGAACACAGTATAAGATAGAGGATTCTGCTACTGGTCTGCTGTGAGATAAGTAGCAAGTTACTTTCTATGCTGAAAAATTACTTAAGGAAAAAAGAATATGATTACTCTCTTTCCCACCTTTGCAACCAGGTTCCTGATAAAGATTAGTGAAATGGTCCCCAAAAAACTTGGTAATACTTTACAAAATATTTTATGATACTGTGCAGTCCTATTACAAAAATATAACAGAGTTTAAATGGATTTGTTATATATTCTCTCTCTCTTCTTTAGAGAGTTAATAGCCTTTCAGCTAGAAAATCCAATTACTGAAATCTATGTAATTTCTCTTGGTCATTGGAGAATTCAATAACACTATAAATCTAATTTTTTAAAAAATGTTCACACCATAAATGAATTATAATCAGCAGGACTAAGATCTAATTGGAAATGCTGCTACCATCTGAGATTACTTATGAGCCAAAAACAAATTGCTTAAACCAAACCAGACTCCCAAAAGCCTTGGAGAAGTATTTGTGTTGAAAATTTGGTTAATATTTTTATTCCCAACTTAAGCACCCAGATCTGGATCCATTATTATCACACAGAAGTTCTTGTTTATAAATCATTAAATGCTATTCAGGACTTTCCACAGGAAGCAGACCCTTAGTAACAGGAAGAATTTATAAGACTTTCTTTTTTTTGGAAAAAAGAACAGAAGTCAAGAAAAGGGGAATGCACTCTAGAGAAAGAATTTCCCATATACTAGACTACATTATTCCACAGGCAGCTGAAAACCTGCTTCTTTGTAAAGCTTTCCTTGATCCCATAAATTAGCGATTAACTTCTCTGTGTTGGAGACTACCACGGCTAAAATTTTTACCCTCTTTCTAGTATTTATTTGAATGACTTACATTATTGATAGTTATTTATCCATTAATCTTCCTCATCAAAGTTATAAGTTATTTGGGAAACAACAAGTTCTTTCACATTTTTTACTCCTTCCCACCCCCACCAGTGTCTCCTTTTGTGTGTCAGGTATTGTGGTAGGGGCTGGAGAGAAGATGGATATGGATAGGAAAATCAGCGCAGTTCCGGCTGGGCGTGGTGGCTCGTGCCTGTAATCCCAGCACTTTGGGAGGCCGTGGCGGGCTGATCATGAGGTCAGGAGGCCAAGACCATCTTGGTTAACACGGTGAAACCCCGTCTCTACTAAAAACACAAGAAACTAGCCAGGTGTGGTGGCACACACCTGTAGTCCCAGCTACTCGGGGGGCTGAGGCAGGAGAATGGCATGAACCCGAGAGGTGCAGGTTGCAGTGAGCCGAGATAGTGCCACTGCACTCCAGCCTGGGCGACAGAGCAAGACACCATCTCAAAAAAAAAAAAGAAAAGAAAAGAAAAAGAAAGAAAAGAACAATTAGCACAGTTCTTTGTGTGTTTTGCTTATAGTCTAGAATGGATAAGAGATACGAGGAAATAAGCAACAACAACATGCCCTTCATCCTTGATAGGAGAACATGTGTTCAGTGAGGGTTTGTGTCAGTGGCATGCCTGCACTGAGTGCCTCAAAGGCAGTATTCCACAGCTAACATGAAATGTGATATGTTTGTAGGGTAGCATTCTCTTTGAGGGTAAATATGAATTCCTGGGAAGCTGAAGAAGTTAAGATGTCAGTTACTAGTCTTTGATAAGAATCATGTGAGCTTCACATCCAGGCTGTACAGGCATTAAACTGAAAAGGGTCCCCAAAGGCATCTTGAGGGTTTGGGGTAGGGGGCAGGAAATTCTGGTTTCCTCCAACTCCCCAGATTTGCTGACTAACGCTTTTAATGAATGTCTTTCTACATATTCCTAAAGTTAATTGCTTATCCTAACACATATGTGAGCTTCATCATTCCTGAGGAGTTCAGTGAACTCCTGTGGATGTGCCTTGCATGAAAAGAAATCCAGGAAACTATGGAAACAAAGCCAGAACACACAACCTAGTTTCAACACCCATTCAATTCAATTGTAAATAAAAATGTATCTGAATTTGAAAAAAGGGGGATTCAGATACACAAAGAAAATGAAAATGTAAATGGCAATTGATTCATTCATTCAGCTGATAGTTATTGATGACTCTTTACATGTATCATTTTACAGTTATGATATCTGTAGCTATTTTTTAGTTTGGGGATTGTTAAATCTGGTAAATACTGAGACTGCTGTTGCTTCCTAGAAACTTTACCTGTACCTTGGATAAGCTGTAGGTGAAGGTGAAGTAGAAGATAGAAAGGCTAATTCTCAGGTTCAATCAGCCTGTGGTCTTCTCGCATATTGTGAACAGAAAGAATACTCTTCCAATTGTACAAACCAGTGCAAGGGCCAGAGAGGATGTTAAGAAAAGTAATGTTTTGAGACAAATGTAGTAGAAATCTTCAAGGAATAAACTAATGAGAAGTGAATTATCAAATTCTAAGCCAGACCGGGCATAGTGGCTCATGCCTGTAATCCCAGCACTTTGGGAGGCTGAGGCGGGCAGATCGCTTGAGGTCAGGAGTTTGAGATTAGCCTGGGAAACATGGCAAAATCCCATCTCTACAAAATACAAAAATTAGCCAGGCATGGTTGTAGGCGCCTGTGATCCCAGCTACTCGGGAGACTGAGGCAGGAGAATTGCTTGAACCCGGGAGGCAGAGGTTGCATTGAGCTGATCACACCACTATACTCCAGCCTGGGCAACAGAGCAAGACTTCATCTCAAAAAGAAAAAAAAATCATAATACAATGTGAAGTAACTCTTACATTATTTGAACTAACATTGCCTACTGCTTCAAAGCAGCTTTCTGTCTTATCTCCCAGCCCAACTTCTCAAAGGGATACAACAGAAGACATAAACACATACAGAGATTTCCAATCTGGATAAGATGGCATGCTGTCATGTTTTTCTTCTGAACTATAAACCCTAGGAAAGGCATAAGAGACAACCAAAGGACAACTCTGAAACATGGTTGGAAGGCAAGCTGGTCTGGGACCCCAGGGGAAAGGAACAACATGGTGGCAGGGCATCTATCATCTCCGCCACCCAACAGAAGGTCATCCCAGCCTATCATTTCCGAACTCCCTGCCTAGCAGTGGAAGGCAGCACCGTAGGCCCATTCCTCTCCTTTAATGGCATCAGGCAAACCCAACTCCACAAAGAAGACCATCAGTTGGAAGCCGTGTGGCTAGGGGAGGCACTTTCCTTCCCTGTAGGGTCTGTGACCTGGCTTTTCTGCCAAGAAAGACTGAGATAAGTGGCAGAAATGGCAAGATAGACCTAGTGACAGCAAGTAGCCCAATTCAGGAGGCCTCTTTATTCTCATGGGCCAAGACTCCTTTACTCAGAGACACAGAAACAGCCAGGGGGCACTGACAGGGGCATCTACCCCATCCCTCCTCACCAAGAGTCACTCAGCAACCAGATCTGGAGACAACCCTTCCATTCCCTTAGCCAGCACCAGCAGGGAGTAATGGGAGCCTGATATCAGGGACACCTGATAAATGCAGCAGACCAAAATAATAGTGCAAAGGCTCTAGAAAGTAAACTGCCTTTGGAACCGCTGCTCACAAAACTAGGCCAGGACCTGCATGATAAACCTGAACAGAGTGAATTCCTGCTTAAACAAAAGACTCAAATGAGACCTGGAGTCTCCTAACATAATTGCCATAATATTCAGGACACAATTAAACGTCACTGTCATACCCAAAAGCCAAGGAAATCACAATTTGAATATGAAAATGACAATCAACTGCTGCCAACACCAAGAAAAAATAAGAGGTAGGAATTATCTGACAAGGATTTTAAAGGATGCATAATACAAATGCTTCAACAATCAATAACAAATCCTCTTGAAACAAAAAAAAATTAATAGAAACTCTCAGGAAAGAAACAGAAGTTGCTTTTTAAAACAAACCAACTAGAAATTATAAAACTGAAAACTTCAGTAACAGAATAAAACTGAAAAATTCAGTAACAGAAAAATCTTTTTAAACTCAGTGGATGGGCTCAATAGTAGAGTAGAGACAACAGAGGAGAGAGGCAGTGAACGTGAAGCAACTCCCTGTAGGACAATAAAGAAAGATACAACTTTCTTTCCTTTTTTTTTAAGAAACAGGGTCTCACTATGTTGCGTAGGCTGGTCTCAAACTCCTAGGCTAAAGCAATCCTCCTGCCTTGGCCTCCCAAAGTGCTGGGATTATAGGCATGAGCCAACACTACAGGACTGAAAGGTCCAACTTTCACACCACTGTAGATGAGTAAGGATCAGCTGAAAAAATGTCAGAAGAAATAATAGCTGAAAATTGTTTAAATTTGGTAAAATACACAAGTCTACCCATAAAATACAATCTTTAAGGTATAGGGCTAGGCTGAGTTCTTAGACTTAACACCAAAACACAACTCATAAAAGGAAAAATTGACAAATCGAACCTCAGAGGGGGAAGAATATTTGAAAACCACATACCTAATAAAGGCCTAGTATCTATGATATATAAAGAATTATCAAAACTAAACAGGAAAAAAAACTATAAAATATCTAACTAGGAAATGGGCAAAAGACATGAACAGACATTTCAGAGAAGAGAATATACAGATGGTAAATAAGTACCAAAAAAAAGTGCTCAATATTATTAGCTACTAGGGAAATGCAAATTAAAACCACAATGAAGTATCACTACATACCTATCAGATCAGCTAAAAATTAGCGACAATACCAAATGCTGGAAAAGATATCAAGAAACTGGATCACTCACATATTATGTAAATTTAGGGAATATTGTTAATATGCTAATAAGTAGCCTCAGCTGCAGGAAAAAAAAAAACCAACTGACAAGAGGAAGCAACAATTAATTTTCTACTGTTCCTGTCAGCCAGAAAATGGGATAATAAAGTTAAGGAACTCCACCTTTCCTTAACTAAGTTGCACTGCAAGTACAAAAGCTACTCAAGTGTGCAGGAAATACCTTAAAACAAAAACAGACCCAAAAAAGGGTCCAGAATACAGCACTTGAATTCTGACCTTTTAAAATCTAACACAACCTAAGAGTTAGAACTGTACTCTCAGGCAGAAGGGACTGGACACATAGCCTTGGGAAGAGACCATATAGCTTGGGTCAGAAGCCAAGATGGAAACTGATTTGGAGCATTCCTTAACCATTCCATTTCTTGCCACCTCACTGCAGGAGTCCTGATTATGTTTGCATCCCACGTGGAGCCCAGCAGAACAGGAATAAATAGGATGAAAGGCCAATCCACACTTCTTTTTATTGATGTGCCTAATATATAAGTATGATTAGAATAGTTTGGGTGTTTGACCAACCTGGTACAGTTTGAAGAGGAAGTTATAAATCAGAGGAAATGTCTTTGACTCCTCCTAAGCCAGGTGATATGGTTTGGCTGTGTCCCCATCCAAATCTCATCTTGAATTGTAACTCCCACAATTCCCATGTGTCATGGGAGGCAACTGATGGGAGGTAATTGAATCACGGGGTTATGTCTTTCTTGTGCTGTTCTCCTGATAGTGAGTCTCAGGAGATCTGATGGTTTTAAAAACAGGAGTTTTCCTGCTCAAGCTCTCTTCTCTTGTCTGCTGCCATATCAGACATGCCTTTCACCTTCCACCATGATTGTGAGGCCTTCCCAGTCATGTGGAACTGTAAGTCCAATAAACCTCTTTCCTTTGTAAATTGCCCAGTCTCAGGTATGTCTTTATCAGCAGCATGAAAACAGACTAATGCAGTAAATTGGTACTGGGAGTGGGACATTGCTGAAAAAATACCCAACAATTTAGAAGCAACTTTGGAACTGGGTAACAGGCAGGAGGTTGTAACAGTTTGAAGGGCTCAAAAGAAGACAGGAAAATGTGGGAAAGTTTGGAACTTCCTAGAGACTTGTTGAATGGCTTTGCCCAAAATTCTGATAGTGATATGAACAATAAGGTCCAGACTGAGGTGGTCTTAAATGGAAATGAGGAACTTGTTGAGAACTGGAGCAAAGGTGACTCTTGTTATGTTTTAGCAAAGAGACTGGCAGCATTTTGCCCCTGCACTAGAGATTTATGGAACTTTGAAATTGAGAGAGATAATCTAGGGTATCTGGTTGATGAAATTTCTAAGCAGCAAAGCATTCAAGGGTGACTTGGCTTCTGTTAAACGCATTCAATTTTATAAGGGAAGCAGAGCATAAAAGTTTGGAAAATTTGCAGCCTGACAGTGCAATAGAAAAGAAAATCCCATTTTCTGGGGAGAAATTCAAGCCAGCTGCAAAAATTTGCGTAAGTAATGAGGAGCTGAATGTTAGTCCCCAAGACAATGTAGAAAATGTCTCCAGGGCATGTCAGAGGTCTTCGCATTAGCCTCTCCCATCACAAGCCTGGAGGCCTAGGGAAAAATAGTTTTGTGAGCTGGGTTCAGAGTCCCTGTGCTGTGTGCAGCCTAGAGATTTGGTATCCTGTGTCCCAACTGCTCCAGCCATGACTGAAAGAGGCCAATGTAGAGCTCAGGCCATGGCTTCAGAGGGTGCAAGCCCCAAGCCTTGGCAGCTTCCACTTGGTGTTGAGCCTGTGAGTGCACAGAAGTCAAGAACTGAGGTTTCAGAACCTCCGCCCAAATTTCAGAAGATGTATGGAAACCCCTGGATGTCCAGGCAGAAGTTTGCTGCAGGGATGGGGCCCTCATGGAGAACCTCTGCTAGGGCAATGGGGAAGAGAAATGTGGTTGGAGCCCCCACACAGAGTCCTACTGGGGCACCACCTAGTGGAGCTGTGAGAAGAGGGCCATCACCAGAATGGTAGATCCACTGATGGTTTGCACCATGAGCCTGGAAAAGCCGCAGACACTCAATGCCAGTCTGTGTCAGGAGAGAGGCTGTACCCTGCAAAGCCACAGGGGTGGAGCTGCCCAAGACCATGGAAACCCACCTCTTATATCAGCATGACCTGGATGTGAGACATGGAGTCAAAGATCATTTTGGAGCTTTAAGATATGACTGCCCCACTGGATTTCAGACTTGCATGGGATCTGTGGCCTCTTTGTTTTGCCCAATTTCTCCTATTTGGGACAGCTGTATTTACCCAATGCCTGTACCCCCACTGTATCTAGGAAGTAACTAACTTGCTTTTGATTTTACAGGCTCATAGGCAGAAGGGACTTATCTTGTCTCAGATGAGGCATTGGACTGTGGACTTTTGAGTTAATACTGAAATAAGTTAAGATTTGGTGGGACTATTGGGAAAGAATGATTGGTTTTGAAATGTGAGGATGTGAGATTTGGGAGGGGCCAGGGAAAGAATTATATGGTTTGGCCATGTCCCCACCCAAATCTCATCTCAAATTGTAACTCCCACAATTGGTCAGGGTGATCTCAAACTCCTGACCTCAAATTTCATGGGAGGAACCTGGTGGAAGACAATTGAATTATGGGAGTAGGTCTTTCCTGCACTGTCCTCATGAGAGTGAGTCTCAGGAGATCTGGTGGTTTTAAAAAGGGAAGATTCCCTGTACAAGCTCTCTTCTCTTGTCTGCCACCATGTGAGATGCACCTTTCACCATGATTGTGAGGCCTCCCCAGCGAAGTGGAACTCTGACTCCAATAAACCTCTTTCTTTTGTAAATTGCCCAGTTTCAGGTATGTCTTTATCAGCAGCATGAAAACTGACTAATGCACCAGGCCATCTGTAACTGGGGTTATGGTTAGATTGTGATGTTGTGGCCTTTAAGATGAGGCCGTTCACAGGTGTAGTTTACTGGGATGAAGATGTTACCATATTATTCCATTCAATTATGCCCCTAAAAACCATCCTCACAACAAAATAGAGCTCTTCATTTAGAGGAAAAAGAAATCTCACCATAAAGGTTAACTGGGATTTCTAAATGCTAAGTTTACATTGGAAGTAAAATTTGCATAACATTTAAGGAAATATGAGCAATTAAGTTCTTGTTGTGGCCAGGCACAGTGGCTCACACCTATAATCCGAGAAATTTGGGAGGCCAGGGTGGGAGGATCACTTGAGCCTAGGAGTTCAAGACCAGCCTGGGCAACATAGCAAGATACGGTTTACATTAAAATAATAATAATAATAATATTGCCTCAGTTTTCTTTCCCTGTTAATAATGAATGCTTGGTTGAAATCTAATCAACTTCTTCTCCAGGTTTGTTTCTCCCGAGCCCATCCTGAATCTTCTTTCAATATTAGGTCCTCCCTTGGATTTTTGTGCCAGGTTGGTGTCAAAAGCCAGAGCACTGCTCTCCTTACCACCGCCTCCTTCCTTTACCCTGTGATGGAGGTGGTTCCACCTGAGAAGGTGGTTGGCTGACCAGACATTCCTTTTAAAACAATTGCTTTACTTCTTTCTTTTCTGGGGTTCTTGCCTATGGCCAGAGAGAAGTTTTGCTAAGGCAAACTAAACCAATTGTTAGCTTTCAAAAGAACTTCAAAACAAAATGAAAAAGTACTTTTGACTTGTGGTATCATAAGAATGTCTTAACTTTTTTTATTTTTTATTTTTTTTTTTTTTGAGACAGAGTCTTGCTCTGTTGCCCAGGCTGGAGTGCAGTGGCATGATCTCGGCTCACTGCAAGCTCCGCCTCCTGGGTTCACGCCATTCTCCTGCCTCAGCCTCCCGATGAGCTGGGACTACAGGCGCCCGCCACCGCGCCCAGCTACTTTTATGTATTTTTAGTAGAGGCGGGGTTTCACCATGTTAGACAGGATGGTCTCGATCTCCTGACCTCATGATCCGCCCGCCTTGGCCTCCCAAAGTGCTGGGATTACAGGCGTGAGCCACTGTGCCCGGCCTGTCTTCGCTTTTTAAAAGCAAAGTTTTAAAAGTTTGGAAAATTTCCAAAATAGAAAGTTGGAGAAGAGAGTAAAACTGTGCTCATCCTGCACTGATAATTTTATTTCCTTCCATGAGATTCTGTGAGTAGAAAAAGAGGTGCCTTTTGGGAATCCACGTTAATTTAGATTTTCACGATTTTTTCTTAAATTATAATTTTTGTGTACTAAATATTAGGCCTGTGAGATTTGCAAAGAAAAAAATTCTCCCTGGTCGCCAACTCTGCCTCATGAATACATGGCATTTATCCCAAAGGGGATAGAGCTGAGAATGTTAGGAACTTAGGAGAAACCCTCTTCAGTGCTAGAAAGACACATCCAAAGCTCATGCCTTGCCAAGAATGAGCCACTAGGGCTGTCATCACAAAGGGCAGCACATTGCAACTTCTAACACTACTATAAATGTCCAACTTAATACCAGAGAGTGGTGTGGGCAGAGGATCATCTAGCTTATTACTACTTAAGCCAAAAGAATTTAACTTGTCCGGACTATTTGAAATACCCATTTATTAGTAAATTTGATGAGTTGATGATGGGTACAACTAACTCTAGCTGAGTCAGCCTTTGTGGCTTTTCATATACTTACTTACTTAGGGAAATAGAGTGGGAAGGTGGTACCCATGAGTAATTTGCTGCAAAAATAATAGCATTCTATCACAAACACAGGATTTGGAGAAAAGGAAATATACACATATGTATATGGAGATATATATGACATATATGTTACCAATAACATATATGATACATATAATTATAATTATGTGCATATATTATATATGTATAATATACATTTGTATATGTAACATATACACATCTGTATTATATTTTGCTTTTGCTAGCTTTTATCTGCTGGTTGTTTTTATTGGTTTGTTCTTCATTTTAATTTCTTTAATTTTTAATTTTTACAATTTTTTGTAGAGACAGGTCTTGCTATGTATGGTACCTAGGCTGGTCTGAAACTCGTGACCTCAAGCTGTCCTCCCACCTTGGCCTCCTAAAGTGTTGGGATTACAGATGTGAGCCACCAAGCCTGGCCTACTTACTTATTTTTAGGTAATCAGTTCTTTTTTAATTAGCTCAGCAGTGAGAAGAGGTCGCACCGATGGCTCATGCCTGTAATCCCAGCACTGTGGAAGGCTGAGGCAAGCAGATCATTTGAGGTCAGGAGTTCAAGACCAGCCTGGCCAATACGGTGAAACCCCATCTCTACTGAAAATACAAAAATTAGCCAGGTGTGCTGGTCCATATCTGTAATCCCAGCTACTCAGAAGGCTGAGGCAAGAGAATTGCTTGAACCCAGGAGACAGAGGTTGCGGTGAGCCGAGATTGCGCCACTGCAGTCCGCAGTCCGGCCTGGGCGACAGAGCGAGACTCCGTCTCAAAAAAAAAAAAAAAAAAAAAATTGTGTCAGTAGTGAGAAGAGTCAGAAATATTTGGAACTGGTTAGTATTGATATTCTGCATAGCAGCCATTTTTTTAAGAGTTCAGAAAATCTTTAAAATTATCTTTTTTTTCCTTAACCCTCACAGCATTTTGAATAAGTAATAAAAATTTTTGGCATTATTTCTAGACCTAGCTATAGGTAAGAATGTGGAGGGCTAAAAAGAAAAATGACTTGTCAAACAAAGTGCTCCAGGGGAAATCTAAACATCTAAAACAACAACAACAACAAACTCAAGATAATATTTGTCCGCATGGTAGAAAAGAACCAAATATGTGGACAATGGCAAATGAATGACTGAATCTCATTTCATCAGCTGTCCTGTTTCTGCCATTATATAGATACTAGATTTTATTACACGTTATTTTTTCACCTGAAAGATGCAGGATTCTTCATTTTATTTGATTTTATTTATATGAATTTTAATTCACATCAATAACACATAGAATATTTTTCTCAGAACTTGTGTCATGTTTGAAGAACTCTCTGCTATAAGCCTGTGTTTCTCAGAAAATTGAAGAGATAAATACTAAAACAGATTTTTGTTTAATATCTAAACTTTTTAGAGATATGAGTGGTATCATTAATTAATAGTTCTCTCTTCCAAACTGGTCTTACAAGTGGAACACATAGCCTTTGTGTCGTGAACAGGGCAAGGCAGGCACAGCCCTCGGCCCTCTTCTACCATTGCATCTCCCATCCGCTATCTCCTTCAAAGCACAGGGCCTGACATCAGAGTGAATTCTCACCAGGACCTTCTAGAGTGTGTGCTCATCATGGTTACAGCCTCCACACATCTAGCCTGCACATATTTGGAATGACTTTCACCTCCAGAAACAGTAAAACTGCGGCTATTAAAAGACAATCTTCCAGAGCCCCAAGATTTTTCAAAATGGATTTGAATCTGGAATTAACATTGACCTCTTTATTCTCATACACAGATACACAAACAAATAACAATAACAAAACAATAATAGTGATAGAACCTGAGCAACTAGTGAAAACAAACCTCCCAAAACTACCTCAATATATATGTATCACACCTGAGGGTCTGATGTGCTATAATTATGTGGTTTACTTATGCATTCATTTGTTGATTCATTCAACAAACATTTATTTACCACATACCATGCGTTCTATTCAAAGGGGTCAGGGGATGGCAGTGAATTAAGACAGACAAGACCTCTGCCCTTATAGAGTCTTATGTTCCAGGGGAGATGGAGAAGACAAATGATGATGCTGTAAAGAAAACTAAGATAGAAAGATATGGAAGGTGAGTGGGTTTATTTGGACAGGTGAACAGGGAAGGGCTTCAAGAGAAGGGCTGGAATAATTATAAGTCTGCCATGTAAAGATCCAAGGATGAGAATCAGAGGTAGAGAAAAGTCCAGGAGCAAGGGCTCTGAGATAATAACAGGCTTAGTGAGTTGATAGATGAAGGCTAAAGCATGGAAACGAGAAAGTCATAGGAGGTAAGGTTGGAGAAGTACACAGTAGCCATAGGAATAAGTTTTTTGCTTTTATTCCGTGTGCAGTGCGATGCCACTGGTATATTTTAAGTAGAAATATAATATCTTATTTGTGTTTTTAAAAGATTATTCTGGCTGCTTTTGGAGGAATGGACTGTAAGAGGCAAGACAGAAGCAAGGGACAAGTTAGGAAGCTATTTCATAGTATAACTTGGACCAAATTTTATGACATGAATGATGCATTTTGATTATGTATGAATTATGGAAGGCTGTATTTTAATAGCTGCAGTTTTACTGTTTCTGGAGATGAAAGTCATTCTATATATGTGGAAGCTGGATGTGCGGAGGCCGTAACCACGATGAACACTCACTTTAAAAGCATCTGGTGAGAGCTTACTCTCATGTCAGGCCATGTGCTTTGATGGAGAAAGCGAATAGGAGATGCAATGATACAAGAGGGCCTTACCTTGTGCTGTTCATGACAAAAAGGCTATTTGTTCCACTTGTGAGACCAGTGGAACTGATATAAAAGATTCTTCTCTCAGCACAATGGCTAAAGTAAATGGGAGCACCAACGTAAACTAGAAAAAAAAAACAAAAAGAGAAGATGAGGGAAGAAATTGGGACAGCAGAGATAGAAGACCCAAAACAAGACTTCCATGAGGCTGGAATATCTTATTACAGAAAAGTCAGTGCCAGAAAGTAAGATAGTACTCAGAACTCACCAGGACATGTCAAGAGATTGTATGAGTCAACATGAAGGGGCAACCACTGGCAATATTTTAGACAGTGCATTCATCAGAATTAATATTGTGTGAAATGGATACGACACATTGAAGAAAAAGTACCCATGGAGTTCACATTGACACTAACAAAATTTTTTTAGAAAGTAAAGGTGGAGAGGCATGATTCTTTACAGAAAAAAATGCCAAGCATTTAATGCAAATACACAATGAAAACAGAAAATCCCCATTTTAAAATCACTAATAGCAACGACTGATTCAGCAAAACCATAGTGGGTGCCAAAGCTACTAGGTGAAAGATTATTTGGAAAAAAATATTTATATAGATACAAAATCTTATCGCATATATTATTAATTTGAAAAGGAAAAGTTCTCTTACCATTTGAGAAATCTGACAGAAACTGATCAAATTTAACATTACCAATAATGGGACAAACTGACACAGCATTCTTATGATGTGAATCACTAAGAATAACCCACATCACCTGCACAGTACTCCTGAATCTACTCACAAGGAAACAAACAAATCAAAATTGAGAGACATTGTGCAAAAATAATTAACCTAGAGAAAAACAAATAAATAAAGTCAATGTCATAAAAGAAAAAAAGGGGAATAGGAGACTATTCTAAAGTAAAGACAAAATAAATATGAATGCTGAAGGTAATGAGTCATCTTCATTGGAATCTGGATTAAATAAATCTATAAATGGTAATATTCAGATAATTACAGAAATTTGATAGTGGGCCATGTACAAGATAAGTGAATACTTTTGTTCTTAGGAGCGACAAGAAGAAATATTTAGATTCGAGTGAGTATTACATCTGCAAATGGCTCAAAAATAAAGAAATAGAGAAGCAAAGAATTAAAAAGTCTAGATGAAAAGTAGATACAGTGCTCATCATCCTCATCTTGAAAATTTTCTGTAGGTTTGAATCTTTCCAAAGAGAAAGACACTAAAAAAGAAAACAATACAAGTGTTCTGCTGTCAGAAGTGGACTACGGTTCTCTTCATCTACTCGTACAGAATAGCACTGTGAAAGAGCGCAGTGTAGTATTAAAACCATGGGTTCGGCCGGGCGCGGTGGCTCACACCTGTAATCCCAGCACTTTGGGAGGCCGAGGTGGGCAGATCACGAGGTCAGGAGATGGAGACTGAGGTAGGAGAATTGCTTGAACCCGGGAGGCAGAGGTTGCAGTGAGCTGAGATCATACCATTGCACTCCAGCCTGGGCAACAGGGAGAGACTCCGTCTCAAAAAAAAAAAAAAAACACACACACACACACACAAGGTCTAGAGCCAAACCTCCTGGGTTCATCTTTCAATTTTTTCACATATTAACTATATTAACTATATATATAGTTTTGAACAAGTTACTTTATTTCCCTGTACTTCCATTTCCCAGCTACAAAATGAGAATAAAAATAGTGCCAACCACGAAACGCTTTTGTGAGGATTAAAGCATTTATAACTATGCTGGCAAACAGTAAGCACTCAATAAATGTAAGCTGTTAGTATTTCACTTCAGTGGTTACTAAAGGTAAGACTGTATATCCTCAAAAGACACTACTGAGAGAACAGCTCATCTAAAATGTAGTGATTGTAGATCTCATCCATGATCAAAATTATGAACTGGTAATATTTTTATTATTTATTACTACTTGGTACTCTTAGAACTTCAATTTAGTGTTCTGTGGGTTTTTTCTTTCTTTTATTTTCTTTTTTCTTATTTTTTTGAGACCAAGTCTCACTCTGTCACCCAGGCTGGAATGCAGTGCCGCGATCTCGGCTCACTGCAACCTCTGCCTCCAGGGTTCAAGAGATTCTTCTGTCTCAGCCTCTCAAGAAGCTTGAATTACAGGCGCGTGCCACTGTGCCCAGCTAATTTTTGTATTCTTAATAGAGACAGGGTTTCACCATATTGGCCAGGCTGGTCTTGAACTCCTGACCTCCTTGGCCTCCCAAAGTGCTGGGATTACAGGTGTGAGCCACTGCACCATCCTGGGTTTTTCAATGGATAATTTTTAAAATGCCTGTCTTGTAGAATTATTGTTATGATTATAATTTTAAGAACACTCACAATGGTTATCCTGAGTAAGAAAAAAAAACTTTAATTATGCTTGATATCCTATGTTAAAGATCACAGGAAAATATTTTGGAAATATTTTCCTTTAAAATAGTTCAAATTTTAATATTTAAATTATAAGTTAACCTTTAAATATTCAGAGCAAAGATTTTATCAAATTATTCATTTCCTTAGATCTGCATAGCTAAGGTGGTGTACATTTTTACTCTCAATTATGCCTTTACAAATATTTCCTTTGAAACTTCTCTTTCTTCCAAAATAAGAAACTGAAATGAAACCCAGGGACAAGCTAATGTAGGAATCTAACAAAATATAATTCCCCTCCTTCCTAACATGACTCTAGGATCTAGGACCTAAAGGGCTTCCCAACATGACTCTAGGACCTAGGACTCTAGGACCTAAAGGGCTACGGTCTTAGTGTAAAGGTGAACTGGAAGTAAATCTGTTCCCAACCTCAAAGCATTGCAAGAAAAATCAATTCTCTTAAAAATGGCACTGAAAAAAGGTGACAGAAAAAGTGATGCCAAAAATTTGGATCCACAACTGAGTGTTCATTGTGGGTTTGTACCCATAATTACATAACTCATGTAGTCCAAAAATATCGAACCAGTAATTCAGCCTAGAGTAATCCCTTCTAAGAATCTGGTAGAACACTCTGCAAAACTCCAACTTCCAACTGAGCCTGTAAGTTTTCCCATAAACAAAATTCTAAGAAAAATGAACATTCAGAAATAGCAAAATACATAAGAAAAAAGGCACAAAGAGTAAGAATTAGTGGAACAATATGGTCCAAAAAGCAGTCACATAATCAATTCAGCTAGTGGAGTTATCTCTGGTGGCTTTGTAATGTGTCAGCTTGGCTAAGCTGAAGCCATTTTTCGTTGGCTATGGTATGCTACAAGGGAGAGCCTTATTAGTTGGAAGGCAGGAGAGAAACAGCAGCCATCTTAAACTGCACACAAGTTGTATTATTGTTGCTTTGCTGACTCGCCTCATTGATGTGAGGTACCATCTGGGGCTACAACTGCTCTACCTCCCCCTCTACCCTTCTTTAGCTTTTCCAACTCTTGGGTGAGGTTTGCATACAGAGCTCTGGGACAAAGGGTCCCAGCTCCTGCAGGATACCCTTGGCACTAAGAGCAGAGGCAACAAGATTCGACACGTTTTGGTCCAGCCTTACAGAAAATTCTTAACCAGCTCCGCAAGTTGCATAAGCTTATAACAAATCTGTTTGTGTGTGCGCGCGCGCGCGTGTGTGTGTGTGTGTGCGTGTCCCAGTAGGGGATTTATGTTTGTTGTTTGTTTGAAACCTGACTAATACATTTTCAGACACAGACTATAAAATGACCATGTTTAATATGTTAATAAAAGATCATTAATATGCTAATAAAGAATATGCTAATAATGAATCATGAGGGGGTTCTGTTTGTGCTTAGGATATAAAAAGCTGCTACAAAAGGTTGCTCTCATTCCAACAGGAAGAAAATAGTTGATAAAATTTTAACTTTTTGAATTCATCAGAGAGCTGAGATTACAAGACAACCAAGTAAACTGAATTCTAAGGAGTGACAATCACCTCCATAGAGAGAGGTGGAACCCATGAACTATATTGCCTTTGAGAAAGCATGAGTAGAAAAGGTTGGTCCCTTAATGGCGGCTACGAAGAAATCAGCTAAAAATACTTACTGTATATTTAAAGACGGAGTACATACTAAGGTATCCGTTTAGAATAATTGGAAGTCTCCAGCACAAAGATAATTGGCACTCACTTGAAAATTATTTTCTGCAGTCTTTCACTAGGTGTTCACAAGAAAAACTAAATGTGAGGCAGAAGACTCAAGAAAGTCCCTTTTGCTGGAACAGTTATGTGGATGATAACTGACTGATGTTGGGAGAAAAGGCAAAAAAACACTGCCTGCTTTCCTAGATCCTTCTCTCATAGAAAGCAAGAGCTTTGTACCACTTGGAAAGGAGCAGCAAACCCTTGTGCAAAGAGCCACTGCTTGAAGGAAGGACAGAAACAAAAACCCTCTACTCTTGAGAAAAACACAGGAATACCCCTTGGGCTCACATTCCTGCCCCAATGTGTCTGCTGACACTGGAAGAGGGACAAGATTACTGTAAATACAATGCAGAGTAGTGCACTGAAAGTAACAGCAACAACAAAAACCTTAATCTAGTGCAAGCTATGACTGGATTGACTCAATGTCCCACACTAAGGGCCTGTTAGAAGAAGCATTCTTATTTCTAGGCATAAATATTATTTGCCTCAGTCTCTACTATTCTTCAATGTACAATGTCTGACATTTCATTAAATATTTTAGTCATACAAAAGGCAAGGAGAAAAAAACACCATCAATTGTTAAGAGATAAATGAATTACTAGAAGCAGACTCAGAAATGACCCAGAGGCCGGGCACAGTGGCTCACGCCTGTAATCCCAGCAATTTGGGAGGCCAAGGCGGGCAGATCACCTAAAGTCAAGAGTTCGAGACCAGCCTGGCCAACATGGTGAAACCCCATCTCCACTAAAAATACAAAAATTAGAGGGGCGTGGTGACAGCTTCCTGTAATCCCAGCTAAACAGGAGTCTGAGGCAGGAGAATCGCTTGAACCCGGGAGGTGGATGTTGCAGTGAGCTGAGATTACACCATTGCACTCCAGCAAGGGTGACAGAGTGAGACTCCATATAAAAAAAAAAAAAAAAAAAAGACCCAGATATGGGAAGTATCAGAGTCAGGGACTTCAAAATAACTGCAAATAATAATGTTAAAGGATACACAGGAAAAGATGGATGACCTCCTTGAACACACTGGTATTTCAGCAGAGAAATGAAAACTTTTAAAAAGAGTCCAGTGAAAATGCTAGAATTTTTTTTTTCAGTAATAGAGGTAACTTCCTTTGATAAACTGATTAGTAGAATGAACATGGTTGAAGAAAGACACAACAAACATTGTAACAAATGTGCCACTCTTGTAGGGGAATGTTGACAATAGGGGAGGCTAGGCATGCGTGAGGATAGAGGTATGTGGAATGGCTCTGTACCTTCCCCTCAAATTTGCTTGAACCTAAAACTTTTTTTAAAAGTCTTTAAATAAATTACAATTTAAAAAAGAAACAGAGGAGGCCAGATGCAGTGGCTCATGCCTGTAATCCCAGCACTTTGGGAGGCCGAGGCAGGCAGATCACTTGAGGTCAGGAGTTCAAGACCAGCCTGGCCAATAATATGACAAAACCCCATCTCTACTAAAAATACAAAAATTAGCTGGGTGTAGTGGCAGGAGCCTGTAGTCCCAGCTACTCAGCGGGGCTGAGGCAGGAGAATCGCTTGAACCCGGGAGGCAGAGGCTGTAGTGAGCTAAGATCACATCACTGCACTCCAGCCTTGGCAGCAGAGTGAGACTCTTTAAAGAAAAAAAAGGAAACAGGGATAATTGCGAAAAGAAGTTTTGAAATAAGAAGACTAGAATGAGAAAGACTAATATATATCTAATTACAGTCCCAAAAGAGACACAGGAGGGAACTTAGCAGAGAAAATATTTGATGAATATTTTCAGCAAACCTTAATCATTAGTGAATGGTTAAGATTTTCTCAAATTCTTAAAATACAGCAACTCACAGATTCAAGACGACTTACAAACTTCAAGCAGGAAACATTTTTTAAAAATCCACAACTATCTATTTCATAGTAAAATTGCAAAAGACCAAAGTCAGATAAGATTTTAAAAGTGATCAGAGTTGTGAAAATTAGAATGACAAATTGAAAAAAGTGTCAGTTCTCCTCAAAATGATCCAAAGATTTAATATAATGCAAACAATTCTAAAATGTTTTTGTGGAATTTGACAATCCATTTCTAAGATGTAAATGAAGGTGCAAGAGGTCAATAAGAGCCAAGACACTCTTTTTCTTTTTCTTTTTCTTTTTTTGGATGGAGTCTCGCTCTGTCACCCAGGCTGGAATGCAGTAGCGCTATCTCAGCTCACTGCAACCTCCACTTCCTGGGTTCAAGCAATTCTCTGCCTCAGCCTCCTGAGTAGCTGGGATTACAGGCGCCCACCACCACGCCTGGCTAAATTTTTTGTATTTTTAGTAGAGATGGGGGTTTCACCATCTTGGCCAGGCTGGTCTTGAACTCCTGGCCTCATGATCCAACCACCTCGGCCTCCCAAAGTGCTGGGATTACAGGCGTGAGCCACTGTGCCCAGCTTTGAGACACTCTTGAGAAAGAAGAAGGTAGGAACTTGAACTACCAGTTATCAAGTTTATTGTAAAGAGATTATAACTAACAATGTGGTTTTGGCACAGGAACAGACAAATGAGTTATGGAAGAGAATGGAACCCTATGCGCATATAGCCATTTGGTAAATGATAGAGTTGGTATTGCAGTTCAGTGCAAAGTAATTGCGCACTTCAACGTACTACAGAACCAGTTCCAAGTGGAGGAAAGATCTAAATGTGAAAGGCAAAAAAATAAAGCTTTAAAAATATGACAAAAGAGAATATCTCTGTGACCTGGAGGGTAATGAAGACTTTTACAAAGATTTTTGTTTTTTTTTTTGTTTCGTTTTTGAGACAGGGTCTCACTCTGTAGCCCAGGCTGGAGTGCAGTGGCTCAATCATAGCTCACTGCAGGCACAATCATAGCTCACTGCAGCCTCAAACTCCTGGGCTCAAGCAGCTCACCCACTTCAGCCTGCCAAGTAGCTGGAACTACAGGCATGAGCCACCACACCTGACTAATTTTTAAATTTTTAGTAGAGACAAGGTTTTACTATGTAGCCTGGGCTGGTCTGGAACTCCTGAGCTCAAGTGATCCTCTTGCTTTGGCCTCCCAAGATACAGGGAGTATAGATGTGAGCCACTGCACCCAGCCAAAAGATTTTTAATTGACAATTTTAAAGAAAAAGTTGGCAAATTCAGTTACATTAAAATTAAGAATTCCTCAAAAGCCATCATGAAAAAGTAAAAGGCAAGACATAAAATGTGAAGAACTATTTCAATGCATAAAGACACAAAAGACACAAAATTCAAATTCAGAATATTTTCAAAAACACTAATTCATACATAAAAGAGGAGAAAACAAGAAAAGGTAACGGTATTGAACCCTGGGAAAAGTTATGCCATAGAAAAGTGGCTTCTGTATGCCAGGCAAGTAACATATCTTAATTTCACAATGACTTGTAAGATCTATAATATCCTCATGTTTCAAAAAAGGAAGCTGAGTTCCCAGACAGCAATAGCTTTTCCAGGATTACACAGCTAGTAAATGTCAATGTCTGAATTCAAGATTAAGTCTTCTAACCAAAATCCACAGCTTCTGCAGTTTACTGTGCATCTTGCTTTACACCATAGTCTGTGATTAATAAAATTCAGAGAGAATTCGCTTTTCTTTGTTTACTTACCTGCTGGAGATTTGCCTCCTTCCTTAACAAATAACTGCTTCTTGAAACTTGTACCCAACACTTAAAATGTGTGTATTTAATATATCTGATGAATGCTGCAGCTTTTCTTCATTGTAGACCCTGCCACGTGTGTTTTAAGAAGCCCTGCAGGTGATTGCAATGCACACTCTAATTTGAGAACCGCTGCTCTATACTTACCTTAGATTTAGCTCAGAAAGCCACACAGCTGGGCATGGTGGCTCACATCTGTATTCCCAGCACTTTGGGAGGCCAAGGTGGACAGATCCCTTGAGGTCAGGAGTTTGAGACCAGCCTGGCCAACATGGCGAAACCCCATCTCTACAAAAAATACAAAAATTAACCTGGTGTGGTGGCAGATGCCTGTAGTCTCAGCTACTTGGGAGGCTGAGGCAGAGAATTGATTAAACCAGGAGGCAGAGGTTGCAGTGAGCTGAGATCACACCACTGCACTCCAGCCTGGACAACAGAGCGAGACTCTGTCAAAAAGCCACAGTTCTCATCTGTCTGAAAATGGCTTCCTCTCATCTCCTTAGAAAATTCTCTTTTTTGTCTTGTTCAAGCTCATTGCTAATTCTACTTAATGCAGGAAGCTTTCCAAGCCTGGAGAAACTAACTTCAGTTTCTCCCATCATATGGAAAGAGCCGCCTCCCCCAGCTCCAACCCTATCCCAGTACAGGATATTCACATTGTTTCTTAAGAGAAAAATAAATAAACACAGAAACTGAAATCAAAATTTCAAACCAACCACAAAGTGCAGTTGGTGTGTGTTTGGACAGTATGTGAATAAACATGTGACATGTTTATTTTACTGTTTAGAGCTTCAACTTCTGGACTAAAGGAACTATACCATGTATGCACTCTCCAGCAATGTGGGAGCCAAACACATTTTTAAATATCAGATAATAGCGGAAATTCTCAAAGCATGGTTCTGCCTGAGTATCTGCTATAGAATCACAGGATTGGATTAATCGATGTGAAAAATAATTGCTTGCATGTAAAAATTGTTTTTCAGAAGTTTTGTCCCCATGATGCTCCAGATATTGCCTGGAATATAAGCAGGCTCTGACCCCTCTTCCCATGGTCACCTCCCTGTGGCTTTCCGCGCTTCTGGCTTGGCTTTCCCTGGGAAGAAAAGCTGAAAACTTTCTTGGTACTGAGCCATTCTCCCATCTGGGATAAAGATTAAGAAAGAGGAGGGGAGCTTTTGATCAGATTATAAATGCCAGATGCTACCACATTAATAGCCCTACAGATCCCAATGGTGCTTACTTCAAACATTTGATTTTCCAACTCTCCTCTCTAAAGAATGTGCTGGTAACTGTCAGGAGTCACAGAGGAGTGGCCCACTACATTCATGAGCACTTGCCACTGACAGATTAAAAGGAAATCACGAGACCTTATTGTGGTTTATCAGCTTTCACATGGAGCAATTTTTCCCAGATTGGAGACTTCCATCATAGCTCAGGGAATCATGAGAATTGTTAAAGAGATCAGCATATCGGCTTCAAGCCAAGAGGACATAAACCAACATCAACGAAAGGCATTCTAGCCTTAGAATTAGTATAGACTTGGCCGGGCGCGGTGGCTCACGCCTGTAATCCCAGCACTTTGGGAGGCCGAGACAGGCGGATCATGAGGTCAGGAGATCGAGACCACCCTGGCTAACACAGTGAAACCCTGTCTCTACTAAAAAAATACAAAAAAATTAGCCGGGCTTGGTGGCAGGCGCCTGTAGTCCCAGCTACTTGGGAGGCTGAGGCAGGAGAATGGCATGAACCCAGGAGGCGGAGCTTGCAGTGAGCTGAGATCGCGCCACTGTGCTCCAGCCTGGGTGACACAGCATAACTCCGTCTCAAAAAAAAAAAGAAAAGAAAGAAAAAAAGACTTAGTATAGACTTATAGGAAACCATTCAGTTATTATAAATAAAAGAGTTCTTTGATTGTTTTCCTTATAAAATCTGAGGAAGAGTACATTGGTCAAAGCTGATGTGCAGAAAGAAAGTAGCAAAAAGAAATATGAGTGATAACAGAAAAAAGAGGAGAAAATGGAAGAGTCAAAGAAGAGAATCTGGAAAGGAAATACACAGTGAATAGAAGGAAGTAATGCAATAGAACAAAATCAATTTCTAACTCGAAATTCTTAATTATGGTAATAATTTTAAGCCCAGCCTCTGAGGGAAAAATAGTTATGATGCAGTCTAAGATCTATTGGATCAGCATTACTGAGTTTTCCTCTTGCCTGAGACTCCACTATGGCTTGGCCAGCACTGCTACTGACAGTCTTTATGTAAAATTTAGAAATTTTGTTCATTATGGATTTTCTTGCATAATTTTATTTTTTAAAATGTTCCATTAAAATATTATTTACCTTTATTACTGAGTTTTTGGTGCCCCTTAAATTTTGCACCCAAGGTGAGTGCCTCACTTACCATTGTCTTGGCCCCATGAATCAATCACACTTTTCTTTAAAATTTAGTTTGGTATCATCAGAATAAGTAATGGAGATATAGAGGCATTTCTTTCAAATGGAAAGACCAGCTAATCATCTGGGTTAAGGTAAATAAAGATTTTAAGACTAGAAGACCTCTTGGGAGGCTATTTTCACAAATTATGGAGTTAGAGAAATGCTTTTACCTTGAAGAATTATATGTGAAGATTTATTCTGAATAAAGTTTTTCCTGGGTGCTCATCTATGTGATCTAACCAAAGCCACACATAAACATTATTATGATTACGTCTTGATCTGTTACAGATATTAGGCCCTGAAATAAAACCAAAGACTCTTGTCCCACCAGCTCTGATGAAAACAGCAAACTGGCCGGGCTCGGTGGCTCACGCCTGTAATCCCAGCACTTTGGGAGGCCAAGGCAGGTGGATCACCTGAGGTCAGAGTTCAAGACCAGCCTGGCCAACATGGTAAAACCCCGTCTCTACTAAAAGTACAAAAATTAGCCGAGGGTGGTGGTGGGCGCCTGTAATCCCAGCTACTCAGGAGGCTGAGGCAGGAGAATTGCTTGAACCCGAGAGGCAGAGGTTGCAGTGAGCCAAGATGGCGCCACTGCACTCCAGCCTAGGCGACAGAGAGAGACTCCATCTCAAAAAAAAAAAAAAGAAGGAAACTGGGAACACAGCAACTCCCAGGTATAAATTACAATGTGAACCTGAAAAGGTTCTCCCTCGAGCAATGTAAGAAAGTTCAGAAAAAACATGTTTTGAATGTTAATTCATCTGTTCCTGTGGAAAAGTATACATACACCTGGATTCGTATTAAGTGCGTATATGTGGACTGTAGCAGGAGACTACAGAAATACATTTGGATGGAAACAAACCCTTGTGGCCAGGCACTGTGGCTCACACCTGTAATCCCAGCACTTTGGGGAAGCTGAGGAAGGAGAATCACTTGAGCCCAGGAGTTCGAGACCAGCCTGTGCCAAATAGTGAGACCCTGTCTCTAAAAAAAAAAAAAAAAAGAATATACAATAACATGTTCTCACTGCAAATGTAGGTGACTCAGAAATTTGGTACATGTAATTAATAAAAATAGTTTTTATTATTTTGTTTTCATTTGTTAAGAGAGGACAGAATAATAGGCATTTTACTAATATTATTTTTCTTAATTCCCATAATAACCATAAATGGGAGATTCTACTGTCCTCATTTTCCACATGAAGGAGATGAAGCTTACAAAAGAGATTTGCCCCCAGCCAATCTAGCAGCTTGTTAATAGCGGGTGGGGTCAGATTTTTAACCTGAGTCTGTTTGATTTCAAAATCTCTATGTTCTTCTCTATACCATGGGTTGACAAACTACAGTCCACATGTCAAGTCCACCATGCCACCTCACAGTCTGCAAGCTAAGAATGTCTTTTACATTTTCAAATGGTTGAAAAAAAGTCAAAAGAAGGATATTATTTTGTGACATGTGAAAATTACATGAAATTCAAATGTCAGTGTTCATAAAGGAAGTTTCATTGGAGCACAGCCACACCCGTTCATACTATCAATGGTTGTTTCATACTACAATGGCAGTTGAGTAATTGCTACAGAGACCATCTCTCCCACAAGCCTAAAATATTTACTGTTTAGCCTTTTTAAGCTAAAGCTTGCCAACCTCTGTTTTGCACTACCTTGTCTCTTAATTTGGTAGTGGAAATTTTAAAAGTATCATTTAAAAAAATAATAATCCCAGTTTTACTACGCTTTCTCTTGAAAGCATATTAGTATTAGATATATATTAGATATAGCTAACACTGAAGTGCATCTCTTTTTTTTTCAAATAACACTTTAAGTTCTAGGGTACATGTGCACAATGTGCAGGTTTGTTACATATGTATACATGTACCATGTTGGTGTACTGCACCCATTAACTCATCATTTACATTAGGTATATCCCCTAATGCTATCCCTCCCCTCTTCCCCCACCCCATACAGAACATCTCTTTATGATGCTCTTGCAAAAGCTAAATCTCCCTGCTTTTTGCACCTCCAACCTGCAAGAAAAATTTCATTCCTACCTCAATGTTCTACCAATCAGATCAAGTTACATTTGTCTCTAACTTAATTGCAGTTCTCCATTTAACCTACGTGGAAGAGAAAAATCTGAACAGGAACACAGACATAAGTGCTGAAGTGCTGGTTTCTTGACAAGTCATGGATTTCTGCCATGGCTGATTATAGGAACCATAAGAAGCCAAGAAGGAGATCACATTTAAGTAGCAGCAAAAGAATACTTTTTCAAGCTATATAATTCTATGTATAGAGAATAACAAAATTATGGCAAACACCACCACACCACACTGCAAACAAAATAAATAAGCTATTGTAAAACTGTGGCTAAATATCTAGTTTCTAACATCTACTTCCAATGGATTTCTGCTGCCTGCATTTCTTTTGACAGCCAGTCTGCTGACCTGGCATCCAAGACATCATTATGTAAAATGTTCTGGGAATCCAACAGTCAGTTCTCAGCATCTTAGGTCTAGCCTCCAAGCATTATTTATAATGCTAATGTCAGCACCATGACCCAATTGTATTCCCATAATCCCCTTCCAAGAGTGGAAGAAAGAAAACTCCCAAGAAATATCTATCCCTGGGACGTCAAAGGTAAGGCTGAGAGCAATGTTGCAGTCTCCTGTTTCTGTAGCTCTTGCTTTCTGACTCTCAGAGCAGCTTCTTTGGCTATTTCTCTAGGGCTTTCCAGCTTACACTGTTTTTTCTTATAACTTTTTGCCATCCGCTAAAGGAATTCATTGAACTAATGTGAAATATTATTAACAAGGCTGGCAGAATGCTCTTCCACGGATAATGAGACAGAGGTTTCTCTGCCAAAATAAATTTTCATAGGTACAAATTCTATTTCTCTGCCTGATCCCCAGTGGTTTAATTTTTTGTTTCCTAATCTTCGGCCTCAGTCAAATTATCTTTTCATAGGGAAAATATTCCTAGCAACCTAAAGTACACAACTGACTTTCCATGAAAATAAACTCCATTTCTCCATTCTCCTAGCCTCTCAGATTTCTAACACATTTAATCTTTTCTAGAGTCTGCCAAAGTCAAAGGAGTTCATAAAGTACATCATGCACCAATCTGCTTTTCAGACCAACTTGATATGATGCAGTTGAATTTTGACAGGCTAGCAGAAAGGAAATGACTTAAATCAGAAGCAGGCTTGGTTTAAAATTGTCTTGTCTGTGTGGTTGTTATTTTTTTCCTAGATGGTTCCAGAAAAAATAAATACGATTCTTGAGAGTGTCTACTTTGGAAATTGTTTTTTCCCTTCTTTGTCATTCTCTGTGTGATCCCAAGGGGCTACTGGAAAGAATTTTCCGGGAGCAAAAGGAAGAGAAAAGCCAGCAAAAAACTCAGTTTGCTCTTAATAACAACTCTTTTTCGCGTGTTGGTGAGCTGTCTCATCAGCCAGCAATGGAATCATTGTTAAAGACTCCTCTGGTTCCTTGACCTCAGGAAAATAAGTATCATTTAGTCCAGGATCAAAACCAGGTTGAAAAGTTCTCTTTAAGAATCTTAACAATATGCCAGAAATGACTTAGATAACTAGGTGGTTCGGACGAAATCTTTAATATTCAAAATACTTTAGAAAGAAAAACAAGCTTTTAAAAATGACAAACCCCAATGAGAGCAAAGATAACTCTTTAAAAATGTGAGAAGAAGCTGAGTCAGACTCTGTCAGCAAGCTTCACTGAGGCCTGGGGACTTGTAGCAACATGATTTTTTTTTCTTGAACTTACACAGCAACTTTTAGCCAAAGATCTCAACGTAGTCTATAAAAGGAAAATTATCTAACATCCCACTGGAGGGGACAGGTTCAGGATATTACCACTATCTCTCTAAATCAGGGTTTCTCAACCTCTGCACGATTGACATTTTGAGTTGAATTATTCTTTATTGTGGAACCTGTCCTGTGCAATGTAGGATGTTTAGCAGCATCTCTGAACTCTACCCACTAGATGCCAGTAGACTCACCATCCCCCCATGTCCCTCCTCCCTTGTTGT
This sequence comes from Homo sapiens, assembly GCF_000001405.40. Lineage (NCBI taxonomy): Eukaryota > Metazoa > Chordata > Mammalia > Primates > Hominidae > Homo > Homo sapiens. Next base: position 143,287,747 of record NC_000004.12, read on the forward strand.
GACAACCAAAAATGTCTCTAGACTTGCCAACTATCCTCTAGGGGGCAAAATAGCCCCCAGTTGAGAAACACTATTCTAAATGAACCCACCAAGGCACAGAGTAGTCAATAGACTTATATGGGCCAGGTACGGTGGCTCATGCCTGTAATCCCAGCACTTTGAGAGGTCGAGGCAGGCGGATCACCTGAGTTCAGGAGTTCGAGACCAGCCTGACCAACATGGAGAAACCCCATCTCTACTAAAAATACAAAATTAGCTGGATGTGGTGGCTCATGCCTGTAATCCCAGCTACTCAGGAGGCTGAGACAGGAGAATTGCTTGAACCGAGGAGGCGGAGGTTGCAGTGAGCCAAGATCACACCATTGCACTCCAGCCTGGACAACAAGAGCAAAGCTCCTTCTCACAAAAAAAAAAAAAAAAAAAAAAAAAAATGACTTATACGATAGCACTCAGCCAAAAGGCAGTCTCAAAACTGGAAGAAAATGATAATTCCCAAGTCCCAAACATGTAACCCATACAACCAGTGCTCCCTACTTTAGTGGAAACTCATCTCTCAGACCACCCCTGAGTCACTAATTTATTCCTCAGTTTGGTTAGTTCTGGAAACATATCCACTAGGACTTAGTTGTCAGTAAAAATTTTCCCTCACGCTGCACTGGAAGGTTGGCTGTGTTGTGTATAACCGATTGGTGTTATTCTCTTGGGGATCACTAAGTGAATTCTGAGACTCACTAAGTGAATTCTGAGACTAACTTCTTTCTGAAAGCAGGTAAGCCTATATAGCATGAAACGAATCAGAAGCAACCCTGTTATTGTACATGCAGAATCATTTATAGCTTAAAGCCTTTACTAAATGCAGAGCCGCTGATGGAGCAGAATGGGATGGGACGAGGAGTTCACAGGATGACTTAGCTGAGCAGATGAACATTTTTAGATTTTATCTGGTAAGTCCCTCAACCACATTAATTTTTTGCAGAGGATTTCTTGGAAATGGTTGCTACATGTACTTTTTCTTAATTGATTTATTTAAACAGAACACTTCATTTGCATACAATTTTTTGATATGTTTGTGCTTGTCTCTTGATAAATTATAAAATGCCTGTCCCCTCCCTCCTTTTTATTCACATCAGCATGTGAACTTGCTGATCCCTCCATGAATCAGTGAAGGCAGGTACAGATTAACTTGGGCAATGAGCCACCTCAAGGATTTTGGGAATAGAAACAGGTGTAATCATTTATTTTTAAAACTTGAACTCAGAGACGCAAGAGGAGTGGAATGCCATGCTTGTGTGACTGTTGCAGAAAGCTGGGTGTGAAGCTGTACCATTTAGCTCTATAGTCAACGAACATATGCTGCGTACCTACTGACTCTGAGGCCCTGTGCTGACGTTATAGAAAATGCAAGAATGACCAGAGTCGGACGGGCCTGGTGGTTCATGCCTGTAATTCCAGCACTTTGGGAGGCCCAGGCGGGCAGATCACTTGAGGTCAGGAGTTCGAGACCAACCTGGCCAGCATGATGAAACCCTGTCTCTACTAAAAATACAAAATTAGCCAGGAGTGGCAGGTGCCGGTAATCCCAGCTACCTGGGAGACTGAGGCAGGAGAATCACTTGAACCCAGAAGAGGGAGGTGGCAGTGAGCCAAGATCAGGCCACTGTACTCCAGCCTGGGCAACAGAGTGAGGCTTCATCTCAAAAAAAAAAAAAAAATGCCCAGAGTCATGTTCTGCATTGATTTTTTTATTTTGTCATAGACTAAGAGAAAAACTGTTGCATATGCAGAAGTAATTATACTGTGAGGCAGAAGGTAATCAGTGATGTAAAGGGGAAAAGGGGAAGTGTGTGTTTTTGGCATTCACAATTTTTGGCCCCATAATACCATAAAGAATTAGGTTCTCATCACAAGATAGGGCAGGTGGTATGTAGTAGAAAATGCTCTAAATTTAGGGTCAAAAAATCTGGGCTGAAACCTAGTTTTTCCATTTTCTAGTTGCATATCTTTGAGCATGTTATATAACTTCTCTGAGCCTCAATTTCCTCACAACAGAAAGACAACAATAGTGCCTCAGAGGGTAACTATGAACAGCATGACTTTTGTTAAACCTTCAGACAAATGCTGCAGTTTCCAATGTTAGGGTCAAGCATAGCTATACTTTGTTGGATGCTTTCCTTGTGCAAAGTCTTTTAATATATCATCTTTAACCTACACAATAATCATATAAAATAGGCATCATTAGTCCACTTTTATAGATAAGGAAGTTGAAGCCAAAAGTGATGTCTAAAGTACACAGCTAGTATTCCACAGATTCTACTGAGTCTATTGAACCCAAAGCCCACCCAACCCAAAAGCATGCATAATTTTCATATCACCATGCTGCCATTTCACCATAGTCTCTATTTTGCATAATACAGCAAGAAGATTACAAATAAACAAGTTAACATAGCACCCATTGACATATGGGATTGATAAAATAACCATCAAGGAAAACAGTATTGATTTATCATATTTCAAGAATGGAAAAATAGAACAAATACAAGTTACCCCCGACAGGATTCTTAAGAAAATGAGACAAAATGACCTAAAATTTGAGACCAAAAAAAATGCGTGGGGAAGTTTACAGAAGTCCTACCCATTCCTAGAACTGGCGAGTTTCCACACTTGAGCAGGTGGAGGGCCTGAAGACCTCAGGAGCTTTTCTGAGTTTGGGTTTGAGCTCAGAACCCAGCAGCACCTCTCTTACCATAGGAAGAAAGAAAAGACCAGGCAACAGCTGTACTACAGGGCGCGAAGAAAGAGAAAGAATTAGCTATCTGTCCTCAAGAAATGAAGATTTTTTTTTGGCAAGCTATAGTGCAACATGTCAGGTGGAAATAGTCTATTTTTATATTAGGTTGGTGCAAAAGTAATCACGGTTTTTGCCACTTTAATGGCAAAATACTAATACTTGCACCTAATACTTTACAAATAGAAAGTGTTGCTCTTCTGGGAGAGAACATGGAGATATAGAGTCAGGAAAAATATCTAAGGCCAATAAGGATTTAAACAGAACCCCCACCAATAAAGTAATCTACTACAGGCTGGGTCTATACAGTTCTCTCATGTAATCCTCGGATCAACCACGTACGGCATATGCTCTATGACTATTTTGCAAATGAAAACATTTAAGTGAAGTGATCCTTTTATTTTTCTCAAGGTGTCTGTGGAGCAGTCATTGTGTTGCTTTGTAAGAAGTGGCCACCTTCAACATGGGAAGATGCTCTATCTGGCCCCGCCTAGGTCTGCCTGTTCCCTCAACACAGCCACTTCCCACTCAGTCTGCTCTACATCTCTATGCACACTGTCCATCTGGCACAAAGAAGGAACACCAGCTGGTACATAAACTAGCACTGGAGGTATTTCCAGTAGCCTATGACCTTTGAATGGATCAACCTTTCACAGTCAACTCCTGATTATCTGCAAAAGGCTTGCACATCTCCTTGGCAAAGTTCTGGCACATAAGTGTTATTTCAACAATACAAGAGAATAATTCCACAAGTTAAAGGAATTTTCATCTTGGCCTACACAAAGTAGTAGGAAGATAAATCTGCAGGGAAAAAGGAATAATAGAGCCTCCAATGTCAAAGAAAAATCTATTCATTGTGGATTATCTCTTGCTCTCCTCCATTAAGGCAGATAATTGGGGTTACCTGAGTCTCTAACCTTACAACACTGCTGAAAGCTAGGTATTAGTCTATTTTTATAGCTGATGAAAATGAGTGTCAGAGGTTAAGCAATTTGCCTCAGGCCTTACAGCTAGTAGGTGTTGGAAGAGAGGCTCTTCAACCTCACTTACCTTTTGTAAGGCACTCCCCTCCCAATAAAGCAAACAGCAGAATGAAATGAAGGGAAGACACTCCTTCTCTTTAAAAGCATGATTAAGAACAGTTAAAAATTTGGGGCTTAATTATCCAGCCTTACACTTTGTCAGCTACCTATAGTGAATGTTACATCTTGTCCTGGCCTTTTCCTTATACCCAGTAACTTTCAGGCCCCTGTCAATGGTATGTGCTCAATGGCTAAAGAATAATATTAATATTAGCCTAAACAACATTGCATTGCAAAGACAAAATCAAACGGGGAAAACAATATCAAGATACATGATTCAAGAGCTAAGCACAGTGGTGCACATCTGTAGTCCCAGCTACTCGGAAGTTTGAGGCAGGAGGATGACTCGAGCCCAGGAGTTCTAGTCTGAGCAATATAGTGAGACTCTGTCTCTAAAAATAATAACAATAAAAAGACATATGATTCATTCCAAGTCAAATAAAAAAGACTTCTTATCTTCAGATAAGCTTGGATCTATCACTTTATTAATACCAACAGTAAAAGTTGCCACTAAACATTGAGTATGTTAGCTCTAATTTAGAAAGTAGAAATTAACATTTCTATATTAAGTTGAGAAAACTAAAACTAAGCAACTTGCTCAAGGCCATTGGCCTAATAAGTGCTAGAACCTAGATTCAAACCTGGGTGTTTCTCACTTATAAGCCTGCAGCCTTCCTAACTGCACTAACGTCTATAACTAAGAAATGTTTGTATGTGTCGCTCATCACATAATTACTTCTCAGTCCCTCATAATTCTTAGATAATGGAAAGACACAAGACTGAGAAATCTGAATAGAGCCAGTGCCCAGAAATTGTCACCACTGGATTTAGTGCCTAAAATTTCACACTTTCAGTCAGCCAATGAGAAAACCCAGTTAAATGCAAGAACAAGCTAGAATGGATAGCATAATAACCAACTAAGTTGGTGACAAAGTCCTGAGAAACACTCAAGAGAGGTCTCAGTTTACTGGTAAAAAAAGGAGGGCATTGGACACCCAGGAGAAGTAGAAAATGGCCTCAGCCTCAACAGCAAACCCAACTGTAGCACCACGGCTTGCCCTGGCTAGAAACACTCCCCATCTGATGCATAGAAAATGGCTTGTATAACATCTTTTAGCAAGGCAATGGTTAATGTAGTATTAGAGCTCAGAGGGCCCAGCTGCTAATATACAAATCTGTTCAGAAGACATGGCTAGTATCTACACTGTGTCTTCAAGAAACAAATGGAGTCAAAATCCTGATTCTTCAGCCAAACATGTTTGCTACAGGTCCCAAAAAGGCATATACATAGAGTGATCCCATGCTCACATACTTTATTATCAGCTGAGGTTCTGACCCCAAATCTTTCCTCCTCTGTTGAGCTGCATAAACACAACCCCACTAACCTAGTTAAGACTTAGCCTAGAAGCAGGTGAAGTTTTGTAGGCCAGTGGCTCTGCATTAGTCACCTTGAGGACGTGTTAAAAGTTGGACTGCTGGGCCCCACCCACTGAGATTTTGATTCAGTTTGTCTAGAGTGGGACCTGAGAATTGTTTACATTTCTCATAAATTATCTGATGATGTTGATGCCACCAGTCTGTGGACCACACATTGAAAATGACTGTTATAGACCTACACTCAAGACTTGTCCCCAGGATCCTACAGCTACAGAAGCAGGAGGAGGCAAGGCAAGTTCCAAGAAAATGCACTTCTACACAAGGGCAAGAACAGCTGGCCAACCCTTCCTTTCCCCAGAGCCCTACCTGAATCCTCCTAGGACTTCCAAAGGCCCAGGGCCACCTTTCAACTGACAGGCTACCTCAGGCCCATCTCTCATTGCACCAGATACACAGGGAAAAAAAGAAAAACAAAATTGAAAAGACAGTCTGAAGAGCAAAATAAGTCCCACTTCCCTCCAAAGGGTAGAAAAAAATGTTAACCCCCTTGCTCCTCCCCCAGAAACTCCACTTCCTATCATGATGACCAAGTTATTGATCATTGCTTTTGTGGAAGAATAAGGTTAAGCTTAGATGTGCAATTAACAAGGTTTATAGTCACGCGCTTTGCCAGATGAACAACTCTTTGCAAAAATATTTACCATAAAATAAAGAAATTGGCACTTCCAATAAAAATATCACTACAGACATTTTATTTGGCCATCCTAGAGAAACATCCACAGAAGTGATCAACACATAATAACCTCCCAATTATCTTTCTCTTTAAGACTTATGGTTTCTTAAAGTGCTTTTTTTTTTTTTTTTTTTGAGACAGAGTCTCACTCTGTTGCCCATGCTGGAATGCAGTGGCACAATCTCATCTCACTGCAACTTTTGCCTTCCTGGTTCTCCTATCTCAGCCTCCTGAGTAGGTGGGATTACAGGCGCGCACCACCACGCCTGGCTAATTTTTCTATTTTTAGTAGAGATGGGGTTGTGCCATGTTGGTCAGGGTGGTCTCAAACTCCTGACCTCAAGTGACCTGCCCGCCTCGGCCTCCCAAAGTGCTGTGATTACAGGCGTGAGCCACCACGCCCGGCCACTTAAAATGCTTTTAACCATGCAAATTAGAGAGGCTAGAGTTAATTTTATAATGCATTAGATAGTTGCTGGGATTACTATTGATTTTTTTCATTTCAAATGGCATTCAGTTAAGGAATATGTACAAATCATCACTGCTTCCATCTTGAATGGTCATTTATAAAATTTTAGGGGCTAGAACACATAAAATATTTTTAGCTTGGAAGATGTGTTGCAGGGTGGAATGTTTGTGGGAAATGTCCTCTACATGAAGGATTTCTGCTCCAAAATGTCTTGATTAATTAACATAAACAGCTTTGAGGAAAAAGAGAACAGCATCTCACGTCTGGCAGGATCCTGGCAGGGTTCTTTGGAAATTCCAAGGCAAGCCAAACACAGGGAAACCAGGCCTGTTCCATCCACGGCTGGTCCAGTTCCAGGGAAACGCCTTGGGCTTGGGAGAGCTCTGGAAAGGCTCTGCTCTAGTTGGCAGTAAACCAAAGTCCATTTCTTCTTTTGCTCCCAGGTCCCCTGAGATAATGAATTGGCTTCAGAGCCCTGGAGAAATGGGCTACAGCTGAGGAGACCTGGAGGACCCTGTCAAGAATGGCCTCAGTCAGGTGCGGTGGCTCACACCTATAATCCCAGCACTTCAGAAGGATTGTTTGAGGCTGGGAGTTTGAGACCATCCTAGGCAACATAGTAACACCCTGTCTCTACAAAAAAAAAAAAAAGAAAAAAAAAATTTAAAGAATGACCCCGATGCCCTGCTCTGCACTGTGAGCTTGTCCTTCCAGAATTTCAAAATGGAATGAATGGAATTAAGCATTATGAGAAAGAAATATAATATTTACTGAAAGTATCCTGCTGAGCTTTTAAAACATATGTTATTTAGTTCTTGCATTAACACTGCAAGACAGAGATTATTGCCTTTTCTATAATACCAGGGGAAAAAAGGGTGAGCAAGAAGGCTAAGTCATCTGCCTCACATCACATAACACATTAGTGACAGAATCAGGATAGGGACAAGAGCCTATTTTATAGCAAAGAAACCATCTTCTCCACCGGATTCCTCCAATTAACTATAGAAAAGGGGAAAGTTCAAAACAGCTCAACACTATTATATTATTTTAAGCCATTCAGACACGAAGTGGGAAATAAGTACTTTGCAGGTTTTTCTCAATATCAAGGAGTGATTCCCACCACCGGGTTCTTGGGCAACATTGCAACATTGTGAAAAAGGTGATGTTGGTTTACAACCTTTCTATATCCCAGCCTCCCTCTCCTGTACCTCTACTACTCCTCTACCACCCAGGGCCTACATTAGCCCCTCATCAGAGCTCCCCTCTCACTCCTGGAGTTTTCCAGAATCCTGATGTGGTCTCCCATCCAATGTCATAAAGACCATGTAATTGTGCCAGTGTACAGAGGAGAGATCCTTTGTACAAGAAGAAACCCACCTCCTACTAGTCTTAAACACCTCTTGCTTAAAAATTAACCCTTCCACGCTCACCACCAACCTCTTTTCAGTACTTCCAATGCTTCCATATACCTGGGCTCAATTTGTGAAATGAGTGTAAAATGCTATCTGAGTAAAATAATTTGCACCACTTGAATGACAAATGGATTCAACTATTCAGAGATATCTGTATTTTAAAGGAAGAGTTCTTAATGAATTTTGAACACTGAAAATTGTCATGAACTGGAAGGTTTTTCTAGATGTATTTCTTTCTGATTTTATCATGTTTCACTCTTATCTCTCAATCAGTCAGGGAGCAGTCATGGACTTGGTGTCCCCCATATGAAAGTTTGCCAAGGCCGGGCGTGATGGCTCATGCCTGAAATCCTAGCACTTTGGGAGGCTGAGGCAGGCAGATTGCCTGAGCTCAGGAGTTCGAGACCAGCCTGGGCAACATGATGAAACCTCGTCTCTACTAAAATACAAAAAATTAGCCGGGCGTGGTGGTGCGCGCCTGTAGTCCCATCTCCTCGGGAGGCTGAGACAGAAGAATCACTTGAACCCAGGAGGCAGAGATTGTAGTGAGCCGAGATCGTGCCATTGCACTCCAGCCTGGGTGACAGAGTGAGATTCTGTCTTCAAAAAAAAAAAAAAAATAGAAAGAAAAAGTGAAAGTTTGCCGAAGTGTGATCTAACATTACCAGGTTTTGATTTGATTAACCTTTTTGCTGCTGCAGTTTCTTCTAAATAAAAAGATTTAATATTTCCATGAATAATCTTCTACCTAGGACTAAAATAGCACCAAGAAAACCT